>NC_000018.10:70787528-72037528 GCF_000001405.40 Homo sapiens | reverse complement strand
GTGTATACCCTTTGCAAAGCGTGGTGCTATATAAGATCAGTGATACATATGAATTTGTTTGGACAAGTCAACCCTTTATGATAATGCACTTCTTAACCTTTAGTAAAATTTTTTAAAAGGCCATAAATGTTCACAGTTGTTTTTCAAAACATATGTTCAGGCCAGGCACGGTGGCTCACGCTTGTAATCCTAGCACTTTGGGAGGCCGAGGCGAGTGGATCACCTGAGGTCGAGAGTTCAAGAACAGCCTGACCAACATGGAGAAACCCCTCTCTACTAAAAAAATACAAAATTAGCTGGGCGAGGTGGTGCATGCCTATAATCCCAGCTACTCAGGAGGCTGATGCAACAGAATTGCTTGAACTCGGGAGGCAGAGGTTGCGGTGAGCCAAGATTGTGCCATTATACTCCAGTCTGGGCAACTAGAGTAAAACTCCATCTCAAAACAAAAACAACACCAAAACATATTTTCTGCGTCTTATCTTCCTGTAAAACTATATAGAAGCAAGCAAATAGAAGAAAAAAGTTTATTTAACTTTATATGTTCTTATTTTGTAACAAATAATAGTTATCCACAAATGAATTAGTATCTTCAAGGTGATTTGCCATATTTCATTCATCATTATTGTTATAGCAACTGGCAAATTGATTTACACTGTATATACGATCAATATTTCCACAATAAATGAACACCTCAAAATTGTGCACTTAAATGATTTTGTTCCTGATTATCTTAGTCGAGTTTATCTATCTATGTGATCAAAATATCATTCATATGGTTATGGTATCCAACATTTATGGGAAATCACTCACCAGTCCTAAAAGAGTGGTGACAATCTAGGATTGTAAATATCTCAAGTGAATTAATACATACTGATATTTCACCAAAAGAACTCTTATCTGATAAAATTTCCTCATTTTGTGATTATCTCTTTCTCTTCTAAATTATTCTAAAATAATTTATTTAGACCACATGATTTAAGGTTAAAAAAATAGTAAGCCACTTTAGTCTTTTCACTTGACTTTGTGGCTACTCATATACCTGCAAAACATGTTGCTCTGATTGTCGAAGACTTTTTTTGATTGTTTTTGAAATAGCTTTAGCTTTAACGTTGCCTCCCTTACAAGAAATACTCAAAAGAATTCTAAAAATGGAAATGAAAAGTCAATACTGACCATGATGAAAACACACAAAAGTATGCAACTCATAGCTCTAATAAACAATTAGACAAATGAGACTGCAAAGCAACTAGATAACAATTAACATTATGACAGGAAAAATACCTCACCTGTCAATATTAACCTTGAACATAAATTGCTCCTTTTAAAAGATATAGATTGACAGAATGGATTTTAAAAGATCTTGATGCAGGAGAAAGGTGGAGCAAGTTGGCTGGGTAGAGGACTCCACCAATCATCTCTCCTGCAAGGACACCAACTTAACAACTATGTACACAAAAAAGGACTTTAATGAGAGCCAAAAATCAAGTGAGCACTCACAGTGCCTAGTTTTAACTTCATATCACTGAAAGAGACATGGAAGAGATAGAGAAAACAGCCTTGAATTGCTGACACCACCGCCCCCGCCCCCAACAGCAGCGGCATGGTGCAGATAATGTTTATGTGTGTTGGGGGAAGGACAGTGATAGGGTTTGTCTCTGTGTCCCCATCCAAATCTCATCTTGTAGCTCCCATAATTCCCACGTGTTGTGGGAGGGCCCCAGTGGGAGATAATTGAATCATGGGGCTGGGTCTTTCCCATGCTGTTCTAGTGATAGTAAATAAGTCTCACAAAATCTGATGGTTTCTATAAAGAGGAATTTCCCTGCACAAGCTCTCTTTGCCTGCTGCCATCCGTGTAAAACACAACTTGCTTCTCCCTGCCCTCCGCCATGATTGTGTGGCCTCCTCAACCACATGGAACTGTGAGTCCGTTAAAATCTTTTTTTCTTCCCATTCTCAGGTATGTCTTTATCAATCGTGTGAAAATGGACTAACACAGTAAATTAGTAACAGTACAGTGAGGTGCTGGTGAAAAGATACCAAAAATGTGGAAGTAACTTCAGAACTGGGTAACAGGCAGAGGTTGGAACAGTTTGGAGGGCTCAGAAGAAGACAGGAAAATGTGGGAAAGTTTGGAACTTGTTGAATGGCTTTGATCAAATTGCTGGTAATGATATGGACAATGAAATCCAGGCTGAGGTGGTCTCAGATGGAGATGAGGAACTTGTTGGGAACTGGAGTAAAGGTGACTCTTGTTATGTTTCAGCAAAGAAACTGGTGGCATTTTGCCCCTGCCCTAGAAATTTGTCGAATTTTGAACTTGAGAGAGATGATTTAAGGTGTCTGGCAAAATAGATTTCTAAGCAGCAGAGCATTCAAGATGTGACTTGGGTGCTGTTAAAGGCATTCAATTTTATAAGGAAAGTAGAGCATAAAAGTTCAGAAAATTTGCAGCCTGACAATGCGATAGAAGAGAAAATCCCATTTTCTGAAGAGAAATTCAAGTCAGCTGCAGAAATTTGCATATATAAGGAGCAGCCGAATGTTAATCTCCAAGACAATGGGAAAAATGTCTCCAGAGCATGTCAGAAATATTCATGGCAGCCCTTCCCTTCACAGGCCCAGAGACCTAAGAGGAAAAGATGGTTTAATGGTCCAGGCCCAGGGTCTCTCTGTTCTCTGCAGCCTAGGGACTTGGTACCCTGCATTCCAGTCACTCCATACATGGGTAAAAAGGACCAAAGTAAAGCTTGGGCTGTTGCTTTAGAGAGTGGAAGCCCCAGGCCTTTGCAGCTTTTGTATGGTGTTGAGCCTGCCAGTGCACCAAAGTCAAAAACTGAGGCTTGGGAACCTCCGCCTAGATTTCAGAGGATGTATGGAAACACCTGGATGTCCAGGCAGAAGTTTGCTGCAAGGGCAGGGCCCTCATGGAAAACTTCCACTTGGGCAGTGTGAAAGGGAAATGTGGAGTCAGAGCCCCCACACAGAGTCCCTACTGGGGCACTGCCTAGTGGAGCTGTGAGAAGAGGGCTGTCATCTTCCAGACCGCAGAATGGTAGATACACCAACAGGTTGCACCATGTGCCTGGAAAAACCACAGACACTCAACACCAGCCTGTGAGAGCAGCTGGGAGGGGAGCTGTACCCTGAAAAACCACAGGGGCAGTTCTGCCCAAGACCATGGGAACCTACCTCTTGCATCAGAATGACCTGGATGTGAGATATGGAATCAAAGGAGATCATGTTGGAGCTATAAAATTTGACTGCCCCACAGGATTTTGGACTTGCATGGAGTCTGTAACCCGTTAGTTTTGGCCAACTTCTCCCATTTGCAACAGCTGTATTTACCCAATGCCTGTACCCCATTGTATCTAGGAAGTAGCTAACTTGCTTTTGATTTTACAGGCTCATAAGCAGAAGGCACTTGCCTTGTCTTGGATGAGACTTTGGACTGTGGACTTTTGAGTTAATGCTGAAATGAGTTAAGATGTTGGGTGACTGTTGGGAAGGCAAGATTCATTTTGAAATGTGACGACATGAGATTTGGGAGGGACCAGAAGCAGAATGATATGGTTTGACACTGTCCCCACCCAAATCTCATCTTGTAGCTTCCATAATTTCCACGTGTTATGGGAAGGGCCCAGTGGGAGATAATTGAATCATGGAGGCAAGTCTTTCCCCTGCTGTTCTTATAATAGTGAATAAGTCTCAGGAGATCTGATGGTTTTAAAAAGAGGAGTTCCCCTGCACAAGCTCTCTCTTTTTGCCTGCTGCCATCCATGTAATGTGACTTACTTCTCTTTGCCTTCTCACATGATTGTGAGGCCTCCCCAGCCACGTGAAATTGTGAGTCCATTAAAACCACTTTTTCTTCTCAGTCTCAAGTATGTCTTTATCAGCAGGGTGGAAACGGACTAATCCAGAGAGTGCAGCAATCTTGAGGCATTGAGCTTAGTATTGTCCTGTTATAGCAGAAAGAAAAACTGGACTAAACTCAGCCCACATAGGGAGCATTTAAACAAGCCCCAGTAAGAGGTGAATTGTTGATCCCAGCAGTAAGAACTTGAGTTCCCACAAGCCTCACCACTGTAGAATAAAGTACACTGGGGATCAAAATAAACTTGAAGGGCAGTCTAGGCTACAAGAACTGCAACTGCTAGCTGAGTCCTACTGCTGAGCTGGGCCCATAGCCAGTTACTAGGGAAGGTGGGGACCATGCAGGAGGAGGAGGGGGAGTTGTGACCTAATGAAACACCAGCTGGGGCAGCTAAGGGAATACTGGTATCACCCCTCCCCTAACCTCAGGCTGCATAGCTCACAACTTCAAAAGACCCCTTCCATCTGCTTGAGGAGAGGAGATGGAGGAGTGGGGAAAACTTTGTCTTGCATCTGGGATGCCAGTTAAACCACAGCAGACGGGCCACTGGTCAGAGTTGTGAGGGTCCCTCTCTATATTCCCTAGATCCTGGATGACACTACTAGGCACATACTAGGCACACCCTTGGCCAGAAGGGAATATGCTGCTTTGAAGAGAAAGACCCAATCTTTGCAGAATATATCACCTGCTAACTGAAGAGCCCTTGGGCCCTGAATAACTAACAGCAATACCCAGGTACTATGTTGAGGGCTTTGGGTAAGATTCTGAGACTAACTGCCTTTAGGTGAGACTCAGCATAGTTGCATCTATGGTAGCTACAGGATGAGATTCCCTCTGCTTGAGAAATGCAGATGGAAAAGGAAAGGGAGCTTTGTTTTGCACTTTACATACCAGCTTGGCCACAAGTGGGTAGAACATAAAATGGGCCCTTGGGGTCCCTGATTCCAGGATGCGGCTCTTGGATGGCATTTCTGGACCTGCCCTGGGCCAGAGGAAAGCCCACTTCCCTGAAGAATGAATCCCTGGCCTGGCAGCATTCACCACAAGCTGACTGAAGAGAACTTGGTCCATAAGACATCATCAGCAATAGTCTGGCAGTACTCCTTGTGGACATGTTGTGGTGGCGGCCACAGGGTGAGGCTCCTCTGCCTTTGGAAAGAGGAGAGAAGAGTGGGCAGCACTATGTCTTGTGGTTTGAGTGTCAGCTCAGCCACCATACAATAGAATACCAGATAGACTCTTAAGATTCTTGACTCTTGTCTCTGGTGCCTAGTTGGTACCTATGGACCCACCCAGAGCCAGAGGAACTCACTGGTTTGAAGGGAAGGACACAGTTCTAGATAGCTTTGCCACCTGTTGATTATAGATTCCCAGGGCCTTGAGTGAACATAGACAGTAGCCAGGGAGTGGTTACACCAGGCGTTGTGTGAAACCCAGTGCAGTGCTAGCTGTGGGTCTGACTTAGCACAGTCCTAGTGGTGGTGGCCAAATGGGATGCTTGTGCCACTCAACCCTCAGCTTCTTGTGGCTCAGAAAAGAGAGAGAGACTACATTTACCTGGGGAAAAAGAAGGGAAGAGAACAAGTCTCTGCCTTTTAATCCAGAGAATTCTCCCAGATCTTGTTCATGATCATCAAAGCGGTACCTCTTTGGGTCTGCAAGAATCAAAACATTACTGGGCTTAAGGTGCTCCCTAAAGAATATACAGCTTAGATCACAAAACCCAAGTTTTTTCAAATATCTGGAAAGCCTTCTCAAGAAGGAAAGATACGAACAAGCCCAAATGGTGATGACTAAAATGAATACCTTACTCTTCAATGCCCAGACATGGATGAAAATCTACAAGTGTCAAGAAAATCAAGGAAAACGTGGTCCTCACCAAATGAACTACGTAAGGCATCAGGGACCAATCCTGGAGAAACAGCAATATGTTTTCTTTCAGACAGAGAACTTGAAATAGATGTTTTGAAGAAATTCAAAGAAATACATGACAACACAGAGAAATAATTCAGAATTCTATCAGATAAATTTAACCTGGAGATTACAGTAATTAAAAAGAATCAAGCAGAAGTTCTGGAGCTGGGCTGGGTGTAGTGGCTCACACATGCGATCCCAAGACTTTGGGAGTCCAAGGCAAGAAGATTACTTGAGATCAGGAGTTCAAGACCAGCCTGACCAACATGGTGAAACCCTGTCTCCACTAAACACACAAAAATTAGCTGGATATGATGGGGCATGCCTATAATCCCAGCTACTTGGGAGGCTGAGGCAGGAGAATCTCTTGAACCTGGGAGGTGGAGGTTGCAATGAGCCAAGATTTCACCACTACACTCCAGACTGGGCAACAGAGCAAGACTCTGTCTCAAAAAATAAACTAAAAAAAAAAATAAAATATACATTAAAAAAAATAAATATTTTTTAAAGAAGTTCTGGAGCTGAAAACGCGATTGGCACACTCAAGAATGCATCAGAGTCTTTAAATAGTAGAACTGATTAAGCAGAAGAGAGAACTGATGAGCCTAAAATCAGTCTATTTGAAAATACACAGAGAAGACAAAAGAAAAAAGAATAAAAAACAATAAGGCACACCTACAGGATCTAGAAAATACCCTCGAAAGGGCAAATCTAAGAGCTACTTAAAAAAGAGGCAGAGAAAAAAATAGGGGTAGGAAGTTTATTCAAAGAAATAACAGAGCTTTTCAAACCTAGAGAAGTTAGGTTTGAGAAGATAAAGATGTCAATATCCAAGCACAAGAAGGTTATAGAATAAAGAGCAGATTTATCACAAAGATTACCTCAAGGTGTTTAATAATCAAATTCCCAAAGATCAAAGATAAAGAAATGATCCTAAAAGTAGCAAGATAAAATAAACAAATAACATACAAAGGAGCTCCAATACGTCTGGCTACAGACTGTTCAGTAGAAAGCTTACAGGCCAGAAAGAGTGGCATAACATATTTAAAATGCTGAAGGAGTAAAACTTTTACCACAGAATATTTATCTGCCAAAAATGTCTCTCTAACGTGAAGGAAAAATAAAGACTTTTCCAGTAAACAAAAGCTGATAGATTTCATCAATACCAGACCTGTCCTGCAATAAATGCTAAAGGGAATACTTCAAATAGAAAGAAAAGAATGTTAATGAGCATTAAGTAATCATCTGGGAGTACAAAGCTCATTGTTAATAGTAAATATACAGGAAAACAAGAATGTTATAACACTTTATAGTGTGTACTCTTATGCTAAGTAGAAAGATTGAAAGGTTAAACAATCAATATTTGACAAGTTTTCAAGATATACACCGTACAATAAGATATAAATAGAAACAACAAAATGTTAAAGAGCAGGGGATGAAGTTAAGGTGTAGGTTGTTTATTAGTGTTCATTTTGCTTGCTTGTTTCTTTATGCAAAGTGTTATGGTATTATATAAGCTTAAAATAATGATTTATAAGAGTATTTGCAAGCCTCATGGTAACCTCAAATCAAAAAACATACAATGAATACAGACAAAATGAAAAGCAAAAACTAAATTATATCACCAGAGAAAATCAGCTTCACTAATATAAAAACAGGAAGGAAGGAAGGAAGAGAGGACCAGAAAATCAGTAGAAAACAAATAACAAAATGGCAGGAGTAAGTACTTAATTATCAATACTAATATTTAATGTAGATGGGCTGAACACTCCAATCAACAGATACAGAGTGGCTGAATGGATTGAAAAAGACTCATTGATCTGTTGCCTACAAGAAACACATTTCACCTATAAAGACAAACATAGACTGAAATTAAAGTGATGGAAAAAGATATCCCATGCCAATGAGAAACAAAAAAAGAGCAGGAGTCACTATGCTTATACCAGACAAAATAGACTTCAAGATAAAAACTACAAAAAGAGACAAAGAAGGTCATTATATAATGATAAAGAGGTCAATTCAGCAAAAGAATATGTTTCTAAATATATACACACTCAACACTGGAGTACCTAGATATATAAAGCAAATATTATTAGAGCTAAAGAGAGAGAGACCCCCCCTCCCCAGTATAATAGCTGGACATCAACATCCTACTTTCAGCATTGGACACATTTTCCAGACAGAAAATCAACAAAGAAATATCAGACTTAATCTGCACTACAGACTAAATGATTCTAATGTATATTTATAGAAGATTTCACCCAATGACTGCAGAATACACATTCCTGCAACACATGGATCATTTTCAAGGATAGACTATATGTTAGGACTATATGTTAGGTCACAAAAACAGTCTTAGTACATTTAAAAAACTGAAATAATATCAAGCATCTTAACAGGAGAAATTCTGAAAATTGCACAAACAGATGGAAATTAAAAACATGCTCCTGGATAATCAGTAAGTCAATGAAAACATTAATAAATAATTTGAAAAGTTTATTGAAACAAATTATAATGCAAACACAACATACAAAAACCTGTGGGACACAGTAAAATCAGTACTAAGAGGAAAGTTTATATCTATAAATACCTACATCAAAAAGAAGAGAAACTTCAAATAAATGACCTAATGATACATCTTAAACAACTAGAAAAGCAAAAGAAAGTTGAATCCAAAATAAGTAAAAGTAAAGAAATAATGAAGATCAAAGCAGAAATAAATGAAATTGAAATGAAAAAATATAAATAATTGATGCAGCAAAGTTAGTTTTTTAAAAAGTTAAAAAAAAATTGACAAACTTTAGCCAGACTGAGAAAAAAAGAGAGATCTAAATAAATAAAATCAGAAATGAAAAAGAAGACATTACAACTGATACTGCATAAAGTTAAAGGATCATTAGTGGCTACTATGAGCAACTATATGGTAAATCTGGAAGAAATGGACAAACCCTCAGTTACATAGAAGCTACCAAGATTGAACCATAAAGAAATCCAACACCTGAACAGACTAATAACCAGTAACAAGACTGAAGCCATAATAAAACGACCTAAAAATAAAAGGCCTGGGACTCAATGGCTACACTGCTAAATTCTACCAAACATTTAAAGAATGGATACCAAGCCTACTCAAGCTATTCCAAAAAACAGAGCAGAGGAAGTGCTTCCAAACTGATTCTACAAGGCCATTATTACACTGATATCAATACCAGGGAGAGACATCAAATAAATTAAACTACAGGCCAATATATCTGATGAGTATTGATGCAAAAATCCTCAACAAAATACTAGCAAATTGAATTCAGCAATAGATTTTTTAAAAATCATTCCTTATGACTACATGTGATTTATTACTGGGATGCAAGGATGGTTCTACATAAGCAAATCAATCAATGTGAAGCATAGAGCAACAGAATGAGGAACAAAACTGTAATCATTTCAATTGATGGTGAAGAAGCATTTGATCAAATTCGACATCCCTTCATGATAAAAAGTATAGCACATCAGAGAACTGGGGATAGAAGGAACACATCTCAACAAAATAAAAGCCATGTATGACAGACCCACAGCTAGTATCATACTGAATTTAAAAAACTGAAAGCCTTTCCTTTCAGATCTGGATCACAACAAGCACACCTACTTTCAGCACTGCTATTCACCATAGTACTGGAAGTTCCTAGCTAGAGCAATCAGACCAGAGAAAGAAATAAACCACATCCAAATGGAAAAAAAAAGTCAAATTATCCTTGTATGCTGATAATATAATCTTATATCTGAAAAAAAACTAAAGACTTCACCAAAAAACTATTTGAATTGATAAACAATAAAGTTCCAGAATACAAAATCAACCTAAAGAAATCAGTAGCATTTCTATATGCCAACAGTGAAAAATCTGAAAATGAAATTAAAAAAAAACATGTATAAAAGCCACATACAAAATTAAATACCTGGGAATTAACCAAAGAAACCAAAGATCTCTATAATGAAAACTATAATATATTGATGAAAAAAATTGAAAAGGACACCAAAAAATGAAAAGATGTTTTATATTTATGGATTGGAAGAATCAATATTGCTAAAATGTCCATACTACCCAAAGCAATCTATAGATTCAATGCAATCTCTAACAAAATACCAATTCTATTTCTTCACAGAAATCAAAAAAAAGTATTGTAAAATGTATATAAAACCACATAAGACCCAGATAGGCAAAGCTGTCCTGAGCAAAAAATAACAAAACTGGAGGAATAACATTATCTGACTTCAAATTATACTACAGAGCTATAGTAACCAAAACAGCATGGTACTGGCATAAAATCAGACACACAAATCAATAGAACGGAATAAAGAACCCAGAAAAAAAATTCACAAACAAGAGTGAACTCATTTTCAACAAAGGTGCCAAGAACCTACATAAGGCAATAGAGAGTTCCTTCAATAAATGGTGCTGGGAAAACTGGATATCGATATGTAGAAGAATGAATCTAGACCCTTATCTCTCACCATATACAGAAATCAAATCAAAATGGATAAAAGAGTTAAATCTAAGACCTTAAGCCATGAAACTACTACAAGAAAACTTTGAGGAAAATCTCCAGGACATTGGTCTGGGCAAAAATTTTTAAAGTGTGCCCTATAAGCATAGGCAACCAAAGTAAAAATGGACAAATGGGATCACATCAACGTGAAAAACTGCACAACTAAGAAAACAATCCATAAAGTTGAAGAGACAACCCACAGAATGGAAGAAAATATTTTCAAAGTACTCATCTGACAAGGGATTAATAACTAGAATATATAAGGTCCTCAACTCTACAGGAAAAATCTAATAGTCCAATTAAAAATGTGCAAAAGATTTGAGTTGACGTTTCTGAAAAGAAGATGTACAAATGACAAATGGGCATATGAAAAGGTGCTCAACATAATTGATCATCAGAGAAATGCAAATCAAAACTACAATGAAATATCATCTTGCCTCAGTTAAAATATCTAAAAGGCAGGCACTAGCCAATGCTGGTGAGAATGTGAAGAAGATGCAACCCTCATACAATATTGATGGGAATGTAAATTACTACAGCCACTATGGAGAATAGTTTGGAGGTTCCTCAGAACACTAAAAATTGAGCTATTACATAATCCACCAATTCCACTTCTGGGAATATACCCAAAGAAAAGAGATTAGCATATTAAAGAGATATCTGCACTCCCATGTGTACTGCAGCACTGTTCACAACACCCAAGATTTGGAAGCAACCTAAGTGTTTGTCAACATATGAATGAGTAATGTTAATGTGATACAAATATGAAACAGAAACCATTCAGCCATATAAAAGAATGAGATTCTGTCATATACAACGACATGGATGGAACTGGAGATTATTTGGTTAAGTGAAATAAGCCAGGCACAGAAAGACAGACATCACATGTTCTCACTTCTTTGTGGGTCTAAAAATCAAACCAATTAAACATTGAACATGGAGAGTAGCAGGATGGTATTAGAGGCTGAGAAGTTAGTGTGGGACTGGAGGAAGGTGGGTTTATTTAATAGGTACAAAACATAAAGATTTAGTAAGGCCTACAATTTGATAGTACATTAGGGTGACTGTAGTCAACAATAATCTATTTGTACACTTAAATATCTAAAAGAGTAAAATTAGATTGTTGGTAACAGAAAGAATAAATGTTTGAGGGGACAAATACCTCATTTTTCATGATGTGATTATTATGCCTTTCCTGCCTGTGTCAAAACATCTCATGTACCCCAGAAATATATACAACTACTACGTACCCCCAAATTCAAATTAAACAAAACCTTGATCCAATCATATGCTGCTTAGAAGTAACCTACACAACTAATAAAGACACTTATATATTGAAGGTAAAAGGATAGGAAAAAATATTCCATGCAAATGGAAACCAAAACAAGCAGACATATTTATACTTATGTCAGACAAAACAGACTTTATATCAACATCACTAAATAAAAGACAAGGTCATTATATAATAATAAAGAATCAATTTAACAAGAAGCTACTAAAATCATATATAATATATTTATGATATGGGACTTAGTAGATGTTAAATGCCTACATCAAGAATACAGAAAGATTGCCAAAGATTTTCTAGGACACACAAATATTTAGAAATGGCAATATGTCTTACTTTATCATAAAATGTAGATATTTTAACACATATTATTCATACATTTATATTAAATACTTTTCATCACATTTATATTATACAACAATTTATATGAAACTTGTAAATTAAATATTTATTTCAAACATTCTACTGTTTAGTATAAATTCATGCATTTTTTCTCTAGCAATTAGCTAAGATACTTCTTAGCTTACAGTCACAGTTATAAGTCAGTCCTTTTCTTCATATTAGTAAAATCAAAAACAAAAACAAGAAAACCCTCTTTTTTCCAATATTTTATTCTCAGACTATTACAGTGAAAAATTATTGCTTAAAAAATGCATTTTTTTCCTTTTAGACAGCTGATGTGTGATCTTGTGTTGGGAGCAATATCTTCTGTATCTACTTAGTCTCATATCATGATTAATAAATGGAGGGCATATATCCTATTCTCATTTAATCAGGAGAAAGAAGCTAAGATTCTCAGTTATAAGTATCTAAATTTAGACTCTAAAATCATAAAATATTATCAACACTCCAGGAGACGGCATTAGTCTTTGAGTTTTAAGTCTAATCCTAGAATCTTAAGATTTCCTCTTTTCAGTAGTAGTAAATCAGCAGCTTCAGGCGAGAAGACTGTTTTCATCTTTCTTCTATTTGCTATATAAAAGTAAATTACAAAAAAGGATAGGAGTGTTGTGCTTTTTAGTTTACATAGATTGATTTGAGATCACTATTAAGACATGGATGATGCATACTATGAAGATTATGGATACAAATTCCAACTTTGAATCTTAGCTTCAACTCTTAGTGCTGACGTAAGACAGGATGTTTTAATTGCTCTAGTTTACTTATTGGCAAACGGTGGTTAAAAAAAAATTAAAAAATAAAAACTTTCCTCAAAGCATTATAGTACTGATTAAATGAAAGAGTTAGTGGCAAGTACATACCATTACTTTTCAAGCTTTAAAAGCCGCATGGGGCCGGGCGCGGTGGCTCACGCCTGTAATCCCAGCACTTTGGAAGGCCCAGGCGGGTGGATCATGAGATCAGGAGATCGAGACCATCCTGGCTAACATGGTGATACCCCGTCTCTACTAAAAATACAAAAAAAAAAAAAAAAAAAAAAAAAAATTAGCCGGGCGTGGTGGCGGGCGCCTGTGGTCCCAGCTACTTGGGAGGCTGAGGCAGGAGAATGGTGTGAACCCATGAGGCAGAGCTTGCAGTGAGCCGAGATCGTGCCACTGCACTCCAGCCTGGGCGACAGAGCCAGACTCCATTTCTCAAAAAAGAAAAAAAAAAAAAAGCCGCTTGCATGGGCACTGGGGGTGTGCTGCCAGTCTGGGAAGGCAGTGGCCATAGTGGTTGTGGGACAACCCCCTGGCTCCGAGGCAGCACACACTTGTGTTAACGGTGGCTATGACAGGCTGCACAAGCTGTTTCTTAAGGCCCTCATGTGGCACATGTGGGCAGGTGCCAGCTGTGATGGTGGCAGCAAGTTGATTGGGCCTGTCTGTCTTCAGGCCCCCAAGAGGAGTGCACATATACCAGTCGGAGTTGACATAGACAAATGGGACTATATTAAACTAAAAATAATCTCCCCAGAAGAGAAAACAATCAACAGAGCAAAGAAAAATCTGTTAATATTTGCAAACTATTCAACCGAGAAAAAGCTAATATCCAGAATATACAAGGAAATAAAACAGCTAAACAGTAAACAAAACAGAACCAAAACACACAAAATACCCAACAGAAAACAAAAAACAAATACTCTCATTAAAAAGTGGGCAAAGGGTATGAATAGACAGTACTCAAAAGAAGACATACAAATAGCCAGCAGATATATGGAAAAGTGCTAAACATCACTAATTGTCAGACAAGTGCAAATCATCAGATATCATCTTGACCCCATAAGAATAACTATTCTTACAAAGACAAAAAAATAACAGATATTGGTGAAGGTGAGAAAAGGGAACTCATATACTGCTGGTGGGAGTGTAAATTAGTATGGCCACTATGAATAACAGAATAAAGATTTCGAAGAGAAAATAAAACTAAAACTGAAAATAGAAAAATATGATTGAGTATCTCACTATTGGGTATTTATCCAAAGGAAAGGAAATTAATATATCAAAAGAATACCTGTACCCCCATGTTTATTGCAGCACTATTTGCAATAGCAAAGATGTAGAATCAACTTCAGTGTCCATCAGTGGATGAATGGATTTAAAAAAATGTGTTTATATACAAAATGGAATACTACTCAGCCATAAAAATGAAATCCTGACATGTACAGCAACATAGATGGGACTGGAGGTCATTGTGTTAAGTGTAATAAGCCGGGCACAGAAAGACAAATACCACATTTTCTCACTCATATGTGGGAAGTAAAAAGTTGATCTCATTGAGGTAGAAAGTAGAATAGTCACCAGAGACTAGGAAATGTGTGAGTTGGGGGAAGAGGGGACTAAAAGAGAGAATATCCATCACCTTGAGTATTTAGAATGCTATTAGTATAATATATATTATAATTTTATATTATTTATAATCTCTATACTATAAATACTCGAGGGGATGGATATCCTAAATACCCTGACATGACCATGACACATTCTATGCATGTAACTGAGGCAGGACAAGTAAGATTAGGAGGCCACTGACTTGTCCCTCTGTATGAAGCCCAGTGGGCTCTACCCCCTCGTGCATCAGCACGTAATGTTTTTGCACAGTAAACCATCCTACAGGATACCACCAGACCACCAGATGCTTACAAGTTCCTGATACCCAATATTGGCGTGGAAAAAAGAATAAAAGTCCCTTACTCCTCATGTAACTTCCTCAATCTCCAACCAATCAGCACCAAAAGCCCACAAAGCTATTAGCTACAAATTCCTGCCTTGGGGTTGGCTAGGAGTTTTTCCAGGGTCCTGCCTATGCAGCTAGGCTCAAGGTTTAGCTTATAGTAAACTTTCCCTCATTTTAATAGTAAAAAAATCATCCCTAGGTAGAGATTTTATACCCTAATGATACATGTGATGTGTGTTAGGGCACATAGACCCTGAGCCCACATTCCAATTGCAGGTCTGCCTTTACATACTTGACCTCATCAGTATTCTATGAATATGCATGTACAGTTCCCATAAAGGGAATTTCCCTCAAGGCACTAGGGGCTCTCTCTCTGTCTCTGTCTCACTCTGTCTCTCTCTCTCTCTCTCCCTCTCTCTCAGAGCATGCATTTGTTTTGCCATAAATTTCTTTGCTTACTCTTACTTTGGACTCACTTTCAAATTCTGTTTGGCGAAGTCAAACCGGCCCACCCACCAACAACAGAACAAAATATTACATGTATCCCATACAAATGTACAAATATTATGTATCAATAAAAATTATATGAAGTGTTAGTTTGGATAAAAAACAATTCTTAATTTTATGCTCTTTACCATAAGCCAATTTATATATTAAGACATAGATACGCTAAAAGCAGCAAGATGACCAATACATGTCATACATACACTAATCTAAGGAACACTGCACTGTCTGCATTAATGTCAGACAAGTTAGATCAAAGTGTCCTTATTTTTGTTATATATTTCCAGAAACATTGACAAGCATTCCATAACAATAAAGAAGTCAATTTATCAGGGGAAAAAAACAACCCCAAATGTATTCATGAATAACCACAGATCTTCAATACATATGAAACAAAAATAGATAAAAGAAAAAGAAGAAGTAGACACTTCCACAATTATAACTGTTAACTTCAGCCTTCTTCCTTCAATTAATGTTAGAAAAGCCAGACAGAAAATCAGTAATACTGTCAACCACCTCGATCTGCAGATACTTCAAAATCATTGAGATATATAACTCTTCTTGTTCTCATCATCTTTCCAATTTATTTAATAGCAATGTAATTCACCTACTTGATCAGATGAAAACCTCAGGACTTTATCGTTTCTGTATTCATACGCTTTACAACCAATCACCAAGTACTGCTTAACCTTTTAAAACAACATCTCAAATCTGGCAACATCTCAAGTCTTCTGCCACCACTAACCTGGTATCTGTCATATAGACAAGAACAATAATCTCCCGGTTGGTATTCCTGCTTCCTTATGCCATCCTACTCAGGAAAGAGCAGAAAAAGTGATCTTCATAATACACATAGCAGATAGTTTTACGTGCTTTTTATATCCCTTCCAGTGCTCCCTGAGGTTCGTTCATGTGTTCTAGACTCTATCTCTAAATCTTCATATCCTACTACTCTCCCACTTGCCTTATCTCTTCCAACTATACCTTGCAGTTTTCTTAAACAATCTACATTATTTTTCTTTAGTAGGGCATTCACAGCTAATATTTCCTCCAATTTGAATATTCTGTCCACCAATTTTTACAAAACTCTTGACTCACCCACCTCTAGCCACTCTTCATCACATATCTTAACATTTTTTTTCCTAAGGCACCTTTATTTCTTCTAAAATTATAGTGTTTTCTATTGCTCATGAGTTCAATCTCCTTCATTATAAGATACATGACTCCACCCAGAGCAATGCTAATTTTCAAAAATATCAGTAGACTCACACTTGTACGTAGAAGAAACCTCAAAAGTGTTATTAAAATAGTTGACTGAAAAAATATATTCAAGTGGATATTTTCCAAAGTGTCCCATTTGTTATATAGTTTCAGAAATAAAAAAAGATATAATTAATTATAAAAATGCAAAGGCCAGTTTTACTTTTAAAAGTTCTGATTTAAATGCATTTTGTTTTTCTAAAACTACGAGCTTTATAACTGATAATATAAATGATATGCTTCCTTTTATTAAAAATTAGAGCTATGCAACTCATTATTTTCATTTTATTACCTTGACTGCCATGGAGTTCAAGTTACATATTTTCATTTGCAATAATTATCCTTAGCCTGAGTTTTGAAAATTATTGCAGTGTTCATATCTTATTTCCATACGTATTTTTAATTTAAAAAGCTTCTCATAGTTTCTTTGTAAGTATGGCAGGCACCTAACAATATTTCTGGCATATAGACAGAATAGCATATATATTATTATATGTTTAATACTAAAAGATCACAAGATGTAGGTATGACTAACAAAGCATTTCTAAGGAAAGGTTTTGAGAAACCTAAAGTTCACACAATGGCAGAAACCTTTTGCAGCAGAGTCATTCCTGTTACTATGCATGGATACTGCATGGATACAAATATTATCACAACTGCATTATTATCATTGATAGTTTTCAAGATCAATGTAATAAAAAGGATAGAATGCAAAACTCCTTTCTAAAACATTCTCTAAACTCCAGAGTTTCACTTGGTTGTCATTGCCTGAAGCAGAAGAGCAATTTAGATTTCTAAAAGTGCAGTATGGCTGTTTGAAATATTCAGTCAGATTTTATTTTCATTCTTTCAAAAGAAATAACAAGTACATTATTTTCGACAAAAGAACACCTTACACATCCCTTAACCCAATCTGATCACAAAGAAACATACATACAATCACAGATGAATGCAAACTAATTCAAATATAAAGTTACTATGACTTTGCACAAATGTGTCTAGCTACACTATGATCTAACTTTTTAATCTAACAAAGACAAGAACAATACTATTTCTTCTGCTTGTGCTGCTTCTCAAGTGAATCTGTAAGAGGCCTTGACATTTCTGACCAATAATTTTATAATCAAGATTTCATTATTTGAGTATGAAATCTTGTTCTGTGTTTTTCTGTGTTTTCTCCATTTTTTTTTATTTTTTTAAGATCGTGTTTCGCTCTGTTGCCCAGGCTGAAGTGCAGTGGCGTGATCTTGGCTCACTGCAACCTCCGCCTCTCGGATTCATCAATTCTCTGCCTCAGCCTCCTGAGTAGTTGGGATTTGGGATTACAGGCGCCTGCCACCATGCCTGGCTAATATTTTGGATTTTTTTTTTTTTTTTTTTTTTAGCAGATACGAGGTTTCACCATGTTGATCAGGCTGGTCTTGAACTCCTGACCTTGTGATCCACCCGCCTCGGCCTCCCAAAATGCCAGGATTACAGGCATGAGCCACTGCTCCTGGCCATTTTCTAGCTTTTAAAAGATTTACAAGACCAATTTCAAAATAAGTACATAAGCTTTATATTGCCATATAATAATTTATCACTCATGTATTGACTTGACATGACACATAACTATTTCAGAGGTTCTGTGGGTCAGAAATCAGGGCATGACTTCTTAGCTGAGTGCTGTGTTCAAAGTCTTACACAGCTGGAATCCAGCTGCAGGCCAGCCTGAGTGCTTTCTGCAGAGGCAGGCTCTCTTCCAAGCTCAGAGGGTTGATGGAAAAATTCAGTTCCTTGCAGTTGCAGAATTGAGAATCTCTTTCTTGCTTTAATCCAGACTGGGTACTGTTTACAGGTCCTGCAGGATACCTGCACTTCCTTGCCATATAGCCCTCTCAAGTATGATAATCATGGTAGTTACATACCATTAGCTTTTTGGTATAACAATCTAATCAAGCAAGCGATCACCTATCACTTTTGTGACAAAAGTCAGTCTAATTATGACAATTACTATCACATCATCTTTACCATATTCTAGTGGTTGGAGATACAAAGGAGTGACTTATGGGGGGCCACTGTAATGTGTGTACACTATAATTGGTTGGATATGCATGTGCTGAAATTAAAAAAAAAATCCACATTTTGCTTCTTCCTTGTTTTACTGAAACAGAGAAGAATGATGAAGAATAACTGGGGTAGGAGTGTCAAAATATTTTGCTGGACAATTAAATTTTATTCTCAATTTTAGATTTGAAATAATCATTTTAGCAACATTTCTCCTGATGTTTTCTGTCTCCTTTCTACATTTACTTATTATTTACAAATTGTAGTTTTACAAACTGCCATTTTGCGTATGTGCATTTATTTGTACAGAAATTGTATTATTGTGCGTGAACCATTAAGTATAAGAAAATAATCTGGAAACGTGAAGGAAAATGGTGAGTAGGATATATAGAGCCTTATCACTTAGTTTACATATTGGTGGAGAATATGGATACTAGACACATTCAAATAAAGGTATGCTCTACTATTAGGTAGTGAGAAGTTTGTCCATCAAGCAAGATAAAGCACTACAGATTGAAAGGACAAAGTATTTTACAGAAGGTGGTAAGAAAAAAGCTCCTCAAACAGATAATACGGAAATGAAGACAAGAGTTATCTACCTGAACTACAACCTATTGAAACAGTGTCCTTGAATCAGAACATATCAATTGCAAATATCCTGAGGCAGAAGATATTTTACCATATTTCAAGAAGTACCAACCTGGTTTTCATGGACAGAGTTAAATAAGTGAAGTAGCAATGATGCCCGAGTGATAGGTACCAGCTAAATGATGTGGGATTTATTGGCTATGGTTAGGTAATTTAAATATTTTGAAAGTGAATAGAAGCCTTTGGAAATTTTTGAGTAAAGGAGTAAATGGGCATGCTTTGTGTGATTAAAATGTTATTTGTGTTTTTGTATGACCACTTTAATCTTCAGAAGCAAACTGGTAGCATATAACTCACATAGGAAGCTATTTCAGTAAACAAGAAAATCACCCATTGTACTTTAAAACAGAGATGTTTCCACTCAAAGGAAAATAGAGTGAAATTTCAATACACTTTGAAGATAAATTTGGCAGGAATTGCTCGTATATTGAATGCTGAGTGTGACAGCTAAAGAAAAATGTCTTCGAGAATTTTTGGACTAAGGAACTAGATGAATAATAATATTTGCCAGTATGAGGAAGACCGTGGGATGTGCAGGTTGGGGAATAAAATTTGTTTAGAAATCTGAGAGCATATGTTAGCTGAAGATGCCTATACACATTAAACTGAGATGTTAAATATGCAATGGATCATGCAATGAATCCAGAGCCCAGAGAAGGAGGAGGAGAAGTTGGGGAAACACATTAGGAAAACAGCAGTATGTGAATATCTTTAAATAAAGAGGAACGTGCTACGACTGAGCCCGGTGCATTTCAACATTGAAAGATTTGGAACGCGAACCAGCAGAGAAGCCTAGAAATGGCATCCAGTGAGGCAGGGTGAGAATTGCAGAACTTTGGTGTTTACGATGCCAAGAAATGAAAATGTTTTGAGAAGGAAATAATCATTTACTTCAGCCATTTTTTATGTGATATGAACTGAATCCCGAGGAATTTTAGATTTGGTGGGTGTATTTTTTATTTTTGTCATATTTGGGAAATACTCCTGACGATAGCAAATTAATAGACAGCGATACCAGGTCTGTTCCACAGAGCAAATAATGCACTGTAGTGTGTTACACATATCATTCAATAGACCTGCAGGCATTCCGTTTAGTTAAAATCATATTAATAAGTATATGGGCTGATAACCTAACTTCATTTTATGGCTAAACATGATTATTTCTCAGTTTTATATAAATGAACTTTCCAGAAATCCAACAAGTTTAAAAATGAAAAAAGAAATCTAAAGAAACCTTTTGTTTTTATCTGTAGTCTTAGTACTGACTCTCCAGTTATTAAAAAAAAAAAAGCCCCCTTCAACATCATTTAACAAAATAAAAATGTAAAGTCTATATTTTATTTCATGACCTTCACTAACCTGGGATGTGAGGAAATGCACTTCATTGACGAAAACTAAAAAGAACAGACTTGTTCCTTGAAACTTAGAGGCTTAATTTATACCAAGGTCCAATATACTTTAAAAAGCAAAGGTGCTTCATCGGGTTCAGTGGCTAAGAAGCAAAATAGAACAGCTACTACTTTCCTTGGGTAGCCTTGAAACGTTTGATTATTTACTTAATGTCACACGAATGATCAGTTCAAAAATTTATGTTATTGAGTTATCCGATACTCTACTTTCTATTAACTATAAGTGATTTAGATGAATGTTTATTAGATGATTTTATTCAATAAAATTATTTTTATGTAAGTACCTATTTACCAGTTGAGAATGATCAGTTATTGTATTCTTGTTATGAAGTTACACTCAGAATGATTTATTCTGATTAACTTTCTGATATTAAAGCAAATGAATATAAACCAAATTTAAAATATAACTGATCATTACAGAAATGTAAATAAAAACTACTATGAGATACCATCTCATACCAGTTAGAATAACTACTATTTAAAATACTAAAAACAAACAAACAAACAAACAGATGCTGACAATGTTTCAGAGAAAAAGAAAGAAATGCTTATACACTGTTGGTGGGAGTGTAAATTAGTTTCGCCAGCGTAGTGTTTCCTCAAAGACCTAAAGACAGAAATACCATTCGACCCAGCAATCCCATTATTGGGTCTCTACCCAAAGGAATATAAATCATTCTATTATAAAGATACTTGCACATGCATATTCATTGCAGCACAATTTACAATAGCAAAAACATGGAATCAACTTTAATGCCCAATGGTGGACTGGATAAAGAAAATGGCCACATGCGGTGGCTCACGCCTGTAATCCTAGCACTTTGGGAGGCCGAGGTGAGAGGATCATAAGATCAGGAGTTCAATACCAGCCTGGCCAATGTGGTGAAATCCCATCTCTACTAAAAATACAAAAATTAGCTGGGCAAGGTGGCGCAAACCTGTAATCTCAGCTACTTGGGAGGCTGAGGCAAAAGAATCACTTGAACCTGGGAGGAGGAGGTTGCACTGAGCCGAGATTGCGCCACTGCCCTCCAGCCTGGACAACAGAGTGAGACTGCGTCTCAGAAAAAAAAAAAAAAGTAGTATTTATACACCACAGAATACTACACAGCCACAAAAAGGAATGACATCATGTCCTTTCCAAGAACATGGATGCAGCTGGCCATTATCCTCAGGATACTAAGGGGCCATTATCCTTAGGGCACTAATGCAGGAACAGAAAACCAAAAAACACATGTTCTGAATAAGTGGGAGCTAAATGATGAAAACACATGGACACAAAGAGGAGAACAACAGATTCTGGGGCCTGCCAGAGTGTAGAGGATGGGAGGAGGAAGAAAAGCAGAAAAATATAACTATTAGATACTAGACTTAGTACCTGCATGATGAAATAATGTGTACCTCAAACCCCTGTGTCACAAATTTACCATATAGCAAACCTGCCCATGTACCCCTGAACCTAAAAGTTCAAAAAAATAAACATAAATTTAAACCTAAAAATAAAAAGAATATGAAAGCACAAATTGTACACTTAAAACTGAGTTCAGTATTTACATATAAAAATTAATGTAAGAACTGGTCACTTGAACCATCTTCAGTAATTAAGACACAGAGCTTCCAGGAATGCTGCCCTTGGTAAAGAGACAATTGGAAACAGAACAAGAACAGTGCTGTCTATGAACACGAATAGGGTGCAGATTGCATGTGATCAGTCATTCTGTTGCCTTCATTGCAATCTGTTGGCACCAGAAGTATGCAGCTCATGCTATCATTGCAAAAACATCTTTCAGATCGCGATTTAAATCTGCTTTTGTATGAATAGATTCTAGTCTTTCCTTCAAATGAAACATGTAGATGGAAGAGAAGGCGCAAAGAAGGAAAAATGTAAACTAACAAAAAAGTAAGTGGAAATGGGACCCCAGAGAAGTTATGAGAAGGAGCATAGTGAAAATATTAGGCAGTACTCTTAGACCCAGGACTTAAGCAAAGCAGACAGTTGTTTTGTATAACTTCACATTGTTTAAACACGGTGTTATGGTTAGGCTTTGTGTCCCCACCCAAATCTCATCTTGAATTGTAATCCCTATAATGCCCATGTGTCAAGGGAGAAATCAGGTGGAGGTAATTGAATCATGGGGGTGGTTTCCCCCATGCTGTTCTCATGATAGTGAGTGAGTTCTCACGAGATTTGATGGTTTTATAAGGAGCCCTTTCCGCTTCACTCAGCACTTGTTCTGCCATTTTGTGAAGAAGGTGCTTTGCTTCCCCTTCGCCTTCTGGCATGATTGTTTTTTGAGGCTTCCCCAGCCATGCATAACTGTGAGTCAATTAAACCTCTTTCTTTTAAAAATTGCCCAGTCACGGGCAGTTCTTATAGCAGTGTGAGAAGGAACTAATACACAGGGAATAATTTTTAAGACGCCTGGCAATTGACTGTTTTTATTCTGAAAAAGAAGAACAAAAAGGAAATAGGCTAGATTAAAATAATCCTGCAGTACCTAGAAGTGAAGGACAACACGTACATCTTAATACAAAAAAGAATTGAAAGCCAATCCAGAATAAAATTACTCCCTCAGTATTTCTCTCAGTTGGCTGGATTAAATTATAGTTATCTTTTTTGTATGTTATACAATCTTCTCAAGTAGGGTTACAGTCACAATTGAGACATGAACTCTGTGTGTGTGTGTGCGCACGTGAGTATGTGAGAGTGTGTGAGTGCAAAGGTGTGTGTTTCAAAAACTCCATGTATCCGTATACAAACTACTACTGCACCATATTTTGAGTCCAGTCACTTCCTGGGAGAGATAGTTGTTTGTAAGTGGGAAGGAAGAAAAAAAGAGAAAAGCAAGAAAGAAAATGATAAAACAAATGACCACAGGGATGCAAAAACTGAAAGGCAGAGGATGAATGAGAGAAAGAAAATACAGGAAATAGAAGGAATAGGAGAAGGAACAAGAGAAGGCAGTTGGCAAAAGAAACTATGTAGAGGGTGTGAAGGAGAGCAAGGGAGGAGAGCAAAACGTTGCATTCTTGACAAATTTCTCGATGTCCATGGAGGAGGAAGGAAAGCAGGAAGAACTGACTCACTGTGGCATGAAAAGGCAACTGCAACATCTCAGCACAAGCATCCCTGTGACTGTCAAAAGGTTTTCGGTAATGGTAAGAAAACACTGATATAGAGTCACATTAATAGGCAATAAACTGGTGGTGAAAATGAAGCATTGCTTTGGTATGCGTTTGCCTATTTTGCTACTGAAAGGGTGATTCAAGAACTGACCAGCAGCATGGAGATCTCCTAGGAGTTTATTTAAAAATAGGTAATTGAATGCCTCACGCTGGACCCACTGAATCCACATCTGTGTTTTAATAACATCCCCAGGCGATTTGTATGCACATTGAAGTTTGAGAAATATTGCACCATACTCTGTGCATCCCTGGGGCAACATTAACATTGCTTTACATTCAAATAAATGAAGAACCAGCCACTGGGGGGCTGTAAAAGCAACCTAATATCTAAGTCAAATGACATTCTTGGGAAGGTGGTAATTTTTGAGAATGCCCTAAAAAATGAGGGCCAGTCTTACTGTATACACTCATGGGGTTACATTGCCTGGGAAAATTATTAATGCTTGTTTTGGAAGTGGTAGTGAGAATCTACCATCAACAGTACTGATTTCCATTGCGCATATATGTATATGTGTGTTTGTGTGTGTGTGTATGTATATATATATATATATATATATATATATATATACATACACACACGTAATCTGAATCTGGGTTTTATTAGCAAGTTACATTTTTAATAGGAATCCCTTCATTTACCAAGAGAGTATTTTCCAAGAGAGTTAAATTAAACTGATGTTAGAACATCAGTCTGAAACTTAAAAAATAGTATATTCCATTGATCTTGTGAGAGGAGAAACACATTACCTTGTTTACCTTGTTCCCGTTTGTATAATGATCTTACATGTGAAAGAGGCTGTTTAGAATATCTTATTATTATGATTAAATTTATATATCAGGAATTAAGACCTATTATCAAATCACAGAATGGTCACTTTATGCCTACATTAAATAAAATGAATAAGCTCCAATCTGCACCTCACTAAGCAATTGAAATAATAATAAAAATGTAGTTCTGGAATTCATGGTGGTTATCTGTATGAAAATCAGAATAATTGAATTGTTTGATTATTCTCCTTCATTTTCCTATGTGGAAACTTATTTTAATTCCAATTAATGACAGTTTCTAATTTATGCACTTTTTAACTAGAAAATTAGGTAAGACAGTTATATGTGAAGGATCATGATGAATATTTCTGCTTTTTAAAAATACTACACAATAGTTAATAATAAATACCAGTGGGTTTTTTTTAAAGCATTTATACTTCTGTGACCTGAAAAAAGGTAATGAAAATCATATTTTTACATGTCCATCTGGATCCAAAAGTATTAATTATCACTTAGCAATCAGGGAAGTGAGAATTGCTATGTTGGTGGAAAAGGGAAATTTTATTCTCAGAGAACAATTCTCACCTGCGGACTGGAGACTGGACATTTAATGTCATGTAATAAGAAATGAAATTAGACATGGCAGATTATCAGCTGACAAAGGTTTTTACACTATTACTAATCTATTTTCCTAATTCTTTTCATTTATTTTGTGGTTGAGAGAGTAGTAGCTTTTAATAAGCATGATTTTTAAAAATTAGTCTGCCTTATGTTATATGTAGGTTTTACCTAAAAATAATTCATCTCTATTTCTATTGCTACTTGATTTCTAGATGCTACTATACTTTTACATAATTTCCATAACTTTATTAATCAGAGTCAAAGATAAATAAAATTGTTTCATGAATCATTCACTCTGTCTCAAAGTTATATAATTTTGGGGACAGATTTTTTTTCTCTTTTTTTTGAGAGGGAGTCTTGCTCTGTCGCCCAGGCTGGAGTGCAGTGGTGCAATTTCGGCTCACTGCAACCTCTGCCTCCCAGGTTCAAGCAATTCTCCCTGCCTCAGCCTCTCAAGTACCTGAGACTACAGGTGCCCACCACCATGCCCAACTAATTTTTGTATTTTTTAGTAGAGACAGGGTTTTGCCCTCTTGGTCAGGCTGGTCTTGAACTCCTGACCTCAGGTGATCTGCCTGCCTCGGGCTCCCAAAGTGCTGGGATTACAGGCGTGAGCCACTGCGCCTGGCCAGATTTTTTTTTTAAAGCCCTCTGACAGGAAATAAACAATATTCAGTACTTGTAAATTTAGACATTTAGAAAGTACCAATAGAAGTAAATGTCATACATATCATTGTATGTATATGAGCATATGTAAACATGTATAAACAAAATGCGTATTAAGAGATTCCAGAATATATGTCATATGTCTAAATGATATGTATATATTACTTGCTTTCAAAGAAAGATTCCCCAGGATTAGATGTCTGGAAGTTGTACTGGGTCAGGGGTTTTTACTGGAATGTGGCTGATTTATTTATTTATACTGTAGCCATTAAAACCATGTTTCAACAATCTACTCAGAAAAGCAGATTAGATAAGAGAACTTGTCAAGAATAATGTTGGATAGCCGAAAGGAGACAGGGATATGCATTTGAGGTGCTTTTCTATAAAAACTTCACATCATTTGCTTTCTGAACTAAAGCTCTGCTCCTGTGTTCTCTCATTTTGTTTTTGACTGGATCTTCTTTCGTAACTTTAATCTCCTCTTGATTCCCATGCAGTTCAGTATCTTAGTTCTACTTGAAATGTATTTCAGAAATTAATATTGAAACTGGCTCATAGAAAAGCTTTTCTCACTTACCCTAGCTGCAAGGACATGGCAAACTTGATCTCATTTTTTTCTCATTGAAATTAAAACTTAAGAAATTGTATATTGCATAGGTATATTTATAATTTAAAATATTTTTATAATCTCACTAATATATACATATATTTTATATACAAAATTTGAAAACACAGAAAAACAAAATGCGATCATTGTCCTATTTTAGTATGTAATATTGCATATTTTGTCTTGTGAAAACAGAGCACTCAAATGAGAACAGAGACAGTTTGCTGTAACAACCCTGACTTGCATTTGGCAGAGACTCAAAGGCATGCAGAAAAATTTGAAAGGTTCATAGTGACAAAACAAAAAGATCTAGGTATGTTTTGACTGGAAGGCTTTGACATGACAAAGTTAACTAGAAGAGGGGCTTATGTGATTTGTTTGGTAAGAATCCGACATTTTCTGTTTGGTCCTGAGTTGGAAATTTGGGGGGAAATACAAGGAAGCTGATGATCATTGATCAAATCCATTTGTATATTGTTTGTCAATCCTCTCGTTGGTCAGTTTCTCACTTGGAAGAGATTTATCAATTCGAAGAAGGCTAGAGAGCCAGATCTTCTCAGAGATTGTTCAGTTATTTCTATAATTAGTTTATGATGATTTCTACTTACCTTTTGTTGTTGCATCATCATGTACCAAAGGATGATAAAGAAGCGTTTAGTACTCAAAATACAATTCAGTGGGCCATTATTAGGACCACTATGACAAAAACAAGAATCATTAAAAATCCAAGTAAGATCCTTTAGAACCAGGAACCCCAGTTGTCCAACAGAAAAATTCCAAACACCATTAGGATGAACCTGAGAAAGCCAAGTAGCTTTTTCCTTAAGGGAATGCATAGCCTCGTCTGCTTACCTGCTTCAGTGATCCAAGTACAGTAAGAAATATTAGCCGTGGCACACATGTCATCAAGACTAGCCAACAAGAAACCTAGAGCAAATGCGTTATGCATCACTCTTCATGCTGTTGAGATTGAGCTATATTCCATCTAGGGCAGAGGTGTTTCCATTAATAATGTAATAATTTCTCTGCAGTCTTTTCTACTCGTGTGAGTTCCACCATTGGAAACGCTACTTGTTCACATAAAAAATGAATCAGTTCACATAAAAAAATGAATCAGTAATTTCCCCAGGTAGAGTGCCTGAATAATCAAGGTGACCTCATTTTAGAACTCATATTTGTGTCAGAATTTATAGTTTTGGTGTTCAGAGAAGTGTGGTCTCTTTGTATAGACACATCTCACAATATTGTTCTTAAAGCACCCATGTTAGCATGAGGCAAACACCAGATGTTTTGCCACAAACAAAAGAGTATCCAGTAGGGGCATGTGGGAGATCAAACTGAGGCCTTACATTAGCTAAGTTATATATTTCTGTCTCTATTAGTCTATCCCAGGTGGCAAATGTTTAGTGTAGTACCCTAAAATGGATGTTGAATTCAAGTTTAGAACTACCCAGGGTATGGACTTTAGATTGTGATTATTGGTTCTTTTTTTTTTTAGAGGGCAAAAGGATACTAGAAAGTCACAAGTTGATTGGTTAAAGGTAATTTGTACATTTCACGAAAGTGGAAATGCCATCTGCTATAGTTTGCTGTGGTTCCATTGTATGAGACTGGATGGTTTCTCATGGGAGTTTGGTAATGGGCTAAGACTGAGGGCAGGACTAATGATTGGGGTAATCTGAAAATGACATTAGAGTGAGTATCTTCTGACCTAACAATTACAGTGATGAAGATGAAAAAAACAAAGGGTTATTGTGTATGGAAAACAATCAGAGGTCTATTTGAGAAAAATGTTTATAAGCAAGTGGATAAAAAGTAAAACCATAATTAGACAGGGGCCTTGTTCCAATGTCTTGGGAATCTATCTGAGGCCATCTGCTTCTTCCAAAGGTTTTGCATCACTGTCTGCTTCCAAAGACCTACTGCTTCTAGAGGATCTCCGTGAAGCGACAGTTTGAAGTCCCCAATTGGAATCGTCTTCCAGTTGTGTGGTGCTCTAAATTTGTTCTTTAGTTATGAAACATGAACTAGGATTTGATTCCTTAGAGTTCCACTATTGTATTTGTTACCAACAGTGCCTGATAAGATCCACTTCAACAACGTTCAAGGGACGTTTTTCTCTGGTGCATCCTTCAGTAGATAAAATTTCCTGCTTAATAATCATAAATAAGTTGTTTAGGAAAATGTTGTGCAAAGGTAGCCTTACCCTGTTGGTCATAGTACATAAGTACCTTGTAATACTTTTTCATATATGTATTATATATTATATATACATACATCTGCTTTTGTATATATGCATGTGTATGTATATGATATTAAGGTATATTATGTGATTATATAATATATGGCATATTATACTATTATAAAAATATTATATAATTATATATAATTTAATATATTTCACAATATATTTTATTACATTATACAAACACACACACATAAAATAAGGAATAGTCTCATGAAATAATTATAAAGGTTGGCAAATTCCAAGATCTGGGGAGTGAGACAGCAAGCTGGAGGCCCAGGAGAGCAAATGGTTTAGTTTCAGTCTAAGTCCAAATGTCTGAGATCCAAGAGAGTTGATGGTGGTGCTCCAGTCCAAAGGCCAGTAGGCTTGAGACTCAGAAGAAGCCGATGTTTCAGATTAAGTCTAAAGTCAGAAGAAAGCTGATATCTCAATTTGAAGGCAATCAGCCAGGAAGAATTCTCATTTTCAGCAGAAGGTCAGCATTTTTTTTTCTATTATTTCTTTCAACTGATTGAATGAGGTTCACCCACATAAGAGAGAACAATGTGCTTTATTCAGTCTACACATTTACTATGTATTTATTTATTTATTTATTCATTGAGACAGAGTTCTGCTGTGTCACCCAGGCTGGAATGCAGTAGTGCGATCTTGGCTCATAGCAGTCTCTGCCTCCCGGGTTCAAGAGATTCTTGTGCCTCAGCCTCCTGAGTAGCTGGAACTACAGGTGCACACCACCACTCCCAGCTAATTTTTGGATTTTTAGTAGAGATGGAGTTTTGCCATGTTGACCAGGCTGTTCTCAAACTCCTGGCCTTGTGATTCGCCCACCTCAGCCTCCCACAGTGCTGGGATTACAGGCGTGAGCCACCGCTTCTGGCCAAATCTACAAATTTAAACATTAATATCAACCAAAGCACCCTCATCCACACATCCATAATAATGTTTGATCAAATATTTGGGCATCCCATGGCCCAGTCAAGTCAATACATAAAATTATTCATCACAATTCCCACAGATGTGCGCCTCAAGATGAAAACACAAAATCATCCAGCCTTTCAACTACTGTGAAAAGTACAGATTTTTACTAAAGAAACCCTCCACCTGATTCTTAAAATAGGTATATGATGACTAAGTCATATTAAAAATCTCTTTGAGGGGATGAAAGTCAGATAAAATCCACAAGAAAGTGTTCAAAATACTCTTGAGGCTTTGGAATCTGTTCATGTATATCTTTACAGTTTTTCTTCAGCTGCTGACAAATGACTCATGATTTGAAAATAATGTCAACTGTCATTTCAAAGTTCCCCTACCAATGCTGACTTAAGATAACAACAAATTTGTCTATACCATGATGAGTAGTTTTATGAAGAAATTTAGTGAATATCCATTTGAAATCACTGAGTGCTACCAGGCAGCCATCTTCAGAGGGTCAGAGATTACCTGAGTGAAGAGTACAACCATATATATATTTTTTCATTCTTTCCTTCCCAAACCAAATAACTATTGATATCTTGTAATGACTTACTTGAATTATTCCAAAATGTATCCTTTGATGATTAAGACAGGATCATAGCCTTTGATACAGCTACTCGTTGGCATAATGCTTTTCTATATTTCCTTCAGCTTCCATATGTCCACATCTGGATTTGCCTGGGCCTCAAACTTTATAATGGCCACCTCTCTAAAAAGTAGGCATGTACTTAAAAGTCCATTAACTTGTTGTCCATTTTAGATAAGGGTTACATCCATTGTGTGGACTCTAATTGATGTACTTCTCGAGAGACATACTTGTCATCTGTATAGATAATTTTTGGCTAGTTGACAAGCTCTGGTATATGCAATAAATGCGGCCATCTTAGCTAATTTTACCTCAATGGAGGGCTATAGTTTAAAAGAGAGCTTAAATTGGTAATAATATATCCTGCTTAAAAATCTCCAATTTTAGTTCTGAGATATGGCCCATTAAAAATATGATATATTATTATTTTCAATGACAGTCACCAATAAATACAAGAGGGGTAAAGAATATTCCACAACTGAGGAAAACAAACTATTCTGAACTTCTAGTGGAGGCAGAGTGTCAGCGTTCAAGTTTTGCAGTGGTGAAGGGCAAGCCTGGGCAAGAGAGTGAGACCCTGTCTCAAAGAAAAAAAAGCAAAAAATTAATCTTTCAATTTATTGGAATGAGAATAACAAGCTCCCTGTTTATATTTACCTATACTATATTTACTACGATGAATAAAATACATCGGCTTAGGTTAGCTGTTCAGATTCATCCACATTTCCATTTAACTAGTGTTATATGCCTTTTAAAGAGAACAATAATCACTTTATTAAGTTAAAGACAAGATGAAATAAAAGATTACTTCTGGAATCTCAATCACTTACACATCAGCTTCTTTTTCCGTGCTTACATAAAGTTCAGTTAGTGGTGGAGATGGTGGATTGAGAAGAGATTCTGCTCTTTCCAGTTATTTATGCATACAGGATAATGGAGGCTCTTTCATTTTTGCAAAGTGGCCTCCAAGATGAGAGAGGCAAAGATTAACAGCATCTCAGAAGAGGTTCATGGGCAGACTGAAAGTGCTGTGTGCTCTCAGCAGTAATGTCTGTACTGGGTAAAGAACCATGAGATCAAGCAGGGAGCCTAGCATTATTTTTAGCAGAAGTACCAACAGGTTTTGCACCACTGTTTTTGTTTTTTACTATTTTCCTGACATAAAGGGTAAACCCTAAGGATTGTCCATGTAGCTCATGCACAAATAGATTAAAAAAAAATAACTTTTGGTAGACAGAGATGCTTAGAGAACAAAGCTGTTGAAGAATTCTCTTCAGGTTACCAAAAGCGTTCATGTTTAGGTTCCCATAGCCAAGGGTCTCTTACTAAGGACTTAGTCAATTCATAAAGAGATGTTGTAATCTTAGAACACCTTGGCACTCGTTGCCAATTAAACTTAGAAATCCTATCATTTATCACTTTGTAATGTGTCTTCAATAGGTTTGGATAGTCTTTGGCTTATCAGTAGAGAGTATTTCTCCCTCATTAGATAGGACGTTCTCAAATAATGAATTGTGTCTTGGCAAAATTACAATCTCTCTTGGAAATTCGAAGTTTTGTTTCTTCTAAGGTTGAGCCTGAGAAATTGGAATCATTTTTAGAGACTTCACTGTCCTATGAGCAAAGTAAGAGCTCATCTACCCGTTACATCAGAGTTGAACTAAAAGGGATATTTAGCTGTGTTAAGTTTTCATTGGGGAGCTGAGAAAAATAGGAAGGAATTTTGGTGAAGCCCAGGCCATGATGTTCCAGGTATATTATTTTCCCCAGGAGGAAGCCAAAGGGATAATAACTGTTCTGATCTAGAGGTACATGGAAAAAACAGAGGAAAGGATGACTACAAAGCAACAAGATGCTTTTAGCTGGAGTTGCTACCAAGATGATATTCCAGTTATATACTACTAGAAATCAGGGATAACAATTTTCTGATGATCCTAAGGTCTTGAAAAAAATATAATGTCTTCATCCCTTTGGCTTCTTTACTGGAAAAGTATGAGAAATTTACATATAAGTTCTTCAGCTGAGCTGTTCCTTACTTTGGCTCTAAAGGATAATGGGTAAGTTTGGGCAATGAGTTGGTAGAATCTATCTAAATTTTTAATGGATCTGCTTCACATATATTTTCTGTGTTGTGAAAGGTTTAGTCATAGAGTGTCAAGTATGGTGTTAAGTTCCTTATCAAGGATGTGCATCACATATAATGGAGAAGCCAAAGTATATCCAGAGCAGAAACAATCCGTGAATAGCAGAGTCCTCAAGAAATCATCCCTCTGGTGTGCATTTAATATTGTAATTCTATTTATAGATGCTTTGACATTATAGTAAGAAAATACATTTTAATGGATCATTATATAATAGATGATTAAAAATGAAATACTTCAAAAGTTCTCAAATTTATCAAAAATTCTATCTGCCTAGAATGGTCAGGAGTGGGTCAAGAACTGGCAGATTCCCTATTTTTTGTCCCTGACTCCATCCAACTCAGGACCGACCAGAGAAGTCCAAATATGTTCCTCAAGACAATTATATGAGATCCCTTGCTTCTAGTTAGCCTGCATCCAACTTCCCATGCCAAACTCCAATCATAGCACACCTGAAACCCTACCTCATTTCACTACTAAGCTTTCCCACTCCCCTGCCTGCTTCTGCTTTGTGTCTCTCACACGTGATGATGACTACCTCCGTTATACTAAGAAATCAATAGAAAGAATTACCTTCCTTTCTTACCTTTTGTGCAGGCATTAAAACAAAAAAAAATAGGCTGGATGTGGTGGCTCATGTCTGTAACATCAGCACTTTGGGAGAGCAAGGCAGGATAATTACTTGAGTCCAGGAGATCGAGAACTACCTGGGCTAATGGCAAAACTCCATATCTACCCAAAATTAATAAATCAGTCAGGCCTAGTGGCATGCACCTGTGGTCCCAACTATTTGGGAGGCTGAGATGGAAGAATGCACTGGGCCTGGGAAGTGGAGGCTGCAGTGAGCTGTGATTGCACCACTGCACTCAAGCCTGGACAAGAGAGTGAGACCCTGTCTCAAAGAAGAAAAAGCAAAAAATTAATCTTTCAGTTTATTGGAATGAGAATAACAAGCTCCCTGTTTATATTTACCTATACTGTATTTACTATGATGAATAAAATACGTCAGCTTAGATTAGCTGTTCAGAATCATCTACATTTCCATTTAACCAGTATTATACTATATGCCTTTTAAAGAGAACAATAATCACTTTATTAAGTTAAATACAAGATGAAATAAAAGATTACTTCTGGAATCTCAATCACTTACACATAAGCTTCTTTTTCCATGCTAACATAAAGTTCAGTTAGTGGTGGAGATGGTGGATTGAGAAGAGATTCTGATCTTTCCAGTTATTTATGCATACAGGATAATGGAGGCTCTTTCATTTTTGCAAAGTGGCCTCCAAGATCACTGTGAATGTCCTCACTTTGCCCACACATAGGGGAGAAACAGCATGGGAGATTCCTAGAAGATTTTTCTATAAGTGAAGCCTAGAATTAACAAGCTTTCCTTTACAGTTGAATTTGTTTTTGGCCAGAATTAAATTCTTAAGTTTACCTAGATGCAAGTGGGAATAGAAAGTGTAGTCACTGGCTAGACAGCCACATTCCAGAACAAGGCTACTTTATAAAAAGGAACACAAATCTTTGCAGACCACCTGACCAACATTATGAAATTAAAGACAGGGTTCATCATTTAAAAACATAAAATTATTTATTTGGGTTATAATACTGACTTTAACACTGGATCAATATTCTTGTTAGGATAGTAAAAACCAAGGCAGTTTAACAATTTGCATAGTGTAGATAAACCTTTGATCAACAAAAACTACAAATGTTACCCTCTACCTCATAAGATGCCAATAAAGAGGCTAGAGTGAAGTAAAAATATGGACACAAACATGGCCACAAATTCCTCACATCTTAGTTCACATGTTAAAGTAAGATGACTACCAAGACAGAAGCTTGGATAGATGGGTTAGATGTGTAGACAGAAAAGTTTTAAGAATACCCTTAATTTTATTTTTATTTTTATTTTGTTTGAGACAGGATTTTACTTGTTCACCTAGGCTGGAGTGCAATGACACAATCACAGCACACTGTGGCCTCGGCCTCCTGGGCTCAAGTGATCCTCCCACCTCAGCCTCTAGAATAGCTGGGACTACAGGTGCCAGGCACCACACCTGGCTAATTTTTCTATTTTTAATGGAGGCAGGGTTTCATGATGTTGCTCAGACTGCTCTCAAACTCCTGAGCTCAGGCCATCCACTCACCTCAGCCTCCCAAAGTGCTGGGACTGCAGGCATAAGCCACTGTGCCTGGCCACTTTAAATATTATTAAAGAATAATAGATGATTTTTAGGGAATTATAAAAATGTAAATCTTTTTAACATATGAAGTCTGTAGTAAGGGCCACAATCAAAATGATAAGGATTATATTAAAACTAACTGAAACAATGTTATTGATTCAATAACCATTCCTAATCTTTTCTATTAAAGACCATCTAAAATAATTTAACAAAGGAGGATAGGCTTTTATTATAACAATGATAAAAATCACAACATTTTATGATTATCTGTATAAATTATGTAATTTCTTCCTCAAAAATGATTTCTGTTATTTCTTAGAAATTCAGAAAATTTAACGTGGAATGACAGACCATCCCTCTATTAGGGCTTGTGTTCATATTACAATGGTAAAGTGTCTAAAGATCAGTAAATATTATAATGTTAAGCATGTATAAACTGTGGGATATTCTATTTTAAGTGTTTCATACAGGAAATAGCAAACATCCTTATGGATTCCTGAATAAATCTTCCAAACAGCTAAAAAGTAAATGAGTAAATATTCCATTGAAATTATGTATAAAGGGACCCACCAAGTCACGTGCCTTTGACAAAAGCTCAAAGGCAAGCGTGGTGTGAAAAGCTTCATCATGGAAAACAAAAGAGAAGCCATCAGGTGTTCTCTGACAGGCTTGCTGGCTTAGGAAAGCAGGAGGTGGCTAATGAGAAAAACCTTATGTGGTTGGTTTCTGGAGCATAGTTGAGTTTCTCTAGTTGGTACTAATGTGGAAATGGACAAAAATTAGAAAAACTGCCATCCATTTACCAAATCCTGACCTTTGTGAGCTGACTGCTGTAGAAGTTGCATGTCAGAAATCTATTTCATATATGATCTGGTATTGTCCATTTGAATAAAGTTTTTCAGTTTTTCAGTTTATATATGACTATATACTATATTCATAATGTACTTTACCAAAAATACAGAAAAATTTGTATACAATGTTACAAACATTTTCCCCAACAGCATACAATTTTCTATTTTATTTTAAGTTCTGGGATACATGTGCAGGATGTGCAGGTTTGTTACATAGGTAGATGTGTGCCATGGTGGTTTGCTGCACCTATCGACCCATCACCTAGGTATTAAACTCTGCATGCATTAGCTATTTATCTTGAGGCTCTCCCTCCCCCACTTCACCCAATAAGCCCGGGTGTGTGTTGTTCCTCTCCCTGTGTCCATGTGTTCATTTACCCAGGACAATCCTAAGCAAAAAGGACACAGCTGGAGGCATCACGCTACCCAACTTAAAACTATACTACAAGGCTATAGTAAACAAAACAGCATGGTACTGGTACCAAAACAGACACATAAACCAATGGAACAGAATGGAGATCTCAGAAATAAGACCAAACATCTACAACCATCTGATCTTTGACAAATCTGACCAAAAAAAAAAAAAAAAAAAAGCAATGGGGAAAGGATTCCCTATTTAATAAATGGTGCTGGGAAAACTGGCTAGCCATATGCAGAAAACTAAAACTAGGCCCCTTCCTTACACCTTATACAAAAGATTTTCTTTAATAATCCCCTATGCTATTATAAGCTCTCTTCCCTAAAATCTGTGTGAGATTCCTTGGATGAACATACTGTAATATATAGAACTGATTTCCTACTTGGACTATCTATAACTTTTGCTATGTAAAGTTTGCCCATATACTCTCTCATAAACTGTGCATAAATTAATACCCATTTCCCTACACTTTCCTAATACATGGCATCATCATTTTAAGGAACTGTGCCTTAAACACATATAACACTGTCATTTTCAAAATACACAAATGCTAACCACTAACGACTATGTTGCAAGATTACAGCTCAGATTCAGAATCATTGATTAAAGACAGAGGATACAAAAACATTTTGAAAATAAAAACTAGCCCAATTTCTTACTTCCTTAATATACTCAAACATAGTTCTAAAAACTAAATTAAGAAGGATCAGAAAGGATATTTTTTAACAGTTATATTGTAGTTTAGATACAGTGTATTTGGAAGAAAAGGAAATTTCCAGAAAAATATTTTGGTGAAATATTTTCTATATTAAGATGTTGACAACAATCACCATCTAAAACTGATTTTTCCTCTGTGTTTCCATTAGCTGCTGGGTAAACGTCTAGTCACTAATCTTAGGTAACCACGAACTATATATTTTTTTTAACTTCAGTGGATAATGCATTGGCTTTTTCATCTTTACCTGCTCAGGAGCAGCTCAAAGTTGGCCATAGGTCAGTGGCCAATGGGTGTATGGGTGTTACCTGAACGACTGAATCAACATATAACTGAGAAAAAAAGAAAATAATATTTTGAGGACCCCAGTATTTATTTTTGACTTTTGACACACTTCCCAAAAACTATATGTGTGTGTGTGTGTGTGTGTGTGTGTGTGTGTGTATACCCACACATATGTGTGTGTGTGGGTATATATATTACATAATTCTTAAAACTTCCTGGTCATTGATTCTTTCCAGCAATAAAATTGATTCCTTTAGTTTGATCTTTTAAAAATGTCTACTATTCTCTCACAGAAGACAATAACCAAATTTGAGTTGTTTTTTTTTTTTTCTAAGGCGGGGAGTGGTTAAAAAAGGGAAGAACAAGCAAAAAGCATGGATGCATCATTAACTGAGTCAATTTTTGCTTAACAGGAAATTTACTATATGCTTTTGAAAGTGCTATAAACACTGATCAACTTTTCATTTCCCTCACGATGAGTTATTAAGTTGTGAACTAAATTGCCTTTTATATGTTTCGTACCCATGAATTTAGTTTGACAAAGCCATGAGATGGCAAAATGGGTTTTTCTTTCCAAGTCTTTTGTATAACTTTGTATCAGTATTTAGACATTCTTACTTGAAATAGCATGCAACTTTCTGAATTTTCCAATATATTCATTCATAATGTATGAAATGGATAATGAAGAACGATTAAAGTATAACAGCTTTCTCTTCCTATTTCACCTGACCTTAGCTCTGTTCCTCAACATGGCAGACAGGAAGTCATTAGTGCTATGGGTATCACATAACCTCTGACTCCATACCCTGCAAGGTACACTGATTGACTTTCATTAAGTAGTCATGAATGTAATTTGATGAAGGTAATAAACTACTATGGACTTAACAGTTAGCAGCAGCTCTATTGTTTAGTTTCAACATTGTGGAAAAGCCTTGAACTTATATGACTGAATATATAAATACATTTAAAGGTACAAACACATCTGCCTTCGATTCAAATCAATGGGAATAAAAACCATTTATTTTTCATGCTTTGTTTTCTTCACTTTTTGAAAGAGGATATAGTTAAATTGTGAAATGCATTTTAAATAAATTACATAATTGTAAGTAGTAATTTTCATAATTCTAGGGGATCTTCTGACATCTCACTCTATCAATCTATCCATCTCTCTTAATATCTACCTATGCTAAGGGAAGTTTAATATTGTTTTTACAGGACAAACAGTAGAATTTTTGTTAATGTCCCATTAAGAAGCATCATTAATTAAAATAAACCCCTTTTAAATATCTGACATTTCAGCAGCTTTCATGTGTAGTATTGAAAAGCAAAACTTGGTTTTGGTCAAAACTAACCTTTCATTTCTAAAATAGTGTTGTTTAATCAAGAGCACATGATTCAAGGCAGAAAGTGGAATGGACTTCTTATAGAAACATGTTATGCTGTTTTTGTTCAACCTTTCCAATGAAGCATCAATTTTTTGAAATCTTCAAACTCTTGGTATGAAGGAATTGTGGAAAAAGGGTGGATGTAGTTTTACCAGTTATGACATGAGATGCTGAAGAATATAAGATGACAAGTAAAAACTGGACATTCACAGACATTACCATTACTTCACTAATTGATAGTGTTACTAGTTTCTGACATGCTAATTTGTAATGACAAGGATGGCTTTTGAAATGATTTAGTATTTGGTGTAAAAGCATTGAGCTGAATGGTTAATGCATTGAGCAGGCACAGGATAGCTAAACCTCAGTGCTATTTAACAACACATTGCTGGAGCACTGTTTCTATGTGGCACCATCAATGCACTGTAGCTTTTTCAGGTAATGCCGAACCTCACTGACAAGCTGACGATCAGGAGGCCAGGTCATAGCCTTGAGAGTCACCCTCCAACCAATCCGATGAAAAACGTGCAATCCTGCAGCATGACTGAGAATGGACTTTAGAAAGTTTGTCTGAATCAATAAACACTCTTACACAATACCTCTTAGTGCCTCTTCTAGGCTTCCTTGTTTCCCAGTGCACTGAAAGCAAAGTAAGAGTTTATGAGACAGGAAAGCTGTCTCCATATAAATAATACACCAAAACTTTTATGATCCATTTTATGCCACAACTTACAAATGCACTTAAAGAGGGCAATGCTTCATCTTGATGGCAGGATAGTTTGACTTTGTATCTATCTTTTTATTGATTTTCTTCTATGATATCCAAAAAGAATGAGGCTATAAGGTTCATAAGCATTTGATAACATAAAACTATTCTTGCTTCTGTATATTCAAAAGGAAATGATGAAAATGTCCCTCTAAACTAGAAATCCACTTTTAAAAAAATCTCAAATATTTATAGTCCCCAAATCACTCCATTTTATTACTCTAAGCAGTCAATTGCTGAACTCAGAAGATTATAGTTAACATGAACAAGTGTGAAAGCAAAATAAAATATGATCAACTTTACTCAAAAATGACTTTTTCTATTCTTCAATATAGTTGTTCCTCAGGGCTTGTCATTCAGCTTTTTTTCAGAATTTCAGTTGGCATTATCTGTTATCATCGGGTGTCTTATATAACTGGAAACCCAGGAACAGTAAAGCATCATTCTCTAAGAATTTGCCATCACCTTAGTGTTAGGCCTTCCCCATGTCTGCACTAAGACCATCTCCTTAGCTATGCTTTTCTATTTATTTCATTGTCCAATGAAAGCAAATATTTCCCCTTATTTTTATTTATAGTTTTGTGTCTCACTGTTTTCACCTGTTCATAGTTTCTTTACTTACACTTTTATGACATTTTTATATCGAAATTCAGGAAGCTGCATGAACATTGAAAAACGAATATGAGGAAAGTAGGAAAATATGTCACTTTTCTTACCATGGAAGCAGATTCACTTGGGAATATATTTTTAAGGGATTAGGGTGCTGATAGAAGGAGGTGAAGTTGGCTTGTGTAGGATATAACAGACTTAGACTTATAATTTGTAAAAAGTTTACTTTTGGAAAATACAATTTCTAGATTTTTGGATGACTACTTAAAAATGTAATAAAAATATAAATATTCCAGAGATGATACTGTGGTTTAGAGACTTGTTTCTCATAGCGTCTGCAAACCACTTGCAGGAGAATCACCTTGGATGCCCACTGAACGGCTATATTAATATATCTTGGGACCTAGGTTCTGAAGCTTTATGCTAAACAAGCAAGCTTGAGAAAGATTTTTACAAAACAAGAACAGAATACAAAAATTAGCTAGGTGTGGTGGCGGGCACCTGTAATCTCAGCTACTGGAGAGGCTGAAACAGGAGAATCACTTGAACCCTGGAGGTGTAGGTTGTAGTGAGCCAAGATGGCGCCACTGCACTTCAGCCTGGGCAACAAGAGTGAAACTCTGTCTCAAAAAAAGAAAAAAAAGAAAAAAAGAAAAAGAACAGTAACAACAAAGGTCCTATTCACTATTCATGAACACATGAATAAAAACTAGCCTGAAAGACAGAATATTAAAAATTTTTACTTAGATATTCAAACATTTGACCACATTCACAATATATAAAAGGAATTTATCCCCTATGCAGTTAGAATGGCCAGTAACTTCAATTATTTTATATTTTTAAAGAAATTTAATTTGGATACTGGCTATCAGCACTCAAATGAAAATCCTTTTTCCGTAAAGATTATTGTGCAATGGGAAGTTGTTTTTAGTAGAATAGTTAAAATATTTGTGTATGCTCAAAATATTAGGGAAAATAGATTTGTACAACTATTTTTGTTTCCTCACTAAATACTGGGCTATTCATCTTCTACCTGAAAATGAAATGGTTATTTCTACATATAAGTTTCAAGAATTTGGAAAATGACAGTGGGATCTGTTTTAAGAACACTGGAATTAAACAGTACCTGAGTACAGGGGGGAAAAAAAAGCTAGAAAGAGTTATTCACTGATTTAAATAATAAAAGTCAATTTTAATTTTTTTCAAAATGCACAGACAAAAGAACTGAAAAAAGATCATTTTTACTCCTAAACTTACATAGCTCAGTGTTATATACTATAACCTAATATCTGAAAGAAATTTCCTCCAGGGGCATAGTGTTGTACATATAGGAGACCTTGAAGTGTGTTATAAACACATAGCAATTCAGAGACTATACTAAAGAATAAATAATAACAGAATTGTTCTATAGACTCTGCTTACTAAAGAATCCCTATATTATCACATGTAATGCTGTTAAGTACAATGATAAATATTATTAGTAGATATATATTTGACCAGTTTTTTAACCTGCCAGAGCTCTAGGGACACTTACTGTGGATGATATATCATAGTCATGAATTAATTAGTGTTCTCAATGCCAAGAAAAAAAAAGAGATGGTGTCAACAAATGCAGTGTATAAAATGGTAACCGTATGATAAATGGGGCATTCAATGTTTTTTTATTAAATTAAATACATCCATGACAGAAGCCAACACTGCAATATTGACTGAATAATTTAATCTTGTCATTTTATGGAGTAGGCTTCAAAATAATAAATTGTTCAGGCTGAGTAAGCTATTGAATACTTTCAGACACAAGAGAGTTGTGGGTTTAAAACAGACTCCTGCTTCCTCATTCCTCAGAGCTGACAGATATTAGGGCATTCATAAAAAACCTGCCATTAGGTGTACTCATCTTTTCTTTTTTTATTTCACTGACAGAAAAATATCCATTTTTGGTTGAAATATTATCTTTCAAGAGGCCTAATTTATGAGGACCAAAATAACTCATATCAAAAGGTCTACTTACACTTTATTTATTGGAAAATATTACAGCTTTCATGACATTTCTTCAATTCTGTTAACTAACATAATGATAATGAGTAAATGATAACCCAAGGTAGATTAGAAAAAGGCTGAGAAAAGTGAGTGCAGTTAAATGATTATAAAGTCCAAGATAAGAGTAGGGTTTAAAACATAGATTTATCTAGTTAAGCTGGAGATTCAATATCATCCATTAGTAATTCTATATGAGCCTAAGCTTTCCCATTATTTTCTTAATAAAGGAAACACACTCTTAATTAGGGGCAGAAATAGGACATAAACATAAGCATCAGGGGGTAAATGAAAACAAACATACATCTCTACAATTTCCAATGTTTAATATACGTCCATATGACCCCTGGAGCATCACAAATACATACAAGCTTAGTTGCAACCAGGTGGACAAAATTTCAGAGGGCCAAAATGATACATTTTCTAGTTATTCCCTTATTCTAACTATGACTCTATAGTTAAAGAAGGGGAAAATAAGCTAATAAAGGAATTATTTGGTGAGATTATCTTTGCAGAAGATAGAAAACTGTGCCTATAAAATGTTTATATATTTTCAAGTATACTTAGAGAACAATTCTTCAGAGCTTATTATTAGCAATTCAATGATATGATTTGGATCTGTGTCCCCACCCAAATCTCATGTTGAATTATAATCCCCAGTGTTGGAGGTGTGGCCTGATAGGAGGTGATTGGATCGTGGGGGTGGCTCCTTCGTGAATGGGTTAGCGCCATCCCTTTGGTGCTGTTCCTGTGATAGTATTCTCAGGCGAGCTGGTTGTTTATAAGTGTGTGGCACCTCCCCCATCTTTCTCTTCCTTCTGTTCTGGCCATGAAAGACAAATCTGCTTCCCATTTGCCTTCTGCCATGGTTGTAAGTTTCCTGAAGTCTCTCCAGAGGCTGAGCAAATGGCCAAGATAATGCTTCCCGAACAGCCTGCAGAATCTTAAGCTAATTAACCCTCATTTCTTTATAAATTACCCTGTCTAAGGTATTTCTTTATAACAGTGCAAGAACAGACTAATATATCCAGCATGGTAGCCGAAAAGCAAACTAACATGTTAAAGGCATACTAAGAAACCAGCACTTCCTCCTTCCCCCCACCTTCTCTTCCATCCTTCTTTTCTTTTTTTTTTTTTTTTTTTTTTTTTTTTTTTTTGCCCAAATATTTGTTTATGCCTACTATATGTCATGTACTATTCTGGGTCTTGGTAAATAGGTTGTTTATGAAGACATGTAAGACTCTTAACTTCAGGTAATATGTATTCTAATGAAAGCAGAAAGATAATAATTAAACAAATGAACGACAGAGATACATTTACATTTGTAATAATTGCAGTGAAGATACAAATAGGATGATGTAAACAAATTAAAAGAGGTAGATAATAGGAATTTCTTTGAGATGACATCATCAGGAAAGGCATTTCTTAGAATGGATCATTTAAGCAGAGAGCAGGGAGTTGGTATTTCAGATAAAGCAAGATGCAAATGCAAAAGGGGCAAATAATGAATATTTACTACTGTTATCTAATGATAAGGTGAACAAATGAATCATGATAGATATTGAGCAAGTAGTTTAATATCAAATAAATTTAAAATATGAAGATTTAAGGGAGGTAAATGTGAGATGGCAAGAGATGGAATTACTGAGACAGAAAACACATTGTGGGAGTGGGGAGGCTTGTGTAACAACCTTAGAGAGTCAAGCTTTTCTGTTTTAGAAGATGTGGAGATACGGTATATTTTTAAAGTAGGGAAATTAGCTGTTTCTATTACATTCTAGTGACTGTGGAAAGATAAGAACACTTTAGAGAACATTGTAGCAATTCAAATAAGGCGAGACATAAACCTGATTCCATTGAATTAGCAAAGGTGGAAAGAATTACATTTACATGAAAAGGAATATTGACTTTTTCATAGATGAGATATGGGTACAACAAGAGGGGAAAACAGAATTTATGGAATAGATCATGGATGATGGTACACTAGTATATAAGAATAAGAGCATGCTTTAGAGAGAAGGTAAAATTACTGTGGTCTTGGAGACATTGTGTTTACAATATCCATGAGACATGGAAGGTGAAATACATACAAGTGGTCATTAGGAGACCAAGAGTATGTAAAATTAGACTGTGGAAGCCAAGGTAGTCTAGAGGTAGTGGAAATCAACAGTGCTGAGTGCCTGAGAGATCACATCGAAGAATAAATTTGAAAATGTTTCAGTTCTAATTCTTATTCATTTTGTTGAACAATTCTATACTATGTTTAAACAACTTAAGGAAAATCAGAATCACTGATTAGCAAAAGGCAGTTAAAAATATAAATAAATAAATAAATAAATAAATAAATAAATTCATATGTTTGGAAATGTCTAACATCATTCAGCTTAGAAATAAGCCAGATGGGCCGGGCACGGTGGCTCACGCCTGTAATCCCAGCATTTTGGGAGGCCAAGGCGGGCAGATCACAAGGTCAGGAGATCGAGACCATTCTGGCTAACACGGTGAAACCCTGTCCCTACTAAAAATACAAAAAATTAGCTGGGCATGGTGGCGGGCGCTCGTAGTCCCAGCTACTCAGGAGGCTGAGGCAGGAGAATGGTGTGAACCCGGGAGGCGGAGCTTGCAGTGAGCCAAGATCGGGCCACTGCCCTCCAGCCTGAGTGACAGAGCGAGACTACGTCTCAAAAAAAAAAAGAAAAAAAAAGAAGCCAGATGATTACTCCCCAAATGATATACCTATGACGTTGCCTATCATGATTTTTTTAAATTCAAAAAAATGTTGTTTTTTTTTTTATTATACTTTAAGTTCTAGGGTACATGTGCACAGCGTGCAGGTTTGTTACATATGTATACATGTGCCGTGTTGGTTTGCTGCACCCATTAACTCGTCATTTACATTAGGTATTTCTCCTAATGCTATCCCTCCCCCATCCTCCCACCGCATGTTCTTACTCATAGGTGGGAATTGAACAACGAAAAAATTGTTTAATTTTAAGTCTTGAATTTGGCATTTCAAACTTCTTTCCTTAGTTCAAAAAGAAATTAAGTTTTGAGGATACTTCATTTTCTGACATAGAAAAATTGTATATGACCTTTTTAATTTTTCAAAAAGAATACCTAAATATAGAATCATCACACTGAATATAAAAAAGCTTCTTTAAAAATTAAGTACTTTTTTTTGCTTGATATTTAAAAAATTTGCACCCAGTAAAATTCACTGTTAACATTTCTGAGTTCTCTGGCTATTAACGAAAAAACAGAGTGATGTGTCTACCACCCCAGCACCATACTGAGCACTTCCAACACTCTAAAAATGTTCCTTTGCTAGTCAACTCCTTACTTTATCCCCAATAACTGGCACTATTGTGATCTGTTATATGTCCTATGGTTTTGCCTTTTCTAGAAGGTTGTGTAAATGAAACTATGACACTATGTCACATTTTGGGTGTGGCTTCTTTCATTTGGCAACATGCATATAAGATTCTTCCCCCATATCTGAGTCAGTAGCTCACATTTTTCATTATTAGTTAGTCGTTCATTGCATGGATGCACTGCAGTTTTCTAATCCATTTACTTCTTAAGAGATGTGTGGGTTATGTCAATGTTTACTGATTATAAATAAATTTATAGGCCGAGGCGGGCAGATCACTTGAGATCAGGAGTGCCAAACTAGCCTGGGCAACATGGCGAAACCCTTTCTCTACTAAAATACGAAAGTTAGCTGGGCATGGTGGTGGGCACCTGTAATCTCACGTACTCGGGAGGCAGAGGCAGGAAAATCACTTGACCCGGGAGGCAAAGGTTGCAGTGAGCCATGTGCCACTGCACTCCAGCCTGGGCAATAGAGTAAGGCTCCATCTAAAAAAAATAAATAAATAAATAAAAAAAGTTGTAATAAATATTTTGTGGGAAAATGTTTTCAGAGAATTTAGGTAAATGGGTAAATATCTGCAAATGAGGTTTCTGGGTCATGGATAAGTGTATTTTGACTTTCTGAGAAGTGCAAAATTGCCTTCTAACATTTCTGTAGCATTTGACTGACATTTCTACCAGACATGTATGTGCTCCAGTTACTCTTTAATAATGTCAGCCTTTTGTATTGTCAGCTTAGATTTTAGTCTTTTTAATAGGTGTCTGCTGATATCTCATTGTGAATTTAATTTTCATCTACCTAATGTTTAATAACGTTGTGCATTATTTGATGTGCTTATGTGATACCCGTGTATCTTTTTTAGTGAAGTATCTGTTTAATATTTGTGCCTTTCTAATTTTTTTTTTTTGCTTTTCTTTTTTAACCCACTAAGATGAGGGTACTTCATATATTCTGAATATAAGTTGTTTATCAGATAATCTATTTGCAATAGTTTCTCTTACTGTGTGCTTGTCTTTTCATTTTGTCAATAGGGTCTTTCACAAAGCAGAATTACTTTTGATAAAGTTAAAAAAATATACACACATATATGTGTGTATATATATGTGTGTGTATATACATATATATGTACATTTGATGTTATACCTAAAGTATCACCCAAATCAAGGGCACAAAGATGTTTTTCTATGTTTGTGTTCTGGAAGTTTTATACTTATACTCTATCAATCAATCAAGTTTTCAGTTAAATTTCCTATAAGGTCAGAAATATGCCTCTAGGTTATTTTAATTTATCATCATTATTATATTTCTTGCATATATACTTCCAAATTTTACAGAAGTATTTGCTGAAAAGGCTATCTTTTCTGCCCATAACCGTGTATATATTCAGTGTCTATACTGATAGAGGTCTCCTAATTGTTTTTCTCTCCTATAATATTGATCTATTATAAATTCCTAATATAAGGGACTGTGAAGCATCCACTTGTTTTTTTAGAAATGTTTTGGATATTCTGATTCCTTTGCTTTTGCATACAAAGTTTGTAATCAGCTTTCTTATTTCTAAAAAATGAAATATTTGCTTAGGATTTTTAATAGGATAATGTTGAATAGAAAAATCAATCTTGGAAGAATTGACATTTTTCAAGTATTTATTTTATTTTATATTAATCTTACAAATAGAGTCTCACTTATTTAATTCCACTTTTGTCTATTTTTTATTTTAAGACATTTTAGATATTTCCCTCTGCTTTACTGTACATTGTTCATTAATTTGACTCTACATTCAAATACTATAATACTACTTTACATATAGAATAAGAGCTTTATAAGAATATATTTCCAATCCCCCTTGCCATTCTTTGTGATGTTATTTTCATACTTTTTACTATTACATTGTTGTTGTTTCCTTTATACAGTAATAAACATTTTAAAGCAATTAAAATAAAAAAATACTATTTTTTTCTATTTTTCAATACTCATTGGTTTGTTCTGATCCACCTTTCTGACTGGTACAATGTCTCTTCTGTCTGGAGAAATTTCTTATAAAGTCTGTATTTTAGGAACGGAATCTCTCCTTTTTGTGTTTGTCTGAAAAAGACACTATTTCTCCTTCAATGTAAATGGTAATTATACTGCATAAATAATTCTACATTAGCAAATTTGTTTTTGTTTTTTTAATCCCCATTCTTATGGTTTTCTGCCAGTGTCGTTACATGAGAGTTTTTGTTGGTCTTTCCCCTGTAGATTAAATATTTTGTTCTACAGGGGCATGGAGTAGCTGGGCTAAATGAGGTGTTAGCAGTGCCTGCTATTTTCCTCTCCCTGTACAGCACCATGAGAGAGAAAAAAAAAAATCAGGATTCTTCCCCATCTTTCCTGTGAGCTCCTGGCTTGATTTGTGTGAAAGAAAACTCCCCAAAATACACGGATTCCCTGTATTTTCAACCGCTAGAACCATCGTATATTTAAAAACCTCACATCCAGCCTTTAGGAATTCTTAGCTCCGTCTTTCCACTGACTTATATGGCATGTGGCAGCTTAGCTGGCTTCATGGGTGTGTGGTATGTGCAGTCACCAGAGTCTCATGTTTAAAATGGCCCACACTTAATCAAATCATCTGCAGTTTCTGTCTTGAAATTCTTAATAATTTGTAAACAAGGGCCCTGCATTTTCATTCTGCATTGCACAATTTAATTAGCTCAATCTGTCTGGCATCAAATAGTTGGGATTTTGTGGGGGATCCACATAAGTGCCTGTATCTCCCCAGATTTCAGCTTACTTGGTTGGCATGCATTCTCAATTTTCTAATGGCTTAAGAAAATCACTAATATGCATATTGCCCAACTTCTTTTTATGTAATTTTTGTATGAGTGGGAGCAGCACTCTTTCTAGCTTTCTACATTTCTGAGCTGAAACTGAAAGTCCAAACATTTTTAATCCCCAAGATACTTTGAATATTACTTTGACTGAAGTAGTTTTGATTCCTTTTATTCCTCAGATATCTGTTAAAAACACACTTGACACAATTATTTTCATAAAATAAGATATATTTTATTATAGGACCTAAACACTAACTCATAGAATGAAGTCGCTTTCAGTGGAAATAAAATAATCTTCATCAGTCCTTTTGTTTTGACATTCAAAAACATGTCTTGTTGCTCAAGGCACTCTTTGTTGGCTTCTAAAAGGTAGATTCTGCCTTAGTCAGCTCTGGCTGCTGTAGCAAAATACCATAGATCGAGTGGCATAAACAACAGATATTTATTGCGCACATTTCTGGAGTCTGGGGAGTCCAAGATCAAGGTGCCAGCAGTTTCTGCACTCAGGGAAGGCCCTCTTCCTGGCTTGCAGATGGTCTCCTTGGCACCATGTGCTCACGTTACCTCTTCTGTGTGTTCTCAGAAAGAAAAGGGTCTCTCTTTCTACTTCTTTAAGGATACTAATTCCATTATGAGGGATGGAGGACCCCCCATCATGACCTCACGTAACCTAATTACCAAGCGCTTATCTCCTATACCGTCACAGTGACTATGAAGGCTTCAACTCACAAATTTGGTGGGGCCACAAACGTTCAATTCATAATAGAAGCATTCTTAAATACATTTTTACACATTTAAGTGGAGGATCTAGAGGACCCAGTGCACTGACTAAATGAGTAAATCCACTATAGTGAGAAGCCTCAGGACACAGGCTGTGCAAACACTAATGAGCAAACTGATATAGAATCGTACTCCTCAAGAGAACCAAGAACTAAAATGCATAACCAACTAATAATATTTTATTTATAAATTATTTATGTTGAGGAGCAATTAATGCATACAAATTGGTGTCTGTAAATGACATTACAAATAATGTTCTGCACCAGTGTCTTTTTTATTAGCAACTTGATACATGTGTAAGTATATACAGTGCTATAATTCTCTGTGTGTTACTTTCAGCAGTTCAGAATTTGTTTAGAAGTTACAAGTTAGAAGTTGAGTGTGTTCTCATGCATCATGACTGGAAGCTGCCTGATTCCGGTAATTTTCATCTTTGCTGTTTCTCCTAATAGAATTGTTTCATTTGGTTAAAATTACTATTCAGGTTGTTGTTAATACACCAAAGAGTGTTACTTAAATCAGCAAATCAAATTATATGGGAATGGGCTGGAAAATAACCAAAATACGTCACAGCTATCAAGCCTATGTAAGTGCTTATAATCTCAAGTTAACATCGTACATCTCTTATCAACTGCTCTTCCAAATTACTTTCCAGTGTATCCATTAAGAAAAACATTCAGTGGAATAAAAAGATGGAACGAAAGCTGCTCCTTAATCTGTTCATACGGATTATAAGCTGATCCACTCAATATAGAAAATTTTTAGATGTTGTATTAAATATGACACACACTCAGAGAAATGCACAAATCTTAATGACTTCTCACAAACTATACACTTTTCTGTCATTGGCACTCATATCAACACACAGAGAATTATTAGCACCCTAAATCTCTCTTTCCATTTCCCACACCTCAAAGGTAACCAATATCTTAACTTCTAGCAGCAAAGATTAGTTTTACAAATTCTAAACCTCATATAAACAATATCCTACACTATGTACTCCACTGAGATATGTAATAAGTGTAACATATTTTATTGTAAGTTTTCTTATTTTATATTAGAATACACATCTTATTTCTTAAAACTTATACTGACATGACCAAACTCATAAAATGTGATTGCAAAGTTTATCCTTAAAAATACTGGAAGAAATGTGTAGCAAAAACTGGAAACATTCTAACTCACCACCAACAGTAGAATGGAAAAACAAATGGTGGCTTTTTTTAGTAGAAGAAAATGCAAACATAGCTGTAAAAATCAACAAACTTGTTACGTGCATCAACATAAATGAATCCTGAAAAAATAATATTGACAGAGAAACTTGACAAGAAAAAGTGTAGATATGGGAAAATTCTCCTTATAAGCAGCTCCCACAAAATTTTATTTATATGTAGCTCACAAATTGGTAGCTTTAATCTATGTTGATGTAAGTCATATAATAGTAATCTTCATGGTGGCAATCCCAGGAGAGAGCATGTTGGGTATTTAAAAGGGTCTATTTCTTCATTGGCCTGGGGATTTTATGGGTATACTTATTATGAAAAATACACTAATACAAATATTTATAATTTACACAACTTGTTGTATATGTTATATTTCAATACAAGAGATTTGTTGAAAAAATTAACGACAAAAGAGCAAAAATGAAAGGAACATCAATAAGGGATAGAAGTCAGAATGCGAAAGTGAGCTAAATAAATGAAAGTGAAGACATTTTTTGACATAATAATGAGTCTACATAGTACTGAAGTGAAGAACCACACATATAAAACCAAAAAATCAAAGAGAGTCATCTAGGAATAAACTAGCATTTAAAATTACTAATTAAGGTCCTATCTTGTTTCACAAAAATCAGCTACTAAAAGATACGTGCTGATGCAGACTCTAGGTCAGTTTACTAAGTATTAAATATAAAGTAAAAATACACTTTAGAAATGGACACAAATTTAAAGTATTACATGAGTAGGGATTATATGTTCTGATGTGCTTGAGCTAGCACAAGGCATGCTGTTTCCTGGTGTAACCATTAGCACTAATTCCTTTCATTCTCAGCAATGCCCTGCTGTGCACAGAAATTTGTGTAGTCACCTTTACTGATGACAGGTCAAAGTTAAACCACTTTCAGATATTTCCAAATTGACTTTTACTTCTGTAGGGTGTTAAGGGTGCCCATGCAACGTTGCTCTATCTCCAAGCATTTTTAGGAAAAAAAACAACACTGTATGTGTGAACTTACATGTGTGAATAACATTCTAATTTTAGCCAAACCACCTTTGAACTCATTTTTACTTTTCTGTATGGCTACAACTCTGAGTTAGCTCATGAAATGATCTCATCACTTCTTCCTTCCTAGGTGTGTGTCTGCCTGCATATTGCTCTTCCTGTCTCCATGGAAAGCACATGTCTCACTCACCAACAAAGAAAAGTTGAATTCTCATGACAGGGGTTAGCCACCTTTTCTCTCTTCTTGGTGTTTTATGTTTACTGGCTTTTTTAGCAGATATTGTAAACATAGGTGTAAAGAAATAACAAAGATGTCAATTTGCCAGTCTTGTTTTCCAGGTAAAAATCCTCTTTAATTGGAGCTAATATATTTAGCGAATAGAGATGAGCAAAAGGTTTAAATGTCTTGCTTTTAGAAAAAAAGGCAATGTTATCAGTAGCAAGAGGAAGTGATAAATAAAATAGCTCAAGCTTCAAAAGCAAAATGTTAGATTTGAAGCACTAGACTCTAAAGCACAGTCTCAGATGTGGCTAATGAACTGCTCAGTCCTTGCAACAGGCTGCCTGGCTTCTATTTCCAGATTATTACTTAAGAACAGTGCATTCTTGAAAAAATTACAGATCATCTCTGTTCCTCAGTTTCCTCATTAGTAAAATTGGAATGAAAATGATGGAATCACCCTCATGTAGGATTTATGTGAGTTAATATTTGCAATGCACTTGAAACAGATTCTGGTCGAATATGCATGCAAAATAAATACTAGTAATCCTAGGACCACATCTGTGATTGATTTAAGAAAAGTGAGGATAATGAGTCATACATTAGAAAATATTAAGTAATTTTGACACCATAGATTTTTTGAGATAACCCAAAATGTTAATACAACATAGATCATGTCTCTTTCTCAGGTAAATTCTGAATCACTGGGAAATGTATCAACAAGGGCATTATAATATCACTTTGATTAAGTGAGAAAGTTGACATTGAAGGTTGTAGCTTACTAAAGTATGGGCAAACAGTTTTCTAATATTGAACTCAAGATTTAGGCAGACAATTCACACTATCACCTATAGTAATAGACAGGAACATTTCTGCTAAGCACTACAAAGACTGCTCTTAAAAAGTACACGGTATCTGTACAATTTCATTCCTAAAAGCCAGAGAAGAAAGGCCAAGCATCCTTATTTTTGGTCCCCAATTACTCTCTTAGGATAATATAAGGGGACTTTTTTAAAGTTTATGAAAAACTGGAATTGTAAGATAAAAATGAAAATATAAACTTTACTTCTCAAGATAAGCTCCAACAAGGTCAAGACCCTTTTATAGGCAGTGATATCAGCCCTTTAGCTCATTACTAAAGAACAGGGGATTCTGGTAAATTAACCATATCAATGCAGTATTTTTTACATTATTAACTGATGAAAAATGGGTGCCCTTTACAGACTTTTTTAAGATTAGGAAACAAAAAGAAGTCAGAGGGATGACAAATCAGAACTGTAAAGCAGATGCTTAATGATTTCCCATCAAAACTCTTAACAAAATGTCCCTTGTTTGGCCCGAGGAGAGAGCAGGAGTATTGTCATGGTGAAGAAGGACTCTGTGGTAACGCTTTCCAGGTATTTTTCTGCTAAAGCTTTGGCTGACTTTCTCAAAATAGTCTCGTAATAAGCAGATGTTACCATTCTGTGGCCATCCAGAAAGTTAACAAACAAAATGCCTTGAGAATCTCTTTGCTCCTGACCGGTTCTCTTTTTCTGTGAATGGACCACTTTTGCCTCTTGGTAGCCATTGCTTTGGTTGTGCTTTGTTTTCAGGATAGTACTGGTAAAGTCACATTTCATCTGTTACAGTTCTTCAAATAAATGATTCAGGATCTTTATCACGTTTGTTTGGTTTTCCAATGAAAGTTCTGCTTTTCACTGCAGCTGATCTGATTGCAACACTTGCTACCCTCATCAAGTGGAAACTTTGCTCAGCTTTAATTTTTCAGTCAGAATTTTGTATGCTAAACCAATTGAGATGTGTATGGCGTTGGCTTTGTTTTCTACTATTAGTCATTGGCCTTCTTGTATTAGAGCACTAGCAAAATGGATTTTTCCTCACAAATTGATGTGGATGTCCTGTGGCTTCAGGCTTCATATTCAACAGTATCTCCTCTTTCTTAAAACGAGTTGTCAATGATTAAACTGCTGATTTCTTTGGATACATTGATCTCATAAACCTCTCCTAAGCATCTATTATTTCACCATTTTTCCACCCAAGCTTTACTTTACCATAAGTTTGATGTCTGTTCTTGTTTCAATTTCAGCAGAATTCACATTGTTCTGATAGGGGCTCTTTTCAGAATGATGTCCTATCCTATTCAGTGTCTAAAACTGGATCCTATACAGATATGTTATGACAAGTGAGTAAAAGTTTATTTTGATGCAAAAACATTTTTAAAATTCAGACAGATTTTTTTTTCATACCAAGCTTTTTTCATGGACTTTTTGAAGTCCCCTCGCCTAATCTGCTTCCTGTAGGAGGCGTAACTGGTATGTTATGTGAGATGTGAGAGTGGAGAAAGTGACCAGGAAGAGGGGATTCCAAGAAATCAACAGAAAGTCTAATTTCTAGCAGGGATCCTCCCACAAGAAATAGAAAAGGAATAGTGAGGATGTTGTACTCTAATACGGTAGTAAATATTAATGTATTAATGTTATTGACTATTGGAAAGATATTGAGCAGGATGGGCAAACAATGTGAACAAAAGGAAAGATGTAGCCGTTAAAAGAGACCCATATTGAATGGATTTAAAAATGTGGCATATATAAAGAGTGTGTGTGGGTATGTGTGTGTGTATACACACAAACACACAGGCAATGGAATATTATTTAGCCTTATGAAAAACAAGGAAATACTGTTTTGCAAAACCAGGGATGAACCCAGAGAACACATTATGCTAATTACAATAAGCCAGACACAGAAAGACAAATACTGCATTATCTCACTTATATGTGGTATCTAAAAAATTCTAACTCAAAGAAACAGAGTATATAACTTTAGTTTCTATAGGCAGGAGGAGGATTAAGTAAATGGATAGATGATGGTTAAAGAGTACCAACTTTCAGTTTGCAAGATAAATAATTTCTGGAGATCTAAGGAATAGCCTCATGACCATAGTTAGGAATATAGTCTTGTATATTTGAACTTTGCAAGGCCAGTTGTGGTGGCTCAAGCCTGTAATCCCAGAACTTTGGGAGGCTAAGGCAGCCAGATTACTTGAGGCCAGGGGTTCGAGGCCAGCCTGGCCAAGATAATGAAATTCCATCTCTACTACAAAATACAAAAATTAGCTGAGCATAGTGGTGCACCCCTGTAATCCCAGCTTCTTGGGAGGCTGACACACGAGAATCACTTGAACTGGGGAGGCGGAGGTTGCAGTGAGCCGAGATTATGCCACTGCACTCCAGCTTGGGCAACCAAGGGAGACCCTGTCTCAAAAACAACAACAACAACAGCAACAACAACAAATAACAACGACAGCCCTTGAACCTGTGAAGGGAGATGGAAATCTTTGCTGCATACCTTGGGTAATTCTGCTATTCAATATGTATTTGTACACTATGCATTTTTCCCTTAAATTGCAGATGAGAACTAAGTGGCTAAATTACTCTTTTTTCTTCAGGTGTTGTTTCAGAGTAAAGTTTCTTGGTGACTCTCAAACATTGCACTTTCTGCTATGTTGAGAAGTGACATAAGTTGTGCAACTGTTTGAACATTTATTTATGTGTATTTTATGTGCCGGATTTATACACTCAATAAAAAACCTAGTTCCATGAATAAATAGGGAGAATCACACAAAAGAGAAACACTGATCAGCTAAGCTCTTCTTCATATAGCAGTTTCTTGAAATCCATCATATTCTTGTCATCTACAACCTCCCACTGTTTTTACATTTTTGTCAAAAATTGATAATGAAAATACTCTCATTAACCTACATTTGACATGGCATAAATCCCAGTAACTGGCTCTCTTTTTAACTGAAACACAGTCTTTATTCTTTTATTTACTCCTACTTTCATTTGGTTGATTTATATTTCTGGCATGCTTCCCTTCAGTAGCAATTCTAAGACAAACTTTGCTTACTTGTCACAGCATTTAGTGCAAGGGAAGTTGGTAGATAACAAATGGACAGGTGATGATACATCGATATATATCAAGATTAGGAAGAGAGGCACCAGGTCATAGCAAGAGATCAGTAATAATCAAATTAAAAACATTGTGGAACTCTGTGTCCTGGGTGTCTACATATTCTAGAGAAGTAATGAGGACAGAGATGTGGATTTGGCTTCTAAAAGTTTGCGTATATTTTTAAATGGCTTTGAGAATAACTTATCTGCCTGCACTAGTCAGCTTACATGTTTTCACTGAATGTAATATCATTTCGTTATGAATTAGTTTAAATGGAAAGAGCCAGGTTTGTTTAATGAGCATTTTGAATTAATCGACAATTTGCACCAACTTTTCTTATTAATGCATATCATAGCCCAGTATGTGTTTTCCCCATTGGCATAATTGTGGATAAAATCAAAGTAGATGTTAGTAACTCTTCATTCAGCTACTCTCAACCTCCAAATTTCTCTTCTACCCAGGAGGAGAGAGTTCTAAATCATTATTTTATTAATAGACAAAGTAGCATCTTTAGTTCAAGAAATTTCTATGGAGAAATAGAGAGAGAGATGCCAATTTTAAATAAGCACAAATAATTAGTAGAAATACTTAGGGGAAAAGGTGAAACTGTAAGAATGTTTACTGAAAATTACATAAAATTATAAACCTGGGAAGAATGTATGGAATAATGTCACTAACAGTAAGAAAAAATAATTGAAAAAAAGAAGTGCAACTAGAGCATCTAGGACACTTTTAAGCTTGGAATGAAATTGTAAATAAGATGAGAGAAGTCAGGCAGAAGGAATTAGGGAGCATGTCAAAATGAAGAAGAAACCTTGGTGAGAGCAGGCTGGGTATGGATGTAAACAGTCCATTTTGAAAATGATGTAAATGGTACCTGTTCAACTTCTTTACACCCACAGAGCTTACCAGTTACTGACAATAAATTATGTAATATCTCAACACTCAGCGATGAGAAAGATGAGAGTGACTGTGATCAAGGTTATACATTATGACATAGCAACCAAAACTAATTATAGTATTGCACTTTGTGTTCTCAAAATATAGATGCTCAGAAAAACAAAATTTTCCCACCATTGTCTGTGTGTTGCTTCATAGGACATTCAGTCTCACCAGGTTGGTGGGGAGCTCGGTCACCACCCACACTTGACTCTCATCTCTGGTTCCAGGTTTCTACTTTAGATGTATGCATTCCTCAATAAACAGGAAGTCAAAAAAATGAAGCCCAAGACAATATTTCTGCTCATGTCTCAAAGGACAAAAGTAGTGATAGGTCCACAGCTAACTTCAAATTATAGATATTATAGTTTCTAACTAGGCAGTAAAGTGTCTTCATAAAATCTAGGTACAATACAATCCAAAAAGGATGCTGGGGTATCATTTAGCAGTGAGGGTCACGGTTTCCACTACTGTGATGACACTGGGATTCATTGTAATGGTACTATGTATCCATTGTAATCCAATCCAATGTGAATTATATTTACATATACTGATGTGCGAATGTAATTACTAGAGAAATGGGACTAATTAAAAAGTCAAGTTTATAGAATTGCTCAAAATGTTAAACAAGAATAAATATTCTTAAAGCTCAACAAATTGGACTATTTTGAATCAATAATTTTACTATTATTTATGAATATCTTACTAATATATTTTATTAATTAAATAAAATTTATTGATACATTATAATAAAAGATTAAATTATTTTAATAATATTGTATATTTTAATACTAGCTATAGTTTCACTAGTTATCAAAGTAATAAAATATTTTGTTAAGAAAGTAAGACTTTTGCTTGATAGGATAAACTATTTTCAAGCATCGAGTTCACTAGTGCAAGCTCATGATGGATTTGTGAAGTATCCTCATTCGTGACAACTGAAGCGTTATCCCCCCACACCACCTCCCCACACAACCCAGGTGTTCTGCTGTGTGCAGGCTGAGTGTTGGCTGGGTCTGTGTATTACAGTGGATCCCAGAAGTCTTATAAGTCTGCTTTAAATCAGGTCCTAAATCTTTATTTTCCTGTAGTGCTTGAAAAATACAGAAATATGCTTTAAATAAATAGTTTTATAAGTGATCTGCAATGTTTTCTTTTTATAAAACAAAAACTGCTCTTTAGTGTACAAGTACAGAACATAATGATTTAATATTTATGAAATGCTAAATAAAATGAGAAAATGTAAACTATTCAACATAATATCAGCAACATAGTGTCTTGTGCCTCTGTTAAAATTATTAATTGGGGCTGGGCAGGGTGGCTCATGCTTGTTTTCCCAACACTTTGGGAGGTCAAGGCGGCAGATCACTTGAGGTCGGGAGTTCGAGACCAGCCTGACCAACATGCTGAAACTCCGTCTCTACTAAAAATACAAAAATTAGTTGGGCCCGGTGGAGCGTGCCTGTAAGCCCAGCTACTCGGGAGGCTGAGGCATGAGAATTGCTTGAACCCAGGAGGAGGAGGTTGCAGTGAGCCGAGATCTCACCACTGCACTCCAGCCTCGGCAACAGAGCAAGGCTCGGTCTCAAAATAACAATAATAATAGTAATAATTAATGGGGAAGTCATTAGACTGAGGTGGCTCCAGTGCCCTGGCTTTCTACCTAAACAAACTGAAACCCAACTCAGTGTAACTAGTAAAATAAAACTTAACCAATCAGAAACTGCCAATTAAATTCTAGCTCTGGACTTTCCACTAGAATGACCCAAGTGAGGCAACTGCACCACTTTAATTAATCAAGTATTTGCTTTGTTTGATGCTCACTCTATACATGCCCTCCACTTGCACCTCGTTAGTGGAGCCATGAATCAACTGTGTTCTGAAGCTGCCCAGTTAATACATCAATGTTTGCTCAAATAAACTGTTTAAAAATTTTAACGTGCCTCAGTTTATCTTTTAATACCTCTTGTGATCTCAAGGCAGACATATATTTGTAGTTCATACCTCTGTAGAAGGCACCCCTAGGCTGTATATCACATGAAGATTGATTCTCAAAGGAATTGTGGAGAGGAAGCTCAGCACTTGGCTTGATGGGTTGGGAGAAGAAAAAGAAAGAGTGCAGGAAGGATCAGGAGATTCACCCACTCAATGGGGTACAGTCATGCTTCCAAAGTTCAAAGTAACATTTAACATAATTGAAAAGTTACATAAAATGCTCTTCAGAACTAATGTAGAAATGAATGAGTAGAATTGCTGAAGCTAGAAAAGCGGTGCATTATCAGTGATGCAAAAGCTCATCCACATTCCAAACAGTCTGAGGTATACTGAGTCTGAGAAGATTTTAATGTAGCTCAGCTATTCGCTGAAAAAGTCAGCACTCTGTTGTAAGGAATAAATGAGCATATCGTGTGCATGCAGGAGTATCAAAGGCAAAGCAGTGAAAGGAATGGAGTATCAGGCTGGACAGCTTATAATTAGAGAGTGGAGAATATTTTGGATAAACATCATTTCCTCATTAACTAGTACAGTAGCTACATAGATGCTCACAAATAGAGTTTTCAGGAATATGAACATGACTTAAAGACAGAACAATAAATTGAAATCACCCTACGTATTATTCCTTTCTTTGTAATGAAAAAGTTGGTAAAATTGAGAAGTGTAAGTAAACATGTAAATAGGCAGATTCATGTTCCTAGGTCAGAATATAATACATTTTTTGGTTCCTCATATAATCCCCCAAATAAGGAGTTCAACCCTGAAATAAATAATCGTAAGACAAATGGAGAGGGGAAATGTTAGGTAGCAGAAAGAGAATTATTTTGGCCTTTCATTTTTTAAATTGTGTTTAGTAATATAAATCCACATATTAAATATTGAATTAAGACTCCTCAATACGAATGATTAGACTTCTAAACACTTTTCAGATTAATATGCAAAATGTACATTTTAATTGTATACCTAGTATATCATCGGACATATTAAGATAAATTAGAATTTGGGCATTTCTTTCATATTTTAAACATCGCAAATACTAAAATGTATATGTAATTCTGGAAAATAGCAAATACTTATTACCTATACTTAATATTTCCAAAAAGATGTACCTCTCCTTAATAAATTTGATGTTACCTAAACAAATGTCATCTGAATTAATAAAATTTATGAGGAATTGTTGAATTTACATGGTTTCATGGATACTATAGTTTAATTACGAATATATTAATAGTTTTGTATGGCAGAAGTATACACACATATACACGTATGGTAAACATTTTAAATATGGCATTAAAGGATATCGAATGAACAATGAGGAAATCATATGAAAGCTTTTAGACAATTTATACAGTTATACTTTGAAGGTTACCTCATAACTAGAGGTCCAAGAGAAAAGAAAACCAATTATGAACTTGGTAATTACAAAGCCAGCCCCGAGATAATGTCATGGAAACTAGTATTGGGAGATGCTCTTCCATGGGTCCTTCCACTCCCCTATGTCTTGCTTCATATACCAGTAACACAAGTCCCTTTCTTAAAGCTGTGATTTCAGTGAGCAAGCTTGAGGAATTAGTTGACTTCTCCCCTCAAAGAGTGGGTTTGCTTATCTTATGGTTTGCAAATGAGGGCAAAGTTTCCTCTCCTGAAACGCAACCCATTGCATATGCTGGATGCCGTCTTAGTCCACCTGTATTGACCAGGTAATATGGGGCTCAGGAAACTGATGCCACCTCTCTGATATTTCAGCAACTGCTTTTGCCTTAAGTAACAAAGTCTGTAAACTAGGAGTGTTGTGTCTTTTCTTAGCATCTGTAAAATCATTGCAGGCTAATGTGTTAGCTTGCAGTAAGATAATATATTGAACCCTTCATAATTCTCAACAAGTAGAAAGAGATTTAAAACAATATCTATCAGTGCAATACATTTTTCAGAAATAATTAATTACATGTGGACTGAGAGGAAGAGGGAGCCTGTAGTGTTTAAGAATGGACAAATGAGAACCATGGAAGCACTTACCAGGATAATCAAGCCTAGAAGAATACCTGAATATTTGCCTCAGAATTCACAGGTTCATCAATTATTTTCAATCATTTCCTGTAATGAAAACTCTGTGGGTTATTATAAATAAGCAGGAAAGGGCTCACACATGTGAAAACTGTAAAATTCTGCTATGAGAAGTACATGGTGACAGCCCTTTTATGTCCTAGGTAACCTTCCTCAACGACTCTAATCATTGATGATACATCTATTATTCTCCTTCTCATGTATGGAGATATTTTAAAATATAAGTTGAACTAGTATTTACTTTTTTCTCTATGGCCTGAGCAGTGTTTATTTTATCTGTATTTTCCCCCTCTGGCCATAGTGTCATTTCTCAATATATAAAAAATGAATTGTCTGCATTAAATTTAATTGACTAAATTTAGATGATACAAAAATCCCTCTGTAATTATTAGGTACTGAACTCCCATTCTGGATTTCAGAAACTATCTCCATTTTTTCTCTTGGGTGTAACAAGAAAACGAACTGTTAACTGATTTTCACAGTCTCTACCTGAAAAGAGAGATTTTGAAGTAATTTATATGCCTTTGAGGGTAGTTAGTGTTCACTGTGCTGTAAGTTTGAGTCATGATTAAAGCCAGCAGGGAATTGATGTCTCTAATGACCAGTTAATTATGGGCATCAAACAGTCCTTAAAGGAGATTTGGATTATGTGATATCATTAGGCTGAAACGTAATTCTCCTAGTTTATTTTTTATTAAATTGGCCTAGTATATTTTCTTTCCTCTTGTATGTGTGTTTTTAATGAACCACAGCATATAGTTCAGGACACTGAACAAAGCTGAAAAATGCAATATAATCTAAAATGCTGTGGAAAGTGCAGCTACTAAAAATGTGCTTGTGTATTTCTGTCAATTATGCTGGATTTACTTTAAAATGATTGATTGATGCTTCTAAAATTAGTAATGTTATAGGATAGATGATGACCTCAATACTCTTAGCATCTCCTATCACAAAGTTTGTCTACAAATGTGTAGAATTTCCATGCATGGTACTCACTTTACATATTTTGCAATCAGCCTCCTATCTGGTTGGTAGAACAATAATCACTTTGTGTGCACGATGAAGTTTCCTCTCGATAGGAGTAAGTAGGTGAGTGTAACTTTATAAAACTGTGGCAACTAATGTCATCACAGTCACATCCGTTTGTACCTTAAAAACCTTAAATGTACGAACAATAAGGAAGATTCTAAATATGTGCTTAATGGAACTTCCGAAAGGAGAAACCGTGTATAGACTCAATACACACCAAAAATGTTTGCATGTAGTAAGAAGAAAAAAAACTGTTTTATTAATATTATTTCTCGATAATTTGGGGTTTGGTATTTTTCTGGTTTATTTACATGACTCGTGGCTCAGAAAAAGAGAAAGGAAGGGAGAGAGAGCACACACATGTATACACACACACACACACACACACACACACACACACGTATTTGTGGTGAACATCTGGGAGGGAAAATAAAAAGATGAAGGAACTGGAGACATTGGGAAATGTTTTCAGACCGCTATGCTGTTCTGGACCCTGTGAAGGAGAAAGGGTAAGAAGAAATGTTGGGTTTGAAGGTCTAGAACTGCAGCAGCACAGTTCTAATGGGGTTTTGACTAAACCAATGCAATGTGTTCACGCCACAGTTGCCTATCAGAAGGCAGGAGGGAGCCATGCATTGCAGGAGAGAGCCTGCCTTGGATCTCTGCTACATTGAGTCATTGGCTGAGCACAGCCTGCAGAAAGCAAAGCTTTGTTGTTAACATGGTGATGAGCATGAATCTGATGCTCACGAATGAATCTGTTGTTAACATGGTGATGAGCAGAGAATCTGGTGCTGTCTCTAAATTGTGCTGTGTGGCAACAAATCTGAGTCGTGTGTTGTCATGGTCATCACTGTTCCCCGTTACTCCCTTGCACCACACAGATCTGTTTCTCTACACAGGTTCAGGGAGCAATTTCTACCTTCGGTGGGAGGGAGTTGGACTTGGAAGAGAGAGGTTAGTGGGAGATATTACAGCCCCATTATCAAAGTTGATTTGGGGGCCCTAACTTGTATTGATCCCTTACTTGCTCTACTATTTATTGTTAATTTCTCCAACCTTCAGCTGTCAACTGAAAGACCTTAACTCTTGACAATGTATCTCTGCTTGGGGTTGCTACATGTATTCTTTCACAGCTATGGTAGGATAAGAGTGTTCTAGGAGCACCCAAGGTGATCATCTCAGCTCCACATGTGTTCCTGCCCCGGGGTATTGTGGAAGGTAGCCCCACCTCCTCTCGTGGATCAGGTCAATAACCCTTCCCAATACGGTGACTCATGTTCTCATGTCATGGCTCCTATACAGCAGTCTTTCTTGTCTTCTCACATTATCCTATTTATTTAATTATTAGTGAAATATGGTTTTGTTGAACTCATTTTACTTTTTATGTCAGTAACCTCCATTTTTATATTATCCTGTAATCTTAATAACATATTTCTGTCAATTTATTGAGTCCATGTAGTTCAAAAGCATAAAGTATTTATGGAATATTTCTTCTTTCATTTGCTTCTAGATGGTAAAATAAAATATATAGTTGTCTCTGTCATTCTGATGGCCAAATTACAACTATCTATTCAGTAATCCATTTTAAAATGTATATTGGCTAGATGTGGTGGCTCAGGTCTGTAATCCCAACAATTTGGGAGGCTGAGGCGGGCGGATCATGAGTTCAAGAGATTGAGACCATCCTGGCCAACATGGCGAAACCCCTTCTCTACTAAAAATACAAAAATTAGCTGGCAGTGGTGGTGCGCACCTGTAGCCCCAGCTACTCGGAGGCTGAGGCAGGAGAATCACTTGAACCCAGGAGATGGAGGTTGCAGTGAGCCAAGATCGTGCCAGCACACTCCAGCCTGGTGACAGAGGGAAACTCAAAAAAAAAAAAAAAAAAAAAGATATAAAAAACAGTAAGTAGATATTTGGAAATATTTGGGTATTTGCAGCCAGCGTGATGTCAGACAAGATTGAGAATGAAAATGTCAGATTAGCAAGGCTTTTGTGCAATCATATGCCCATTTTTATCTTTTCATGATTTTATGTAAGTATATTTTTATTTTCCACTTATTTTTATTGTTTTTACATATTTGAATTGTAGAAAGTCAAAGAAAAATATATTTTTTTTTGTTTTAGTCAGACTTTAGCACACAAAACCTTTATACTGAAACAATTTTTCTTAATAAATATAATTAAGGTTTTTAAAAAGAGAAAAAAATAATGCATCCTTCCAGCCCTTAAACTAAATCTTCGCCACAGTTAAGCTAACCAGATTTAATTTTTACAAAGTACAGTAAAAACAATTTGGAAGACTTTGGGGGCCACTTTCTTTTATTTTCTAAATTAATTTCCTCCTAAGCAGAGCAGTGCAAATAGAAAAGTAAAATGTACAATAAAAATAAAACTGATATTTAAAAATATCCTCATAAAACTTTAAAGTTGCTCTCTAGAGTCCTTTTTAGGCTTACAAAGTATGGTTTTAAGGCAGGAACTTTCTTTTCATCAAAATTTTAATTTAAAAAGTTCAGCCAACCACCAACAGACAGATAAACAAGTAAGCCCAAAGGGAAAGCCTGCATAATTACAAGTGCTCAGAGCCTGAGCTGTTTCTAAACACTGGCACTCAGCTCCCTAGAGTATTTTTCACACCTGCTTACCCAAATAAATGCCCATTATAGGTTACTTTCTCTGTGCCTCTTTCACACTAAATCATCAGCCCTTTTGTGTACAAATGTCTTCTTCCTGATAAAATGTTCCTCTTCTACCTAACTTTCAATCAGCACAGGCAAGAGTGACTCAAGATAGTTAGTAATTTTATGAGCCTTTTTCCCAAGATTCTCATTGCTCTAATAGCAATTATGTTTGTTTTAAATATGATCATGTTTAAAATTTCATTTATTTTCCCTTTTCCCTCTGTTCTCTCTTTTCTCTTTTCCTTCTATAATTGCAAACTCCACCTCATCTATATTGCACAAACATAACTCAAGATTATGGTTATTCAAATTAAGAAACATTAAAATAAAACTACTACCATCCCTCAGTGCTTCATTCTGAAGCAACATGGCAGCCTTTGAAGTTTTGTATAAAAGTCACTGACCCCCTCCAACATGCGTCAATTTATTGGTTTTCCAAGTAACGCAGTTGTGGTCATGATATTTAATAAGATTTCTTAGCAATCATGCACTGAGAAAAAGCTGCTAATAGTTAAAACAGATATTTTCATCATTATGTTTATAATCCCATTTTGATTCTATAACAGATAGTTATTTTTGTCTTTACTGTAGCTCCACTATTGAAATAGGTAAGAAAGCAATTTCCGTCATGGATTACTGACATATATAATCAATTATCATGGCACTACACACCAGAAAAAATATAATAAAATGACCTACAAATTATAAATTTCAAGAAGGTCTCTGGTGGATATAACAAATGAACATTATGCAATCTATTATCAAGCCAGTGTATTTGAAATTTTATTTTAAAGCCTTTAATTACCATTTAATAAAGCTGTATTTTGAGAACCAATTTCCTAGGGCTAAGAAAATTGTTCAGACTAGGTTTGTTATCCTAAATCAAAATATCACAGAGAGAAAAAGCAAGAGGAGAGGTTAATAGAAAGAAGGCATAGAGGATACAAGATGTATTAACATAAAACTGATACAGGAAAATAATTTCATCTATAGTTTTATAAGTTTTCTCCATTAGACATTGGACTTGGGAAGGCCAGTGTGATAGCTTGAGTTCTTGAAGTTAGTGAGGAAAGCCTGATACTGAGATATCTGATTTGTGTCACATTGGATAATCCAATCTTATATTTAATTTAAAAACATATATCTTTTTTGTTTTTTTCACATCACAACAGTAATTCATACCTAATATTGTTATATCTTTTTCCATATATGTAAATTTATAAATTAAAATGTTGCTAATATTACTAAAATTCTTAAAGATTTCAGCTTGATGAGATTGATACTTATTATCATTTTGGAAATATATAATGTATCTCTATCAGTTTAATTAACTGTATCTTCTTTCATGCACAATTAATATGGAGAGGAAAACAGGCATAGTGAGGCATAGTGACTACTGATGTTGAACATCTTTTCATGTATTTATTTGCCATCTGTATATCCCCTTTGGTGAAATATCTCATCATGTCTTTTGCTTGCTTTCTAATTGATTTTTTGCTTACTGTTGAGTTTTGAGTGTTCTTTATGTTTTCTAGATACTAGTACTGATATGGTTTGGATGTTTGTCCCCTTCAAACCTCATATTGAAATGTGATTCCTAACGTTAGAGGGTGTGGCCTTGTGGGAGGTGATTGTGTATACTGGGGGCAGAACCCCCATGAGTGGCAAAGCAGCATCCCCTTAGTGAAGAGTGATTTCCTGCTCAGTTAGTTCACGTGAGATCTGATTGTTTAAAACAATCTGGGATGTCCCCCTTCTCTCTCTCACTCCTTCTCTTGCTGTGTGAGGTGCCTGCTCCCCCATGTGATGGGCCTGCTTCCCCTTTGCCTTCCGCCATGATTGGGAGCTTCCCAGGCTCTCATCAGAAGCAGATGCCAGCACCATGCTTCCTGTAGAACCTAAGCCAATTAAACCTCCTTTCCCTATAAATTACTCAGCCTCAGGAATCGTTTTATAACAGTGCAAAAGCAGACTATAAGCATTTTGTCGGATATGTGATTTCAGGTATTTTCTCCCAGTTTTTAGTTTGTATAATACTTTCATCCTCTTTAGAGGGTCTTTACTGAACAAAGTGTTTTTTGCCCTCAGTACTTTGCTTATCCTTAGATTCCAAGACCTTCTCATTTTTTTCTAAAGGTTTTGAAGTTTTATATTTACATCTATGACCCACTTGTGTTCATTATTGTATAAGGTGTGAGACTTTGTTGAAGTTTATTATTCTGTCTATGGCTGTCCAATTGCTCCAGTACCAATTGTTGAAAAGGCTCTCTTTTCTCCACTGAAATGCTTTTGCAACTTTGTCAAAAATCAATTGGGCATATTTTTCTCATTCCATTCCTGAGTTCTCTATTATGCTGCATTCATCTATGTGTTGATCCTCTCTGGAAATACCCTTGATTACTCTAGCTATATAATATCTTGCAATAAGGTAGATTGATCCTTCCCACTTAATTCTTTTTCTTCTCTCCAAAATTGTTTTAGCTGTACTAGTTTCTTTACCAAATTTTATAAATTTGAGAATAATCTTATATATTGCTATTAAAACCTTACTAGGAAATTTTGGTTTTCTAAATACACTTCTTATTTAAGAATAGCCTTAGGTTTGTTTTAAAAAAAAATGGGAAGATAGAACAAAGAGTCTCCAGACACACCACATCCAGTTTCCTTTATTATTAACATCTTGCAGTACTGTGCTACTTTTGTCACAATTTATATTGTTACCTAAGGTCCAGGCTTTATTCAGATTTTCTTCCTATTTTTTAACTAATGTGTCTTTTTTTTTTCTGTTCCTGAGTCTCATTGGAGATACCACATTACATGTCATTGTCATGTCTCCCTAAACCTCTCCTGCTTGTATAGTTTCACGGGTTTTGCTTGTTTTTTGATGAACAGTTTTTGGGGAAACTAGTGAAATATTCTATACAATGTCCGTCTATTGGAATTTGCATGGTCATATTTTCAGGATGAGATTGTCTTTATGGACTTTTGAAAGACACACCACAGGGCTAAAATGCCATTTTTGTCACTTCACATCAACAGTGCCGATTAGGGATGTGAATTATTGCTGCTGGTGGTGCCTGCGCACCTGGCTGAGGTAGAGCTGTCTACTTTCTCCATGCTCACTAGCTCTTTCTTCACCCTTTTCCATGCTGTGCTCTTTCAAAGAAGTCACTATGTGCAGCTTGAACTGGCACTTGTGCTTCACCCTCTCGAGGCTGGAGTATCTGCATACACTATTTGGAATTCTTCTGCACAGGAGATTTTTCTCTCCTTCATTTATTTATGTATTCAATTATTTGTTTCTGACAGTTAAACTCATGGATATACTTTGAGCTATAATCTACAACCACTTTATCTGTTTTGTTTATTAAATTGGTCTCGCTTTGGCCATTGGGATCCTTTTCAGCTGGGCCCTGGGTCCTGTTTGCATCTTTCCATCATGGTTTCTGCTTGCTTTATTTGTTTTTTTCTTTTTTCTGTTAGAGCACTTACCTTACATCCTGCCATTGCAAGATGCTCCAGGTTTATTAGATGTATTTGCTACCATATTCCTATCATCAGCCATTTCTCTAAAAGTCCGGAGCATTTTCCCTTTGGTTGAATAATGGTATCAGAAATTGATCAGTGTTTTTAATTTTAAAAACATCACAATCTTTCTATTCAAAAATGAACCACATTAATTATTACTCAATGGGAGTCAGCAGGGATGAGATTTAATCCCTCAAGAAGGGATATTTTAGTAGAAACAGCGTAGTAGAAAAATGTGTTGTATTTATTGAAATTAAGGGCCTTTTTTTATTCTTAGACATTTAGCTATTGATTTTAGACTTACAGGAGTGAGTCACACTTTATATTGTTCATAAAATATGTTAAGCTTTCTATATCTCCTCAATAAATTTGATTTTTGCAATTCGCACAATGGAGAAAACCATGCTGCCAGCCGTGCAGTGGATGTGACATACAGATGGACTTTATTATTGACTTCAGGTTTTTGTAATTCCACCAGTACATGTAAAAATAGCTTTCTCCCTATAGTATAACAACATCAAGTTCAGAAGGCCGTAGCACCATATTTATACATTTATAGTAGTACAGATTAATTCCTGTTTAATGGTAATTAAGAACATCTTTTTCCCCAAAATAGTTTTTCTCACGCTAATAATCCATTGTTATTTAAAACACACAATTTCAATATGATTTAATTGAATCAGATAATTAAGGTTTGGGTTATAAAAAGTCAGTTTCTAGACTTCCCTTCTTCATAGAATTTAGTCTTAAAATCACAGAATTTAATTTTTGTACAAAATTCATATATGATTTCATAGCATTATCAAAATTCTACTTTAATCATAGCTTATTTACTAAGTTACTAGATGTAATACAGTAAAATATGTTTGATAGAAAAACTCAAAATAAGATGGAAATTTCTCAGCAAACATTAATTTAGTGTCATTGAGTAAGTTATCATCTAGAAAAAAATATATATAATGCATGTTTATATCTCAGTGAATTATATCTTCGAAAATAATATGTTCTTAAGCTTATAAACAAGTAAAACAAAGTATGATTAACTTCATCTTAAAGGTTGGAACATTGTTTAAGCATAGTTTATTTTAGTTAATTTTAACATTTAGTAAGCAACTACAATGTAGCAGAAACTGTACAAGACTCTGGACATAAGGAGACAAATATGGTAACTACCTCATGGAATTTGTAATTTGTTAGAAGGCAAGATAATGCTGTTTTATATCAGGTGCAAAGGTGACTCTTAACAAAAATTAATATGGAACATATTTTGTTAAATTAATCTTAATTAAGCAACTTCATTTTACAAAAATATTAACTACATATTTTTACTGTCAAAACAGGGACTATGCAATTTTTTAAGTAATCATCCAAATTTTCTAGTTAATGCTCTCCATTTAACACACTGTCAATAAAATTTAAGGCTCTGTTTGTACAAGATGAAAAACTTGCTTTTCTTCTAATCCACTCAAGTGCCATTATCTTCATATTCTAATTTAGGAGTTACTATATTTCATGGTGTTTAACCCCATGGTTATGGATATCAGGCAGATCAGCATTTTATTCTCAATATCAGAATTTACAAGCTTTAAATTGTAACTCCGATTAACATATTTAATCCTAGATTTGGTTTTCACATCTGTAAAATGAGAAGACAGTGCCTACCCACATGATGCTGTGAAGGTTAATGCTGATATTTTAGTGTCATAATCAGTCACTGTGATATTGAAAGATAATCAGGCCAGATAATTTTTTTGTAAATCTCATCATTATTTTGGAATTCAACACCAGGTTCTAACAGAACTATTTATTGCAAGTAGTGAACAAAAAAGCCTATTTTTCTTTTCTCCTTCTCATATATTAATTGAATGAATGACAGAAAAACACTATGGAATAGTCAAATGAAGTCAGATGATTTTCCAGTGTTCGATACTCACATTTGGACCAAAGAGTTTAAATGACAATGAAACAGGATATGTTCCCTTGACCCCTTCACAGGACTCACAAAGGGGTTAACTTGTTTACTCAGCCAATAGCTCTCAACCCCTTACAGAAGGAGGATCATGAAGGTGAGTGGGTGCAGAAACTGGGACAAGTGATTCTGGGAATCTGGTAGGAGCATAACTCTGTGCAGGCCTGGGACTGCCTTGAAAGGTTGCCTGTGACCCCTGGGGCCCCAGAGGGCATGTGTTACAGTATGCTCTTTTAGCTTTGTCATGCATAGGCAGTTTAACAGCTCAGTGGAAGGTCAGGGTGACAGCCTTTTGTACCCATCCTCTTGATACCCAAGTTCTTGTTTGGCATCCAGGAAGAATCGGGTCATGTGAATGAATTGAAGGGTGCTGAATGTGGAAGATTTTATTGAGTGGTGGAAGTGGCTCCCAGCGAGATGGGGAGCTGGAAAGGGGATGGAGTGGGAAGGTGTTCTTCCCCTGGAGTTCTGCCTTCCCTGGCCAATCTCTTCTCCAAGGTCATACCGTACCTCTGAAGTCAAGCTTCTTCTCTCTGGCATCCAGTTGCTTCTTTTCTTCTCTGCTTTTTTGCTGCTCTGCCACTGGGGCCTGGGGTTTTTATGGGTATAGGATGGGGAGTGGGGTGGGCCACTATGGTTTTGGAAAGGCAACATTCATGCAGGAAAACAGAAATGGAAGTTCTCACTTCAGGCCATGGGCCCAGGCTTGAAGGTATGGCCCTCACCAGGGACTGCCCTCTTCTACCCAGTATTTACCTGCCTCCTGTCCATATCAACATGTCTGATGAAATGTTATCACAAAACCTGAACTATATTTCAGAGAGTCTAGCTCTGTTTCACAAATATTTCTTTCTGATGAAACCACAATAATGTTTTAATTATTTTTAGAATATCTGTATTGTCTCCTTGAAAATCATATACCAAGCTTCCCAGCTTTTGCTTTGTAATTAAATTTGAGTTCTGAAAAATCATTTTATCAGATATAGAATTCACATTTATCAGTGTAATAAACACATAATAGTGAGTTCATTGTGTTTTTTTGTCACTGTGTCAACAAATTCTTAACAATTTTCTAACACCTAAATTTGCCACACAGCCCTTCTTGTGTTTCAGATGAATGTAAAGTGAACTTGCAGCTACCTAAAAGCACAGGGATATGGTTCTATATATAAAACTATATACACTTGTGTATTGATATACAAGAAAGCAGCTGCTCTATAGATTCCTCTGCTTTTATTGTTTGAAGTCATATTCACAATTCAAGCCAAATAGTTTCTTTTCAAAGTTAATGCACTCAAGTGGATGCCAGAAAAAAGAATGATGTGAAAGCTATCATAAATCTTATAATAGTCTATAAGATTTTTGGCAATGTGTGCATCCAAATAAAGGGCTTTTGTTTTATGTTAAAGGCATTGTTTATAGGTTGATAAATGGCATGTGTACTAAAATCCACTTTTGTGTCACTGTTATGCAAAATTAGCTTTCAGCAAAGTACATGGCTGTATTGTTACAAAGTTTAAAATAGAAAATTTATGTTTATAGGCTTCATTTCCCCTTAGGATTAGAGGTAGAAATCTTTCCCTACCCTAATAATCAAAAGGAAAGCCCAGCACCAGACAAGTAAGGGAGATTCAATAAATATATAGTAAGTAGATAACTGATTTATTGATTGCATGACTGATGGAATTAATTAATTAAGTAAAGGTAATTAGCCTTTTACCTAAAGGCTGTAATCCAAACATAATCTTGCTTCCAACTTCCAAACACTATTTCTATAATTAGAGCACTGAACATCAATATCATTATATGAGGGATTTATTTTCTAGTTAAAAAGGAGTCAAGGGTTAATACCGTATAACAAGCTCTGAAGGCTAATTTAATTATTGGGTCATATATGGATTTAGTTCCCACCTCATTATAGGCCCTACCCTTGTTTCTATTTTCTGACTAAATCTCACCTATCACTGAATATATTCTTAGACAGTTCAGGATCCTAACCATTTTCCCCAGTCCTTAGGAAGTTGCCTGTTTCCGAGTTTACTTATGTCATCTCCTAAAGCTACACATGAGAGTAAAAATTGCTGCCCCTGAAATTATTTATCAGTTTTCTCAGCCACAGCTTTTTCTGGTTACAAACACTAATTTGATCTATTTAATTTTTGCTAGGTTTCCTTAGATTTAAATTGGTCCTCAAGAAATCCATGCTATCTTCAGGAATATTTTAGTTTTATGACAATAAGTTTAAAGTGAAGCTAGTCAACACATAAGTTTTTTTTTCTCTAGCAAAGTTTAATTGCAGTAATGTAAAACAACATAGCAGGAAAGTTCAGTTTAACCCCCATTATAGATAACCAAGGAACGATTTGTAGTTCTTAGCAATTGTTTGCTTTAATTTCATATTTGTTTGCTTCCTCTACTGTTAATGTGACCCCGTGCTTACTTTTTCATCAGCTGTGTCTAGTCTACTGAATAATCAACCAGAAAATTTCTTAATTTTTATTATTATTATTATCTTTTAAGATTTATACCACTCCCTGAAAATGAGAGTGCATTAAAAAAGCAGATGTTGAAACAGGTTTCCATTTTGCTGATTTTCAGACATTCCCAGAACTGGTCTCACCACATCTCCTCAGAGATACCAGCAAACCTGGATAGTTCTCATTACTCAGAGGTCTGGATGGTAGCCTTAGGATCTCTCTTTAACCTCAGAAAAAGAGAGAGAGAGCTATTACTCACCTAAAGCAAGGTGAGGAGGGCATCTGTTTAGAAGACATAATTTGGCTTGTGGTGTGGGGAACCAATGAGAATGAGAAGACAATATGCACAGGTGAGCTGCCTAGTGTTAAGCATCAGACCCTGAACCCTACAGGGTACAGAGCACACATGCAAGAGTGTGGCATAAGACATCATAACATGAAACGGATCACTGGGATCAGTCAAAGGAGCATGCTTCATTATGGGATGCCAGGGCTCAAGCAGATTAAGGAGGGGTTTTGGGGTCAGATGTAGGATGGATGACAAGTGATATCCAAGCCTCTGTGGACTGATAATAGTTTCTAAAGTCAGGGAGACATAGCCCTATATGTAAATTCTCATCAGAGGAACGTGAAGCCTATGGTACACTGATGTTAGCCAAAACCACAACAAACCTCCCACACAGTCCAAGTATCATCTAGATCAAAGGAAACTCCTGCTTTACAGGGGTGAAACAAGGACATGTACATCTAGTAGTATTAAAATAAGTTTTATGTCTACTCTTTCATAAGATATCTGCCTTTCAACAAAAGATTACAAGTATATGAAAATAAAATAAAAAATAAAAACTATAAAGAGACAAAGCAGTTCTCAGAACCATGCAGATAAGACACAGATGTTGATAATATCCAATAGGAAATTTAAATAATTATCACTTATGTGTTAAAAGTTTTAGTGGAAAGCAGAGACATTATGTATGATAATTTCTGCAAAGATATGTAAACTAAAAGAAAGAATCAAATGTAAATGAAAGCACATACAAAAACAAAGATGAAGAAAATCTTCAATTAAGTCATCAGGAGACTAGATACAGTTGAGGAAAGAATCTGTTAACTGGAAGATCAGTCAAGAGAAATTACCCAAACTGAATTATAAAGAGAATATATATATATATATATATATACACACAGTTTCTAAGACCTTTGGGACAATAACAGATTGGTACACAATACTGGAATCTCAGAAGGAAAAAGATAAAATAGGCCAGAAGAAGTACAAAGAAAAATGACAGAGCAGAAATATCCAAAATAATAACAGATAACAAACTCACAAATCTGAAAATCTGATATACTACAAAAATTCTGAAAGTACTCCATATTTCTTAAACACACACACAAACACACACACAAACACATACACATCCAGCCATGTGCAATTCAATCTGTTCAAAACTAAAAACAAAGAGAAAATCAACACCAAAGACAAAGAAAACAACCACAGAAAAGAGACATATTATCTACATCTAGATGAGGGTAAGTATTAAAGACTTCTCATCAAAAACATATAAGCAAGAAGATACACATACAAGAAGAATAAGACCAATTTAAAATGTAAAAAGAAAAATTTGTCAAACCAAAATCTATTTCAAATGATTACATTCCTAAAAAATGAATGAGAAATTGATTTTCTCAAATATAAGGCAACTCATTGCTAGCTGACGTTTCCTAAAATCTATGTTAAATGATTTTTTTCCACATGGAAGAAATATCATAACAATCAAATTTGAATCTACACCAAGAAATAAAGATTGGGGAAAAGTGAGAAAATGAAGATGAAATAAAATATGTTTCCTTTATTTTTGTTACTAGCTGTAAGTTAGGTGACTAAAGAATGGTAGTGACCATGTATTTTGAGTTTATAACATACGTAAAAATAAAATACAATAGTACTTCCTGATCCATGGTTTTACTTCCCACAGTTTCAGTTACCTGCAGTCAACTATGATTCAAAACTATTAAATGGAAAGTTTCAGAAATAAACAATAAGTCTTAAATAACACTTATATGTTTTGGATATGTCCTGACTCAAAATCTCATTTTGAATTGTAATCCAAATTATAATCCCCACTTGTTGGGGAAGAACTTTGTGGGAAGCGATTAGATCATGGAGGCAGTTCCCCCATGCTGTTCTCATGATAGTGAGTGAGTTCTCATGAGATCTGATGGTTTTATAAGGGATTTTTCCCTGATTTGCTCTGCACTTCTCCTTCCTTCCACCATGTGAAGAAGGATGTGTTTCCTTCCCCTTCTGCCATGATTGTAAGTTTCCTGAGGTCTCCCCAGCCATGAGGAACTATGAGCCAATTCCTTTATGAATTACCCAGTCTCCAGTATTTCTTTGTAGCACCATGAGAACAAATACAAACACATTGCTCTGAGTACTGTTATAAAATTTCATGCCATCCCAATCCACCCAGCCCAGTACTTGAATTATCCCTTGATCTAGCTGTATACACTATCTACCTACTAATAATATTTAAAAATCAGTGTATATAGGGCTTGGCACCATCCAAGGTTTCAGGCATCCACTGGGGATCTTGGAAAGCATCTGACAAGGATAAGGGGGGATTATTGTATGTGAAAACAAAAGAATAAACCATCCAATTTAGATCTCAGGAACAAACTCTTCAAAGTTTCCTATATGTCAAATGAAATAATAATACTTGAAGATAACACAAGTTTAATTCAAATGATATTGTGAATCCTAGGCTAACCAGTAAAAAGGCTTAAGTATGAATGATTCAAAAATGTAGACATAATAGAATTTTTAAAAGTCAAGAATTTTGAAGCATTTGATATTTTACCATATTTGTAAACTAATAAGTTAGCCAGCCAGTTTTAGGGATGCTGATAGAAGACATGAGGCTCATTGGTGAGAGACAAAGGACACTTTATAACTCATGTAGTTTATGACACACAGCAAGAGCAGTAGCCATGAGAACAGGCACATCCTTCAAGCCCTGATTCCCACAGAGCATTGTGTCAAATATTATTTAATAAGTGCTCACATAGCAGGTTGTGTTAAGGAGAGGGACCTTGAGTATGAAAACCCCCAGTCTGCTGAAGAGGACTGCCACAAAACCTGCCCAAACTTTGTTTTGAATGAAGACGATTTTTTATCATAAGAAATGTAAATTTAAAATAACAGAAATAATGCAAGTTAAGTTTTCAAGGCATAATGGAATTTACCTAAAAATCCATAGCAGTAAGATAACTTAAAAAGTCCCAAATATGTGGAGATTAAATGATATACTTTTAAATAACCCACAGATCAAAGAGAAAACTTAAAGCAATGTTATCAGAACATTTTGCCTGAATGAAAATAAATTATAACATTGAAGAATTACATTTCTGGTTATTTTCCCAAAAAGATAAAAGCAGCTCATGCACTAGTCAAACGTGGATGCAAACCAAACTCCACCAATATATGAGCATACACTATACATCCACACGTTGAATAACATTCAACGAAAAAAAGAATGATGTATTTATACAGGTTACAAAATGAGTGAACATAATTAGGGTTTCAGAAAGAAACCAGGCAAATAGATTCCATATGCCATCAAGCACTTTTAATGAAATTCTAGGAAATGTAAAATAATGTACTCTCTCAGACAGGAAGCAGATTGGGGATTGGAGTTCCAGGGAGAAATAGAATATTTTTGATGGTGATAGATATGTTCATTGTTTTGATTTTGTAATGGTATTGCAGGTGTATAAACATGTCAAAACATTTTCAAATTATACCCTTTAATTACATGCAATTAGTTGTATGTCAATTATACCCCTCAAAAGTGTTAAAATAAGTAAATGAATAAAGAAACAAACACATAAAAACCTTTATTTGCATCACATTTCAACATATCTGAAATCAGGGCAAGTTTACAATGGATGACATGATTTGTGTGCCAGTTATTAAGTTGTCTCCTGGCTCCAAATCTACCCTTCTGTACTCAGGTTTACGACGCTCGACTTCAGATTTTTTAAACCACATTGTTGCTTTGCTGCTGCGGTCATATTAGGATTTACGGACAGAGTGTCACAGAGGAACCCTTTAAATTTCACTAGGGTTTTGGAGCAAATCTATTGCCTCTCTTTCAAAGATCAATACCTTCTTTAGATATACATTGATAGGCACCAGTGGCTCAGCTTACCATCATGAACTGTGTTTATTTGGCCCATGTATTATATTTGGTAAACACATAAAGGGTATTATTATTAACTGAAATAGTATGTAATTGGCTTAAGAATGCCTGGAGGAATGAGTCAGTTACATGGCCAGGTGACCAGACTCCTACCTTTAGACTCTTGATGCACTGTCTTCTCTCGTTAAATCCACATCCTTAGCCTCATGGGGGTATTCCTCACAGGCAGTTGATCTAGGAAGAAAACAAAACAAAAAAAGTGCTTGGGTCTGGTTCAGAGATGATTGAGCAAAATATATTTCATTAATCAAAAAAAAGAAAAAGGAAAAGAATGACTGGATCTCTATACTGCAATTCAGTGAAGGTAAATTCTCCAGGATGAAGGTAATTTAGGTAGCGTATTTGGTTGTCCAGTTTTTTCTAAACACAGAAATGGCCAGAAGTAATGATCGACATTGATTCTCGTGAGACTGTTAATGGTGACGCTCAGTGTTCTGGAATCTGAAAATAATTAGCATTGCTTGATTGGTGATTGAGAGATCAGAGACAGAGTTAAGTGGATAGCCCTCCCAGCAGAGGGCATGATGCGGTTTGTATCCAATATGAATGTCACCAAAGGGCGTCCATCACAGAGGAGACTCAGTCAAAGGAAAAGATGCATATTCTGTAGATACATGAACCTCTTTTATCAGCCACCTCATTATTTGCTCAAAGAGGCTATATACAAACTGGTCATGATTGTGGGAATGAAGACTATTCATGGCATCAACAGCAAACACTTTCCGTCCCCAAGTACTATCTGGGTCTTGCTGGTACTGCTGAGTGACTAATTTGCCACCAGGTGAGATCAACAGTGTGCTCTCAACAAAACATCATATGGCGGGGTAGGGGATCAGGGGTGAGCCAGCAAACACAGGTAGCTAATGTTCACACTAGGCCACATTCACCATGGGGGAGGCAGAGATTTGTCTTCACTGAAATAGACAGATGTTACGGATATGGGGTTGCTTCCCCTTCCCATAACACTTTCTGCCAGCACCTGTCATCCACTTTTGTATGGAATGTCTTATTTACAGTCATGGTATTACTTAGAACATTTCTTCTGATGAAAAACCTTATTTTGCACGAAACAAAATATGCCTTATCCTCAGAGGTGTTAAGAAGTCTCAGCCCTTTGTGAGCCCCTTTTTTGAGATTTCTAAATTTTAATAATTCTAATTTCTTCCCATTGTTTTGCAGCCATTTTTGAAATGATAAATATCTTCAATAATAATTTAAAGTTATATTTGTATATTTGTGTAATAACTTTATGATATAGATTATCAAATAATTTGAATAAATTATTTTATAATTAGTTGTTCAAATAATTGCTGTTGTTTTTGTCTCTTCAGAGGACTCTGACTAATACATCATGTTTTAATTGGTGGCATTATTTTGCTCTTGCTTTGCACACAAAATTATGTCTCTTATTGATGGCAGCTTTATTTGATGATATTTAACATTTAGCATAATAGTATTAATTCAATTTTACACAGTCAATTGCTGATACAAGGACTAAGTATTTTTTTAAATGACATGGGAGCAAAAATATAGTTAGAATGAATAAGATCGAATATTTGATGACAACAGTGTGACTATAGTCGCCAATAATTTATTAAATATTTTAAAATAACTAAGAAAAATTGGAATGTTCCTATTCATAATTATTTTGGCAAGAATGCGATTATAGCTACTCCAATAGCTAGACATGAAAGGAAAAAAGGGATACATTATAATTTTAAATTGTGACATAATTTTTTTTTAATATGTAAATGACAACTAACTCAGGATAATAATCTGGCCAAAGCTATTTACTATACTATATCTCCATTTCAAGCTCAAATAGAGTCATCTAGTATGTCTGATACAATGGCCGGTTTTATTTACAATGGAAAGAATATGAATTAGAAATTTGACAGCGCATTGATAGTCAAAAATTACACTTTTTAGAAATGAGGTAATAATATTTTTACATTTAATCATAAATCACAAGCTTCCAGTAGTTTTATTAGTAATCACAATTCTGTTTGGTATAATTAGTTTAGCAATAAGGCAAACACACAGCTGAATTATGAGAGGAAATTGCTTAGGAAGAGCACTTTATATGCACTGAAGAATCTTATTTATTAAATGATAGAGCAAACAACATATAACTGCTCTCTGTGATGCAGATTTTCCACAATGTTAGTATGTGTTAATCCCAGTATTAAACTTAGACACACTTTTAGAAGCAGGTACACAGTCCATTTCTGCTGTGTGGTGTGTGTGTGTGTGTGTGTGTGTGTGTGTTATATATATATATATATTTTTTATATATATATATGAAATACATGTATTTTTTATGTATATATGTGTGTGCATATATGTTTTTTAATTTAGTGGAGTAAAAATATACCCTTATAATAGATAACACAAGTACAACATTTGTTTTTCTTAATGGAGTATGACATTGCAAATCACCATGTCTTAAGAAAGGTAAATTTTTGTTAATATTTATATGCATTTTTTAAATTTACCTTAAATTGTCTGTTAATAAATATATTATTCATTCAGAGTTAAAATAGCAGTCATGAATTTCATAAAGCAATTGGCTTTTTTCTTCTCAGAGTAGCAGTCTCTGATACAAATAATTTAAAATTCCATTTAGCTTATACTTTATTCAACAGTATGCCTTGCCTTGCATAGCCAAACAATTCAAGCACTATAAGAAAAGGTGTGATATTACACCAATTATCCCCAAACCGTAATTACTGAAACTGACACAAAATGGTTGATTTGTAGACAGCTATGTTTCTCTAATGGAGCTTGTTAATGGAAGTGAATTCTGTTCAGGAATGTAGTTTAATGCCATGCCACTTATATTACGCTAAATTACTGTCAAACCTAAAACAGGAAACAGCTTCTATTGAGTCTTAATTAATCAAAACTGTGTTGCAAACTTTTTGATTTGTGACTCCATACAAATTGGAGAAAATAAAATGTAAAGTAATCTACTGCAATGTAAGGACATCTGTATATTTTGGCAAGTAAGTTGATGGATTGCAGCACTCAGGAAATTAAAATATGTAAATCTGAAAACATCTTCATCTTACAAAGTACGTTAAATATTTTTAAATAAAACATAAAAACTTATTTTGAGGCGTTTTGTTTAGCTTCTTTTCTGGAAGTTTCTTCAGTCTAATGTATTACAGTATAGTTGATTTACAATTTTGAATATTTTCTTTTAAATAGATATTTATTTCTACATTTAACAAAAATAGTATCTATCCATTAAAGACCATGTGAAAATAAATATTTAAATTTGAAAAAAAATCCAGACATTTATTTTTTTCCTCTTTTAAATTGGAATTAAACCACAGTACTGTTTTGAAGTATACTTTATACCTGATATACCGTGCATATTATTATTTCATAAGCATTTTAAATTGATACAAGCTTTGTTATCTTGCAGATGTGCTGTAATTTGTGTACCCAAATTAATTTCATTAGACATTTAGTTTCCATTGCTCAAAATTAGTGATAATACACTGGAAAAATTTAAATACTATATTAATTTATATTGAACCTTTATAGAGCAAGAGTAAATATTCAAGCGTTCTTTTTTCTATTTGTGTGCATTTTTTCCTCAGCATGAGGAAATAGTTGGGGTACATTCCCAAGTTTCACATATCTAACAATGTACATATCACATGTATGTTACAACATAAATTACTATTGATATTTTGTACCCCAACTTCTTCATTTTAATCTCTGTATACTCTCAATATATTTTAATATTGTCAAAATAGAAATATCTGATGCCATTTTTTATTTTCTTCCACTAAAATTATAACTTTTTTTACATTATTATGAATTAGAAAATTTATTTATTCATAACTATATGAATAGTTATTGGAAATTTTCTTAAATCTTGAATGTAAAGACATCACTGCATTCTTTTTCAATATTGTCTAGGCCCATGGTTTTGTTTTTGTTGTTGTTGTTTCATATCATCCCTCAGATTCTTGCCTGTTCAGTTCAAGTATTTTCTTTAGGGACACCATTTTTCTTATAGCAGATTTTATGCTTACGTCTTTTATGTCATATTCCTTCATTTTTTAAGGCCTGTGATTTGAATACTTGTGATTATTTCAAGGCTGTCTTCCACATTGCAATTTAATTATTTGGAGATTTGTTTGTTTTTACAATGATTATTGTAAAATGATTGAAACTGTGTAATCTTAACCTAGTGAATAAGTAGAACTTTCCTAAGACAATAAAAGGTCACATTCTGCATACCCAATTACCACTCTTTACATTCACAAAAATAAAGCAGATCACTAATAGCACAGATTTGCTTGGCCTCATGTATTAGTTTTCTATTGAGGCCATAAAAAATTAACATAAATTTAGTGGCTTAAATTAGCACACACTCATAATCTCACAGTTCTACAGATCAGAAGTCTGAAACTAGTTACACTCGGCTCAAAACAAGGTGTTGTCAGGCTGTCTCTCTTCCTGGAAGCTCTAGAAGATAATCTGTTTATTCTACAGCTTCTGGAAACTTCCTTCATCCCTTGGTCATGGCCCCCTTTTCTCCATCTTGAAGACCAGAAATGGCAGGTCAAGACTTTTTCATGGGATCTCACTCTGACTATTCTTCCAATGTCACATCTCTTCTTAATTCCAGTCAGGATAGGTTCTTTGCTTTTTTAAACAACAAATTATTTATTATACTTTAAGTTCTGGGATACATGTGCAGAACGTGCAGGTTTGTTACATAGGTATACACAGGCCATGTTGGTTTGCTGCACCCATCAACTTGTCATCTACATTAGATATTTCTCCTAATGCTATCCGTCCCCTAGCCCCTCACCACCCGACAGGCCCCAGTATGTGATGTTCCCCTTTCTCCGTCCATGTGTTCTCATTGTTCCACTCCCACTTGTAAGTGAGAACATGTGGTGTTTGGTTTTCGTTTCCTATGTTTGTATGCTGAGAATGATGGTTTCTGGCTGCATCCATGTCCCTGCAAAGGACATGAACTCATTCTTTTTTATGGCTGCATAGTATTCATGATTCTCATACTAATACATGAGGTCAAACAAATATGTACCACATTTTCTTTATCCAGTCTATCATTGATGGGCATTTGGGTTGGTTCCAAGTCTTTGCTGTTGTGAATAGTGCTGCAATAAACATACATGTGCATGTGTCTTTATAGTAGAATGATTTATCATCCTTTGGGTATCTACCCAGTAATGGGATTGCTGAGTCAAATGGTATTTCTGGTTCTAGATCCTTGAGGAATTGCCACACTGTCTTCTACAATGGTTGAACTAATTTACACTGTTACCAACAGTGTAAAAGCATTCCTATTTCTCCACATCCTCTCCAGCATCTGTTGTTTCCTGACTTTTTAATGATTGCCATTCTAACTGGCGTGAGATGGTATCTCATTGCGGTTTTGGTTTGCATTTCTCTAATGACCAATTATGATGAGGCTTTTTTCATATGTTTCTTGGCCACATAAATGTCTTCTTTTGAGAAGTGTCTGTTTATATCCTTAGCCCACTTTTTAATGGGGATTTTTTTTTCTAGTAAATTTGTTTAAGTTCTTTGTAGATTCTGGATATTAGCTCTTTGTCAGATGAAGAGATTGCAAAAATTTTCTCAAAGACTTAAACATAAGACCTAAAACCATAAAAAACACCAGAAGAAAACCTAGGCAATACCATTCAGGATATAGGCATGGGCAAAGACTTCATGACTAAAACACCAAAAGCAATGGCAACAAAAGGCAAAATTGACAAATGGGATCAAATTAAACTAAAGAGCTTCTGCACAGCAAAAGAAACTATCATCAGAGTTAACAGCTTATTTGCTTTTAAGGACTCATCCAATTAGATTGGTCTCACCCAGATAATCCATAATAATCTCATATCAAGACCTTCAACTTAATCATAGATGCAGATTTTCTTCTGCAATGTAAGAAATCATATTCACAGCATCCATAGGGATGTGAGCATCTTTATGCAACCATTATTCTGTTTACCTATATTCTATTTAAATAGTTGAACAAACATAGGGTCTGTGTTACTTTTTTTCATTCACTACAAAATTTATGAGATACATCCCCATTGTGTTTTAGAAGATTGTTCATTTTCATTGCTATAAGATGTTCAAATGTGTAATAAAAAACTATGGTATATTGATATATTTTACCATTGAGAATACTTATTTTCAGTCTAGTTTTGAGCTATTGCAAAGAATGCTGTTATGACATTCTTATTATATGTATTTTGGTGCAATCATATCTGTTGGTAGGCTTATGGGAGTATATATTTGCTCAGTGGACACATAGTCATTAATTTAACCTCCACAGCCATATGAGAAGGTTTCATTTCTTCTCATCCTCATCAATTACTGCAACTTTTAGACCTTTATTTCCATTTGTTTGTTTAAATTTCACCATTTAGTAGGTATAGATTGACATATCATTATGGTTTTTCCATATTATGAAGTTAAGTGTGCTGCAAATATCTTCTTCTACACTTACACTTTGGGTTATCTTTTCACTCACTTGATGTTTTGGGGGCAAAAATTTTGAAAACTTTAATTATTTTTATAAAATCAGATTTATCAATCTTTGTCCTCATAGATAGTGCCATTAGTGTTAAAATCATTTAGTACCCTATCTTCATGAAACTATTCTTCTGTGGTATCTTTTCTAGATTTTTGTTATTTTTTATATTTTAATTCTTTTATTTTAAAATTTATTTTAGCTGATATTAATAAAGCTATGGAAGGGTTTATATTAGATTTGCCTAATATGAATTTTTCTAATCTTTTATTTGTTTGGATTTATGCTTTAGGTGTGAAACTTATCAAAAACAGTTATATGAATTTTACTGATTATCTGTTTGTCAATATTTGTCTTCTAATTTGGATAATCATATGACACAAATTTTGTAAACTTTGAAAATATAAAAGCTTATTTATGAAACTGCTGAAAACTAAAACAAGGGTGATTTTTTTCTAAAAATGGACACTAGGCACAGTTGGTTTTACTGAATAGTTCTTTTAGTTAAAAATAGAAAGTCCTCCCAATATTATATAAGTAATACAAAATGAGGAATATAATTTAAGTCTTAATATGAGGCCAGCATAAGCACAACAAAACTATTAAAAGATAAATACGGGTATAAGATTTATAAGCGAAATATTAACAAACTTTATGTCTAAGTCTATATCATTTCGTGTTTATCCCCAAAGGGTAAGTAGAATTTAATAAAAGAAAATTTATAAATGTAATTCACCATATTACAAGATTGAATTTTTAAAATGATGAATTGAAATTTTCAATCCCTTGATAAAATTCAACATACATTAGTAACACAACACTTGCTAACTCAATAAAGTTATTTAAGCATAAATATTAACTTACCATCTTATATAGGAAAAATATTAGAAAATTCCCTTAAGTGGACAAATATGGCAAAGATATCCAGTATCATTTTGACTCAAGATTTTTCTGCCAGGCGTGGTGGCTCATACCTGTTAATCCCAGCATTTTGGGAGGCCAAGGTGGGCGGATTACTTGAGGTCAGGAGTTTGAGACCAGCCTGGACAACATGGTGAAACCCCGTCTCTACTAAAACACAAAAATTAGCCGGGTGTGGTGGTGGGTGCTTGTATTCCCAGCTACTGGGGAGGCTGAGGCAGGAGAGCTGCTTGAACCCGGGAGACAGAGTGCAGTGAGCCGAGATCGCACCACTGCGCTGCACTGCAGCCTGAGTGACAGAGCAAGACTTCGTCTTAAAAAAAAAACAAACAAAAAAAAAACAAAAGGTTTTTCTATGGTTCATAGATAATAAAATTAAAGAAGATAAATCTGGATCACCTGATTGTTTATATTAGACAATTCAATTTTTTATCTTAAATAATAAAACAATTTAAGATGATGTTTGATATAAGATTAATATTGAAAAGTTTATACATGTTTTATATCAGCAAGAGACAGAAAACGTTACTAAAGAAATTACACCACTTACAATAATATCAAATACCTCAAGATCATTCTAACTGAAATGATATGATAGCTATAGAAAATATATATATTTATGTGTTTATGTATATATATAGATAAATTTATATAAGTTAGCTACAGAAAATATATATATATTTATGTGTGTATGTGTATGTGTGTGTGTGTGTGTGTGTGTGTGTGTGTGTGTATATATATAACTTTAATAACAAAGAAGACCTAGGTAAATAAAAAAAGTACAACATTTGTGTCTAGGAAGACCTGATACATGTAGATTTAAATTCTCCCAAAATTGCTTAATTGATGTAACCTAAAGAAAATTCCAAAGTATTTTAATACAATTTAAAAGACAGGCCGGGCGCGGTGGCTCACGCCTGTAATCCCAGCACTTTGGGAGGCAGAGGTGGGCGGATCATGAGGTCAGGAGATCGAGACCATCCTGGCTAACACAATGAAACCCCGCCTCTACTAAAAATACAAAAAATTAGCCGGGCATGGTGGCGGGCGCCTGTAGTCCCAGCTACTCGGGAGGCTGAGGCAGGAGAATGGCGTGAACCCGGGAGGCGGAGCTTGCAGTGAGCCGAGATCGCGCCACTGCACTCCAGCCTGGGTGACAGAAGGAGACTCCGTCTCAAAAAAAAAAAAAAAGAAAAAAAAAAAGACATATTGAAAATGTATTTGGGCAAAATAAAGAGATTTGTTTTCTGGAATGGCAGTGTGATCAGCTCTGTTTCCTCTCTGCAGTAAAATAAAAAAAAATCACCATTGAAAATTGAAAATTATTTCAAAAAACAATTTAAAGTCTCTGAAATTTGTCCTAAATGTATGCAGCAAATGGGAAACTTTAATTCACGAAAATCTACAAAAATCTTGGTAGAAGTCTAGCTCATTTGAGCCAGGACCTGCTCCCCACTCCTTAACTCCAAGAGATGGAAATCAACTCCAGGCACTTACACCAGGCAGGTTCCACCAAAGAGACAGGGGTTCCTTGTCCTCTCTATTCCTAGCCTAAAGCTATGATGTCACTGGTGAAGAAGAGGCCTCCAGAGCCTCTTATCCATCTCCAGGCCTGTCTTATGAAAGTAATATTCTGAGCAAGCATGACTGAGTGGACTAGCTTTGTTTTCTCCAACCCACCTCCCACTCATAAGGCAAAGGCTCTGCTTCAGATAGGACACCCCAGACACTCAGACCTTTATCGCCCCCATACTCACAGAAAGGGTCAAGCTGAAGACCGGGGCGACCATCCCTCTCTCTGAGCACCCACACATACATAGCCCAGGAGACCCACTCTGGCTGGAGGGGGCCACACTGCTCCACCCCAGGTCTACTGCAGAAGTTCTTCCTAAGGGTAAAAATGTGGGCTATAAGGATGGAGAGCTTCATAGTATAGCCTTAAGGGACTGACTTTATGTAGTACTAAGCCTGGAGGAGTTTATATGGAGGATCTTCGTAGCTGGCAATAAAGAGAAAATTGGTAATTCTCCATATGAATTGCATCATATGAAATGGTAGACTTGTAAGTTTAATACAGACACTAATAGAAAAAACACAAAAAGAATCCTCCTGGGCCCAACTTTTTCCTGAGGTCCAGGAGGCTGTGTACATGCACTGTACTATACCTCTCGGGACCATGCACCATGAAAAACAGGGCAGACTTGAATTCATTCTGCAATTTACACAGCTTCATCAGAAAAATCTAGAATGCTTACTGGATTGAGGTGCTTACACACAACTTCTTTTAAAACACCAGCTGAGCCATAAGCTACTCTGAGCCAGGTGTACCATCTGGAAAGCTAGATTTAACATAAAATCACACTAATTCCTGGTTTTTTGGAAAACAGTGTATGTTTCCAAACTACTACCTTGGAGAAAAGACCAGAGAAGGACCTCTGAAGTCACTGTTCTTGGCTCAATGAAGGTTAAAACCGTAACCTTTCTGAACTGTGGAAGCTGTCTCTAAGCTGCACGTACATTCAATGTAAAAGGGTGAAAATCTCCCTAGCTAAGGGGGACTAATCATAAAACTTGAACCATACATGGCTTATGTTGATTCATTAGCAATGTCTAAGAAGCCAGAATGCAAGATAAAATAAAGGCAAACATCTGAGCATAAATAGCAGAGAATACAAACTTCAAGGAAAACATTCCACAGCCAAGTTACTAAACAGTCAAATGACCAAACAAACAAAAACAGTCCCAGAAATGAGGAAAAGTGAATCAAGAGATGTAACAAGGGAAAGTCAAGAGTTGGAGTAAGCCTCACAGACCATCAGCACCGAACACGGGGCCCTTGCCAAGTGGCTGAACTTTGCATCAGACTGTGGAGCGATGCACATGCCAGAGTGTTGTGGAAAACAATAGGCCACTCGGCTGGCAGTCACTGGAGGATAATAGCTGTGTGTGATGCCAATGAAACCAGGCAACTCAGAAGCTTATGGGGAAATCAGAGAAAATACATTCAAAGTGAGCACAGCTAAAAACCCCAGTCGTCTGTCCTGGTTGTGATGCAGGCTGTGCACCTGCCCCGTGTGTGCCATATGAGGAGAAAACAGAGTCAGATCTCCAGAATCTGCGATTCCCCAGTTCCTGCCTGAATAATGCATAAAGTCACGAACCCCCTGAACTGTGGGGTGGTGTCCAGGCCATGCCTAGATCCAACGTTAAAGGTGGAAACCTTACTGACTCATGGGACTTAAGCCCAATCAGTGGCTGATCACTAAATGGTTCGAATCCAGGGGTGTAATTGGAGCAGGGGCATCTGGGGATGCACTGGACTCGTGCAGCCAAATCCGTAAAACAAACAAGCAGCAGCAACTTTAAATTCAAAGATAAAAATAAAAAAGAAATGCCATGTAAATAGCAGCCATGAGAGATAACAGAAATTATCCTGTTTTATGTTACCAGAGTGCTTGTGATTCTTCTCTGGGTGATAAAACCAATCTTTGCAAAAAAAAAAAAAAAATTGTTGAAATTTAAACAAACAGAGGGTCACCTCTAAAACTATACAATAATGCTTCAAAAATAAAATGCAGTTAATAAACTCTTTTAAGCACTACTGTGGCAGTCAACTTGTTAAGTATGGCAAGTACAGAGATGGAAATAAGATGATGCTGATACTGGCATTGTAATAAGCCTGGGGATGCAGTGGCCCCTGGACAGTGGCTCTACCAGTAGTGCACTAAACAGGCTTTAAGAAAAAAGCTGTAGCTGGAGGAGTGACCCTTTCCACCATGTCTCCGCAGAGCTACATGCTCTGACTTTTATCTCATAATGTTTTTCTGGTTTTATACATTTGCTTCTCAGTTTCCATTATTGGGCTGATTTTCTTCACCCTGTTCTGTCTGTCATCCCATGGGAGTGCTTTTCAATTCCGTTTATTCAGCAAATCTGTTTACAGTACATTTAAACACTCTCTCATGTTGGACACTTGGAAAAAAAATCATCCTGTTTTATGTTACCACAGTGCTTGTGATTCTTCTCTGAGTTATAAAACCAATCTTTGCAAAAAATGTGTTGAAATTTAAACACAAAGTGGGTCACCTCTAAAACTATAGAATACTGCTTCAAAAATAAAATGCATTTAATAAACTCATTTAAGTACTACTCTGGCAGTCAACTTGTTAATATGGCAAATATAGAGATGGAAATCAGACGATGCCAATACTGGCATTGTAATAAGCCCAGGGATGCAGTGGCCCCTGGACAGTTTGATAAGCACTTTCTGCTGTAGGATCTGATGCCATGGGAGGATTGGACAAAGAGACACATTAAGAAACAGTAAAATAAATGCTAGGATTGTACATCAGCTGATATTTTTATGTTTCCTAAAAAATCTCTTGTCTGATTCCTCCTAATCAAAGAGTCTTTTATATTTATATCCTCCTTTAGAAATAGGAAGGGATTAGGCATCACTTCACTTATTATAGACAATAACCAAAATCAAGTAAACAGCATGAGTTGCTCTCTGAAGGTCTCTGGTTCTACAAAGAGCATGTTATTTTTGAAGTTATATTAGCTCAATGTAGTTTAATGTTTTAAGTTCTTAAAACATTTATTTTAAAACATCATTATAATCAGAATTGGTAAAAACTGACTTTCTAAATAAAAAACAAACTAATTCCTTAAATGGTTTAAGAAACAAACACAGTAACATGGATTTTCACTGCTGTTCTGAGAAGTTATGATGGGAAAAATACAGAACATTATTCAAATAAAAGGGAAATGTCATTTTTAGCCAATAACGAGAAGAGGGTTGACATTCTTTTCTGTGCTGATGAAATGATCTTGCAATTATGTTCCAAGGGCTCAAACAGTAGGTGATCCTTTACCCTGAAATTGTACTCTTTTGAAATTATTTTACATATGATAAAAGATATTACTTATATATTCTCATTAATAGGATCCAGATAAATATTATCTAGATTAATAATATTAATCTCCATTAATATTATTAATATATAAACAATATCATCAATATTAACTAATTTATAATATCTGGTTTAGTATCATCTATATATTATCTGTTAATATTATTCATTATAATTATATCCATTAATACAGCATCAGATAATAGATGTTTTAAATAATGTGATAAAATAATAGATTTAAATGAACATTTGAGCAAAGATATTAATGATAGAATTATTAATAAAAATTGGTTCTCTATAGAATATGGCAATTTCTAAATATGTGGGGTCAAATCGGTGTAAAAGAATACCAGACATCAAGTTAAAAATATTTTTAAAGATTGTTTCATTCCAAATAGGGCATAAATATTTAAGTATATTCTATATTGCATCCATTAATAATGTTTATTTGTGAAGATACTTTTCCTGTTAATGAAAAAATTTTAATATTGACAAAATTTTTTCTTCTTCCTACAATTTTAAATTTGTGCTTTTCTCATTGAAACACATTTATTTTTAAGTTGCACTCACTTGTATATAGTATTTACCTTTTTTGTCCTGTACATAGCTTAAATTTACAATAATTGTCTTGAGACTACACTTTATCGATTACACTCTGTTAGATCCCTCATAGGTGATACAATGGTTTGTCCACACGCCTATGTCAACATTATCTGCACTAAAATCAGGACTGATGGGTGGCCGAGAACAGTCTGAGGCAGCCAGAATGACACCTGGGGAATGACATTCATTCTCATTTTCTTGTTAAGTCAAAACTGTTATTAAATATCCTGTGTTTCCTTTACATAAAACTGAACATGTGTGTCCATCTCAGAGATATAAATATATTTCAGAGGTGGAAAATACTATATTATCTATTTGGCATTTTCCCCTATAATTATATGTATGTCTATAATGTTATCTTTCCATCTCACTATTTTACACTCTATGTTTAATCTATACTCTATGTTTAATCTATTAGTTAGTTTTTTCCTCAAAAAACCATTGCAATTGTAGTATGAGCTAGGAAGCAAGTCCTTTCACACATACAAAGAAACAAGTCCTTTCATATACATCGTACACAGAATGCCATCCATGATGCCTATGTGTTATTTTTTTCTACTTCTCCTTCCTCTTCTTGTTCTCCTTTTTTTCTTCCCCTCTTCCTTCCTCTTTTCCTTTTCTTTTCCTAATTTAAGAGGGTTTATGAATTTTATATTTCTGCCATAGTATTGGTGTTGCAGACAATCCATTTTGCTGCAAAATTTCATGATAAAATAAAGGGCGAATAGTAGAGATAAGATTGAGGCAATCACTCAAATACCTGCATCTTGACTAATAGAATAACAGAATCAATAAAATTCTAGTGAAACTAGTGCCACAGATTTTTAAAACACAATTTTAAATGCTTAATAATAAATAAACCTAGGGTAAAATATATTACCTTAAATCAAAGTAACTATCTTGATGAAAATACGTATTAGGTAGACATGAGTTTATCAAGCTATGGAAATTAAATTTGCAGATAGAAAAAATTTTTGACTTTGCATAAACTGTAGAAGACCAAAGATAGCTTTGTCTCATGTCATGTCTTGGTCTCTTTTAGCAAAGGTTTGGAATTACATCAGATTTAGCACTTCCAAATTAGAGTATTTGGCTAAACTGAGGACCGGGTTTTCTATACGTTACTAAATTCTTCACAGCTTTCTACATTCAGCTGTAATCGTGTACTTGGAATTTGGCTGCTATTTGGTTCTACTTAACATGTTGGGAAAACTTACATACTTAAATATGTTTTAAAATATGTGTCTGAAAAGCCTATGCATTTATCATAATATTTAACTTGGCATATTTTAAAATGACAAAGGCAATTTATACCTCAAAGTAAAAATAGAAATTGTGCTTTTTCAGCTTTTAGTTTACTTTCCTTCAAGACTCATTTTTCAGTTGTAGAAAAACAAGATTATATTACAGGAAGGAACTTGACATAAATTTATTCAGGGTGTATATTAATCAATTTTGTAAGCTTAAATTGTTCTTTGTGCTTGGGATAGCAAACTGAAAGGAAGGAATAGAAGATGGAGGGAGGGAAGGAATGAAGGAGGGAGAAAAGAATGGAAGGAAAGAAGCAGAGAATGAAGGAAGAAAGTAAAGAAGGAGGGAGGAAAAGAAGGAAGAAAAAAGGAAAGAAGGGAGACAAGGAGGGAAGAAAAGAAATAAGGAAGGAAACGAACTTTCAAAAGTTGTAGTAAAAACACTTAATACGATAAATACTCTCCTAACAAATTTGTAAATGCATTAGTTATAATGTACTTAAAATAAACGTAAGTGCATTTGTACAAATGTAAGAGTATTAGCTATAGACACAATGTTGTACAGCATGTCTCTATTGCTTATCCATCTCGCATAAATGAAACTTAGGCACTTTCATGTTTATAGCATGGAAATGAATTCTGACAACAACCTGAAGGAGCTTCGAAGTAGATTTATCCCCTGAATCCCAGGAAAGATTCTTAGCCCTGCCCACACCTTGATTTTGTGAACCAACAATATTGTGCTAGACCTTTGACAGAGAATGGTAAGGTAATAAAGGGGTGTTGTTTCAATCCACAAAATTAGTGACAATTTATTATGGTACCAATAGATATCTAATACACTAACATATTCAGAGCTAAAGCTATGATCGGAAATGCCTCATCAGTAACTTTGACAGTCATTTTACTCTGCAATATTTGCATTAGGGATATTTGCTAAGGTCTGGAACTTCTAATACAGAAGAATTCGATTACTCCTGGTATAGTGTGTGTCTTAGGTTTTAATATTTAGACTATGGGGATTTTTCTTCTTTAGAACCCTTTAGATTGGGGTGAGTGTCTGAGTTATTGCTACCCAATTATGCTCTGTCTCAAGTGATGAACTATAACACCCATAGACTAAATTAGAATGTACTAACCGAATATTAGGCCAGATAAATTTTAAAACAATCTGTAATCACAAAGACATGAGGTAGCTGGTCCTAGTGAGGGCAAGAACTTTTTAGAGGAGGAATATTTGAAGCTAAAAAAAAAGTGATAAAGGAGATATGTATTAATCAGAACATACCATGATATGAGAGAGAGAAAGACGGAGGGGCCATAATCATAATTTTACGTGGTTTAGACACCCTATTGTATATGTACCATTAAGTTTCTGGAGATGTTATTTCTTAAATACTGTGTTTCACTTATCTTAAGTATCATCTGAACTACTGCCATCATCTCTCAACCATTTTTCCTGGTTTTACTCTTGTTTTTCTCAAGTCCTCCTCTCTGTATTATGCATAATGTAATAAGTGTAAAATGTAAAATGAATTCGACAGCCACACTGCTTCGAACACACCAATGCATTTTCTATTAAACCTGAATAAAATGCAAAGGGTAACCATGACCTAGAAAATCTTGGCAGCTTCTCCTTTTCTCTTCACGTCCTGTGTGCCTACCATGCCAGGCTTCTATCTCTCTCTGAAGCAGACAACGCTCATTTTCTTCTGGTGACCTTTCTCCTTGCTTTTCTCACCATCCAGAATATTCTTTCTCCAGATTGCCACATTGCTGCGTTTTAATATTCCTTTTCACACCTAAAATACTATCTACTCAGAAAAGATTTTTCTTTTCAGATTCTCCAAATTTACCATCATGCCAATCCAAGTCCCAAGTTTTAGTTCTTTTTGGGCTTATGTGGCAAAATGTCATAAAAATGAGTGGCTTACAAACACCAGAAATTTACATCTCACAGGTCTGGAGGCTGGGAAGTCGAAAATCAAGGAGCCAGCTGACTCAGAGTCTGGGAAGGTTTGCATCCTGGTTTTCACATGGTGTCTTCTCTTTGTGTCCTCGTGTGGTGCACAGGAGTTGTCCAGGGCACAAATCTCATTCTTGAGGGCTTCCCACTCATGAGCTTATTACTTCCCCAGTCTCCACCTCCTAATACCATTATCTTGAAGGTTAGGATTTTAAAACATAAATGTTGGAGGGACACAAACATATAGACCATGGTAGCCTCAGTCCCATTACCCTATGTCACTTTTGCCATAGCACTTATGGCTCCAGAATCACTTGACATAATTAACTAGTTTATTTTCTGTATCTTTTCTCCCTAAGCCATATGGCTCTATAATAATAGTGACTTTTTTTTAATTTAGCACTGATATTCCCAAGTGTTGATATCTAATATGTACAGGGTAAAAATATGTAAATTAATAATCAAAGATCTCTGATTTAATTACATTTGTGAAAATTACAAATTTTATAGCAATGCTTATCTAAACCACATGATTAATGAAATCTCTTAAAAAGATCCCATGTAGAACAATTTACAATGTCATGCTTTTAAGAACAAAAAGGGAGTTAATAAATTATCCATTAGCAACTGATTTCTTGCATAAGTTTTCAGTATCTTGGGATTCTAATGTGTCCAAAAGGGTCCCATGATATCAAGAATGCATGCAAGATGCAAACAAAGCTATTATTTCAAAACTTTGCTTTTTTTTATTATGTTACCCAGATGTCATAATGAACTGCAAGCAAATTCCACCAAGAGCTGATTTAGGCAAAATCTCCAGAAAAACATAAAGCTTCAATAATGAATAAAAAAGACCAGAGGATGCAAAATTCCACAGGAATGTCAGGTAAATCTTTGACCTAAATATATTCATTTCACAATTAGTAAAACAGGAATGATAAATTATTCATGAGTCGGGCTGATATCTTAGCTTCATATTTAATTTCTCGGGTTAGGTTCACCTATTAGCAGAAAAATATATCTGTTATTTCCGTGAATAAAATATTGATATCTAAGTGGCATCAAGACTATTGATTAGTATACAATAGAACAGTTATTAGTGATTATAATATACACACATACAATACATCATAGATAGAAATTCAGAGATGGAAAATTTTAGATACTTATAAAGGGACTTTATTTTCCCTACATTACCTAACACTACAAAATAAATACCTTCAACTATTATACATTTGCATATTCTTTGTTTTGAACAGTAGTATATATATCACAATTATTTTCCACCCCAAGGACTTGAAGAAAATTTTGAGTTTTTCTCTATATAGTAAAGACTCAAAAAATGTTATGTAAATTGTCCCTCAGAAGATGTTTTGTGGTATATGGACAGTGTCAGCGAAAGATACACATAGATAGGCTAACTACAGACTTGGAAAAGAGGAGAGAGTATAGTTGTACAAAAGGCGATCCCTGTTTCTCAGGCTATTCAGAAGTAAGTATAACCCCAAAATATAAAATTTGATAGAATGTTTTAAATTTATTTTTTGTCCCTGTGTTTAGCCTATTACTTTCTTTTCTCTACATAAAGTTTTCTCCAAAATATCATGGAAGCCTAGAATCCACATGTAAGATTTCTATTCTGTAACATATAATTCAAGTCTTTATTATTTGCCAAATTATCTAGAAACCAAAAAATTCTTAAATGACACCTTCATTCATAGAGTTGCTTAGGCCAAAATTCTCATATTGACTGTTACTGTCACATTGATATAATAGACTGTATTCACTACTTACAAAACATATTCCAAACATTCCCAGTTTAGTTCCTTTGCCACACTTTCAATGGAAACCACCACTCCCTCTTCACCCTGACCTTCTGGATTGAGCTAAAATGTCAACCTTTTCAAAAGGAGCCATTTTTTAAATCATATTATCCTAGTTTATTTACTATTTTATTTATATTTTATTTTATTTCCTTCATAACATTCATCACTATTTAAAATTATCACTCTACCATTGCCTTAAATGTTATTACCTGGCTTCCCAGCTAGAATGTAAGCTACAGAGGCCAGAAACTTGTCTTCTAGAACAGTGATTGATGTGGTATTAATGCTAGTAGTTATTTGTTGACTGATTTGTTGTCTAAGCATAAGAAAAGATTAAAAGGAATGTGTGAATATTACTTTCTTATATTGAAACTTTACTGACAATATTGTACTTCCTATAGATAAAATTATGAGATATATGGTGTGTTTTTTTTAAACTTCAACTTCCTTTTAGGTGTGACTTTGTCATGCATTTTCTGAGACCGGATTATTAACTTATTTTACCAAAACAATCTTTGTAAGTGTTTTTATGCCAGATTATTAGGAATTGTGATTTTTCCTCTCATAAAGGCCGTACCCATGAATAATTTAAACATTGCCTGAATTATGTTCAAAAGTAACTGTCACTGCATTCTCTAGGGGATTGTATCACTAAGGGTCTGCACAAGAGAACAGAGCCTACGGAGATTTAATATAGGGAATTCTCGTTAAGGTGTTAGATATGCTGGGGATGAAAAGAGAGGTAGTGTTCCTCAGGAGGAAAGGAGGAGGAGCAAGCTATTTGTCAGAAATGGAGAAACTCCCATGAGTCATAAGCTGAGCCTGTGTTTCCCAGTGAGGGTTGGGGCATCTCCCCACTGGGGCTGGAAGAATCAACACAGTGTGAACAGTACCTGGTTCCCTGGACTGTGGGGGATGCTGGGAAGCCCTAGGTGTTATGTTGGTCTGAGGACTGAGAACAAGGCTCTGTGCTGTGAGCGCTGACAGGCTTTGATGGAGAGATGCCTCCAGAAGGCAGAAGTTCCTCTGATCTGTAATCACCTGCTAGTGCCTCCTATTGGAAGGAACTAGCCAGATTACAGCTGACAAAGATGACTAGAAGAGATATTTGCAAAGACTCATTATTTTAAAAATGCACAGGGTGCAGAAGGGCAGATTTTGGTCCTGAGGCAAATGAGCACCACAGAGGCAATCAAACATATTACAGTATTTGGGAAATGAAGCCATTTCTAGTAGTAGCAAATACAATCTCCGTGTGACACAAATATCTAAGTAAGTCCCCTTTCGAAAGTTGGGTGAATGTGTCTTCTTCTCTATGTGAAGTAAAGGGATCAGGTTTCACACTGGCCAACTGAGAGCTGGTATGGACTTCTCCAACGTATCCAGATATTATTATAATAAATGAAAGCATCAAAAAAGTACATTGTTTAGTGTGAAGAGAATCTATCCACAAGTAAATAAATGCAAACATGAAGCAGATGTGGAAAACATAAAACAAAGTCCAAAATTTTGTGAAAGTTCTATAAAATAAAAAGATAATTTTAGACTGTTATTTTCTGGATTTTATAGATAACCTGCAATCTATTATTCATGCTACTAAAGATTTAGAATCTCTATTGAATATAAAACAGGCATCATTTTATATTAACAGAATTCACAAGAAAGGAAAATTTAAAAATGAACACAAAACACGAATTGAAAATCAGAACGCCGGTGTAAATTGACAGAAAGAGGTTAGCTTAGTGGCCTTGGTTTTCAAGTGGTTTATATTTTCACAGCCTTCTAGGTGCAGAAAAGGTTTTGGTCATTCAAAAATGGAAAGTTGGAACTTAGATTCATGCAAAATTCAAAAATCATTTGATGGCTATATCTTCAGTGGAAGGAAGTATTAAAACTTTCTGTTTACTGATACATGGAGGTAACAACAAGACTGCGTTTAAGATTTATACAAATATGACGTGTTCACTGAGAATTTGTAATGCAATCTTATACTAAAAATATTTTAAGGCTTAAATTTGCATTATCTATATGTTCCAGAATGCACCAGAATTTACAGGTAAATTACCTATATGTTCCAGAATGGAAAATGAATCATCAATACCACTTGAGCACTTATCATAGCTACCATATTACAGCTCTGGAGGGCACATGCTCAGCCAGGCTGCACGAGGTTGCTGGGGATAAAGCCTGGCTGAGACAAACCCATGACTCAAATTACCAGATGCATGAAGAAACAACTTATCAAAAGAGGGAGAGTGAAGGTACAAGACCTGTAGTAAAATAATTGAGTTACAGGCTATTTAATGTAAGTTTTAAATGATTAAATTAAAAAGAAAAATCAAAAGAGAAGAAAAATGTCAAGAGATTAAAAAGACAGGAAAGATTTAACAAAGAATAAAATGAATTCTGGTGAGGGCTAATGGTTAAGGAATGAACTCTGCACTTAGAAGAATAATCTTCTCAATAAGTGATACTGGGAAAAATGATATATGTAGGCAAAAAAATGTATTTCAAACCTTTTTGTACACCTTCTATGTTACTTAAAATATATCACATAAGATTTATACAACTTATACAAAAAAATAAGATATTTTGTGGCCTCAGAATACATTTTTTAAAAAGCTATGGAGATGAAGAGAAAAAAATATGATCCATTAATAAATAAGTGGGAAAATATTTGCAGAGTATTTCATAAACGCCAACAAGCACTAGAAAAGAAAGATGCTCAAACTTAGTATATGTAAATAAAAACAATTCAGTATCTTTTTACAACTACTAGAATGGATAGAATAAAAAAGATTGACCTTAAAAGACTGGTGTAGATGTGGAGCAAAAGGAAATCTCTTACTTTGATAGAATGTAAAATGATACAATCAATTTTTTTAAAAAAAAGCTTGATGGTTTCTTATAAAGCTAAACATGCACTTACTGTATAGGTTTCACTATTTGGTAACTGCATAAGATAGATGAAAACATGTTTACAAAAAAACTTGTGCAAATTCCCATAAAAATTTTATTTGCAATGTTTCAAACTTTGGTAAATGTAACGTATAAAGTGGAATACTTAGCAATAAAAATGATGTGATGAATAGCACACAACAACATGTATGCATTTTGACAGCACTATGTTAGGCAAAAGAATGAGATACCAAGGAATACCTAAAATATCATTCCATTTACATACACTTTCGAAAATACAAGCATAATATTACAGAAAATAGGTTAATTGCTTCCAAGGGTCAAGGTCAGGGAAGGGATCAGAACATTCAGAGCCATGTGGGAGCTTTGGAGATGACAAAACTATTAAATATGATTTTGATGTTTTATTCGACTGAATATATTTGAAAAAAATCTCATGAAACTGTCAAGATAAATTTAGTTAATTGCTGTGTGAATTTTAGTATGTGTAAATTACACTTCAATCAATTTTATTATATATAGTTAATATTCAAATGAAGTTAATTTTAAAAAATTCTATTTGTATTGTCAACTGGATTTATATTAGTAAATTGTTCAGAATATTAGCTAACATTTCTGAGTACATTTTAAAATACTTCAAGTTATTCCTTAATTTGGGATTGAGTTAACAAGTTTCAAAATATTTTTTTAAAAATAAAATTAAACAAGTAAACAGCACATCTTTGAACATGAAACCTCTGCTCAATGTTTCCTTCTGAATATGGTATATATTGGTAAAGTAGAAACTGGATGATTTAGTCAAACTTGAGGTTTGCCTTCTCAATGCAACACATAAAGTTCCTAAACAGATTCATATTTAAAGCAACAAAATAATTGGCCAATTGTTCTATATCTACCTCAGCTAATCTTAGAGAAGTTTACCAATAGAAAATACCTTGAGTCATCATTTTCTAATGGCACAATCTCTATATTCAATGAATCATATTTTTGTCTTAAAATTTACAAGTTGATATTTTTCTTTGCAGTTAAAGTTTAAAATGTGTCTTCCACATTAATAAAGATTAATGTTATAATCTACCAAGGGCTAAGAGATACTGTAGTCTGATATTGGAAGGTAGGTCTAGGAAAAAGGATGGAGGTAAGAGATAAATATAGGCTTTTAAGGTCTTTAACTCCAGAATGGGAGGCTACTTGAATTTAAGACTCATTTCAGTAAATATCTTCAAGAATATTTCATTACCTAACTTTGAGATTGAATTAAAGTAAATGGCATCCTTATACTCTACTACACCTTCTTCCAAATAAGCCATAAGCTTAAAATGGTTTATACCAGGATAAGGAATAAAATTTATTTCACAATCTTGATCATTTCTTTCACCACATCAAACAATGAGCCTGTTTTAAAGTTCACAGCAGAAATTCTTCTGATAAAATATTCAGTGAGAACTGCAGATACTACATTTTTTTTTAGATTTGACTAAATAAGCCCCTGTCCTGGATACATTTTTCTAGAATTTTGTCTAATTTTGAGGTAAGTATTCCAATAGAAGCCTAGAAAAATAATAGGATGAATTAAATCTAAATGTTATCAAAGCTATGCAATTTTATTTATAGCTTTTTTGTTTTCTAATATGAAACATATTTTATGCATTGTATTTAAATGGCATTATTTTTACAACATATATTTTATTAAAATCTTGAAATTCTGTTTTAGAAATTGTTAAAATATGATAATTTTAAGTAGATTTCTATATTAACAACCAGTAAAACTAGTTATGTATAATACTATTAGGTTGGTGTAAAAGTAATTGCAGTTTACCAAAACTAATAACTAATTAGAATTATTATTGTAATAATAGTTATTTAAATAAGTGATAATTTCAAGCACTCTGTAAGCATAATTTTTACATAAATTACACTATTTAGCCTTATAACAACCTTATGACCTGGGAAATATTTTAGTCACTCACATTTTACTAACAAGAAAACTTGTAGACATGGTTAAAGAATTGGCTGAAAATTATTTAAGTGTAAGAACTGAGATTTGAATCGATGAATTCTAACTAAAAAAGGAAGTTCTTTGACAATATGTTTGCTGTGTTTCTGAAAAAATAATCATGACTAGCACTTTATGGCCAAGTGTCCATAAATTTAAGACCTTGTAAATGTCTTAAAAAATAATCTTATGAAGCAATCAGAAACGATAATTTTTCAGAAGTCCTTATATTATAAAAACAGACATTCTAACAAATACACTGATTATTTTAAAGCTCTTTAATGATTTATCTGCCATCATTAGTAAGATAATTATTTTCGGCAGTGATTTTTGATTTGTTTTTAACAGTCAAAGAAAGCCATGCAGACCAATGTCGGTTAACGGTAAGGAAATTTGAATTCCTATTCTTGATGAAACAAATAATGTTATCAAAAAAAAATTATTTTTAGTTTACATTGAAATAACATACAAGTAATTGTGTCAGTGGTGATGTTCAATCCACATGATTTCCTCTTTTAATGAAAGGTAAAACAAATGATGCTGATGATTTTCCCAGAGAGATTGTAAAGGTACATGAAAAAATACAATAAGAATCATTATTAAAGTCATTGCATAGATTAACCCAGAGATGTTGAAGTCTGTTTCTCATATTATTATTTTTATCGTCTACATATTTATTTTATTTTTCTAGTTTTATTGAGGTAAAATTGACAACTTAAAAGTGCATATACTTACAGTGTATATAATATTTTAATTTATATACATTGTGAAATGATTCCCAGAGTAAATCTAATTAATAGATCCATCACCTCACACAGTTATCTTTGTGTGTGTATCTCTGTGGTGAGAACATTTAAGAGCTACTCTCCTAGAAAATTTCAAGTATGTAATACGCTATTAACTAGTGTCACTTTTCTGTACATAAGATCCCCAGAACTTACTCATTAAACTTAGTACTCTTTAAACAAACCCCTTACAAAATACAGGAGGTGTAATCCTCCACGGCACATATCTTTGAATAAAAAGTAAAACATAAAGTAAAACATTGAAATGCTATGGACAGCAAATGTTGGGGTAGACATTGACTGAAAAAAAATGAGAAAATAGTAAGAAAAAAATTCTTTGACAACTGGATTTGATATTTTGCATCCAGAAAATAGGTAAGTTTTTTTTCCTTTAGCTAATGTTTATTTGCTTTCTTTTTCTTTATTTTTAAGATTTTATACAACCTCATAGAGTAAATGGGAGCAAAGTTAGCAAGAGGTAGATTGATTAAGAGTAATTATGAAGGGATGAAATACCCTCTGACTCTGAAGACACTAATGTATTAATCTGTGGAATAAGAAAGAACATACCAGGTAAAACAGATTTTTGGACTGAGGAAATGTGTGTATATGTTATCTTTTATTATGAGTGGGAAAAAGAAAGAAAGAAAAAGAGTGGGAAGAACCCTTTTGCAGGGAATCAGAGGCTTCATATTGTTTTATTTTTAATATTTCAAGTTTCTGATACCTCTTTAAATTAAAATGATTTATGGAGTACAGTTGGATATAGGTATTTACAGTTTCTGTGAGACTTTTAAATTTGCTGCAGCTCCCAAAATGCTAGAATTAGAGGTGTGAGCCACTGCACCCAGCCAACGCCTAACTTTTTTTAAACATGCCTATGACATATAAGCAAAGTATGTTCAATGTTTTGAAAATGACTCATTTCCAAAAACGGAATTCAATTTCCAAGCTTAACTGCATACTTTATCTTTCATTATTATAAAACATGGTCATTTTTCTAAATATAACTTTCTTCATACCTAACTCTATTCTTCTAAAGCATAGTTCAATGTTTATGGAGTCTCTCAATTACAAAGTTAACTTTTAAGTCAATTTAAATTTAAATAGAGATTTAGACTGTATCATTCATTTTATTTTATGTTAAGAAAGTTGTTTATAGGTCTGCAATTTATAACTGCTGATAAACATAACAGTGATAGATAGATAGATAAATAGATAGATCTAGGTTAGTGTAAAAAAAATCCGATTTTTATTGACAAGTTTGCTTGAATTAAGAAAATATTAAGTCATTGAAATTCTAAAGGATTGTAATCTTGAAAAAAAACTATAGAAAATATATCATACAAACACCCATGTACTCACATATATACACATTTGCAAACATCAAATTGAAGTTTAAAACTGTCTTATAAATTATGAAAAGTTTTTAACAAGTTCATGTGTTATCTGGCAAAAGTGAATTTTGAGAGAAATAATTTATATGTATTTTAAAGGCCACTTGTCTGAGGGCAGAAGACAAAACGTGAAAACATTTTTTTCGTGTATTGAGCACTTTACTATTCAATGAATAGTTTACGAAAATAGGCTCAATTATTAAAGGAATGGCATTCCTATAATCTAAGGAACACCTACTACATGAAGATTGCAGGACTAAATTCTGATGATAAACATAGTAATTGTTCCAATATTTGTTCCAACAAATGGGTTTTAAGAAATGGCTTACATGGTACTGGTACCAAAACAGAGATATAGACCAATGGAAAAGAACAGAGCCCTCAGAAATAATGCCACTTATCTACAACTATCTGATCTTTGACAAACCTGACAAAAACAAGCAATGGGGAAAGGATTCTCTATTTAATAAATGGTGCTGGGAAAACTGGCTAGCCATATGTAGAAAGCTGAAACTGGATCCCTTCCTTACACCTTATACAAAAATTAATTCAAGATGGATTAAAGACTTAAATGTTAGACCTAAAATCATAAAAACCCTAGGAGAAAACCTAGGCAACACCATTCAGGACATAGGCATGGGCAAGGACTTCATGTCTAAAACACCAAAAGCAATGGCAACAAAAGCCAAAATTGACAAATGGGATCTAATTAAACTAAAGAGCTTCTACACAGCAAAAGAAACTACCATCAGAGTGAAGAGGCAACCTAAAGAATGGGAGAAAATTTTTGCAACCAACTCATGTGACAAAGGGCTAATATCCAGAATCTACAATGAACTCAAACAAATTTACAAGAAAAAAACAAACAACCCCATCAAAAAATGGGCGAAGGATATGAACAGACACTTCTCAAAAGAAGACATTTATGCAGCCAACGGCCACATGAAAAAATGCTCATCATCACTGGCCATCAGAGAAATGCAAATCAAAACCACAATGAGATACCATCTCACACCAGTTAGAATGGCAATCATTAAAAAGTCAGGAAACAACAGGTGCTGGAGAGGATGTGGAGAAATAGGAACACTTTTACACTGTTGGTGGGACTGTAAACTAGTTCAACCATTGTGGAAGTCAGTGTGGCGATTCCTCAGGGATCTAGAACTAGAAATATCATTTGACCCAGCCATCCCATTACTGGGTATATACCCAAAGGATTATAAATCATGCTGCTATAAAGACACATGCACATGTGTGTTTATAGTGGCACTATTCACAATAGAAAAGACTTGGAACCAACCTAAATGTCCAACAATGATAGACTGGATTAAGAAAATGTGGCACATATACACCATGGCATACTATGCAGCCATAAAAAATGATGAGTTCATGTCCTTTGTAGGGACATGGATGAAACGAAACCATCATTCTCAGCAAACTATCACAAGGACAAAAAACCAAACAGCGCATGTTCTCACTCATAGATGGGAATTGAACAATGAGAACACATGGACACAGGAAGGGGAACATCACACACCGAGGACTGTTGTGGGGTGGGGGGAGGGGGGAGGGATAGCATTAGGATATACCTAATGCTAAATGACCAGTTAATGGGTGCAGCACACCAACATGGCACATGTATACATATGTCACAAACCTGCACGTTGTGCACATGTACCCTAAAACTTAAAGTATAATAATAATAAAATTTTTTAAAAAAGAAATGGCTTACATCCTGTAATTTCAAAAGACTTTTAAAACTAGGATAAAGAAATATGTTTTAACAACACTTATATGATTTACAGATGTAGTGTTTTGCTTATCAATAGGCATATTATCAAACTAATGTAAACTTTTCAGCCTTTCTATTGTAAGAAGTAGTCACTGTGTTAAGTAAGGTAGTGATTTCCAGTCTTAATCTTTTAAGTCAGATTTTTTTATCAATAGCTTAATAGAAAGTCCTTCAACCCTTAGATCCTAAGTGAGAGTTGGCATTTAACTAATCTAATCAGCACAAAACATTCGAGTCTATGGAATTAGATCATTACATTTATTGGAAAATAGGACATAGAATGAGAAGAAGGAACACACTCATAGTTCAAAACCATTGTATCTGTGGGGATGGAAATTTTACAAATGAGTTACACTTTACCAGATACTACTTATGGTTAAATAAATAATATTCGTATAGTATGTGGTGTCTGGCAAGTATGTCTGACATGCTATTCATACAATATAAAAGTAATAGTTTTTTTTTTCTGTAAAGCAAACTAGACTTTTTAAAACAGGATAAAATTTTAGGAGCATAATTTCTAAGTACACAAGACAGCTTTTAACACATATTTTGAATTGTGAGTTACTGTTAATTTTATGACACACTAAAGGTAATGGTGGACAAAATTTGTGAGAATTTTCTAAATAATTAAACAGTCAGGTATGTCAATGACATTTTCAAAAAATATGAGGCCTGGTCTGTGCCATAGAAGTAAGTTCCAAGTTAGTTCTATATTCAAACATTTGAACTTACTTGAAGTTACTTTATGATATTTTTATGTAGAAATGTTGAGCTCTCTTAAAGTAACTCTCCTATTTTTCTCACGGCTTTTAGAAAAAAATAAATTTAGAGCAGACTCACTGTTTTGGGAATATTAGTTGCTAATGCAGAATGCTATGCATTTTTAAGTCTTGATAATTAGATTATTTTTATTAATGGATCTTTATATGTTTTATTTAATTATAAGGTCTTCATATGAAATAGATTAAAATGCAGTGTGTTGCTGATATGGTACACTACAATTTATTAGTTTCATGTAACTTAATCATGACTAGAAGATATTAATCTGTGTTAACTAGCTAGCGGCCTATCTTCTGGTAGAGTGGAGTAATGAGAAGTAGCACAATCACCGATGCCATCGGCCGCTTACGGGAATTGGTCCTCGGTTCCTTCTCACTGCTCTCACTGCACACTCCTTGTGTTTTCTGGCAAATGTGGATCACCCTCCTGTTCTAGATTCAGGCCACACTCCACAGAATTAATCTAGATTTCAACTTTCCTTTAATCTTCAATGGATTTTTGCTTCACTGTGCTGAACAATTTTTGAGACCAATGCAATTAGGTACCTAAGGTGATAATTTAGTTTTCTGCTTACCTTAATGAAATGCTTCTGAGTAGAGGTATCCATTTATTTCTAATACTATCCTCTTAGGTTCAGAGCAATGTAAATAAACGTTATTACTAGTACAATATGTGCATATGATATGTGTATATTTTATTGAGGTTATTTATAGGGCAATATGTAACTTGATATTACACATTCATATATGACCATGTTTTCTTTATAGGTGACAGGAGGTAGTGGATAATACTGACTCTAGTATTTATTAGTTTCATGTAGTAAGAGACTGTAAAATAATGTATTTATTTGTTTGTTTATTTATTTTTGATACATATAAACTTTTACTTTATTTCAGTATAGTTTTAAACATGCAGTCTATGTTTTAGACTTTTAAAGACATAAAATTTCTACACACTACTTTCAAGTGGTAAAAATTAAGTGAAATGCTTGCATTAATAAATGAAAATACAGTAAAAAATTGTTGGTGCAAGTTTCTGCTCTATGGTGTAATCTTACTTGAGATTTATTATTTCTTTGCATCTGTCCTTCTCTTAATTATTTTTATAGTATTTTCCTATTCAACAATGATTCAACCCTCTTGGTATTTGTCATGAGTCCTTTTGGCACTGCTGCATGATTTTTTAAAGTTAGTGCACCCTCTGCCATATTTAACAGTACCACAACTTCTGCCTCTTTGGGGCCAAAAATTCACACTACCATTTCTGTCTTCATGGTAGAGGTACATCTGATTTTGGGGGGCATATTCTGGAGTCCGTTTCTATTTCTTCAGTCTCTTGAAAAGCAGTATTTGATTTATTTGTACCAGTATTGGTTGACTGCGAATCCTTTAAACATACTAATTTTTTCAACGTAAACAGAAAAAATATAACAGGGTGAAGATAATGATGGTAATGATTATCTTTAAAAATGATCATGCAGAAAAGGCTGGGCTAGGCTGGAAGAGATGAGATGTGGGTTTAAGCCTAGCTTTTCCATTTTTGCTAACCTTTTGTTTTAGTTTTCTAATTTATTGAAAAATAGATTTGATAAACTCTAATGTGATTTAGAGCTAAAATAAATATCAGTCTATTAAATTCCTAAAAGTGTAGATTAATAAAATGCTTTAATAGGAAAAAAAACAGACAAAACATAGCAAGAAAATAGTATATTCCTTTAGGGTATGTTCAACACATGGGTCATTATTCTGAAAGTGTAACATTCCAACCCAGTATCTGTGACTTGTTTATTACTGCCTAGAGAAATGTCTCTCCCAAAGGTAGAGTTCAATTGTATCTTATTATAGTTAGTGATTTCCTCACTCACCTCCAGACTGGTAATTACCATTGTTCTCTACACAGCATCCATATAAAGAAAATATTTCCTATCACTATTTCTGAATATACTGCTCTTTAACTGTCCCGTTGGGAAGGGAGAGATTGGTAAGGTTTTAGTTTTTCTTTATAAGAATAAACCTAAATCACAATCTGAAATAGCCTTCCCTGGAAGTTTTATAATACTAAAGGATTTTTAGGTATTTATGTACATTAGTTTCAGACCAAATAATTTAATTTGTATTTACCCACCACTATTTAATTTATAATTAAAATATTCTACTGAGTGTAAGGAATGAATATTTAAATTGCAGAAATATCATATGGATAGCAATTATTTTACTTTAATCTTTTAACTGAATAAATATTAATTGTTACAGTTTCTTTGGTAAATATTTTGTATTAAAAGGTCAAAAGATATTTATTAGTAACAGTTTTGTATTTGAGACTGGGCTTTAGAAAAGAAAATAATCTACATTCACTGAATCTGAAGCTTAAAGCCTAGAAGGAGAATCAAACTGGCAATAATAGTTTTATTACAAATTGATAACTACACTTAATAGAGAGAAACAAGTACTGTAACAGGAACATTATTAGAAATTAATTACAGATTTAAAAATACATAATGACTACTGTGAATCTTGAAAAGAGGTCTGGAAATTAAACAGGTAGAAAAGAGCATGGAGCGTACTGAATTCAGATTAAAATGGGGTCATTTTCCGTACCTGCCCCAAACCTAGGAGTGGAAAAATACTGAACCAAGAAAACCTATGCCAAAAGAAAAGGAGAGAAAAGGAGAAGAGAGTAGGGGAGAGGGGAGGAGAAGAGAGCGGAGGGAAGAGAAGGGGAAAGGAAAGAAGACTGGAAAGTGAAGGGAAGGGAAGGGTAAAGAAAAGGGGTAAGAAAAGGAGGAAAAAAGGAAAGGAAAGGAAAAGAGAGAAAGAAAAACAAAGAGAAAGAAAAAACGAAAGAAAAAAGAATGAACAAAAGCAAGCAAGAAAGAAAAGAAAGGAAGGGAAGGAGGAAGAAAAGAAAGAGAAAGAGTAAAAGGAGTGTCTGTAGTATGCTAAAACCAAGAGGAATCCCTGGAAACTGGGGAAAAAGACAAGGTTAGCTTGAAGAAGAAAACAACAACTCAATTATTTTGGAATTCTGGAGTTTATTGAAGACTTACAACTTCCAAGGTCAAGCTTGGACAATAAATTGTGGTTAATTTCCATCATCTTCAGCTCTCAGCAAAGTTGCAGCTCTCAGCCCATGAGCACCAGACCCGTGTCAGGATGCTGTCCACATGTTCCTGGAGCAACCTGAATACAGCTGTGAGAGAAAGAGTGAGCGAGAAAGGCGCTGTACTCCAAACACCAGGGATCTGTGTCCTGATTGCTAATGCCTGTTTTGATTACAGAGATACACAGAATGAGACAAGGACCATTTTTATTGCACCTCCCTGATTGCAACGAACTTTCTCCTCCATCTCCAGTGATCTCTGGGATATTTAAAGGGCCAGCACCTATTTTTCCCTCCCATCCTTTTAAAATTTTTTCCATTTTGAGAGCTAGACATTAAATACTAGGATATTTAAAATAAATTGCATATATAGGGAAAATTAGAAAATTATCATAAATGTCAAGGGGAAGGTGGAGGCTTAGAAAAATCCTAGGAAAAACTTAATATGCACATTAGTCTGATCATTGGCACAGAGACAACAACAATCCAGAATAAATAAATAAAGCAATAACAAGAATAGTAACAATGGAAACCCTAAGGAAGGGGTAGAATATTATTTCTAGATTTACCACATTGTAGATTCCAATGTCCCATTTTCAACAACAACAACGACAACAAAATCACAGGGCATAAAAATAAACAGAAAATTGTGGCCCATTCAAAGAAAAATTAAATCAATGGAAACTCACCCTAAAAAAGACCTGAAGACATATCCACTCAACAAAGATATTAAAATAACTCTTCAAAGTGCTCAAATAACTAAGGGAAACATGAAGAAAATTAAGATAACAATGTATAGGCCGGGCGCGGTGGCTCACGCCTGTAATCCCAGCACTTGGGAGGCCAAGCAAGGCGGGCGGATCACGAGGTCAGGAGATCGAGACCATCTTGGCTGACACGGTGAAACCCCATCTCTACTAAAAATACAAAAAATTAGCTGGGCATAGTGGCGGGCGCCTGTAGTCCCAGCTACTCTGGAGGCTGAGGCAGGAGAATGGCGTGAACCCGGGAGGCGGAGCTTGCAGTGAGCCGAGATCACGCCACTGCGCTCCAGCCTGGGCCAGAGAGACTCCGTCTCAAAAAAAAAAAAAAAATGTATAAACAAAATTGAAATAAGAATAAAAGAGACCACAAAGAAATCCTAGAGCTGAAAAGAAATGAAAAAAATTTTAAAATCCTAGAGAAATTCAATAACAGATTTGAGCAGGTAGAAGAATCAGCAAACTTGAAAATAAGATAATGGAAATTATTGAATATGAAGATCAGAAATAAAAAGATCGAAGAAAATAAACAAAGATTAGGAGGCCTATAGGACACAATCAAGTGGACCAATATATACATTGTGAAAGTCACGGTAGAAGAAGGAGGAGGCAGAGAGAAATAGAAGAAATAATGGCTGGAAACTTCCCAAATTTGATGCAAAATATGAATATACACATCCAGTAAACTCAGTGAACTCTAAGTAAGATGAACTTAAAGACCCACACTGAGACATAATCAAACTTTTGAAAAAAAAAATCCAAAAAGAAAATCTTGAAAGTAACAAGAGAAAAGCTATTTACCACATACAAATGATTCTCAGTAGGATTATCAGCAGATTTCTGGTTTCTCATCAGAAAGTTTGGTGGCCAAAAAGCAATGGCTGATATATTCAGAGTGCTAAAGAAAAAGTCAACCAAGAATCCCATATCCAGCAAAACTGTTCTTTAAAAGTGGACAAGAAACTGAGATGCTTACAGATAAACAAAATCTAAGGTAAAACGTTATCATGAGACCTGCCTCACACACAAAAAATTGCTCAAGGAAATCTTACAGGGTGAAATAAAAGAACGCACTCAGTAACTCAAAGCCATATAAGGAAGTAAAGCTCTCAATAAAAGTAAATACTTGGGCAACTATAAAACGAGTGTTATTGTAATGACACTTTACAAGTGTACTTTTATTTCCTACATGATTTAAGAGACTAATACATGTACAAATAAAACAATAAATATTCTAAAAGTTATTATTACTCTAACTGATTTATAACTCTGCATTTTGTTTCCTACATAATTTAAAAGACTAAGGCATTTCAGAATATCACTAGTTTATTCTTAGGGGTATGTAATTATAAAGATGTAATTTTGTGACATTGACAACTAAATGGGATGGGGATAGAACTATTAAAGAAGAAGGGGTTTTGTATCCTATTGAAATTAAATCATTAATTTGAATTAATAACTCAAATTACAGTGTTATAAGATTAGGATACTAAGTAGAATTCCAATGGTAACCACAAAGAAAATAGCTATAAAATGTATACAAAATAAAATGAGACAGATTTAAACTGTTCACTGCAAAGCTTAACAAAATACAAAAGAAGTCAGTAATGCAGAACATGAGTGACAAAAAAAAGCTGTAAGGAGTAATGAAAACAAATAACAAAATGACAGGTAAATCTCTCATTGCCAGTAATTACTATAAATGTAAAATCTCCGATCAAAATACAGATATTAGCATGATGGATTTTTAAAAACCCCACTATCTGCTGTCTACAAGAGACTCACTTTGGATCTGAAAAATCAAACAGATTAAAAGTGAAAGGATGAGAAACCATGGTCCCAGGAAATAGTGGCCAATGAGAGCAGGAGTATCCATAATAATATCAGACAAAATATACTTTAAATCAAAAAGTATATGAAACAAAAACATTGTATATTAATAAAAGTTTTAATACAGCAAGAAGATATGACAATTAGAAATATTTACACACTTTATTCAAAAACATCAGAATATATGAAGTAAAGACTGACAGAAATGAAGGGAGAAATCAACAATTGTACAGTAGTGCTTGGATACTTCAATACTTCATTCTCAAGAATAAATAGAAAAACTAGACAGAAGGTAAGTAGAAAAATAGAGGACTTTACACAATAAAACAGGTAGATCTAATGGACACATACTGACCACTCTACCTAACAAGAACACAAGATCCATTCTTCCTAAGTGCACATGGCAAGATCCATTCTTCCTAAGTGCACATGGGACATTTTTCAGGATAGATACAGGAAAAAGTATATAAAATCTTAATAGTTTTAAAACTGTAACCATTATACAGAAGATGTTCTCCAAGCAGAAGAACGTGCATTTAAAAATTAATAACAAATAAAAGTGAAAAGTACCCAAAGATGAGAAAATTTGAAAAATAAACTCTTAAGCAATGAATAAAAGGAAAAAACTTAAGGGACATTAGAAAATATTTAGGGACAAATTAAAACCAAAACACAACATACCAAGACTTATGTGACATAGAGAAAAAAGAGGTAAGAAGGAAATGTATAACTGTAAATGCTTACTTTAAAAACAAGAAAGATGTAAAATGAAAAATCTAATTTTATAACTTAAGGAACTAAAAAAGAAGAACAAACTAAACTCAAAGCTAGCAGATGGAATAAAATAATAAAAAATAGAGCAAAGATAAATAAAACAGGAAACAAAAAAGGGGGAAATTAATGAGACTAAATGATAGCTTTTTGAAAAGATCAATAATATTGACAAAACTTTAGCTAGACGGACTAAGAAAAATGAGAGAAGATTCAAATTACTGAAATCAGAAGTAAAAGTATGGACATGCCTTCTGATGCTACAGAAATGAAAATCATTATAAGAGAGTACAATATACTATTCTGAATGTCAGCTGTACTGAATGTCAACAAGTAGGATAGCCTAGATGAAATGGACAAGTTTTTAGAAACACAAAATCTACAAAGACTAAATCATAAAGAAATAAAAAATATCTGATTAGATCTATAACTAGTTAAGAGATTGTAATAAGAATCTCTGAACAGAGAAAAACCCTTGGCCAGAGAGCTTCATTGGTAAATTTTAACATTTAAAGAGCAAACAGTCATCTTTCTAAGACTTTTCCCAAAAGTTGAAGAGGAGGGAACATTTACTAACTGATTTCTCTGAAGCCAGCATTAACCAGGTACCAAAGCTAGGCAAAGACATTAAAAAAGAATACAACTACACACCAATATTCCTTAAACATGTTAATGCAGAAATCCTCAACAAAATATTAGCACACAACATTTAGCACATTGATATATTAAAAGAATTATAGACCATACAGAAGTGGGGTTTATATCTGGAATGCCAGCATGGTTGAACATATGAAAATCAACATTATATTTTATACTCACAAAATGGGGATGAGGAATACACAGTCGTCTCATCTAATATCACATGCACAAAAAGAATTATTTAATGATAAAATCACTAAAGAAACTAGGAATCAAAAACTTCCAAAACATAATAAAAACCATATATGAAAAGCCCACCCTCAATGGTGAAAGCCTGAAAGTTTTTGCTCTAAGATTAGGAACAAGGCAAGGTTTCTCACTTATAAGTGAGAAAAGGTATATTTGGTTTTCTGGTTTTTGAGTTAATTCACTTAGAATAATGGCCTCCAGCAGTGGAATCCACGTTTCTGCAAAGGACAGGATTTTGTTATTTTTTTACAGCTGCATGGTGTTCCATAGTGTATATGAAACGCATTTTAAAAATCCAGTTCATCATTAATGAGCACGGGGGTTGATTTTATATCTTTGCTACTGTGAACAGTGTGGTGATGACATAAAAATGCATGTGCCTTTTGGTAGAATGATTTGTTTTCTTATAGATATATACTCAGTAATGAGATGGCTGGGTCAAATGGTAGTTCTAAGTTCCTTGGGAAATCTCCACACTGCTTTTCACAGTGGCTGCAATAATTTACATTCCAACCAACAGTGTATAAGCATCCTCTTTTCTCTGCAGCCTCACCAGCATCTGTTGTTTTTTGGCGTCTTAGTAATAGCCATTCCGACTAGTCTAGTATGAGTTGGTATCTCACTGTGGTTCTGATTTGTATTTCTCCAGTGATTAGTGATGTTGAGGATTTTTTCATATGCTTGTTGGCTGTGCATATCTCTTCTTTTGAGATACATCTGGTCATGATTTTTACCTACTTTTTAATGAGGTTGTTTTTTGATTGTTCAATTGTTTGAGACCCTTACAGATTCTGGATATGACATTTTTGGTGCATGTGTCGTTTGCAATATATTCTCCCATTTTGTAGGTTGTCTTTTTACTCTGATGACAGTATCTTTTGGTGTGCAGAAGCTCTTTAGTTTAATTAGGTTCCACTTGTCAACTTTTATTTTTGTTGCAATTGCTTTTGATGACTTAGTAATAAATTATTTTCTAACATCAATGCCCAGAAGGATGTTTTCTAGGTTTTCTTCTAGGATTTCTAGAGCTTGAAATCTTAAATTTAAATATTTAATCCATCTGAAGTTATTTTTTGTATATGATGAAAGGTAGGGTTCCAATTTCAATCTTCTGCATTGGCTAGCCAGCTATCCCAACACCATTTATTGAAAAGGGTGTCCATTTCCTATTGCTTCTTTTCATCAATGTTTTCAAAGATCAGATGGCTGTAGGTGTGCAGCTTTTTTTTTTCCTGGGTTCTCTATTATGTTTCATTGGTCTGTATGTCTGGTTTTGTACCTGTAACATGCTATTTTGATTACAGTTGCCTTGTAACAGACCTTTGAAGTCAGGTAATGTAATGTCTTTGGCTTTGTTCTTTTTGCTTAGGATTGTTTTGGTTATTTGAATTTTTTGGTTCCATATGAATTTTAGAATAGTGTTTTCTAATTCTGTGAAAAAAAATTGGTAGTTTGAGAGGAATAGCATATAATCTGTAGATTACTTTAGGCAGTATGGCCATTGTGACAATATTAATTCTTCCAATCCATGAACGTGGGATATTTTTCCATTTATTTGTGTCATCTATGATTTCTTTTAGCAGTGTTTTGTAGTTTTCATTGTGGAGATTTCACTTACTTGGTTAGATGTTTTTCTATGTAATTTTTTTCTGGCTATTGTAGATGTGATCACATTCTTAAATTGTCTCTGTGATTGAACATTATGGCTATATATAAATGCAATTGAATTTTGGACATTGAATTTGTATCTTGGAAATTTACTGAATACATTTATCAGTTCCAGGAGTCTTTTGGTGAAGTATTTAGGACTTTCTATGTATAGAATCATTATCAGCAAAGAGAGATATTTTGATTTCTTCTTTTCCTATTTGAATGCCTTTTATTTCTTTCTCTTGCCTGATTGCTCTGGTTAGCAATTTTAGTACTATGTAAATGGAGTGGAGGGGTAAAAGTGGGCATTCTTTCTAGTATCAGTTCTCAAGGGAAATCTTTCCAGTTTTTATACATTCAGTATGATGTTGGCTGTGGGTTTGTCATAGATGGCTCTTATTATTTTGAGGTAAGTTCCTTTGATGCCTAGTTTCTTGAGGATTTTTATCATGAAAGGATGCTGAATTTTATTAAAATTTTTTCCATGTCTATTGAGATAATCATGTGGTTTTTATTTTTAATTATTTTTATGTGGTGAATCCCATTTACTCATTTGAGCATGTTGACCCTAACTTGCTTCCCAGGAATTAAGCCGATTTGATCATGGTGAATTAACTTTTTGATGTGCTGCTGGATTTGGTTTACCAGTATTTCGTTGAGGATTTTCGCACATATATTCATTATGAATATTGGCCTGTAGTTTTCTTTTTTTTATTGTGTCTTTCCCAGGTTTTGGAATAGAGGTGATGCTGGCTTTATAAAATGATTTAGAAAGAAATCCCTCCTCCACAATTTTTAGAATAGTTCTAGTAGCATTGGTATCAACCCTTCTTTGCTTTTCTGTAGAATATGGCTGTGAGTCCATCTGATCTAGGATTTTTTGGGAGGAAGGTAGAAGTTTTAATAATGACTCAGTTTCAGAACCTGATACTGGTCACTTCGGGGATTCAGTTTCTTCCCGATTCAATTGTGGGAGATTGTGTGTTTCCAGGAATTTATTAATTGTCCCTAGATTTCTAGGTCGTTTGCAAAGATGTGTTCATAATAGTCTCTTAACATTTTTTTAAATTTCTTTGTAATTATTTATAATGTCACCTTTTCCATTTCTGATTGTGTTTATTTGAATCTTCTCTCTTTATTCTTTGTTAATCTAGAAGGAAGTCTTTTGAACTTGTTTATCTTTTCAAATAACCAACTTTTGTGTTCATTGATTCTGTGTATGGATTTTGGGGTCTCAAGTTTGTTCAGTTCTGCTTAGCTATTTTTTTTTCTGCTAGCATTTGGGGTTAGTTTGTTCTTGTTTTTCTGTTTTCTCTAGGTGTAATGTTAGGTAATCAATTTGAAAGCTTTCTGACTTTTTGAAGTAGATTTTCAGTGCTATAAACTTTCCTCTTAATACTGATTTTGCTGCATCTCAGAGATTTGGGTATGTTGTGTCTCTGTTTTAATTTATTTTAAAGAATTTTTTGATTAATACCTTATTTTCATTGTTTACCGAAAAGTAATTTAGAGGCAAGTTGTTTAATTTCCATGTAATTGTATGGTTTTCAGACATCTTCTTTGTGTTGATTTCTCTTCTAATTCCAATGTGGCATGAGATTATGGGTGATATTATTTTGATTCTTAAAAATATATTGAGATTTGCTTTATGGCTAGGCATGTGGTCAATTTTCAAGTATGTTTCATGTGCAGATGAGAAGAAAGTATCAGCTCTTCCTTATACATCTGGTAGAATTTGGCTGTGAATCTATCTGGCCCTGGCCTTTCTCTGGCTGGTAGACTTTTTATTACAGATTCAATTTGGGAATTCATTATTGGTCTATTTAGGGATTCAGATCAATCATATTTATTTTTTCAAAGAGCAGTCTCTTGAATTTGCTGATCTTTTGTATTTTTTGTATGTGTCTCAAATTCCTTCAATTCAGCTCTGATTTTAGTTATATCTTCTCTTCTGTTAGCTTTGTGTTGGTTTGATCTTGTCCCTAGTTCCTCTGAGTGGGATGTTAGGTTATTAATTTGAGATCTTTCTAACTTTTTGATGTGGACATTCAGCACTATAAACTTCCTTTCCGTCTTAACATTGCCTATCTATGTATCAAGATTCTGGTATCTTGTATATTTTTTCTCTTTAGTTTCAAGTAGTTATTTATTTCTTCTTTAATTTTATTGTTTACTCAAAAGTCATTTATGAGCAAGTTGTTTAATTTCCATCTAATTGTATGGTTTGGAGCAATTTTCATAATATTGATTTCTATTTTTATTGTGCTGTGGACTGACAATGTATTTGGTATGATTTCGGGTTTTTTGGGGGGTTTACTGAGTATTGTTTTATGGCTGATTGTGTGGTCAATTTTAGAGTATGTGACATGTGCAAATGAGAAGAATATATATTCTGTTGTTTTTGGGTAGAGAGTTCTGTAGATGTCTGTTAGGCCCATTTGGTCAAATGTTGAGTAAATCTCCTGAATATCTTTTTATTTTCTGCCTCAATGATCTGTCTAATAGTGTTTGTTTTTTAAATCAATATTGGTTTAAAGATTGTTTTTTACTGAAATTAGATTAGCAACTTCTGCTTTTTTTTTCTTTTTTTCTATTTGCCTGGTATATTTTTCTTCATCCCTTTACTTTGAGTTTTTGGGTATCATTGCATGTGAGATAGATCTCTTGAAAACACCATATTGTTGTGTCTTGCTTCTTTATCCAACTTGGCACTCTGTGCCTTTTAACTGGGGCATTACATTCAATAATGTAATATACACAGATTTGATTCTGTAATCATGTTGTTACCTGGTTATTATGCAGAATTGTTTGTGTGGTTGCTTTATAGTGTCAATGGTTTATGTACTTAGGTTTTTGAGGTGGTTGGTAACATATTTTCCTTTCCATATTTAGCTCTCTCTCAAGGACCTACTTTAAGGCTGGTCCGGTGGTAACCAAATCCCTTAACATTTGTTTCTCTAAAAGGTACTTTATTTCTCCTTCACTTATGAAGCTTAGTTTGGCTGGATATAAAATTCTTGGTTGAAATTTCTATTCTTTAAGATTGCTGAATATAGGTCCCCAATTTTTTCTGGACTATAGAATTTGTGCTGAAATCTCTGCTGTTACCTTGAAGAAGTTTTCTGTTTTGGTGACCTGCCCTTTCTCTCTAGAAATATTTTTTTTCTTTCATTTCAACCTTGAGGAATCTCCTGACTGTGTGTCTTGGAGATGGATGTCTTCTATAGTATTTCACATGGAATCTCTACATTTCCCGAATTTTAATGTTGGCCTCTCTAGCAAGGTGGAAAATTTTTTGTGGACGATATTCTCAATTTTTTTTTTCAAGTGCTTACATTATCTTCCTCTCAGAGACACCAGTGAATCATAGATTTGGTTTCTTTACGTAATGCCAAAATGGAGGTTTTGTTCATTCTTCTTTATTTTTTTAATTTTTTTCAGACTAAGTTATTTTGGAGAAGTGGTCTTCAAGCTCTGATCTTAGCTCAGTAGATTCTGCTGTTAATATTTGCAATTGTATTCTGAAATTCTTGAAGTTTTTCAGCTATATCAGATCTGTTGGTTTCTTTCTTAATATGGCAATTCTATCTTTTATCTCTTGTGTCATTTTATTGTGTATCTTAGATTCCTTGGATTGGATTTCAACTTTCTCCTGGATGTCAACTATCTTCATCCCTATCCATAGTCAGAATTATATTTTTGTCATTACAGACATTTCAGCCTGGTTAAGAATCATTGATGGGAAACTATTGCCATCATTTGGAGGCACACTCTGAACTTCTGAGTTGCCAGAGTTTTTGCACTGGTTCTTTCGCATGTCTGTGAGATCATATTCCTTCAATGTTTGAGTTGCTCTCCTTTGAATTTTCGTTGTTGTTGTTTTTGTTGTTTTCTTTTATCTTCTTTCTGGCCCTTGGTGTTTGGATTGTGGTTTAATGTGGGTTCAGTTGACTGGGTTCATTTCTGGAAGGTTTAAGGGGGCCAAGTCTCAGATCAGCACTCTTATTCTGTTTTCTCTAACTCTGGGGACCTGGTACCAGACACCTGGTTTTGTTCTCTGGCAATTTGAGGTTAGGAAACTGCTATGCTGTGGGGCAGGATGTCGGTGAGTGTGGGGCTACTGGCTCCTGTGCGTGCATTCATAATGGTAGCAGTGGACCACAAGGATGGGTGGAGATGCCAGCATCTGTGTGCTCAATCACTGTGGCAGCAGTGGGGCACCCTGACCTTTTGTTTTAGGTGCCTTTCAGGATTTTTTTTGACTATTTTTCTTTAGTGTTGACCATGGAAAGTCTGATGACTCTATGACTTTGGTGATGTTTGTTTTGTGTAGTATCTCTCTGGTGTTCTCTGGGTTTCTTGTGTCTGGATGTCAACATCTGCAGCAAGATTAAGGAAATTTTTTTGAATTTTTCCTTCGAATAAGTTTTCCAGGTTGTTTACTTTTTCTTCATTTCTCTAAAAAGTGCCAATAATTCATAGGTTTGGGTGCCTCACATAATCCCACAGTTCTTGAAGACTGTTCATTTAAATTGTTTTTTATTTATTTTTGTCTGGGTTAGTTTGAAAGACTTGTCTTCAAGCTCTGAAATTTATTCTCATGCTTGGTTCAGTCTATTGATAAAGTTTTTTATTGTATTTTGAAATTTCTTAGTATAGTTCTTCAATTCCAGAAGTTATGATTGATTTCTTTTTTAAGATATTTATCTCTTCCTTCATTTCCTGAATTGCTTTTCTGTGTTGATTTTCAAACTTGCCTTGGATTTCATTGAACTTCCTTTGAATCCATACTTCAAATTCTTACCTGTAATTTCTGAGTTTCAATTTTTGCTAGGGACCATTTCTGGAGAGTTAGTGTGGTCTTTCGGTGGCATCACTATATTGAGTTTTTTATGGTCTCAAAATTATTGTGCTGATTCTTTCTCATTGTAGATGTTGTCACTTCTAATTTTTTAAAGTTATTTTCATGTGGGTAGGATTTTTCTTACTCAATAATGTTATATTTTTTATTTCTCTTTCTCTTTCTCCTCCCCCCTCCATATGACTATAGAGAATGCTGAATAGGGTCTTTTGATATTGCTTTGAATCCTTATGCACTTCTGTTTACAGGTTTTATATTAGGCTTTGCAATTCAACCAACAAGCTAGTACATGGCACTTATAGATAAGCACCAACTATGGCCAATGTGGCTGGGTATATACTTAATACTTGTTTACTGGGAGAAGCTCTCTGTTTCCTCATGCAATGGGGAATCTAATCTGTGGAGTGCATGGTGGTCTTAGATCCATGCCCACTCTTTGGGGAGTGAGGGTAACAATGGGCGGGGCTAAGCCAGGCAGGTCCATCTACAGGTCACCTGTTCTCAAGCACAAGCATGATTACTGAGGAAGGATCCAGTGGGCAGCCGCCAATTGCCCAGTGATGTGCCTAGGCATGGAGCTGGGAAACCTCTGTCCCAAGTTCTCTGCATAGAGATGGGGGTGCAGCCTTAACTTTTCATCAAGGAGAGTGGGTGTTCCAGATGCCTGGAGATTTGTCTGGTTGTGGAGCAGAGAGTGGCCCCCTGCATCGGGATCTCTGCACCAGAATGGTAGGGTGGGTCAGGCTGCTGATCCAGGTGAGGGAGTACTCCAAATCCCTGGAGATCTGCCTGGGTGTGGAGCAGAGTGGGCCTTGCTTCACCATTGTCTCTGCTCAAGAATGGTATGGTGGGTCAGGCTGCTGATCTAGGTGAGGGAATGCTTCAGATTCCTGGAAATCTGCCTAGGCGTAGAGCAGTGAGGACCTTTCCGCACCAAGGTCTCTGCACAGGACAGATACGGTGCTGAACCAGGCAAGCAGATGCTGTGAAAAACCTAGCAACTTGAAAAAACAAGAAGTAAAATTATCTTTGTTTAGAGATGACAGTATCTTGCAGGTAGAAAACTCTAAACCCTAAACCCTACAGATCCCCCTTCACACACAAAACTGCTAGAGCTAATAAATGAATCAGTATTAACGCAGAATACAAAGGCAATGCAAAAAATAAAGTTGCATTTCTATATGCTAGCAATGATAAATCTTAAAAGTAAGTAGCAAAACAATTTCATTTACAGGCAAAACAATAAAATACTTAGCAGCTAACAGCCAAGGAGGTAAAAGACTGTAAAGTGAAAACTACAAATCATTGCTTAAAAAAAGTAAAGACATCAATAGAAAGATCTTATGATCACAGATTGAAAGACTTAATATCAATATTTCAATAGTACCTAAAGCAATCTACAAATTGAATATATTCCCAATACTAATTCTGTTGTTTTTGCAGAATTGAAAAACCCATCTTAAATTTCATATGTAATCTCATGGGATCACAAATAGCCAAAAAAATCCTGAAAAGCATAATACAAAAACCTGGTGGACTCACATTTCCTAACTTTAAAATCTGTTGGAAGGCTACAGTAATCAAAACAGTATGGTATTGGCATATATATTCCATAGAGACCTACTAAATATATTACAGAATCCGAAAATAAACCTTCACAGATATGGCTAAATGATTTTTTTACAAAGGTGCTAAGACTATTCAATAGGGAAAGGGCAGTCTTTTCAATAATGGTTCTGTGAAAGCTGGATATCCATATGCAAAATAATTAAGTTAGATCCTTACCTAACACATACACAAAAATTAGCTCAAAATGCATCAAAGGTCTAAATTTAACAACTAAAAATATAAAACTCTTAAAAAAAAAGACAAAATCTTTATGACATTAGATTTAGCATGATTTCTTGAATATATGAAACCAACATAGGCACAGGCAACAAAAGACAAAATAAAGAAAAAAAAATGAAAAAATTTAAAAATGCATCAAAAGATCATATCAACAGAATAAAATAGCAACCTACAAAATGGAAGAAAATATTTGCAAATCATATCTTAGATAAGGATTGATATGCAGATTATATCGAGAACTCCAAAACCTCAACAACAAAACAACAAAACTGATTCAAAAATGAGCAAATTACTTGAATGGATATTTTTTCAAAGAAAATAAACAAATAGCCAAAAACTACAGAAAAGGATACTCAGTATCTCTAATCATTATAGAAATGCAAATCAAAATTACAATGAAATGCCACCTCTCACCCATTAGGATGCCTAATATTAAAAAAAACTGAAAATAATTTTGGGCAATGAAATGGAAAAATTGAAACTCCTAGGCACTGTTGATGGGAATGTAAAATGGTACAGTCTCTATGAAAGTCAGTTTGTTACTCCTCAAATTATTAAAGATACAATTACCATATGATCCAGCAATTCTACTGGGAACATACCCAGAAGAATTGAAATAAGGGTCTCAAAGAAATATTTGTATACCCATGATCATAGAGTAGTATTACTTAAAATAGAAAATATGTGGAAGCCACGCAAATGACCAATAATGGATAAGCAAAATGTGTATATACTTAGAATATTATTAAGCCCTACAATAAAAAGAAATTCTGACATATGCTACAAAATGGATGAATATTGAGTACATTATGTTAAGTGAAATAAGCTCATTACTAAATGACAAATACTGTATCATTCCACCTATATAGCTACTTAGAGTAGTCGATATCATAGAGACCAAAAGTAGAATGATGGTTTCCCCCTGCTTGGTATAGGGGAGAATGAGAAATTATTGTTTAATGGGTATGGAGTTTCAGTTTTGCAAGATGAAAATAATTATGGAGATCAGGTTAAAATAAGGGTTGCACAGTATCATTAAAGTATATAACATCATTGAATTTCACACTTAAAGATGGTTACAATGGTAAATTTTGTTTTATGTGTGTTGTATTACAATAAAATATTAAAAACACAATATAGTAACAGAAAATAATTTCTTTAATGAATCTTCAGTGTACTTCACATAGCCAAGGAAAGAATCAGTGAAATGAAATGTAGACCTTTAGAAACCAAACTGAAACAGGAAGGAGAAAAAAATAGAAAAAAAATACAAACCAAAAAAACAGAAGGAAACATCCATAAGTTGTGGAAAAACATCAAAAAGTATAACATAGGCTTAAATGAATTACAGAAGCAAAATAAAATATTATTTTATATAAGATCTTACATATCTTACATATTATATAAGAAATATTAAGTTGGTGCAGAATTAACTGTGGTTTTGGACCATGAATTTTAAATCATTTAACTAGGCTCAAACACATTTTATTAATCAAAATAGAAACCATTACAATCAATACATTTTGGCCAATGAGAAATAAGTTTGTTTATTTATGTAGCATAAAAATCCATGCTTCAGGATTTGATGAACTCTTGGAAAGCATTTTCTGCATCCTACTGGTTGTGGAAGTGCTTTCCCTGCAAAAAGTTGTTGAGATGCTTGAAGAAGTGATAGTCAGTTGGTGAGAGGTCAGGTGAATATGGCGAATAAGGCAAAATTTCATAGCCCATTTCATTCAACTTTTGAAGCGTTGGTTGTGGGACTATTTCTTCCTTATCAGGTTATATAAATATTCCTCTGTGTGTGTGTTTGTGTATACAAAAACAAAAATATAATACTTTGGTGTACTTCTCTCTCTTATCAACTAATCTTGCAAAAATATATTAATAATTCTTAACCATACATCATATTTAATTTAAGGAAGTGTCAAGGAGTAAGCATCATCCAAAGGGTTGCATTCTCTTCTGTGGAAAGGATTGGCATGTTTTTCGTTGTTCATAAAATAGCTGTATTATATTAGGTGGAAATTTGACTTTGTTATTATCTTTATTTGATGATTAGTTATGGTTTAAGTAGATGTGTATGGATGTCAAATTGACAACAGGTAGATTGTGATGATGAGTTTTATATATCAATTTAGTTAGGCTATTATATTAATTAGGGATCTCCACAGACAGAATCAATAGAATATGAATAGAGATGGGGATGGATGGATGGATAGAGAGAAAGAGAGAGAGAGAGATAAATTTATTAGGAGGGTTGTTTACAATGTTATGGAGGCTACATGCAAGCTGGAGATGCTGGGGTACTGGTAGTGTGGCCTCAGTTAGTTAGGAGGCCTAAGAACCAGGGAAGCCAGTGATGAAAATCCTGGAGTCTAAAGGGCAGGGATCCTGTAGTTGTTGTCCAAAGAGAGAAGAGGAAGATTGTATCCCAGCTCTGAAAGATGGATCCCCACACTTGCCTATTCTCTGATTTTGCTCTCTGGGCCCCTGCCCTATAGAATGGTACCTGCCCACAATAACCAGAGGTCTCTCAACTACACCCATCACTCACATGCTAATCTCTGGAAATGACCTCACAGACACACCCAACAATAATACATTACCAATTTCTAGGCATTTTTTTAATCCAGGTAAGTTGACACCTAAAATAAACTATCATAGCTCTGGTATCCAGATACTAAACAGTAATCTAGTTACTGTGAAGGTATTTTACAGATTTAGTTAACATCTGTAATCAATTGACTTTAAATAAATGAGATTATCTTGACAATCTGGACAGGCCTCATCTAATCAACTGAAAGACTTTAAGAACAAAACAGATTTCCCTGAGGATGAAAATATTCTATCAAGACTGCAGTTTCCAGCCTGCTGGCCTGCCCTACAAATTATGTACTTGCCACAGTTGCACCCGCCAATCCTGGAGCTAAATTTCACGCACGTGTGCACACACACACACACACACACAGATTGAGAGAGAGAGAGAGAGAGAAAGAGAACTTTAAGTCTTCCTATATCCTCATTCTAAGGCATTCTTTTGTGTTGTTTTGTTTTGTTTTGTTTTTGAGACAGCATCTCACCCTGTCTCCCAGGCTGGAGTACATTGACGCAATCTCAGCTCACTGCAACCTCCACCTCCTGGGTTCAAGTTATTCTTCTGCCTCAGCCTCCTGAGTAGCTGGGGCAGCAGGTATGAGCCACCATGCCCAGCTAATTTTTGTATTTTTAGTAGAGACGGGTTTTCGCCGTGTTGGCCAGGCTGGTCTCAAACTCCTGACCTCAAGTGATCCACCCATCCTGGCCTCACAAAGTGCGAGGATTACAAGTGTGAGCCACTGTGCTGGGCCGAAGTCGTTCTTTTTTCTTTATGCTCTTACGCATCACATTTGTGTATTGTTCATCCAGTCTAAAAATCATAGTCACTTATTTTATGTTAATACTAATATATTTGTAATTAAGATTCCAAAATACTGTTTGCCCACATATTCTTATTAGTTTCTTTTTACTTTTACTGCCAAATTTTATATTTAATATTCACCTATATGTTTTATTATTGTTTTCATCAATATCCTGGAGATCACAAGTAAAGACATCCTTTCTTTCTTTTGTTAATAGTTGTATAATTATATTTTAATTAAAACTACTATCTTTTCCTCCTATTTTATAATGTCGTAAAGGTAGGTTTTTAAATTGAAACTCTGTCTTTAAAATATTTGCAAAAGGTAACATATGCATAAGTTTTAAAAAGTTTATAATAAAAAATATATTTTCTCTATCCCCAGTCTAGCTCAAAATCACTACTTACATATAACTGTGAGTAGATTCCATATGATAATACCACATCTGTTCTTTTGGAAGAATGTTGCTTCAGTTTATGCACAAAATTAATATAGCATTCTCTGCAATTTTTTTAGAATTTGGTTTTAGATTCTGAAGAGTGCATCAAAAATGATTTTATTGGTGTGTAATTTGAATGGCATTCTTAAATTTGTATTCTACACAATTTAGATAAAAATAATTTAGTGAATTTTAAATTATCAGACTAAATGTTGTAGACATACTGAAGAAATGGGGTTGTGCCCCCACTCAAATATTGGATCAAATGCCAGGAAGGATGCAGATACACAAGGACCAAGGTCATATAAAAACTGTTTTTATTCATATAATGAGAGTTCTGAGGACAGCAGCAGTAGGCCTCATAAGCCTGCCTGAAACTGGCTACAGAGAGAAGGTGAATAAAAAGAGGACTGCTTTGAAATTTTTATTGCGGCTGGGGTGTAGGACTGGGCTGAGACTCTCCTTTTGTGGAAACAGGCTTGTATGGTTTAAATCTCCCACTGAAGACAAAGGAGAGAGCACAGGGCCATCTTACCAGCTTGCCCAGATGTAGGGAACAAAAGGAAGGGATGACAGTGAGGGGGGAGGGGCCTTAAAATTTTTCAACATAGTCAGTTGAAAATTTGAGAAAAAATGAAATCAGACTTTTTATTACACCAAGATATAACAAAAAAGTTACCATTAAGAAAATCAGGAAGAAAAGAAGTTGTTATTATTTTATATAGTCTTCTTTCTTACCTTTCTTTCTTGTTCTCTTCCTCATACAGCCATTAGTTTCAGTCATGGCTCTCCACTCTCTTGCAAATAAAAAATGATGTTCTGAACAATGAATCATTTTTTTGTTGCTTTGAGTTTCTTGCCAGCTTACAGGGGGATTTTCAGGTTTACTTAGTGCAGCCTTTCATCATAAGCCTTCAGGTGAGTGTGTGGAGACTCAGATTGAAGAATGAATCTATGAGTGAATGACAGTTACTATAGCTTTTTCACTAAAGCTCATAAGCTTGGAAGGCATTATTTGCCACTATTTGGCAAGAGACTCAAAGCGTTGTTTTTTATTTCGCTAAACCTAGTGCCCTATGGGTAATGCCTTAGTTGGATAAAAGGAAATGCTTTGAGCTATGCAACTGCAAAACAATTCATCAATCATCCTTTAATAGATTTCCTATGGCATTTTAAAATGTATGCATTTTGATAAATGCATATTGAGAAAATGCAAAACATTTACAACAGAAGGAAACTGCTTTCTTTTAACCTTTGCATGAAGGCATCTCAGATTATGTTAAAGTCTTCAGTTGTATGCCTATTGAGAGTCAAATTCATTAAATATGTTGGTGGGCATGTATTCAGATGGGTTAAGGGAGACAGAATTGTAAGAATTATGTATAGAAGGGAATATCTAAATGGATTTTTATGAACAACTCCCTATCCCAAAAGGAAGGCCCAGAATGGATCGATATGTAGGCTTTACAGTGGTAATGCCTTCAAGGAGACTAACAGTCTTATTATTTCCTTACACATTCTTAGAGGGCAGAGATGGGTGTTTTGTTTATTTATTGACTTGTGGTTTTTTAAAAGATGGAGAGCAGAGGCATAATTGAATTGAATTTGCTTGGTTGTTCATGTTGTTTGCATCTACAGTCTCATTTTATCTGGTATTTCAGCATGGGGAAACAGCAACAGGATGTTTTTGTTAGTTATGAGATGAGTAATTGTTTTATGTGCTGATCAGAGGGGAAAGTGGAGATTTGGGAGAAGTGGGACCAGCTATATGCCTTGGAGACATTTTCAAGTCTTAGGACATTGATTACTACCATTTTTTTTTTAATTTCTGAAGGAACATGTGAACTTTGAGCCCCATTTTTTCTAATTGCAATGCAATTAATATAAATAACCTCGCTTTATCATTTTGTTCATTTATGTGAGCTATTTTGTCAATTATCCAAAAGCAAAAGAGAAAATTAAACTTTTACAAATACATATTTATAAAATGTATTCACTCCTCCTCATCCTTTTTGCTAGTTTCACCACATGAAAACAATTATTGTGAACACAAACCTTAATAAGAACACAGAAAAATAAAAACCTGTGATTTAGAAGATTCGACAAAGCTACACAAATTATCAATTCCTCATGCTTCCGGTTGTCTTATGCTGGCAGTCACGCAGTGCCTGTAAACCTAAAAGGGCAAGTTGAGCAAGGCGCTCTGTCTTTCCATGAGTCTTGTGTTCCCATCTTGGTTGCAGTAGACATCCACTGCTACGCTTCCAAAATCAACTCAAACACTAGAGGCTTAAGAGTCAAAGACTTTGCTGGAACCTAGGTAAAGATAGATACACTGGGTCTTACAGAATGATTGGACATGATTTATTAAAAAGAAAAATAAAGACAAAAATCACTTGATTTTGAAATTTATTTTGATATACAATATTTCTTTTTTATAAAGAACCTGAGCACATGTGATTATCTTAAGTTCTAGTAGGAAAATAATTTAATTGCTTGTATTTAAGCTATATACTCTTTTATTTTCACAAATATGTGTTTCAGAGCTATTGTGTACATACGATATATTAATATTTTGAGGAAACCAAAGGAAAATTCTTATAATATTAGAATAAAAACAATATTTGGTGATGTTTTGAATGAAAACTTTTATGCTACAGGCTGTATCCTTTTATGTTATTGATGATATATATTAAAATAATAGGTTTTTGTATTGTGATGTTGGAAATAATTTTAGACTTCTTTACATTACTTTCCAATAAACTGATAGGCAACGTTTTATTCTAAAAAGGGGGAAATAAAACCACAATTTACTTTTCTTGTCTTATTAAATTTCAGAAAATTAATTAATAGCAAAGGTGTTAGATACAACTGCTTATTGTCATCCAAAGCCCCATGGAAAAGCAATATTACTTTTCAAATTTGGAAAATGCAGGTACAGCTTTTATTTTCTAATCCAGCCAAAATGTCTTCACTTTGCTTTTTCTACTTCTAAAATGATTTATTATGGTGTCTTCACAGATAAAGGCATGATTCTGTCTTTAAGCCTTCCCTTTTGGATACACGACTATTAATATAAACCCTTAAATACTCATTTCTGTATGAAATATGTCCGTGTGTGTGTGAGTGTGTATGTGTGTGTGTGTAGAGAGAGAGACAGAAAGACAAACAGACAGTGAGACAGAGAGAAAGACAGAGGTAGAGGTTATGACAAAGAAATATAAAAGGCATAGCGAAATAGGATTAGCATTCTTCCTAATTATGAAAGTATTCAGAAATTCCTTACTCATTTCTTAATAATTGTATTAAGCAGTCAAACATGTAGAGTAGATATATTTCTAGTAAATTTTAGTGGTTAGGAAATCATCAGGCCAAAATTGCCACATAGACTTGTAGCAACTCTCCTCCCAAATCAGTTAAAAGGAAGCATTAATTCATACGTAGTTACTTAAAGTTACAATTCAAAAAAAGTAAAGGAATATTCTATTTTTTCTACATGTGCAAACAAAAAACACCGGATGTAAAGATGAAACTCAAGAATAACTTGTCTTTTATTCCTAAGAGGACAATTAAATGGTCAGATGTGTACTAATAGGTTAAAACTCACAGGGATTGAACATGAGATTTGTGAAAAGAACATTGTACAAAGAAAATTAATAGAAACTCGGGGGGAAAAGAAAAAAGTAACAAAATCAACAGGAATTCAAATACTTATGGAATACTGAGTGCATTTATTGAACATTAGAAACATTCTCATTTGGGGTTATATAATAAGAAACACTGCCACTCCAATATGCATGGCTATTTCCATTTTGTCACATTTTCTTTGATTTCCCTTTCTTTGTAAAATATTCTCTTTGAGGACATGGAAATATGAATCCCCTGAAAGTTATGTCTAAATAGTATCTATTTTCATTTTCTGTAAGCATGTACTCTGATAATTTGTATAAGTAAAAATTTACCTGTTTGCATTTATTTTTTTATTTAATTTTTATATTTAAGTTCTACTAACTATCTTTTGGATTGTATGAATCATGGTTCTAATAAACACAACTAATAGAATATAGATGTGTACATAGATAGATAAGGGGAGATTTCTTATGGGAATTGGCTTACATGGTTATGGAGAGACAGAAATCCCACTATATGCTGTCCGCAAGCTGGAGAACTGGGAAAGCTGGTGTTTTAATTCACTCCAAGTTTGAAGGCCTGAAAACCAGGGTTGTTGATGGTGTGACTTCAGTCTAAAGCTGAAGATCTGAAAAGGGTTGGAAGCAGGGAGCATTTAGGGGTTCCTGGTATTAATCCCAGAGTCTGAGGACCCAAGAACCAGAAACGTCCATTTCCGAGAGCAGGAGAAGATGGATGCCCCAGCTCAGGGAATGACAGCAAATTCACCTTTAGTCCACCTTTGGCTTTATTCAGGCACTCAAGGAATTGAATGTTGCATGCCCATATTGGTGAGGGTGTATCTTCTTTACTCAGGCATTGATTCTAAAGCTAATCTCTTCTGAAAACACCCTCACAGACATACGCAGAAGCAGTGTTTTATTAGTTATCTGGCCATTTCTTAGCCCAATCAAGTCAACAGGTAAAATTAACCATCATAAAGGCTACTGCTAATGTTATTTGCATAACATTTGCACATGTGGGAAGAGTAAAGACAAAGACAATACCCTTTACAATATTCTATATTATAAAAAAGAAAACTTTTTAAAATTTATATTCACTTTGAGCTATTAATGTAAAAATCATTTCAAGAATTATAAAATAAAACGTCTGATTTGAATACATAATTGTCATTCCTTAGGGAACTAGTTGAAGTCCATTTATTATATTGCAAGTTCTTTTTTAGTAGTTTAACAAATATGTTAGAAAAAACAGCTTGTGATATTTGCCAAATATCTGCCAAGTAAAGCAAGTTCCAGTTAAAATTTAAAGATTCCTGATAGATAGTTTTCATAAAGAGAATACATTTTCATGGCAAACACTTATATTGGTCAACTCTGATGCTACTTGCACAATCATTTCCAGTGGATTAACATCAACTCTCATGCATATTGGATACTGTTATTTTTAACAGTGAGATTTTTGTACCATATTCTCAATACATTTGTGACACACTCACTGAACTTCCACAGACTGGTGTGTTCCATATATCATATGGAACCATTTTTATAGTACACTTTCTTTACTGTTAGAGTCTTTAGTTAAAGCCGAACTAGATGTGCATTATACTTATTTACTAAAAGAGAAAAGCAATTACATGTTTTAAAAATGCATTAAGATAATGCTAACAGTCTAATTAATCTAGTAAACAGATAGATCCAAAAGCTGGAAGTCTACCTTTAAACTTTCTCCAACTTGCTATGTATTGTGTTTCTTTGTATATAAAATCCTGGATTTAAATATATGCCCTCAACACTGGTCAGCATATATTATGTCCTTGTTGTTAATATTACAGTTTTAATGTTCAGAACCTAATCAAGTTGTATGTTCCTTGACATAGGGAATTAAGTGTTCGATCTCTGTTGAAGGATAGAGTATAGGAGAGGTGTGTCAAACCGCATATAATTTTAAAGGCTTTGAAGCAAACTTCCTAGCTTGTACAAATACTCAAAATGTTTCAAGAATAAATCCTCCCACCTATCCAATCGTTATTATCCACTTATTCAATAGTGTTGTTTAACAGTCCACTGTGGTCAAAGTGTTCTGCCTGAGGACTGAGGGAATGAAATGATGAAAAATTCAAAAGCTGCTCTCCTAGTGGTGCAATCTAGGTGAGATGACAGAAAAATGTACAAAAGTAATTATAAAGTAGATTATGGTATGTGACACAAAGGAGGTAGAAAGTGATAAGAGAATTGAGAGACATGAACAGTCGCCTCGAACTTGGGCATTCTTAGAGAAAGCTATATTTGAGACCGTGTTAGAGTTTGTTTAGAGTATTCATCAACTGTGTTGTGCAGGTGTGTCGTCCTAGACTATGAGAAGGTCTTGGCAAGGACAGCAAGGCATCTTTCTATTCCATCTGTGCCTTGCTTCTCTTTGATTTTCTTTTCTGTCAGAGTGAATATGCCTGTGAGTCCATTCTCTATTTGCATCCCACTTGCTTATTTTTCCTCATTTACTTGCATGCTTTACCTTAATACTGTATCTGTTTTTTGTGCATGTAAGAGAAAATATCTAATGATGTGAGTTTGATATTATTGATAAGAAAGTTGCCTAAGCGCTAATTTAAAAATACACTTTGTCACATATCTATATTTAACTACTAGGTTCAAAGGAAGCCTAACTGTGAGTTTGATATTTAATCCATCATGCTATAGTTTATTTTAAGATAAACTTGGCCCCCAAAGTACACAATTCAAGATATATCTTATACATATTATATTTCTCTATGTATAAGATGGTAATGTTAAGAACATTTATATATTTCACCTTAGAAATCGAAAGAACATATTCACAAAAATTAGAAAGTCAAGGCATTCATAATCTCCCTCTGGTTTTATTTACTCTAGGAAATATCTATTCAGATAAGTCACTATCACAAAGCATTCACAGTAGGACAAATCTTCTTTGGCTCTTATCTGCAAATAGATTTTTAATGGAACACCCAATTTTTCCATGTGTTGGGGGAGTTAGATATGATACTCAAAATAGCTTACCCTTCCTCTTCAGGGATACATAATCTGTGGCATTCAGAATAATGACAAACTCCCAGGGGCAGGAGGAAATATTAAAGCCTTCACTACTTCTTCATAGTCTTCTGAAGCTGGGTCACTGACAGGGGCAGACTTGGAGGGTTTAGGGTTTTGTAACATATTTAAAGAACCATTTACTGAAGGCTACTGTAATCCATGCCCATCAAGTCCCCAGGAGTCTGCCATCAGTCCTACCAGTTACCATGGGTAAAAACAGACTATAAAGCATTCCACAGGCAAGTGTTTTTTTTGTTATTGTTATAAAGTTATAAAAATTATCCACCAATTCTTGGCACAAAATAACTTCCTATGAGTAGTGTTCTATGACACCCTTTCATTAATACAATATGCATTAATACAATGTTATGAATGTGCAGCATTTATAATGCCATTACAATATTTACAGGCCTTGGGAAAATTATAATAATGCTTCAGACATGTACTTAGACTTTTTTCCCAAGAAGTCACACCACAGCTAAGGATATCTTTTAGTCATTTAAGTATTCTATTTAAGAACATGAAGTTTACCTATTTGTTAAGATTTTAATAACAGAAAATTTGTTAACTTCTTCAACATGTGTTATCTCAAGTAAACCAAACACCCATCATTTAATTTCTGCAAAAATGTTTGGTTTATTTTATAAAGTAGACAATGGAAGTTTAATGATAAAATGTTGTTGACTAGCTCAGTAATGGTAAGTTGCAGTACTGAAATACAAATCCACTTCTAGTCACTAGAAAATATTATCCAAACCGAAAAAGAGCCCACATTGCCAAGTCAATCCTAAGCCAAAAGAACAAAGCTGGAGGCATCACACTACCTGACTTCAAACTATGCTACAAGGCTACAGTAACCAAAACAGCATGGTACTGGTACCAAAACAGAGATATAGACCAATGGAACAGAACAGAGCCCTCAGAAATAATGCTGCATATCTGCAACCATCTGATCTTTGACAAACCTGACAAAAGCAAGAAATGGGGAAATGATTCCCTATTTAATAAATGGTGCTGCAAAAACTGGTTAGCCATATGTAGAAAGCTGAAACTGGATCCCTTCCTTACACCTTATACAAAAATTAATTCAAGATGCATTAAAGACTTAAATGTTAGACCTAAAAACCATAAAAACCCTAGAAGAAAACCTAGGCAATACCATTCAGGACATAGGGATGGGCAAGGACTTCATGTCTAAAACACCAAAAGCAATGGCAACAAAAGCCAAAATTGACAAATGGGATCTAATTAAGCTAAAGAGCTTCTGCACAGCAAAAGAAACTACCATCAGAGTGAACAGGCAACCTACAGAATGGGAGAAAATTTTTGCAACCTACTCATCTGACAAAGGGCTAATATCCAGAATCTACAATGAACTCAAACAAATTTACAGGAGAAAAACAAACCACCCCATCAAAATGTGGGCAAAGGATATGAACAGACACTTCTCAAAACAAGACATTTATGCAAGCAAAAGACACATGAAAAAATGCTCGTCATCACTGGCCATCAGAGAAATGCAAATCAAAACCACAATGAGATACCATCTCACACCAGTTAGAATGGCAATCATTAAAAAGTCAGGAAACAACAGGTGCTGGAGAGGATGTGGAGAAATAGGAACACTTTTACACGTTGGTGGGACTGTAAACTAGTTCAACCATTGTGGAAGTCAGTGTGGCGATTCCTCAGGGATCTAGAACTAGAAATACCTTTCACCCAGCCATCCCATTACTGGGTATATAACCAAAGGATTATAAATCACACTGGTATAAAGACACATGCACACGTATGTTTATTGCAGCACTATTCACAATAGCAAAGACTTGGAACCAAGCCAAATGTCCAACAATGATAGACTGGATTAAGAAAATGTGGTACACCATGGAATACTACACAGCCATACAAAAATGATGAGTTCGTGTCCTTTGTAGGGACATAGATGAAGCTGGAAACCATCATTCTCAGCAAACTATCACAAGGACAAAAAACCAAACACCGCATGTTCTCACTCATAGGTGGGAAATGAACAATGAGAACACTTGGACACAGGAAGGGGAACATCACACACCGGGGCCTGTTGCGGGGTGGGGGGAGCGGGGAGGGATAGCATTAAGAGATATACCTAATGCTAAATGATGAGTTAATGGGTGCAGCACACCAACATGGCACATGTATACATATGTAACAAACCTGCACATTGTGCACATGTATCCTAGAATTTAAAGTATAATAAAAAAAAAGAAAATATTATCCATCAGTCTAATCAAAGATCCATAATTAAATTTTTCTAGCTCACATACATCTTAAATATTGCTGATGAATAAACAAGTATTATATAATTAAATTTTTCATAAAGATTAATATCATGTAAGGTTCAGTGACCATATATATAAAAATTCATTTCCACATGTGTCTTCAGAAAGTGATTTGATAGTTTTGTGAATATTGCATCATGGGTCAGCAAACAACAACAGAGAAAAATCAGGACTTATCACGAAATGACAATTACATTATTAAACATTATAATCACTAATTTGTTTACAGTTCAGATGTTTGAAGACAGTTGGTGTATTTTTATCTTTTTATCTGTAGTGTTGAGCACAGTAATGGTAAATATCTAGAATGCTCTAATGTTCAAGACAACATAAATGAGCAAGTTTAAAAAATAATCTAAAACAATAATCAATGACTTTTGATTAATCAGCTCATCATATATCCTGGAATGTTCATTATCAATGTAATTTCAATCTTATGAGTGAGAATGAAAATTGCTATAAATTTTGTTAAGGCATTTTAGTGGTCATAACAATTTAAATACACTATCTTTTTCTTAGAAGCTCCATTTCTTACAATCTATTTTTAAATATTTGCATATGCACATAAGAAATATGTAGGTAGGAATTTGAAATTATGCAAGTAAGAGTAAGAAACAAAGTATGAGGTTTCAAATGTAACTTTGACTATTAAATCTTCCTTGTTTGAGCATTATTTCAGCATTTTACTGCATCTCATTATGTAATCTAAATTCTCAGATGTGAAAAAATAAAGACCTCTTATCAATTGCAAGTCAACTGAGTTGCTGTTTTTGGTCTTTATTTAAAATAAAATATTATTTGATGGTGCGATATTAGAAATATTGCTTGTTCTATTTAAGTTCTGTTCTACTTTCTATTTCCATAAATAATAAGTCAACTATAATATACCTAATGCTACATGTTCCTTTCTCTTTCTCTCTGCCTTTTACATACACAAACACACATCACACAAACTTATTCTATTCTCATACTAGTGTAAAATAATACATGACACAATTTAAAAAAAAGAAGAGAGTGTTTTTATAAGTGCTCTCACATCTAGCTACAGATTAACACATATTTTAATATAGGTGTAAAAGATTTGTCTGAAATGTTATTTTCTTTCATACACATAGTCCAACTTTAATCATCAAATGAGCAGTGTCATAAGCACAGCGCAAATCATTTACTCCTGTGAGCTACCCATTTTTTAATTTATCTGATACCATTTTGCTCTTCAGTAATTCTCAATTTGCTAGACTTAACATGACTTACATCATCCCTTTCAATCCATTCCCTATCTTACCTACCTGTTATATGTCCCTGATCGTACGACAGTTTTATTTTGTTGATAACGGAAGGAGCTCAGACAGAGAGACACAGAGCAAAGCTAAATGGAAAGGATAGATATATCTTGAGAAGATACTTTTAACAGAATAAGGGGGCTGACCAACTGGGAGCCTCATTATGTAGCTTACTGAAGTATTTAGAGAAAGTTGTCTCAACCTTAGCGCTATTAACTTTTGGGGTCTCACGATTGTTCATATTAGATGTTTACCATCACCCCTGGCTGCCACCCACTGACTGCAGTGCTCCAATTGTAAAAACCAAAAATGTCTCCAGAGGCCAGGCACAGTGGCTCATGCCTGTAATCCCAGCACTTCGGGAGGCCGAGCTGGTAGGATCACTTGAGGTCAGGAGTTCCAGACTAGCCTGGCCAACATGGTGAAACTCTTTCTCTACTAAAATACAAAAAAATTAGCTGGGTATGGTGGTGCATGCTTGTAATCCCAGCTACTCGGGAGGCTGAGGCAGGAGAATCACTTGAACCTGGGAGGCAGAGGTTGCAGTGAGCCAAGATCAGGCCACTGCACTCCAGCCTGGGCAAGCAAGACTCTGTCTCAAAAAAAAAAAAGAAAAAAAGAAAGTCTCCAGACATTGCTAAATGTTCCCTGGGTGTAAAATTGTGCCCAGCTGAGAGCCACTAGTCTTTAGAGATTTTTTAATTATACATCACACTACTTGGGATTTGAAATATGGAGTTTAAAATATATTTGGTATCTGGTTTTCTTTCTTTCTTACCTATTTTTACCTTTTTAGTTTCATTACTATTTTAAAATTACAAAATCAAGCAATTATTTCTGTTAATGGAAAATAATAGATTTCATCCTGTAGATTTGAAGTAGTTAAATTATTTAATTTATCTAATTTATTTATTAATAATTTATATAGTCTGATTTTGCATGCTACCCTGCATCTGCTTTGGAATTGCAATTTAAAATATATACCTTATTTTTACAAGGTGTTTTTTTAATTTGGCTAGACAATTTAATTTGAAATGGAGACATTAAGACATACATTATGAAAACTTTATTAAAGTGAAGAGCCAGTTAGTTATTTAAATGAATAAATATAGCTCATTTGGCATCAGTTATATTGCCTTATTTGTGACATCAGACAGGCCTGTTTAGAATTTCATATTCCAAAGCAGAGAAGAATACAAGAGTTCTAATTCAAGGCATCAATCACTGAAAATGAACATAACCTAATGTCAGTGCTGAATCAGGCCATCAATTTATTGCTTTGTAAAAGCAATCAGCAAGCTATCAAGCAATAAAGTGTATGAGATAAGTGCTTCTTTTGAGACAGCACTACCATTGACAATGATATACTGATGGGGAATAGCAACTATTTTCCAGCACGTTATGCCTATTACTTGTTAAAAGCTCTGTACTGTGCAACAGATGTGAAATATGTTTCTTATTATTATGGACCAATCTGGTTTGTTTAATAGCTTTGTATGCTACTTAGATTTGCTGTCTTATTTAATTAGGTTATATTTGAACTCTTTTGCCTTCTGAGTCTTTATGTAGAGAAGTGCAGCTGTGAACTGCTTTTCACTTAATTTCCCAAAGACAGAGCAGTAACTCACTAGCATATTTTATGATGTCTTATTACCAAAAGTCCAAGGTATCTGGGGCAAATTGTGATACTATTAAAATAGTGTCACTTCTGACTAGAAGACCACATACTTTACATTATGTTAACAAGATGTGATTGGTTGTTCATAAATAACTAAGAGGTGATTGGTGCTTTTCTCCAGGTCTGTTTGGTTGTCACAAAAGGGAAGATACAGAAGAAATATAGTGGAAAGCATGTAGTCTATTCACCTAATCTGCACATATATAAGATGGATTTTATTTGATGATACAATGAACACCCTAACCCTTATCTGCGATTTTTAGGAGGTCTACGACTAACAATCTTTTCATACCTTTTTTTTTTTTTAACGGAGAAGTAGAATCCTCAGGTTGGCACCAGTAGAACATTTAAAAAAAGAAAAGGTTTCTATTTTATAATAGAAACAACAGTGTCTTTTTAAAAAGTCAGTATTCCTTTCTTTCTAAGGATGCATAATTAATAATATTAAAAGCTGATGGATTCACTACAATTAACTGTAACAACCTTAAATCATCAATATATTTGGTGATTTAGACAAATATATTGTACATTGCACATTTAAATTTAACTTTTAAGGTTTTCTTTAAAGTCCACAGAATAATCCTTTAAAGGTTAACACTTATTTGTAGAGTAAAACTTAGCCATATGTTCTTATGTGCTCTGTAAGAGTTATTTATTAGCAGAGCTATCCCAAGTACACAGACAATATGTTTTGACAACACATTTCAGGTTCATCATTTATAATAACAAATATAGTCATAACTGCTATTAGTGTAATTATTGCTGCTATCATTATTATTTTGATATATTTCTCAGCTTTTTCAAAATTTTTGAATGCTAAAAGTTTTGTAATTCCAAGAAGAACAAATACATGCTATCAGCATGACTTCCTGTTAAGTATAATAGCACAGTAGAAGAAATATACTTAGAAAAAAATGGTTAAGGGAAGTTACTGCTCTTAAATGAATGGCATACACAGTTAGATATGAATTAAATTTTAATCTATAGGGCAAGACAGAGGATATATTCTTGCCCTCTTATAGCAAAACATCTTCTTTATGAGCAATATTTTTGAAACAAATAAGCAAAAATCTGATTCACCTAGTCAAAATAATCTAGATTATGATGACATAATACAACTTTAAAATTTTAGTGTTTTAAAACAGACCTGCATGCCATTAAAGTGTCAACATAGATGAAAAAAACCTGAATAAATCTAATAGGAATTCTTAATAAAAACTCAGCAAACTAGGATTAGAAGCATTTTCCTCAATCGATAAAGGACATTTTCAAAATTTCTATAGGTGAATTATACCAAGGACTAGGTGCTTTTCACCTAAGATAAAAAAAAATATGCACGCCCATACTTATTTCTTTTGAATACTGTCTTAACAAAAGCACAATAATAATAATGTTAAAAATATCTAGATCTGGAAAAAGAAAGTTTTTTATTCGCGATCTGTTTATATAAAAAGTATGACGGCTTCTACAATAAGGCTACTATAAGTAAGAAGAAAATCTAGCAAGATTGTTGTCAATATATGACAATAATTGTATTTATGTATATTAGCAACAAGCAACCAACAATTGAAATACAAAATTACCATGCAGCAGCATATTAAAAATATGAATATAAAGATACATCTCACTAATTATTTGGGAGCCATATATGATTATTTAGAGAAGTTAAAGAACAACTAATAAGTGGACTGATATACCTCAATTCTTCCCACAATGATCTATAGTTTCAATGCAATAAAAAATCCAGCAGGCTCTTTTTTTAAAAAAAAGATATATTGATTATCTGTTTCAAAATCTAAATGGAAACACAGAAACCTAAATTAATTAAAAGAAGTTTGAAAAACTAGAAAATAATTAGAGATGACACTACTTGATTCCAATACTTATAATTCTACAGTAATCAAGACAGTAAGATGTGGGTGTTGAAACAGATGAATAGATCAAAGAACAGAATAAAGAAACAGACTACCACAGGGGAAGGGGCCAAGATAGTGAGCTAGAGCCAGGTCACGTGTGCCGTGTCACTGTGAGGAAATAGAGTGGTAAGTAAACACTGACTCTGCAAGCCTGTCACTTAAAAACTGTGTCAGGCTCCATTAAGGGAGCGGGAAGACACAGAAAACAGCCCATTTGGGCTGGGCATGGAGCCAGGGAAGCTTCTCAGCTGAGAAGGGGTGAGTAAGAGACCCTGGGGGACCCACACCTCCTAAAGGGATCTGTGCAATCCTGGAAATAAGAGAATCCCCCGAAACCCACAGGCCTCTAGACTGATACCAAAAGCCACCTGAAGTTATTACAGAAGCAACATTCAAGTCCTCAGACACCCCTACAGGCCATGGACCCCAGAGCAGTCTGATGCCGTCTACCATAACCCCCACAGAGGCTGCCGATGCGGTGCCTGGGATTACTAAGATTGTCCTACACTCCTGCACCAGGCAAAGCTCAGAGCCAGCTTCCAGCAGAGCAGCCCTGCTTCAGCCTGAATTCAACCAGTGGACACAGCTCTCTCTTCCTTCAGGAAGCACCTAGACAGTGGAGCTGGTGACTCTACCCCACTCCCACTGCTCATAGCCAGGCAGGCAACGCCTGCTTGGGTATCCAGCACAACACCCCATTTCTGCCTGAACTCTGTGGGCATGTATAGCTCCGAACCCCTGGGAGATACCTAGATTGGAGATTGGACAATTATACCCATGCTGCTGCACCTAGATAGGCAGGATTCACCAGCTTGAGCAGTACTCAAGCAGTGGGAGAAGCTCTCACTCGCAGAACACTGAGAGGGGTAGACACATGGGTTCAAGGACCTGCAGGGAAGTGGAGTGTGTCTCCATCAGCAGGACTGGTCTGGGAAGAAAACAGAGTAAGACCTGTCTGCCAACTTATATGGAAGGGAAGTGCTGAGAAGGGAAGGGCGTGGTCCCTTTAAATGATACAAAAGGGGGAAAGGGGTGTGGTCCCTGGCTAGAGCTCCACCCCCCGGGCCTGTGCCCATGTACCTATGTGAGGACAGGCATTTTTGTTTTCCTGCCCACACGTTGCATTTCCCAAGACCACCCTAGCCTGCCATGCCCCCTTCCTGTGCTTATAAAAACTCTGAGACCCTAGCAGGCACACACACAGGCAGCTGGACGTCGAGAGGAGCACATCAGTGGAGAAATACATGGGTGGCTGGACATCAAGAGGAACGCGTGGACAGGCACCAGCATACTGGCAGGCCACCCACCAGCAGAACGACACGAGTTTGGTTGGGGCAGCTGAAGGAGAGCCCAGGTTGCAGAGTGGCTTGGCTCCAGGGGAAAACCATCTCCCTTATGGTTCCCCCATCTGCTGAGAGCTACTTCCACTCAATACAACCTTGCAGTCATTCTCCAAGCCTATGTGTGATCCAATTTTTCTGGTACACCAGGGCAAGAACCCCGGGATACAAAAAGGCCTTTGTCCTTGCGATAAGGCAGGGTTCTAACTGAGCTGACTAACACAAGCCGCCTATAGACGGCTAAACTAAAAGAGCACCGTGTAACACACACCCACTGGGGCTTCAGCTGCAAACATGAACCCCTAGACATTGCCGTGGGGTCGGGGAGCCCCACAGCCTTCCTGTCTGTATGCTCCTAGAGGTGTGAGCAGTGGGGCACTGAATGAGTGAACCACGTTCTTATCGCATGCCCTTTGAAGGGGACAAGGGAACCTTTCTTGTTTCACAACCACGACCGTACTTGAGAAAGCCCCATGGCCCAGAACACCTAACAGTGGAAATGTGAGCATGGAACCAGAGATTGGAGAGGGCTCCTCCAAGCCAAGGATAAACCAGCTAAGGGGGTTATATCTCTCCTTGCCCACCGTAGCAATGCCACCAAGACAACAAAACACAAAAGAGCCATGTGGCTAAGTAGGAACTTATCTACCAGCCACACCTTCTCAAATACCACCTTCTGGAACACAGCCCAAATTATGACACCAAAATTTAAGGACTTCGTAATACAATCAAAACCATTAACAGCAGAATAGGCCAAACTTAGGAAAGTAGCTAAGAGCTTGAAGACTGGCTCTTTGAATCAACACAGTCAGACAAAAAAGAAAAAAAGAATTTTTAAAAGTGAGCAAAACCTCTGTGAAATATGAGATTATGTGAAGAAACCAAATCTAGGACTCATTGGCATTCCTGAAAGAGAAGGAGAGAGTAAGCAACTTGGAAAGTATATTTGAGAATATAGTTCATGAAAATTTCCTTAAACTTGCTAGAAAGAAAATCATTCAAATTTAAGAAATACATACACCCCCTGCAGAATGCTATACAAGATGACCAGCCCTAAGGCACATAGTCAACAGGTTAACCAACATCAATGCAAAAGACAAAATCTTGAAGGCAGCTACAGAGAAAGAATTTGTAACCTACAAGGGAAGCTGTATTAGTCTGTTTTCACTCTGCTGTAAATATACTACCTGAGACTGGGTAATTTATAAAGAAAAGAGGATTAATTGACTTACAGTTCCACGTGGCTGTGGAGGCCTCTGGAGACTTGCAATCATGGCAGAAGGGGAAGCAGGCACCTTCTTCACAAGGTGGTAGGAGACAGAACTACAAGCAGGGGAAATGCCAGATGCTTATAAAACCATCAGATCACATGAGAACTCACTCACTATCACAAAAAGAGCATGGGGAAAACTGTCCCCACAATCCAAGCATCTCCCTCCTTCCCTCAACACATGGGATTGTAGGTCTCATAATTCCCACATGCTGTGGGAGGGACCCAATGGAAGCCAATGGAATCATGGGGGCAGGTCTTTCCCATGCTGTTCTTGTGATAGTGAATATGTTTCATGAGATGTGATGGTTTCATAAAGGGGAGTTCCCCTGCGTGCTCTATCTTGCCTGCCACCATGTAAGACGTGACTTTGCTCCTCCTTTGCCTTCTGACATAATTGTGAGGCCTCCTCAGCCATGTGGAACTATTAGTCCATTAAACCTCTTTTTCTTTATAAATTGCCCAGTCTCAGGTATGTCATTATTAGCAGTGTGAGAAGAGAGTAATAAACCCTTCAAACTAAGATTCATAAGCAAAGGAGATATAAAATCCTATTTAGACATACAAATACTAAGAGAATTTGTTACTGCCAGATTAGATTTACAAGGTCCTTAAGGGGGTGCTAAACATGAAAAAAAAAATCAAAGCCTGCTACCACAAAAATGAACTCAAGCACATAACCCACAGACAAGATAAAGCAATTACATAGTCGAGTCTACAAAACAAATAGCCAACAACAACATGACAGATCAAAAGAAGGGCATTACATAATGATGGAGGGTTCAATTCAACAAGAAGAAAAATATATATATTCACTAAACACTAGAGCACCTAGATTCATAAAACCTTTTTAACCTACAAAAAGACTGAGCCACACAATAATTATGGGGGACTTCAACACCTTACTGACAGCCTTAGACAGATTGGCGAGGTAGAAAATGAACAAAAAAATTATGGACTTAAACTCGACACTTGACCAATTGGACCTAAGAGACATCAACAGAATACTTCACCCAACAGCCAGAGAATATGCATTCTTCTCCTCTGCACATGGAGCACATACTAATTCTAAGACTGACTACAGACTCAGCAACAAAGCACATCTCAATAAATTTTTAAAATTGAAACAATATCAGGCACATTCTCGGATCACAGTACAATAAAAATAGAAATCAATACCAACAAAATCTCTTGAAACTACACAAAAACATGAACACTAAACAACTTGCTTCTAAACAACTCTTGGGTGAACAATAAAGTAAAGGCAGAAATCAAAAATTTATTTGAGATAAAAAAATAGAGACACAATTTACCAAAATATGTGGGATGCAGCAAAAGCTGTGTTAAGAGGAAAGTTTACAGTGTTAAACACTTTCAATGATTTAGAAAGATTTCAAATTAACAAACTAACATCACACCTGTAGGAACTAGAAAATGAAAAAGAACAATCCAACCCCCAAACTGGTAGAAAAAAAATGAATACGTAAAATCAGAGAACTGAATGAAATTTATACCCAAAAGTTCATACAAAAGATCAATAAAACCAAGAATTGGTTATTCAAAGAATAAGTAAGATTGATAGACTGTTAGATTAACAAAGAGAAAAAATATCCAAATAAGCAGAATCAGAAATAAAAAAGATGACATTAAAAACAATCCCACAGAAATACAGAGCTCCTGGGAGACTATTACAAACATCACTACATACAAAAATTAGAAAATCTACAGGATATGGATAAATTCCTGGAAACAAACAATCCTCCAAGATTGAACCAGGGAGAAAGTAAAAATCTAAGCAAAGAATTTTTATCATGAATAGACTTTGCATTTTATCAAAGGCTTTTTCTGTGTCTATTGAGATAATCAAGTGGTTTTGGTTTTTGATTCTGTTTATGTGGTGAATCACATATATTTAGTTTTGTATGTTGAACCAACCTTGCATCTCAGAAATAAAGCCTTCTTGATCGTGGTGAATTAACTTATTGATGTACTGCTGGATTTTGTTGAGAAGTTTTGCACCTATATTCACCAGGAATATTCGCCTGAAGTTTTGGTTTTTTGTTGTCTCTGCCAAATTTTGAATGGACCAGTAACAAGTTCTGAAATTGAATCAGTAATGGAAAACCCACCAACTAAAAAGAGCTTTAAATTAGATGGATTCATAGCTGAATTTTACCAAATGTAAGAAGAAGAACTGATAGCACCCCTACTGAAACTATTCCATAAAATCAACCAGAAGAGGCTGCTACCCACCTTGTTTGACAAAGCCAGCATCATCCTGATACCAAAATTTGGCAGAGACAACACAAAGAAACAAAAACTTCAGGGGAATATTCCTGATGAATATAGATGCAAAAATTCTCAACAAAATACAGCGAACCAAATCCAGCAGTACATCAATAAATTAATTCACCATGCTCAAGAAGGCTTTATTCTTGTTATGGAAGGTTGGTTCTACATACAAAAATAAACACATGTGATTCACCATATAAACAGAATAAAAAGCCAGAATGACATGAGCATCTCAATGGACACAGAAAAAACCTTCAATAAAATGCAAAGTCTATTCAAGGTAAAAATCATCTACAGACTAGGCATCAAAGGAAAATACCTAAACATTATAAAATCCATCTATGCCAAAGTCACAGCCAACATCACACTGAATGGGCAATAGCTGGAAGCATTTTTCTTGAGAACTGGAACAAGACAAGGATGCCTACTCTCACCTCTCCTATTTAAGAACATATTGAATGTCCTAGTCAGAGCAATCAGAAAAGAGAATAAAAAGCATCCAAATACGAACAGAAGAACACAACTATCTGTCTTTGCTGATGATATAATTCCATTTATAGAAAACCTTAAATACTCTGTCAAAAAGCTCCTGGAATTTATAAACAAATTCAGTCAAGTTTCAGGACACAAAATCAATGTACAAAAATCAGTAGCATTTCTATACACCAACAACATTCTAGCTGAGAAACAAATCAAGAACACAATCCTAGTTGCAGTAGCCACAAAAAAATGGAACACCTAGGACTATGGCTAAACAAGATGGGAAAAGTTATCTACAAGAGGAATCACAAAACACTGCTGAAATAAATTACAGATGACATACGTAAATGGAAAAATAGTCTATACTCATGGATTCATAGAATCAATACTGGAAAATGTCCATACTGCCCAAAGCAATTTACAGAGTCAACACTATCCCTATGAAAACACCATGTCATTTTTCACAGAATTAGAAAAATCTATTCTAAAAATCATATGGAACTAAAAAAGAGCCCAAATAGCCAAAGCAAACTTAAGCAGAAAGAAAACATCATTGTTCTTTGAAAATGTGGAGACTGCACATTATCTGACTTTGAACTATGTTGCAGTAACCTAAGCAGCATGGTACTCATACAAAAACAGATAGACCAATGGAAAATAAATAATGCAGAAATAAACCTATACACACCTATCCATGTGATCTTTGGCAAAGTCAACAAAATTAAGCAATGGAGAAAGGACCCACTATTCAACGACTGGTACTGGGTTAGCTGGCTAGCCATATGCAGAGGAATGAAACTGGACCCCTACCGCTCACATTATGTACATGTTAACTCACTATGAATTAAATATTTAAATATAATACCTCAAACTATAAGAATCCTAGAAGAAAACCAAGGAAAAGCTTTTTGATATTGGCCTTGGCAAGGAATTTATCACTAAGTCCCCAAAACAATTGCAATGAAAACAAAAACTGACAAGTGAGACCTAACTAAACTAAAGAGCTGGGGCACATCAAACGAAACTATCAACAGAGCAAACAGAAAACCCACAGAATGGAAGAATATATTTGAAAACTAAGTATCTGATAAAGGTCTAATATCCAGAATCTACAAGGAACTTAAATAAATCAATACACAATAAACCAATTTAAAAAGCAAAAAGGACATGAATGGACATGTCTCAAAAGAAGACAATCGGTCAACAAACGTAAAAATGCTCAACATCACTAATATCATGGAAATGCAAATCAGAACCACAATGAGATTCCATCTCATACCAGTCAGAATGGCTATTATTATTATTATTATTTTTTTTTTTGAGACGGAGTCTCGCTGTGTTGCCCAGGCTGGAGTGCAGTGGCAGGATCTCAGCTCACTGCAAGCTCCGCCTCCCAGGTTCATGCACAATGGCTATGATTAAAAAGTCAAATGATAACAGGTGTTGGGAAGACCATGAAGAAATGGAAACACTTACACACTGTTGGTGGGAATGAAACTAGTTTGACCGCTGTGTAAGCAGTTTGTAGATTTCTCGAAGAACTTAAAACAGAACTGCCATTCAACCCAGCAATCCCACTACTGGGAATATATTCATAAGAAAACAAATTGTTCTATCAAAAAGACACATATGCTGGCATGTTCATCACAGCGCTATTCACAATAGCAAAGACACAGAAGCCACCTAGGTGCCCGTCAACAGTGTATTGGATAAAGAAAATGTGGTATATGTACACCATGGAATACTATGCAGCCATTTAAAACAAGGAAATCATGACCTTTGCAGTAATGTGGATGCAGCTGGAGGTCATTACCTTAAGTGAATTAATGCAAGAACAGAAAATCAAATACTGAATGTTCTCACTCATAAGTGGGAGTTAAACACTGTAATACACACATATATATAAATATAAAGATGGGAACAATAAACATTAGGGAGTACTGTACAGGAGGGAGAGGGCCATGAGCTGAAAACCACTTATTGGGTACTATGCTTACAGCCAGGATGAAGGGATCATTTGTAGCCCAAACCTCATGTAATGCAATATACCGATGTCACACATCTGCATGTGTACCCTTTAAAATAAATGTTGAAATTGTATTTCAAAAATAGACTAACACTTAAATGGATAATTCATTTAAAAAATAAATGCAGTGGATCACTTCTCGGCCTTTTGGCTAAGATCAAGTGTAAAAATAAATGCAGTGGAGAAAATTTATCTTTTTAACCAATTCTTCTGGGATAATTGAGTATCCATGTTCATATAAAAGGACCTTCATTTTATATCTCGGCTCATATACAAAAATACACTTGAAATAGACTACAGATTTATAGTCAAATATTTTTGATACAACAGTAAATACAAATTGATACATTGGATGTTTTCAAAATGAGAAACTTCTGCTTCTTGAAATACACTATGAGCATAAAAAGATATAAAGAACATGTACCTTGAATATATATATGTGTGAAAATCAATAACAAAATAAAAATCAAATTAAATATGAACCAAAAATTTGAATGGTTGCTTCAACAAAGAAAACAAATGAACAAATGGATGATAGGTAAGCATGAGTTGGTAATTAAAATCATTAGTCATAAGAGAAATAGAAGTTATAACCACAATATAGTAGTACTTCAAACATATTGAAATGGCTAAAAGTAAAAACAAAAATTTTATCAAGTTTTGAGAAAGAAGTAGAGGGACTGAAATCACTTTTTCGTGGAGAATTAAATTATATGCCTCTTTGGAAAGCAATTTGGCAATTGCTTAAAAATTAAGCACATGTATTACCTGTGATCTGGCCATTTCAACTCTCCTTATTTACCAAAGGAAAAGATGACATATGTCTATAAAAAACCTTAAACTTAAATGTTTGCTACTAATTTATTTGTAACAGCCAAATAAACTGGAAACATCCATATGTTGGTCAGTAGGTGGATTACTAATCACTCTGTACCACATCCACACAATAGAAGACTACTCAGAAATTGTAAGAACACATAGTTAAAAACAGTGAAATATTAACGAATTCTAAAGTAATTATACTGTATGAAGAGACAAGTTCCTCCCACTCTCAAAAAGAGTTTATACTGAATAATTCTTTTTAATACAAATCTAGAATCTTGTATCTATCTATCTACCTATGTGTGTGTGTGTGTATATATATATATATATATAGATGATATATATAGGTGATATATATAGATAGATAGATGATATATATAGATACAGATATCTGATATATGTATCAGACCTGGGTTTTCAGGGGCCATAGTGGAAGTGGTGGATGAGTGGAAGCACTTTATACCCTTGAATTATAAAAGAGCCAAAAAATTGGAGGGCTGATGTACACCTTTATTATCTTGGTGATGCATTATGGATTTATACGTGTGTCAAAACTTATCAAACTGTACCCTTTAAATATGTGCAGTTTGTTGTATATCAATTATACCTCAATAAATGTTTTAAAAAGCATATGAAGTTTGTAACATCTATTAGATCTCATGGCCTTTCCACCGATTTTATGGCATAATGATTTTATCAATTTACTCTCTTTACATGTAGATGTTGTTTCTCTTAGCTGTTTAGTATTAGCTAATGACATGCAATTTGCTTTGATTTGTGAAAGTTAAAGAAAAATATATGCCAATTTCAATAGGAAGTTTAATTGAGTGTTTGTTCTTCCCTTTTCTCTCCAATTGTGGAAAAATATGTTAAGAATATTCAATAATAAATCATTTCATGGCGACACCTGTGATACGATGTGCTGCAATGACTCTGCAGCCTAGCAGTGTTAGGATTGCAGCTAGGTCCCTTTGGATACCTTTCGCAAGCTTCCATATCAATCTCTCAGTCTCTGCAGCTTTCTTCCACTTGCAACTTTCTTTACAATACTGTCTTTTCAAGCTGGTTCACCCACAGGAGCAAAAAAGCTGAACTGCCTGAAAGTTTATATCCTCCAGGGGGTTGCCAATCGCCAGTGAATAACTATTGCGGGATTCTAAATCGCCAACCCATTTCCCTAGATGGAAGAAAAATTATATTCGTGGCTTATGCTTCAAGATCCTGGTGGGATAGAGCAAAAGCTGCGGTGAATAAGAATAGAAACCAGGTGGAGGAGGATGCAGTGGCTCTGTGTTAACCTTGTCATTTGATAGGCACAGTGGACTTAGAAGTTATAGCAATATTCTTTGTAGTTATAAGGCCTATTGACATCAATTATGTTATTCCTACACACCTGCAATACACTGAAAGAAAAAAGTCTGGCTAATTACCATTTTGTAACAAAGCATGAAAAATCTGAAAACCTTACAGATACTCTCATCTCCTTCAATTAAGGGCTGACCATACTGAGGATCAGATTTGAGACCATTGCAAATGTTGAAGAATTAATCTGGATTCATATCCTCAGTAATTCCCCATCTAAAGATGATGGACCTAATAGAAAAAAGGTAGAACGCTGAGTTGTGATTAAATGCACTTTAAAAATCTTATTCTCCCAAAGTCCCTTGAAAACGTCTGTGCTTGAACAAATGATTCATTTCTGCTTGCTCAAGTATAGCTTTCTTTATGATTTTTCAGAGGCCTCATCTGATGCAACACAGTGCTTACCCTCCTCGGAATCGATCTCTACTTCTACTTTATATAGGTAAATAAATGTGCTAGGGAGATGCAGTCTGATTGCCAGAAACCATCAGAGTTCTCCGATTATGACGTAAATGATTTAAAAACTTTTTTTACACTTTGATATAATATTACATATTCACCGTTATTTTACAAAACCAAGTCAAGAGGAATATCATAAACTCAGAAGTTACCAAAAATACAGCTTCTCACAGTGATAATAAATTAGTAGTATTCTTTCAATTTTTTTTGTATTTTTTAAAATTTTTTTAGGAAAGTTGCTTTTTTCTCCTAGTCTAACTTTTCTATTTACTCTGTTGTCATGTGAATGCCCATGGGATTCTACTGCCTAAGAGAGTTTTTACATTAAACATTTAAGTATGTTGTCATCTACTTTTTGATCTTATAATATTAAAAAATAATCCCTTCTGACGTTGTTTACTCTCCTGCCTATATTCATTGTTTAGTCACCATCATTCTCTTTTGATCTATTGTTTTTAATAGGTTCACCAATAATGTATCTTTCGAGCAATAAAAGACAGAGTAAAACTAAATAACATTTACAGGTTTGAGGAGAATCACTTTCACCTAGTGAATTATAACCAACAAATAATAATTTTAATGATGAGATAAAAGTAATATTTATATGTACAGCATGGAAGACTATACAATACACATAAAATTCCTGAAAACAAAAGGCTATATATTGATTCCTCCTCAATTCTTACACTCCACCACATACAACTTTAAAGCATTTGGGGATGATATGAGATATGAAAAGACAGTTTTTGAGAAATTTAAATTTCTCAATTTACTGAGAAAGCTTTGACAAATAAGTAATAACCAAAATGCCGCATTCAATGAGATTCTGTTACCTGTTCTGGGACATGTTTAAATTACAAGAACTCAGTGGCTGCTGTGTGGGCTGCAACTCACTTACTTGTGAGAGTCACTGGATGTCTCTTGTACATCTCGGCCGGGTGCAGTGGCTCATGCCTGTAATCCCAGCACTTTGGGAGGTGACGTGGGAGGATTGCCTAAGCTCAGGAGTTCCAGACAAGCCTAAGCAACACGCCAAAACCCCGTCTATAACAAAAATACAAAAAATTAGCTGGGTGTGCTGGCACACGCCTGTGGTCCCAGCTACTCAGAAGGCTGAGGCACAAGAATTACTTGAATCAGGGAGTCGAATGTTGCAGTGAGCTGAGATGGTGCCACTGTACTCCAGCCTGAGCTACAGAGCAAGAATCTGTCTCCAAAGGAAAAAAAAAATCTTCTGTACATCTCAAGGTGGTCCCTTCCCCCAACCCCCTCTAAGTGAATGTAATTTAGAGAAGGGATTCTAGCTGTAGTATTCTTTGAATTTGAGAATTTCCATAGTGCTATGAATTTAAACTTTAGAAATAGAGTAGAGTCATTCTAAATCCAAATGATTAACTTAATCTCTTCAGCAGTACTTAGTGTAGTACTCCACCACTGAGGGAGGAACTTCTTGAGTAGTCTTCTACCCAATGCACCAGGATTCTTTACTGTTTCCAGTCTAGCGAACATGAGCAGATACTAATTTATATGTGAGTGTTGGGTTTCAATCCCCTGAATCCTTAAAGAAAGTTTTGTTTCTTTTTTCTTCACCTTGGATCAGGTGACCTCAATTTATGTGTGAGTGTTGGGTTTCAATTTATGTGTGAGTATTGGGTTTCAATCTCCTGAACCCTTTGAGAGAGTTTTGTTTCTTTTTCTTCACCTTGGATCATGTGACCTTAACAGTACACTGGTGGATATATTAGATATAGATTAGATCCGTGTGGTGCTTACACAAACCAAAAGACAGCTGATGTAATATTTCCAGTACGAGATCAAATCAATGTTTAGGGAAAATAATTATCATGGATAGTAGAGGTACCATGTAAAAAGAGGTAATTCGTTACTTGTGATAGTTAATATTAGGTGTCAACTTGATTGGATTGAAGGATACCTAGATAGCCGGTGAAGAATTGTTTCTGGGTGTGTCTGTGAGGGCGTTGCCAGAGGATACTGACATTTGAGTCAGTGGACAGGGAGAGGAAGGCCAGCCCTCAATGTGGGTGGGCACCATTGGCTGCCAGCTTGGCTAGAACAAAGCAGGTAGAAGATGGTGGTACAAGCTGGCTTGCTGAGTCTTCTGGATTTCATCTTCCTCCCATGCTGAATGCTTCCTTCTCCTCCTCCTGCCCTTAAACATCAGATTCCAGATCTTCAGCCTTTGGACACTTGGATTTACATCAGTGGATTGCCGTAGGCTCTTGTGCCTTCGGCCACAGACTGAGGGCAGCAGTGTTGGCTTCCCTCCTTTTCAGGCTTCTTTCTGTGTCCTGTGATAGATAATAGCTTGCAGATGACCAAACAAGGGACTTTGCCTTATGATCGTGTGAGCCAATCCTCCTTAATAAAATTCCTTTCATATATAGGTATGTCCTATTAGTTCTGTCCCTCTGGAGAACCCTGACTAATACGTCACTGTAAAACGAAAACAAACTGAAGCATGCACTCCAACAATGCTGTCTCACAGTTTGCATGGACATTTTCTGTTTCCATAATTTTGACTTTCCAGAGTGACATATAAATACAATTATTTAGTGTCTAGACTTTTGAATTTGCTACTTTACCAGCAAAAGTAAAATTGTTTATCATTTTGTTGTCTGAATATTCAGTTTAATCACATTTTATTGCTGAGTCATATTTTATTGTGTCATAAACTGCAGATTGCTTATCCATTCACCTTCAAAAGGTCTTTGTTGTTTCTAATTTCTGGTGATGAATGATGCTGCTATAAAATTCACTAGAAGGCAGGGCACAGTGGCTCACGCCTGTAATCCCAGCATTTTAGGAGGACAAGGTGGGTGGATCACTTGAGGTCAGGAGTTGGAGACCAGCCTGGCCAATATGGTAAACCCCATCTCTACTAAAGTACAAAAATTAGCCGGGTGTAGTGGTGGGTGCCTGTAACCCCAGCCACTGGGGAGGCTGAGGCAGGAGAATTGCTTGAACCCAGAAGGTGGAGGTTGCAGTGAGCTGAGATCGCGCCATTGCACTCCAGCCTGGGTGATAGAGCGAGACTACATCTCAAAAAACAAAAACAAAAAATCCACTGAATATTTTGGTTTGAACATATGCTTTTATTTCTATGATTAATAATTATTTGAAATTTCTATAATTATATCCAATTAATACATTACTATCTAGGAGTAGAATGGCTGGATCACAGGGCACATGTATGATTATGTTATAAACTGCCAAATTTCTTTCTGAAGTTACTGTAAAGTTATTATTCTTCACGAGGATGTATGAACTTCCAGTTTCTTGGGTTCCCACCAAAACTTGATAATGTCAATAGTCTCTTTCTTTTTAAAAAGCCATTTGTATAGATGTATAGTTGTATCTCATTGTAAACTTTGTAATTTTTGTTTGTATTAACCTATATGTTAATCTGGAATACTTTAGGATGAGACAAACTAGGTTATTATTTATTTATTTATTTACTTACTTACTTATTTATTTATTTATTGATAGAGATGGGGTTTGTCTCAAATGCCTGGATTCAAGCAGTCCACTCACCTCGGCCTCTCAAAGTGCTAGAATTACAAGTGTGAACCATCACACACAGTCTACAGGTTATTTTTTAATTTCAAATATTTAATGAGTCCTACTAGAAATCAGTAGAAAGTAGAATTGCATTATCTGAATCTGTGGGATGCAGTGAATATGGAAATAGAAGTAAATTATTTTTTGATTATTTAATAACATGGCCAAATATTAGTAAGCTAAACATCTAACATAATTTTCAATAAAAGAAAATAGCAACATTAAACCATAAATTAAATTGATAAACTAAGGTAAAACATGTATTTATATATGAAAATATATAAAAAAGTGGTCAACAGAATAAAAGCTTGTAAACGGATAAAATAGGCAAGATAAAATTTTGATAAGACAGAAATGTTTACATAAATAGAAAATATTAGGTAGGAAAGAGGGACGATTATAAGTAAAACAGATCAAATATATGGAAAGAATGCTATAAAAATGGGTGAATAAATTTAAAATAAGATAAAATGCTTAAAATGTTATAAACTATAACCTACTAAAACTGGCTCCGGATGAAATAGAAAATTGTTTTCAAGCCTTTAAAATATTTCCACAAAGAAGATAAAAAATTCAGATGATTTCAGAAGTGACTTTTAGCAAAAAGACTTGAGAAAGTAACCCAATTTTTAATAAATTATTTCAGAGGATAAAAAAAGAAAAAATCTGAAACTAATTTTATATGTCTTATATAATAATAGAAAAGCCAAAAGAAAGCAGTACAAGAAACTATAAATATTATACCATCTCATTAATGACCAGAGATCCAACCATTCCAAGAGAAAATGTTAACAAAGAGGAGACAGCAATGTATAAAAATCACCACATAGAATAAGGTTGGTATAACAAGATCATCTAGTGAGGCAAATTTCCACTTTTCCTGGATGATCCAAAAACTTTCTAGTGGTTTCTGGTTTTTTCTTATTTAAAACATACATTGTATGTTTAATTTTTAACACAGCACTGAGGAATATTTTGAATTAAAGCACATAACCTTTTGTCAGGACTCTGGTTAGAATACTCCAATGTAGTGCCAAATCCAGTTTCTGAAATTTCTTGAAGCCCTCACCAAGTACTTCATTTCTCTCTGATGTGGTTTGGTTCTGTGTCCCCACTCAAATCTCATCTCCAATTGTAATCTCCATGTGTGGAGAGAGGGGAGTGATTGGATTATGGGGCAGTTTCCCCCATGCTGTTCTCATGATAGTGAATTCTCACGAGATCTGACAGTTTTATAGGTGGTAGTTTTTCCTGCATGCTCACACTCTTTCACCAGCTGCCATGTAAGACATGCCTGATTCCCCTCCCACCATGATTGTAAGTTTCCTGAGGCCTCCCCAGCCATGCAGAACTGTGAGTCAATTAAACCTCTTTCCTTTATAAATTACCAGTTTCAGGTAGTATATTCATAGCAGTGTGAAAAAGAATGCACACATTCTCCTTCACTTCTCTGTCCCCAGGCTGGCAGCTTCTTGATTTCACCTAGTACTTGATTGTATCTGCCACATGGATTTGTTACTTCTTGTTCCCTTTGCCTAGAAAGCCTCAACTCTCTGCCTGGTTGTTTTCCTTATCTCTTTAGGTGAGAATTTTGTTCATATATCTGCTTTGTACTGAGTCTATTCCTGACCGCTCTTTTTAAAATGTTTATTGCCCCACCCCTTATTTGTGTGCAGGACACATTCTTTATTTTAATTATTTACTTATTTTATTATTCCATTTGAACACAGAAGTTATTTGTCTGTTTTGTCTTTTCACCATTTCGTGTCTTCTCCGTGCCCAAACAGCACCTGGCTCTTGATTCCTGGGACATGTGATTACCATTGTGGGCAAGTTTATCCCTCTGGCCTTAAATGCTTCTAGGGTGGACATCTTCACACCACTCCTATATCTTTCAATCAGACTACATTTTTCTTGTCATAATTACCATCTCTTTTAACTTATAAGTAGCCTATCTGTTGAGTGATGTTTCTGAATTTTTTTTTCTTTGAAGTGTATGCCATCCTGATACTTGTAAATTGAAAATGAAAAATCTATTATTTCCATTCAGTCATATGTGAAAGGTACTAAACCACACTAAGTCAAAGGACAACTCTTCTGTAAAACTGTATATAGCACTACAGAAGGTGATGAGGTAATACTTTTAGGGCTGTGCCCTCAATTTCTTTATCATTTACTTCAAGCAGCACAATTCCCCTTCAGCGACTAACACCTATCAATATCAATTGTGTTTCCAATTTTGTCTTGTACATTGGTCAGTGATGAGCAACTGGCAGAAACAGGTGCTGCCAATTCAGCATCTATAGTTATAAACGTCTCTGGGTTTCTTTTCTTTTTTTCCTTTTGTTCTTCTCTTTGATGTCTGAGTATCCTGGCATTAAATTGCCTGCTCTCATTTATTGACAGTGTTCAATAATTTTCAATTATTTTAAAACAATTTTCCTTCTGAGGTTATGGTATCAGTGAAATTAACTCTGGATTCCTTTTAGAAGTATGAATTTAATACCACGTGATGCTGTTGGAACTATGAAATAATCTGACAAAAAAGCTTAGGAACAAGTACAATGTTTTAACTAAATATAGTAACTGTATATGTACGACACCTAGTTTGTTTAATCTCTATGTTCTGTGCCTTAACTGATAACCCTGATAGGTTTGCATGTCTTGAATTGGTTTCTGTCTTAATTCAGATTTCAAAAAAAATCTATCTTTGAATATATGTGACTCAGCCGTTTAAAAAATAGTCTACTTTTATCAAATGCTTAAAGTTGAATTTAATGTTTTATGAATGGTGTAAAAATGGACTCTTCACATCAAGAGTTCAAAGTTTCTGGAGCTGACAAGTGAAGTTATCCTATTTACTAGTTTTCCGAGGGCCATCGGGTTAGCCCAAGGCAGTCCCAATTTTGTGCCTTTTGACATAGTGAAATGATTAAATAATACTTCCATTTCATTATCTACAATGTTCTTGTTTGGAAGTTAAGTTACAAGCTTACTCAGGCTAACATTTGTTAATTCATCCAGCCTCGTCTCCATTCATTTTTTCATTCCCTTAGTAAATTTTGTTGAAACTGGTGAAAAGCATCCATTTTCTCTTTTAGGATGAGGAGAAGAGACTCCAAATGATATAGGCAAGGTTGTCAGTGAAAACTTACCGACATGAAACCTCAGAGAGGAAAACTGTAGTATGATGTGCAGAATGTCAGAATGTAGGGATGTGGTGGAAAGAGAAGTGGAGGTATTGCAAAATGAGGAAAAGCCTCCACTGAAAGGTTTATAATTAAGTTTCAATGACAAAAAGAAAAGAGGCAGGAGACAGGGGAAAGATAATTTCTGCTAGAAGAAAAAGCAAGAGCAAGTGCCCTAAGACTAAAACAACTGGGGCATCGTGCTGGGAAGAAGAGAAGTTCAGTGTGGATGGAGCATGGTAAATGAGTTTAGAGGAAGGCACAATATTAGTTTAGAAATCTTCAGGTTAGCCAGAGTACATTTTGCTTTGTACCAGGATAATGTGAATATATAGCTCTTTAGTAAAAAAACAAAACAAAACAAACATACAGACAAACAAAAAAGTAGAACTGTTTCGGCAGGACGTGGTGGCTCATGTTTGTAGTCTCATCGCTTTGGGAGGCCGAAGAGAACAGATCACTTGAGGAGGCCAGGTGTTCCAGACCAGCCTGGCCAACATGGTGAGACCCCCTCTCTGCTAAAACTACAAAAATTAGCTGGGCATGGTGGTGCACACCTATAGTCCCAGCTACTCGGGAGCCTGATGAGGGAGGATCACTTGAGTCTAGGAGGTTGAGGCTGCAGCGAGCAAATCTTATGCCTCTGCACTCTAGCCTGGGCATCAGAGTGAGATTCTGTCTCAAAATAATAGTTGTAATAATAACAATAATAATCATAATAGAACTGTTTATTTTAGATACCACTTTTTCATAGTAGCCAACAATGTAAAACAATTAAATCATTAAAAATGAGGTCTTGGGAGGCAAAAACTGATAACAAAGAATCAGGGATGATGGACTTTTTCTTTTAGAGATTGTGAGACAACCCTGGAAAGAAGATGCTGTTATGGCAGGACAAGCACTCAGGACGATGTGTATCCTTTAATATAGCTAATAAGGTTCTTTTATTTTCACCACAATACTTTCTAAGATAGTTAAATATATTTGTTCATAGGTTTAGTCATGTAATAAATACTTATGGAGATACAGAGCCCATCCTATGCCACATATATGGAGGTAAACAAGACAGGTATGGTTCCTGCCCTCCTGCAGAAAAGGCTGCTGGATACATCATGACAAAGACTGAGAATTTGAAATGAGTACAGTGTTTTCTGGATGTAAATAACCTGTTCTAAGATACGGGAGAGGTGAGAGAAAGTGTTCCTGAGAAACTCAGAGGGAATCATGTAAATAGTTGCTGAATTTTATAAGTGAATTACTACTATTTGTTAACCAATTGATTTAATATTGAGTCATTTGGAATGTCAGGCTGCATTAAGTGTGAAGGGGAAAAAAAATCTGGCACCCACCTAAACATGGCCATCTTACAATAGAAGTTCTCTTGCATCAATTTTAAAAATAAAGTCCTTGTCAATTATTTCTGTATAAAGTAATTTTGAAGTTGGCTTGTACCAAAAACAAGTGCTAAAAAACCTAGAGGAATTAGAGATTTGGAAACTGCACTAATTTATAAAGCCATTAGGGTATAATGATTAAATAAATAATGAATAATGAAATAATGAAAACCCCAAGGAACTATGAAGCTTTGAATTAAATTCTAAATTTTCTTAACTTAAACTAAACACTTTCTTTGGCATTTTGAAACAGCTTTGTTATATATTGATGATTTTATAATAGATTGTTTACTTCACTACAAACAGTTATAGTCATCCAATCACTTGTTAATGCATAGTTTTGTAAAGCCTTAGCTTTTGAGCCGTTATATGCTATTTCCATTTTGACAAACATAACAATGGTTCGAGAGATTGTATTTACTTTAGGAGTGGAGAAGAAAATTAATCTAAAGAATTGTTTCTTAACAGTTTTGGTGGCTGATTAAGTAATAGACATTGTTTGGCATTAATGAGTAGTATGCTTGAAACAAGGGGATTTCATCAGTTTTATTTATTTAACGTTTTTCTTTCTTTTCAGTTTTACACAAAAAGTTTCCTCTGAAGGGTTACCGCCAGGCACAGTGACTCATACCTGCAGTCTCAGCACTGGGGGAGGATGAGGAGGGAGGATCACTTGAGCCAGGAGTTCAAGACCAGCTTGGGCAACACAGTGAGATCTCGCTGGCTACAAAAAAAATTTAAAAATTATCTGGGCATGGTGGGGTGCACCTGTAGTCTTAGCTACAGGTGAGGCTAAGGTGGGAGACTCTCTTGAGCCTGGAGGTCGAGGTCGTAGTGAGCTGTGATCAAGTCATTGCACTCCAGCCTGGGTAACAAAGCAAAAAAGAAAAAAAAAAAGCAACAGCAACTCAGGATACTTGTAGAATGTGAAATAAAATAAGAGAAGTGAAGTTACTTAATATTAAGTAAAAGTAAAACATTTATGTTACTTTTATGTTGAGTAAAAGTGCAATGACTTTTATATTGAGTGATAAGGTTGTAATTAATGAAATTTATGCATAATAGATTATTCTTTTCCTTGGGCTTCAAGAATGAGGGCACAATATATAAGGAGCTGACGTATGCATATTTCAGCCACTTTTCTATCATCTCCCCTACCCTTCTGTCCTTTCTCCCTTGAACAGGCATTGAAGTAAATGCATACACTAAGTCATATCTCTAATACGGTTAGATGAGAAAGATAAATAGGACATTGCACCTGTACAAACAGATCTTGTAAGTAAACAGACGTAGCAGATAAAGAAAGAAAGATATAGGCCGGGCACAGTGGCTCACGCCTGTAATCCCAGCACTTTGGGAGGCTGTGTCAGGCAGGATAACTAAGGTCAGGAGTTCGAGACCAGCCTGGCCAACATGTTGAGACCCTGTCTCTAATAAAAGTACAAAAATTAGGCGGGCATGATGGTGTGCGCCTGTAATCCCAGCTACTCAGGAGGCTGAGACACAAGAATCTCTTGAACCTGGGAGGACGAGGTTGCAGTGAGCTGAGATCGTGCGACTGCACTCTAGTTTGGGTGACACAGGGCGAGTCTTGGTCCCAAAAAATGTAAAATAAAATAAAAAATAAAGATATAATGTAGCCTTTGCTCCCCTCATGATAGAGCTGGAGAACTGTGGAATGGAGACTTCGAATTGACACTCTTGCATGGTGCTCACATAGTAAAGCTTTGTGGATTTTTTTAGCTTGAACTTTTATTTGTTTGACTGAAAGATTCATGAAAGGGTAAAGAAAGATTATTCTTTTATTAGCTCTGTTCCTAAAAAAATCCCCATTTTTAGTGGCCGATGTTTACTTTTTGAGCGACTCTTGTGTTTTTCGGTTGGTCAGGTTTCACAGGGACAATTAAATATCAAAAGTGGGAATAATTTTTATCATTCATTCTTCGAAGCAGAATCAAAATGAGTTCTGAGTAAATTTAGCACTACTTATGCCTTTATTACTATTACCAAAATCTACCTTCAGACCAACGATAAAATTCAGTTCTATGTTGTGTGTGTCAATATCCTATTCACTTCTAATCTCCAAAACCGTGCATATGGCCATGAACAGAGTAGTTGTTCAATATTTGCCTTTTTAAAAAAGCAAACAAAAACAACTGTATTATCAACAGGGCAACAAACTACTTAGGACAAAATCAATATCTGGATTTTTAAAATGCTAAGTTTGATATGATCATGCTGCTGCACTCCAGCCTGGGCAACAGAGTGAGACCCTGTCTCAAAAAAAAAAATGCTATATTTGAAAATTAGGAAAAACATTTTTCTTACTCTCCGTCTATTTTGTATTTATCTATTTGTTATCTACCTGTCTTTCTTCCTTTTCAACTACTCATAAAATTGAATTTAATCAACTGAAGTCTCCATGATAAGAAGTCCTATCTATATTTTATTAATCATTAAGAAAACTGATGGAAGATTCAAATGTTTTTCAGTTTTAATAATGGTGGCCAAATAATACTATATCTCGATAATTTTTGCCATTGCTAGTTCCCTTCTTTAGTTCTGTTGATTCAGTGTACCATGTAGCTTTATTTAGTATTTCAATACCCCTTTTCCTTTCACTTTGTGCTGTTATTGTCAAATATACTACATCATTCTATAAACTGAATGTTTGTGTCGTTTCAAAATACGTATGTTGAAACCTAAACCCCAGTGTGAGGGAATTTGGAGATGAAACCTTTGGTGGATTGATTAGGTCATGAGGGCTCTGCCCTCATAAATGAAATTAATACATTTATAAAACAGAGACCCATAGGAGCTTTTTGACCTCTTTCACCATATGCGCACATAGCAAGAAGATTAGTCTATGTACTAGGGATCAGGCACTCACCAGGCACCAAATCGGCCAGTTATTTGATTGTGGACTTTACGGCCTCCATACGTGTAAGAAATAAATCTTTGTTGTTTATAAGCTACTCAATCTATGATTTTTTAGCATGGTATAGATCAGATTAAGACACATTTCTATGTTACAGGCCCAGTAGTATAATTTTATATATTATTTTATGCATTTGCTTTTAAAATAAGTTAAGAGAATGAAGGAGAAGATATATGCGTTTTATGCTTTTATCATCACGTAATTACTTTTACTGGGGTTCATTGTCCTGGTTTGTTTTCCATGTGTATGTGAATTATTGTTTAGTTTCCTGGCTTTCGGCCTGAAATTTTCTTTAAGGCAGGTCTGCTGCAATAATTTTTCCTAGTTTTGTTTATCTTGGAATGTCTTTATTTTGTCTTCATTTTTGAAAGATAGTTTTGCTGGATGTCATTGCCTTTTGTCCACCTTTATTTCTGATATAAGATTATCTATTATTCTTACTGGGGTTCCCATTTACATGGCCTGTTGTTTATCTTTTGGCTGCCTTCACATTTTCTCCTTGTCTCTGGCTGTAAACATTTGTACTATGATATATCTGGACGTGGATCTCTTTATCCTACTTGGAGGTGGTTAAGCTACTTAGATATGTAGTTTACCATGTTTCATCAGATGTGGGGGGTCGCTGAGCTCTGTGAGAGGAAGCAGAGTTGCTGGCAGGCATGATAAGTAGGACAAATCCTACTGTCTATAAGAAGAGCACCAGTGAGCAGGAGATTGGTAACTAGGGGCAATGACTGAATGCCATGTTCAACCACGATGCAAAAACCACATGGCTGAAGAGGCCAGAAGGGAACAGCAGCACCCCAGTGAAAGTCCAGAAACCAGAACATGCTGCACACAGTGGAAACCAACAAGAGTCCGGGAGACAACAAGCAGCTTTGTGCCTCTGCTCCCTGGTAACCTCATTGTTTGGTTAGTGTCATACCATAACCCACATCCTGATGCCATCACAGAGCAGAGGAAGAAGAGGACAAAATAATACAGAAGACTGAACATTTTACACTGGAACAATGGAGGTGCGCAAAATCAGATACGTATAGATAGATATTTCATTTAAATGAAGCATAATTGACAATATGATATGTTCATCATCAAAAACGATCATTTTAAAGAGAAATACAATGGACAATTTAAGACCTATCTCAGTTTAGGGTGTAGGAGGTTATGGGCAAGGATAACTTAGTCACTAAAATATAAGCATGCTATATTTTCTTTATTTTCTTTGCATATCTGAATAGTAATGTGAAACTATTTACTCTGTCACAAATGTACAAGTGCTAGCTGAAATACTCTACAAAGCTTTACTAAGTAATAGGAAATACAATAATGGAGATAAATCAAGAGAAACTTAAAGTTTTTGTACTAAAAGACTCAATATTTAAGGAAACAAATTCTTCTAAAACCAATTTAGAAAAATCTTTCAATCCTGACCAAAATTTCAACACAATGCCTTTTGTTTTAGCCTGAAAAGATATTTGTTAATAATAGATTTTTTAAAAACACAGAGGACAAAGAAAGAACATCTTTAAATAAATAATTTTATTTGAAGATTCAGACATGTGTAGGACAGATTCAGGGAACCTTTCTACTCGTATGTTAGACATCTCTGTGAGTGCAAAAATGCAGCTCATTTACATAGTAAAATTAGATGTCTAATACCTATTTTGAGCTCTGTTTGTGACCTATTCTTTTTTACAAAAATTTTGCATGATCATCATTAGTCCTTAGTCACTAAGTCAATAAGAATACCCCATATTATACCGACAATATTATTTCAATCATACCATAGACTGCTTTTCTTTTTTAAAAATTTTATATATTTTTATATTATCATATACCTGTTATAAAATGTTGCAATATGGACATATTTGGTTATATTTCAAGAAGGAAACAGAAAAGAACATATTTGCCTATATTCACTAGTTTTGTATAATAAAATTATTTAATAAAAGTACCTAATTTTTAATAAATATATATATGTAGACATATATATATATTCATGCATGTATCTATGTATATTTCTCTGTATAGGTACCCATTACCACATCTGTATACATGGAAAGTTGTAGTTGTAGCTATAGACAGAAGATTTTATATAAGACTAAAGAAGATAAATAAAGAAAAATTTTTTGTATGTGGGGCTAGAATAAGAGTTTTTTCTCTCTCAAGTTTACAAATTTTCTTCTCACTTGGAAACAAACATTTCATATTGATTTAGTAAATTTGTTCACACAAAGTGATTTCGACATTGTTTTAATTTTATTAGTATTTAGAGTATTTTTATAGCTCATTTCAAATATTATACTACTGTAGGAATGACTAATAGGTGAAATAATATTTGTGGCTTAAGATTTTCAGGAGAAACCACATTTGATCTAAAAGTTTGCTCAACAAAACTATGTGGAAAATGATGTATATTGTCTCTACTCCTTCAAATATTTACAATTATTTGTGTTGCTCTTCAAAGATCCTAGAATATATGATAAGTGCATGAAAACTGGTACAAAACAAGGTGTTAGTACAAAACTGAAATAAACTCAAAATGAGAAAAAAAAGAAATTTCATTGTCCCAGAATAGGAAACAACACACGGTCCCACTATAATTTACATAATATAAAAGTGAATTCACTTAGCAAAAGACAGGATGAAGTAAATATGAAAAGGCATGTGAAGAAAACTGTACTAAAATCGCAATCAAAAATAATTAGTCTAAAGATAAAAGTATATAATAGCTTATCTGTGCGAAAGTGAGAGATATTGTTGTCGTTAATCTGTATCCTCATGAAACAGATTGACTTTTAAATACCCTTATAAATTTTTGCATGTTAAATTTTAATGCTGGTTTTACACAATCAGGTTTCAGTTCATTTTTCGAAGCCTTTTACATTTTGTAGACTTAGAGCTATATTTGCATTTGTAAGGAGGGGGAAAATTAGAAATAGAAAACAAACAAAAATAACTGCGTCCCCTAATCTAAATTAAGTATTCAAGCATTCAGCTGACAGGTAAGTAGTTTTCGTCGTCTTGGAAAGCATCCCCAACTTCTCTATTTTTTAAGAAAGAATGAGTGTTTTTCTCAGGACCTAAACCGTCAATGGTACTGCAGCTTTTGACCTGACTTGTTTATTCTCCCCCATGTGCCTTTTAAAAATTTCTTTTCTCATAATTTCTTTCACACATTCTATTGTTCTGGAATAATCCATATTAATTCTTCTTTGGTAATACTTCTAAATTTTCCCAATATCTGATTGTTTTTAATTCTCCAAACATAGTGCTTAACTGTTTGGCTATTCATTTATCCTGAATCAATTGGACACATTTTACTTTTTGACTATAAACTTCAAATCAGTGAATACACTGCTCCTTCTCATTTTGTGTGTTTGTAGATGTACCTCTATATTTTTAAATGCTCTTCAGGACATCTGCTAATATTTATCTTGTGATCAGTTGTACGTCTTGGTACTAAGCTCCTAAGTGTCCACATCACAGCAATCAATACTTATGAACTGTCTTATACATCATTGACATTGTCCTTTATCCTTTACATATCTGAAATTCCTAGATCCTTCATCACATGCTTTTTCCTCTCCCTTCCATTGATCTATCAATAATTATTTAGAGCCAATTTTTTTCTACTAGATCCCTATTTTCCATTTTTTTCCCACACTTCTGTCATCCTAGTGAAGTTTCTAAACTGCTGGTGAAATCACAGCACCGGCATATTCCTATCTGCATCGTGCACTGCTTCAAATTATCTTTCCCAATTTAGTTGCAGTAAACATAGAATAGGTAGCACTCTCCGTCCTCCATATGTGTTTTTATAAAGTAGACCGAAGATTTTAAGGTCCAATGCCATCTAGATGCTTAACTCTAACCTCAAGAGAAGGTACCCATCGTCCGATTATAGTTGCAACAATGAGAAGAAAAAAAAATTCAGCTATACGGAGCATGTGGGGGATTCTCATGACTGTGTCTGGAATTTACTGACTAGGAACTCTTCTCATAAATGGTGCATCCTCCATTTAATTTTAATAATTTACAGGCAAACCGTATTCTATATTTTAATAATGGCAGAGCATTGAGGACCATTCTACATCTATGTTGTCCTCTCATTATTTAAATAATACACAAGACTGAAATTCTAGGTGAGGTCTAAATTCCTTTCAGTGACTTGGCTAACAGCCCAGCACACAGACACTCGGTTACCGTTTTACAGTTTGTATAGGCCTCCACCCCACACACTTTTATGCTTGTAAATATTCTAGGTACTCTTGCTTTTCCATGTGTTTTTAAGTACTCTGTTTTTAAGTAGCATTAAAAAAAAATTCACCCACCTTCACCTTCAGTGTAATACTAGTCACCCATAAATAATTTATTTAAATCCCATTATATAATTAGTACATATCTACTACTCACACTAATAATGACTTGGAGTTTTTATGGAGAAATGTTAACATTTTAAAATACCTGAAGTTTCTGAAGGAAAAGAGAAGGAAATAGGAGTTCTTCCCATTATGCTGCATCTCTTTCACCTTTAAAATCTTTATCAATAATTTAGAGCATAGCATCTGTCCTTTCCTCTTGTACTAATGCATTACATTGTACCCTAGTGCCCTCAAATGTCAATGTGCCTCTCTAAGATATAAAATTAGCAACAGGGGCTTAGACAATTTAAAATTTGAAATTCTTAAAAAGTATAATTAAACATAGGTATGGAAGGTTAAGCCATCACTTTTGGAGAAAAGTTTACTTCAGCCTTTAATAGAAGACATTTGTAGTACTTACACAAAAACCATATTCTGGGCTAAAAAGGCAAGAGAAACATGAAATCCCAGTGTATTTTTTCTTCCTTAATTGCTCAATAGCCAGTTTTTCAAATTGATTCCATCGTAACAATGCAATTTAACATTTTTTAAATTTTAATTGATTTTAATATTGCAAGTGTCTTAGCTGGTTCATTGCTCCCAATGGCATTACAGAGATATATCTCAATAAAGGATGTTGCTATATTAAATCAGTATATCAATACACCTTGCATTAAGAAGCAAGAGCCTTAGAGAATGTATGAATCAAAGCGGAAAGAAAAATGGTTGCTGAACTTCATCTTTCCTAAAACAAACACATTAATGGAAAAACATCGTAAAAAGTATTGTTCGTGTGCTGAGGGATACATAAAACAAAAATGCATAGCAGAGTAAATATTTCCCTTCCATATATTGATATAAAGCACTAAAATGTTTTCTCCGGGGCAGGAAATTCAAATGCTTACATCAAAATAATGCATAAAGTATGTGAATAAAAAAAGTGAAGACCCTGTTTATGACAATCACTTCCTCAATAAATGAAGAAAGTAACTGTAGTCCCTGTTTTTCTCACAGGGATATAGACAGCTCCAATTTATGACTTGCTTAGGCTCAAAATTGCTATGTAAGGAAATCTGTAGACCTTTGATTGCACTTTCACTTACAAGTTAGAAGTACTCGCTTATGAACAGAATCTCCAAAGACAGACAATGTATTCCTGATCAAGTGAAAGCGTAATACGAATTACACTACCCTATGTTTTAATCAGGGTTTACTGAAGAAAAATGCTTAGAAAAAGAAAAAAAAAAGGAAGGAAGGAAGGAGAAGGGAAGGGAAGGGAAGGGAAAGGAAGGGAGGGAGGGAGGGAGGAGTAAAGGAAGGAAGGAAGGAAGGGAGGGAGGGAAGCAAGGAAGGAAAAACACTTTCTATGCAAAACTGCATCTGCAATTGCCCTTCTACCTATTGTGACTCTGATAATGGTAACAAGATCAAATATCTACAGTCTATTTTCAGATACTAGAATACCTCCAGCACGTTTTTTCCCTCATAATGCCCACTAGTACTGGTATTATTTTATTTATGAGAAAATGCTTGAATTAAGTAAGTAACACACTCAACTGCAAAGGGTGGAACTGTGTTTGTCTCAAGTCATTAACAGGCTTATTATTAACTGGCTAAGCTGTTGTGAATAGGGGACTAGTCTCTCTCCACTGATTGATGGAGTTGACAGAAAATAAGGCTCAAGTGGAACTGAGAAAATCTTTCCTTGGAAAAGATGTGTTCCTATGGTTGTCATTCAGTGATGACTTACATGACCATACTAGGTGGAACAGAAATTGGTGCTGTGAGCACAATTTTGCCAAAGCATTCACATAAGTGGTCCCATAAAGTGTGAGACCGTGAGGGTGAGAGAAAGGCTAAATTTCTGCTGCTAAAACTAAGCAACAACAACAACAACAACAAAAACAGGCAAAAAAAATCCACAAAAAACAAGGAGAAATGGCTCTGTTTTGGAGGGATGGGAACAGCCATGAGAGATATTGAATATTGGTTGTAATAGTGCTTCCAAAAGTTGTATGAGAGAGGGAACACAAAGTTATAAACCAAGCAAACATGGACAGTTTTTATTAAGAATGTGTAATAGGGGATTGTTTCAAAATGAATGTATTTTAAATCTAGGATGAACCTTCTCCAGATAAAGTATTGATACATTTAATGCTTTATATCAATATATGGAAGATAAATACTTGTTACTGTAGTATCAGGGAAAAAGTATTAGGTTTATGCGTCAAAATATGTCTCTCATATTTTTATTTATATCTAAAAGTTGTTAATTTAAATTGTTACAAAACATGTAAATAAGGAAATGCCATGTTTTAATTAATGAAATTGGTGTTAATTTCAGATCCATAGGTAAGGGCATGTTTCAACACAGGAGAAGAAAGACCATGAGACCAGTAAAAGGAGGAGGAGTTGTTATGGGTGGAACAAAGCATGTGGACTATTCACTTAAACATCTAGGTTGTGTTTGTATAATCTGTGTGTGTTTTTTAATGGCAAAAACTGTTGTGAAAATTGTGTAATATATGACATAATTCCCATAGAACCCTAATAGGTTGCCTTATTACAATCATTTTGTAAATAAAGTTGCTAGCTAGTTAATGGCAGAACTATAATTTAGAACTAGTACTTAGAAATTTTGTAGCTCATGGTCTTGCAACTGTATCATAAAACTTCAGGGAACATTTCTTTATTAATAGCTCAGACATCATTACAGTAATTATTATCATAGAGTAATTATTTTAAAAATACCAAAATAAAACCAGGAATTGGTAGAGAGCCAACACTTCAGAAAAAGAGTCAGTCTTCAAAGCTAAAGGTGGAAAATACAATCATTTTGCTCATCAGTAAGAAAGAAAGCAGAAACCAGGGTATGTAATGATAAGTCCAAAAGATTAGGTGAGATTCAAGGTCAGGACTGGCTGGAAAGAATGAAGGGAAAGAAAAAAAATTGGCGTGAGGAAAGACACATTTCGACCCACTTCTAGTGGAAGGTATCTTGATGTTGGATTCTACAGGTTTATTTGTATTTACTTATCTACTGTGTGCAAATTTTTAAAATATATGGGTGTATGCACATTTATGTTTATAAAAGTTTCCCTCTAAGCTTGAAAATTATTCTAAGTTTTTATTTGTACTCCTGAAAAGTCTTACAAACAACCCTGGTCTGCTGTCATATCTCTAGAGTCTGATTTGGGGTAGAAAAATGCCCTGATTATAAAGCATGCTATCTATTTTCTTTTTAAATTTTTATTTATATATTTATTTTGAGACAGAGTTTTGCTCTGTCACCCAGGCTGGAGTGCAGTGGTGCGACCTCGAATCACTGCAACCTCTACCACTGGGGTTCAAGCAATTCTCCTGCCACAGACTGCAGAGTGGCTAAGATTACAGACTCGTGCTGCCACGCCCAGCTCATTTTTGTATTTTTAGTAGAGACAGGGTTTCACTGTACCAGCCAAGCTGATCTCGAACTCCTGACCTCAGGTGATCCACCAGCCTCAACCTCCAAAAGTGCGGGGGTTACAGGCATGAACCACCGCGCCCAGCCAAAAGTCTGCTATTTAAACCTCCACGACTTTCTTATTTGGCTACATTCTTTGTGTTTTTTCACATATTTTATATCATTCTTTCCATATCATATATAAAAATGTAAATTAACTGTTTGCATTTATTAAAATATGCCTTATGTTTTATAGTCTCTGTGACTTAGCTCAAAATACTCAATCAGTAATGTCTGTCTTGCTGTTTACTTTTCACCCAAGCTCTATGAATTTGAACAGTATCCTCTTATATAAAAACTATTTCTAGTTAGATATATTTCTTATTTACTCTTTCTAACACGCTCTACTAGATATCAATTTATATGTACAGTTGTCTGTATCCATTCAGATTTTAAGCACTTAAAATGTAGGTTCTGAGTTGTTTGATTCCATGGAACAAATGTCTCAATAATTGAGTTATCTTTGCAACATTTTTGAAGACTTGGAATTAAAAATTCAATGAATAGAAACTGATTTTGCAAGTAATTATGATAGAGCACCTGCAGGAAATGGGTAATATATACATTTACTTCATAAAGGGTAGACATCAAAATTCAGCAATCTAATGGGAATATTTATGGATCAGAAGTTTCTTTATTTTAAACAATTCAATTAATTGTCACTAATAACCTAATATCTAATTTTATGTGTATCCCATGTAAGCTAACACAAACAATATTATCCTTTTAATTTGTGGAAAAAGTATGTAAGAGTGTAAGATTTAAACATGTCTGCTAAGTTCTGTAATTTCATACTTGGGCTAAGACAGACAGATGTCAGTGTTATTGCTGTATATGTTAAAATTTTAGTCTTGCTTGCTACCACTTTTCAGCTGAGTTGTTACTCTACTACTATTGCTTGGAGTGGATTTTGCAGAAGTGGGAGTGAGAAGGTATTTTTCTTCTTTTCGTCTTCTCTTCTTCCATGCATTCCTCCTCCTCCAACTTTCTCTCCTTCCCTTCTTCGTTCCTTGCATTTTCATTTCTGGGGAATAGATTACATACATGGCACTTCTTACATGAGTGAGCTATGCCTATGCCCTTAAAAATTAAATATTATTAACCAGAAATTATACTATATTTTACTTATTTTCAAAAATCATGCACTGGAAATTTAATTTTACATGGTCTTACATCATCTCTTTCAACCCTATATTTAATTTACAAAAAATAATAAAACTTTTATTGAAGCGTTTATAGGGTTATTTATCTTAAAAGACCCTAGAACAATTGTTCATCATTTCGACTACATAATCTGATTAATTAAAGAGTATGCATGTGTTTGCTATACATTGATTTTAATTTTAGATGATTTACAGAAATCCAAGGTAACTTATTTTCATTTAAGTGGAAAAATTATTCATAAAATATGATATATATTTTATTTGTAATATATTGAAAAGTCTTCACTAAATCACACACTATAAAACTTTATTGACATAAACATATTTTTCAGATCATTTTGCCAGCGATTTCCATCTGGTGTACAAGTTAAAGAGAACTTTATTTGTGGACTTTGTCTTACATAGAATAATGTGTTTGGGAGGAAGGCTTTCCTAAGCATCCTGGAGTTGGGGTGGTAATTAGGATTGCTCATTTCTGCTTCCTGAATGGACTGTGTTGGGGATAAAAGAAGCTAACCAAAAATATGTTATTATTAGATGTTTATGGCATCAAGTCTGTTTTATAGTTTAGGTACTTTAATGATAAATTATTGTAAAACGGATTTGATGATATGAACACCTAATAACAAACAAATAGCTCTTAAATGATTTTTGCCAGATTGAGGAATAAGTAACCTATGACTCCCAAGTAAAAGTAAGAGAAAAAAAATGTTTTTCTTGTATTTTCTCTTTATCATATTGGAAAAAAATTCACAGTCAAGAAACAAAACAACAAAACAAAAAACAAACAGCAAGCCCCACGATCCAAAACAGTTTTACTCTTTCAGAACTGTGTTCTCATAACGACCAAGGAGTGCTACTCCACAACGCTCCATTACAATTTGAGCAGCAGCAACCGTTCAAGAGCGTGCCTCTCTACACTGATACACAGATGGAAAGGGGAAAGCCATCGTATTCTTCTTTGTGTATCTTTTCACAATCACCAGTGCTGTCCCCTTGTGGGTTTGTGATATCCTTCATCCTCTTTCTTCGTAACGAGTGTAAATAGGCTTACATTTCGTGCCCCAGTCAAATCAATCAAGAAAACAAACCAAAGTCACTCACTGAAAATAGAATGGGACATTAGTGTTGGGTCAGATTTTCTCTATTTTTAGGACAGCCATAAAAGAAATGTTCCTGGCAGAATCAAAACATATCAGATCAGTGGATGCTTTCTTTAAAAAAAGAGAGGCAGTACACACCTTCATGCCTTCATGCAGAGTTATCAGCTGTCATTGAAAACTAATTGTCATTAAATTCTCCCTTTGAAACATTAAAATGGAGTACAAGCATGTTGAAGATTATCAGGAAATTGAAAGCATGACATGTTTGAAACCTGTGATTAATATCACATTTATTGCAAAATTCACTTAACAGGGCTCTTTGGAAGAAGTTTTATATCATATCAGGTTATTGATGAATAGCAAATTGAAATTTTCATTATGCTGAGATTATATTTAGAGTTAGGGAAAATAATTCACTATTCATTATTTAACCTCTCTGATGGTAAGTCAAGAACAGTAATTCTGAAAAGGTACACATTTATAAACTTACATAGATAAGTGTGTGATATTTTTTACCAAATTTAGTGTAGAAGAGTTTACTTTTATCCCAAGTCTGTCGTGTAAAATGGGCAATATATTTTAGGAGAAAAACTTTGTACTGAATGATTACAAATTGACATAAAAAATATAGGATACAAAACTGAATTCAAAATTTATTTCTAAACTTGTCTAAGCACTAAAGACTTTTTTGTTTCTGTGACTCAGAAATAAAAATATGCAATGTGAGCATAATATTAATAAAAACTTCGCAATATTATTGTGAAAATCAAACAAGGTAACACAAACACAAAAACTTTCATCAGTAAAGCTCAGAGTAAACCTTACCAATACCTTCAGTCTGTTTTAGTGACTACAAATGTATAGAATTGGTTTTACTAGGACTTACTTATAGGATTGCATACACTTATAGACTTTAGACTATAATTTTGATTTGCAGGTCAGTTGTGGCTTTGTTAGTTGGTGTTTATAATTTTTTATATTTCTTCAAGATACTGAAATGCATTCTAGTCAAAACAGCTTTAAATGGACTAAAAACAAAGACGTTTGAGGAAAGTGTTTCTCCTTTCTAATGTAATTCATGTTGCCACATGAGTAAGATAATATAGTTCAATATTCTGGCAAAGAAGGAGAGCTAGTTTCAACTGATTATGTAAGCAGACAGGAAACACGTAGACACCACCAATACTAGAGGGTAGCTGTCCAGAGAAAAAACAAATGTCCAAGGTACATATAGAATGTATATGGAAATGAGACGATCCAATTTTAAATAACATGTGTGTCCAAACAAATAACCAAAAATTTTAGAAAATATTTTTATAATGATTATTTTAAAATTCAGTCTATCAAAATTCATGGAATGCAGGTAGTGCAGTGCTCTTAGAGAAATTTAAGACTTGCAAGACTTATCTTCAGATGAAAGAGATCCTTAAAATCAATTATCTGAGACTTTATCGTAGGATTATAGAGAACAACCAACTGAATCTAGTTAGATGAAGCCAAGAAATAATAAAGATAACAAAAAGCATTAAACAGAAAAATACACCACTTGATGGGTGATGGGTTTAAACATACTCCAAACCTCAGCATCATGCAGTATACCTTTGTAACAAACCTGCAATTGTACCCCCAGAATCTAAAATAAAAGTTGAAAAAATTACAGAAATTAATAACACCCAACAATGGTTCTTTGAGAATACTAAAACTGAAAAAGATATATGTAAAATGGTGAAGAGAAAAAGAAAAACAATACCATTATCAGTAATGAAATAACTTTTTAATATTGATTTGTAAGCACTCATAAAATGATGACAAAATATGACTAACTTCATATCGTTGAATTTGACAATTTTAGTGAGGTGAACAAATTCTTTGAAAGATATAACTTAACAAATTAGACTCAAGAACATATTGCAAATATAAACAGCTTTCTTTTATTAGAGTAACTACGTTTATAAATAAAACCTTCCTCTTCCCTTCCCAATAAAACCTCCAGCACCAGATGGTTTTATTGGTGAATCCTATTTAACATGTAATAAAGACATAATAACAATCTTACAGAAATTTTAGGGAAAATAAGAGCAAATTCTTTTCAACTTACTTTATAAACTAAGATATTAATACCAAAACAGCAAAAAAAAAAAAAAAAAAAAAAAAAAAAAACACTAAGAAATGACAAAAGCCACTAAGAAATGACAGACAATAGGCCTCTTGAACATAGATACAAATGTCTTTCAAAAACAGAGACTACATAAAAATAAAAAAGAAATTCAGGACTTAAATTCAACACTTGACCAGGTGGAACTAATAGATATATGCGGAATACTCCACCCAGCAACCACAGAATATACATTCTTCCCATCTGGACACAGAACATACCCTAAGATAGACCACAAGCTCAGCCATAAAGCAAGTCTTGATAAATTTTTAAAAAATCAAAATCATTCCACTCATAGACTCAGACCACAGTGGAATAAAAATAGAATTCAATATTAAAAATATCTCTGAGAACCACATGATTACATGAAATTAAACAACTTTCTCATGAATGACTTTGCAAACGAAGCAAAGAAATTAAGGTAGAAATCAAAACATTCCTTGAAATGAATGAATACAGAGACACAACATACCAAAATATCTGAGATGTAGCAAAATCAGTGTTAATAGGAAAGCTTATTGTGCTAAACACCTTAAAACAGAAAGATCTCAAACTAACAATCTAACATCACACCTGGTTGAACTAGAGAAACAGGAACAAACTAACCCTAAAGTTAACAGAACAGAAACAACTAAAATCAGAGCTGTACTCAATAAAATCATGACCCAAAAATCCATACAAAGAAACAATGAAACCACAAGTTTGTTAATTGAAAGGATAAACAAGCAGATTGATAGAGTGCTAGCTAGATCAGTGGTCCCCTACCTTTTTGGCACAAAGAATCGGTTTTGTGAAAGAAAATTTTTCCAAGGATTGGAGAGAAAGTTGGTAGGGTTTGGGATGAAACTGTTCCACATCAGATCATCAGGCATTAGTTAGATTCTCATAAGGATTGCGCAACCTAGATCCCTCAGTTGCGCAGTTCACAGTAGGGTTCGCGATCCTATGAGAATCTAATGCTGCTGCTGATCTGACAGGAGGAAGAGCTCAGGTGGTTGATGCTCACTTGCCCCCACACTCACCCCCAGCTGTGCAGCCTGATTCTTACCTGGTTGGGGACCTCTGAGCTAGATTATCAAAGAAAACAAGAGAGAGGATCAAAATACGGACATTCGGAAATGACAAAGGTGAAATTGTAACTGATAACGCAGAAATACAAAATATCCTCAAAGACTATTACGAATACCACTATGCACATAAATTAAAAATTAAGAAAATGTGGATAGATTCCTGGAAATACAGTCTCCCGAGATTGAATCAGGAAAAAATTAAAACCCTGAACAGATCAATATCAAGTTCTAAAATGGAATCAGTTAAAAAAAAAAAAAAAACCTACCAACCATATAAAGCACTGTACCAGATGGTTTTACAGTCAAATTCTACCAAATGGGCAAAGAAGAGCTGGTACCAATTCTATTGAAACTATTTCAAAAAACAGCAAGAGGGTCTCCTCCTTAACTAATTCTGTAAAGCCAGCATCACCCTAATACCAAAATGTGGCCAAGACACAATGAAAAGAAAACTAAAGGCCAATATTCCTAATGAACATAGATGAAAAATTCTCAACAAAGTACTAGCAAACTGAATCCAGCAGCAAGTCAAAAAGTTAATTCACCACAATTAAGTTGGCTTTATTTCTGCGATGCAGGGTTGGTTCAACGTACAAAAGTTAATAAATGCCACTTACCACATAAACAGACTTAAAAACAAATATTAAATCATCATCTCAATAGACACAGGAAAAGTCTTCAATAAAATCCAGCATTCCTTCATGAAGAAAACCCTCAAGAAACTGGGCATCAATGGAACATACTCCAAAATAATGAAAGCCACCTATGGCAAATACACAACCAACAGCAAACTGTGTGTGCAAAAGCTGGAAGCATTACCATTGACAACTGGAAAAAGACAAGGATGCCTACTGTCACCACTCTGTTTCAACATAATACTGGAGGTCTTAGAGCAATCTGGAAAGAGAAAGAAACAAAAGTCATCTGAATAGGGAAAGAAGATGTCAAATTATTTCTCTTAACATATGATATGCTTCTATACGTAAAAAACCCTAAGGACTCTGCCAGAAGGCTCCTGGAACCAATAAACGACGCTAGTTAAGTTTCAAGAAACAATATCAAAGTACAAAAATCAGTAGCATTTCTGTACACCAGTAATCTTCATGCTGAGAACCAAATCAAGAATAGAATCTCATTTACAATAGTGACAAAATTAAAATAAAATAAATTACCTAGGTACATAGCTAACCAAGCAGTAAAACATCTTCACAAGAAGAACTACAAAACACTGATGAAAGAAATTATAAGTGACACAAACAAATAGAAACATATTCCATGCTTATTTATTGGAAGAAATAATATTGTTAAAATGGCCATACTGCCATTGAATCTACAAATTCAATGCTATTCAAACTATCAATATCATTTTTCACATTTTAGAATAGAAAAAACGCTATTCTAAAATTCATATAGAGCCAAAAATGAGCCCAAATAGCCAAAGCAATCCTAAGCAAAAACCACAAAGCTGGAGGCATCACATTACCCACCTTCTACTATATGGCTACAGTAACCAAAAGAGTATGGTACTGTTACAAGAACAAATACATAGAACAATGGAACAGAATAGAGAATTCAGAAATAAAGCCACATACCTACACCCATCTGGTCTTTGACAGTCAACAAAAAAAAAGCAATGGAGAAATTATTCCCTGTTGAATAAATGATGCTGGGATAGCTGGCTAGCCATACGCAGAATAATAAAACTCAGTACCTACTTTTCACCATATATAAAAATTAACACAAGGTGGATTAAAGGTTTAAACTCAAAACATCAAACAGAATCCTAAAAGAAAACATAAGATACACTCTTCTGGACATTGGCTTTGGAAAATAGTTTATGACTAAGTCCTCAAAATCAATTGCAACAAAAATAGAAGTTTGCAAGTGGGACCTAATTAAACTTCCGCACAGGAGAAGAAACTGTCAACAGAGTAAACAGGCAATGTAAAATGGGAGAATATATTCACAAGCTATGCATCTGACAAGTGTCTCATATCCAGAATTTGCAAAGAACTTAATTCAATAAGCAAAAAACAACCCCATTAAAAGGTCTGCAAAAGACATCAATAAACACCTCACAAATGAAGGCACACAAGTGGCCAAGAAACATAAGAGAAAGTGGCCAACATCACTAATAATCAGAAAAATGCAAATCAAGACCACAAAGAGATATCATGCATGCCAGTCAGAATAACTATTATTAAAAAGTCAAAAAAAAAAAAAAATGCTGGTGAGGCTGTGAAGAAAAGGAAACCCTTATACACTGTTAGTGGGAATATAAATTAGTTCACCCTCTGTAGAAAGCAATTTGGAGATTTCTCTAAGAACTATCATTTGACCCAGCAATCCCATTACTGTATATATATCCAAAGGAAGATAAATTATTCAACCAAAAAAACACGTGCACTCATTTGTTCATCACAACACTGTTCATGATAGCAAAGACACAGAATCAACTGATGTGGCTATCAATGGTGGATTAGATAAAGAAAATATGGTACATATACCCCATGGAATACAATGTAGCCGTAAAAAATTGCCAGAATAACTGAGAATATTAAGTAATTTTACAATAAATGCACAGAAAGTATTTAGCAAATTTTGACAGCTATAAATGATTGTTGACTATCAGCAACTATAGTTAACATCATTAATTGTTAAAGACTGAATGCTTTCCTGTTCTCTCCAATTGGACTGACGACAGAAAAGGTTTCCTGCACTCACGTTTTTCTTCAATATTGTATTAAAAACCCTAGCCAGTGCTGTACAGCAGAAAAATGAAATAATTGGCATAAAAACTTAAATGGAAGGGAAAACTGTCTCTATGTGCACACAACATGTATGTAGAAAATCCCAAATGATCACCAACTAATGCATAGAATTTTTAACTAAATTTAACATAATTTAAAGACACACATTTATTATATACTAGCTGCAAACATAGAAAATTCAAATAAAAGTACAATAACATTAAACCATATAATATTTCATGTAAATTAAATACAGATTTGTAAAATACACTGAAAAGCACACAACATAAATTTGTAAATGTAAAACCTTAAAGAATCACAGGACATATTTTGTTAGATTTGAAGACTAAATATTTTTGGGTGCCTATTGTTCCCCAATTTTTTTAAAATTAGTCCCAATCAATCAAAATGCAAAAAATGCTTATCATTTTTGTAGAAAATGATAAGCTAATTCTAAAATATGTATGGAATTGCAAAGATCCTAGATTAGCCAAAATAATTTTGAAAAGGATGATAAAATTTGAAGAACATATACTACCTGCTTTTAAGTCTTTACATACAGCTTCACTGATTACCACAATATGGTATTGGAGTAAGCAGACAAAGAGAAACACAGATGTAGTCAGTAGATTCTTGACAATGGTACTAAAGTAATTCAATAGAAGAAAATATAGTCATTTTTTGGCAAATGATATTAGAACAACTGGATGGCCATATAGAGCAAAATAAACTTGTACTACTGTCTTACATTCCACAGAAACACTATACTTATAAAGAGTTGTATATTTAGAGAATAGCCTGAGTAAATACACTGAGTAAAAGTACACAGCAATACAAAGGAACAAGCACAGCAATATGTATTAATTACGAAAACATATGCTGCGTGACAGAACCCATAAAAACCAACAATATAGTGTATGATTGCATTTATATGACATTCTAGAACAACCAGTACAAATCTACAGTGAACAAAATCAGATCAGTGGTTCCCTGGGGCAAGGAATTTCAAGAATTGAATAGAGAGGATTCAAAGGGATTTCCTGAGCAGTGTAAAAGTTCTCTATATTAATGAATATGCATCTGAGTATATATTTTTATCAAAACTCATCAAATGCTATATTTTATATGTGTGTAATTCTGTATATAAATTGTAACTCAACAATTTTTTTAATTTGAAAAGAATGTAAATATAGACAGGAAAGGTATCTAATAGGTTTCTTTGAGAACATATACATACAAAAGTGGAATGCAAAGTATTGACTCAAAAAAAGACTAGATAAACATGCTTTCAGAAGCATAATATCCATATAAATGGTTTATGGTAATTTATAATGTGAAGTTTGTGAAAGCTCCTTGATATGGTTTGGCTCTGTGTCCCCACCCAAATCTCATCTTGTAGCTCCCATATTTCCCAGGTGTTATGGAAGGGACTCAGTGGGAGATGATTGACTCATGGGGGCGAGTCTTTCCCATGCTGTTCTCATGATAGTGAATGGGTCTCATGAGATCTGATGGTGTTAAAATTGGGAGTTTCTCTGCACAAGCTCTCTTTTTGCCTGCTGCCATCCACGTAAGATGTGACTTGCTCCTACTTGCCTTCTGCCATGATCATGAGGCTTCCCCAGCTATGTGGGACTGTGAATGCATTTAAATCTCTGTCTTTTGTAAATTACCCAGTCCCAGGTATGTCTTTATCAGCAGCATGAAAACAGATTAATACACTCCTACAATATGGTAGATCAAATTCTGGTTTATAAGGCCATTTTATGTTCTCTGCATTATATTAAAAATATTTATTTCTGGAAAACAAGAATTTATGGCCATTTTAAAATAATTGATTAGGTAATTTCTGAAATCATTACAGATGTCCTAAATTTGTTTCCTGGTTGGCTAATATTATTAATTTATTATTTATGATATTAATTTATCTTTAACTCTTAATGGTATGTAAGGTTTTTAATACTTAGTTTTAGATGAGATATCTGCTCTAATTCATATATTTATTTTTCTATAAGCTTTTCATTTCTCTGATTGCTTTCAAGACTGTTTTTAATTATAAAATTTGTTGTTTTCTGAACTTTGGAAATGTGTGACTTGGTATCTGTTTTTCAGATGACCATTATTTCTTCACATTTATTAACATACATCTTGGCCATTACTTCTTCACATATATTTCTGCCAAATTTTAGTTCTTCAACTTCTAGACTTTCAATTACGTGTAAATTGTAACCTTTGATCTTGTGTGCTCTGTTTTCTGTGTGCATGTGATTCATTTTTCTCTTTAACTTTTATGTGTGTGCAAATAAAACACTTTGAATTGGCCTCTTTTCAAGTTAAATGATTATTTTCTAAACTATTAAAAATATGTTGATTAACATGTTGTCAATGTTTTCCATATCCTTTACTATGGTTTTCATTTCTAGCATTCTTATTTGATTATTTCTGATGATTTCCACATTTCTGATAAAGTTAGCTGTCTGGTTATTCACTATGCCCACTTTTTCGACTACAGCCTTCAATATATTATTCATAGTTATTTTACATTATGTCTTCAGTAATCCCAATGGCTTAGTCATGTTTCAGTCTGGTACTATTGATTGCTTTCACTCTTGAAAAGAAGATTTTTCAATTACTTTTTTCTTGTTTCAGCTTCTAAAATTATTCTTCTTATTGATTTCTAGTTTTATTACATTGTGGTTAGAGAAGATGCTTGATGTTATATCAGTTTTTTTTTTCTTTTAACATTTTCAGACTTGTTTTGTGACTGATATAATTTGGCTCTGTGTCCCCACTTAAATTTCACCTTGAGTTGCAATGATTCCCACATGTTAAGGGTGGAGCCAGGTGGAAATAATTGAACCATGGGTACAGTTGCCTCCATACTGTTCTCCTGGTAGTGAATAAGTCTCAGAAGATCTAATGGTTTTATAAACGAAAGTTTCCCTGCACAAGTTCTCTTGCCTTCTACCATATAAGACAAGACTTTGCTCCTCATTCACCTTTAGCCACTATTGTGAGGTCTTCTCAGCCATGTGAAAACGTGAGTGAATTAAACCTTTTTTTCTTTTCAAATTACCCAGTCTTTGATACATTTTTATTAGCAGCATGAGAACTGACTATACAGTAAATAGGTACCAGGCATTGGGTGCTGCTGCTAAGAAGGGTGCTGAGAAAGTGGAAGCGACTTTGGAACTGAATAACAGGCAGAAGTTGGAACAGTTTGGAGGACTCTGAATAAGATAGGAAAATGTGGTAAAGTTTAAAACTTCCTAGAGACTTGGAGGGCTCAGAAGACACAAAGATGTGGGAAAGTTTGGAACTTCCCAGAGACTTGTTGAATGGCTTTGACCAAAATGCTATGGTATTATAGACAATAAAATCCAGGCTGAGGTAGTTTCAGATGGAGATGAGGAACTTGTGGGGAACAGGAGCAAAGGTGACTCTTGTTATGCTTTAGCAAAGAGACTGGCAGCATTTTGTCCCTGACCTACAGATCTATGGAATTTTGAACTTGAGAAAGATGATTTAGGGTATCTGGCAGAAGAAATTTCTAAGTGGGAAAGGGTTCAAGAGGAAGAAGAGCATAAAATTTTGGAAAATTGGCAGCCTGATGATGTGAAAGAAAAGAAAAACCCATTTTCTAAGTAGAAATTCAAGCATGGCTCAAAAATTTGCATAAGTAACAAGGAGCTGAATATTAATCAACAAGACAATGGGGAAAATGTCTCCAGGCCATGTCAGAGAACTTCCTGTCAGCCCCTCCCATCACAGGCCCAGAGGCCAGGGAGGAAAAAATGGTTTTGTGTGCCAGGCCCAGGGTCCCCTTTCTGTGTGCAGCCTAGGGACTTGGTGCCCTTTGTTCCAGTTACTCCAGCCATGTCTAAAAGTTTCCAGGGTACAGCTTGAGTCATGGCTTTGGAGGGTGCCAGCCCCAAGCCTGGTGGCTTACATGTGGTTTTGGGCCTGTCAGTGCAGAGAAGCCAAAAATTCAGGGTTTGGAACCTCTACCTAAATTTCAGAGAATGTATCAAAACACCTGGATGTTCAAGCAAAAGTTGGCTGCAGTGGCAGAGCACTCTTAGAGAACCTGTGCTAGGATGATGTGGAAGGAAAATGTAGGGTGTGAACCCCCACAAAGTGTCCCCACCAGGGCACTGCCTAATGAAGCTGTGAGAAGAGGGCCATCATCCTCCAGATTCCAGAATGGTAGATCCACTGACAGCTTGCACTGTGCATCTGGAAATGCCACAGACACTCAAAGCCAGCCTGTGAAAGCAGCCAGGAGTTGGGGTATACACTGCAAAGCCACAGAGGTGGAGCTGCCCAAGGCCATGGGAGCCCACCTTCTGCGTCCCTGTGACCTGGATACAAGACATGGAGTCAAAGACAATCATTTTATCACTTTATGGCTTAATGACTGTCCTACTGGATTTTGGACTTGCATGGGGCCTGTAGCTCCTTCATTTTTGCCAATTTCTCCCATTTGGAATGGGTATATTTACCCAATGCCTATAGCCCCCAATATATCTAGAAAGTAACTAACTGGCTTTTAATTTCACAGGCTCATAGGTGGAAGGGACTTGCCTTGTCTCAAAAGAGACATTGGACTGTGGACTTCTAAGTTAATGCTGAAATAAGACTTTAGGAGACTGTTTGGAAGGCATGATTGGTTTTAAAATGTGAGGACATTAGATTTGTGAGGGGCCAGGATGGGAATGGTATAGTTTGGCTGTGTCCCCACCCATATCTCACCTTCAATTGTAATAATCCTGAAGTGTCAAGGGCAGGGCCAGATGGAGATAATTGAATCATGGGGGTGGTTCCCCCCTACTGTTCTCATGGTAGTGAATAAGTTTCATGAGATCTGATGGTTTTATAAGTGGGAGTTCCCTTATACAAACTCTCTTGCCTGTCACCATCATGTTAGACATGACTTTACTCCTCATTTACCTTTAGCCATGATTGTGAGGCTTCCCCAGCCATGTGGAACTGTGAGCTAATTAAACTACTTTCCTTTATAAATTACCCAGTCTAAGGTATGTCTTTATTAGCCATGTGAAAACAGACTAATACAGTGACCTAACAAATGATATATCCTTGGGAATTATTTATGTGCTGAAAACAAGAATGTGTGTTCTGTAGCCACTGGATGAAATCTGTATATTTATATTAGATCTATTTGTCTATAGCAAAGATAAAGTCCAATGTTTCTTTGTTGATATTCTGTGAGTAAGATCTGGCCAATGCTAAAAGTGAGTGTTTATGTCTCCAATTATTATTATACTGGAGTCTACCTCTCTCTTTAGCTCTAATAATGTTTCCTTTATATATCTGGGTGCTCCAGTGTTGGGTGCATATATATTTCAAATTGTTATATTCTTTTATTGTATTGACCCCTTTATTGTTAGTCACCTTCTTTGTCACTTCTCAGAATTTTTGCATTGAAATCTATTTTTTCTAATACAAGTAGAGTGACTCCTGCTCTTTTTTTGGTTTCCATTGGCATGGAATATCTCCCTTTATTTTCACTATTTTTGTGTCTTTATAGCTGAGGTGTGTTTCCTGTAGGCAACAGATCAATGGGCTGTTTTTTCTTTATCCATTCAGCCACTCTATGCCTTTTGATTGGAGAGTTTAGTCCATTTACATACAATGTTACTGTTGCTAAGTAATGATTTACTTCTGTCATTTTGTTATTTATTTTCTGGTTGTTTCATGGTCTTTTCTTCTCTCTTTTACTGGAGGTGGTTTTCTCTGGTGATATTGTTTAGTTTCTTTTTGCTTTTTGTGTATTCATTCACTCAAACCATTTTTGGTTTGAGGTGAACACGAGATTTGGAAATACTCTCTTATAACAAATTGTTCAAGCTGATAACAACTGAACACTGCATAAACCAACAAATAAGCAGAAATAAAACTAATAAAAATATCTATATCTTAACTATGTCCCCTGATTTTTAACATTTTTTGTTTCTATTTATATCTGATCATACTATATATGCCTTGCAAACTTGTTGTAGCTACTATTTTTGTTTAATGGTTTAGTATTTCTACTTAGCATACAAGTAGTTTATACACCACAATTACAGAGTTATAATATTATGTGATTTTCTGTGTGTTTATTACCAGTGAACTTTGTACTTTTAAGTGATTAGGTATTGCTCATTAACATCCTTTTTCTCTGATTGAATTATTTTCTTTAACATTTCTCCAAGTCTGGTGTTAATGAAATCTCTCAGCTTTTGTCTTGGAAAACAAAACAAACTTGTTTAAGGGATATTTTTGCTGGATATACTATTCTAAGGTATTTTTTTTTCCTTCAGCACTTTTATTATGTTGTGCCACTCTCTCCTGGCCTGTAAGATTTCCACTAACAAGTCTGCTGCCAGACATATTGGAGCACAATTGTATGTTGTTTCTTTTTTCTTGTTGCCTTTAGGATCCGTTCTTTATCTTTGATCTTTGAGAGTTTGATTTTTAAATGCTTTCTGGTAATCTTCTTCGGGTTAAATCTGCTTGGTATTGTATAACCTTCTTGTACTTTGATGTTGATATCTTTCTCTAGGTTTGGGAAGTTCTGTTGTCCCCTTGAATAAACTTTCTATCCCTATCTCTTTCTCTGTCTCCTCTTTATGGCCAATAACTCTTAGATTTGCCCTTTTGAGGCTATTTTCTAGATCCTGCAGGTGTGCTTCATTTTAAAAATTCCTTTTCTTTTGTCTCCTCTGACTGTGTATTTTCAAATAGGAATAAACCCTATTTGATTATTGTATATTAATGTTTTATACCTTGCTGAATTTGATTTGCTTGCATTTTATGGAAGATGATATATATATGAAAATTAATTATATAATGCATTAATATTTTATTAAATTTAAGAAATAAAGCTAATGCCAATTAGCAAATTGAATTACTTTGAGCTAAATAAAAATAATTAGCACATCCATCAAAATTGTGCTTTAATGCAACTCTACCTGTATATGTATCTATATATTTATTTACATATATAAATTTAAGTATAGAAATTTATCCTTAGTGAGAAAACATTTTATACATTTTTAGACTATACAAACTAGCTGATTTTTTTAAAAAATAAAAATATATAACATTCCATTATTTCTCAGCTCTAAATTCCAGAAAGTGTAAACAAAAAAAAAAAAACCAAAATATTTTGAAAGTAAAATTATTATAAATATGATCTTTAATTTTCCTCAGTTTTATTCCTTACAGAGTGATATGGTTAGGCTTTGTGTCCCCACTCAAATCTCATCTTGAATTGTAATCCACAGGGGTTGAGTGAGAGACCTGTAGAAAAGTGACTGGATTATGGGGGCCATGTACTCCATGGTGTTCTCATCATAGTAAGTAAATTTTCACAAGATATGATGGTTTTATAAATGGTAGTTTTTTTCTGTGCTCACACACACTCTCTCTTGTCTGCTGCCATGTAAGACATGCCTGCTTCCCCTTCTGCCATGATTGTAAGTTTCCTGAGGCCTCCCCTGCCATGTGGAACTGTGAGGCAATTAAACCTCTTTCCTTTATAAATTACACAGTCTCAGGTATTTCTTTATGATGGTGTGAGAATGGACTAATATACAGAGCGAACAAAATTTGTCTCTCTTTCATAGAGACAATTAAAATTTGTCTTTCCTAGACACCCTGTGGCTTTTTAGTGTACTATTTTGAGACTTTGTTTATGAAATATAAAGGAATTCTTGATAATAAGACTTTATGTATTATCATGTGCTAATGGTTGATAATCACTTGCTGCATATGAATATATCAGACCACAAACTAGAATTTAGTGTTATTTCATCAATAACACAGCATTATTTTTCTTTAAGGTATTCCTTGTGTTTGTTAACTGTTTATTATTTTTAACGTATTTCCCTTGGCTTTAATTGTCATATCATACAGGAAAACATTATTCATTTTCCCGCCAAATAGGAAACCCAAGCTGAAAGAGGTAATGATTTGCCTTACATTATGCAATTAAAAATTATGTGAGCTATAATTTGAACCAAAAATTTTCAAGTCAATCTTTTGAAACATTTCTAGAAAATTCCACATTTTAGTAATTCTGAAATATATTCATTTACCTCACAGAAAATCTCTGACATTATAAAGCAATGATATATCATCTCTGTTTTAAGCATGATTCAAACTAACTTATGTTAAAATATAGAGTCTCTCTCTCTCTCTATATATATATATATATGAAATACAATTTTAAGTACAAAATTTTTCTATTGTTTTTAATTCATAAATTAGCTTTTCTTCTGATTTTAATTCTGCTAGTTTTTATTAATCAAATTAAGTCACAAAAATTTAATTGAATATTTGTGTCACTCAAGAAAAATAAAACCTGATCAAAAAAGTTTATATTAGCACTTATATAAATTTATTTCTGCCACAACCTACAGATTATATTTTACTATAATATGAGATGTAATATTTAATGTAATATTTTATCTATATTTTTTGACAAATATTTTATCTATTTTGGTTGACAATACCAATTTTTCAAGTTAATGTATTCCAGGTACCCGTGTAGCAATCAGGAGACTATTAGATCTACACAGTTTTTCTAGCCAAAAATTGATAACATAAGAAACATTAGGAATGGAAGTTATATTAGCTTGTCTACTCAGTGCTGTTCCTAATAAAGGAATGTTCCTTTTAGGGTGTTGTAAAGTGTTCAATTTACTCATTAAATGATTCAGAGTTCAAAAATCTACAGCCATTCCCTGAAGAGCTCAGTCTGCTGCCTAAAAAATTTCACAGTAATAAAAATTATCTCCAGTACTTAATCTATTTTTACAATTGAATTAATTAATTAGTTATATTTAATTTTCTACTTGCGTACCTTTTTGGCATTTCTTTCATTTTTATTGGGTTTATTATAGCACCTTCCTTTTAATGATTAACTAATTTGCTATCACTCCTCAGTCATTTATATTACTTTCAGAAAATTTTCCCAATTTATACTGCCGAAGTGAGTCATGTTGTATACAGTTGTTTAATATTCCTTCAGTTATTCAAAATATTTTTAAAATCCTGCCTCTACAAAGTAATCCGGAAGTGTTTTGAGAAAAATTTGATTATATCCTTTTAATTTCACATCATTATTTCAATAAATTTTGGAAGTTCATTCTATACTTCTAACATGAGTCCTAGCTGGCTTATTCCCTGCTGAATTAATCTTCCATGGTACTCCTCTTTAACTGATCAATTCACATAGCTCCTCCATAAGGATTTACTGAATAAATACTGCTTTATAAATATTGTTTTATAATATGAGGACACAGTACTCAGGATGATGGGGGACAATCACAAATAGCTTAAATTCACGTGAGGGAGCATAAAATAAATCACTAAATTTATCAACAATTTTCTTTTAGGAAGTGAGAGTTCATATGATAACTTTTCTGTCCAATCTGCAAATTCTCTCTTTCCCTTGCTCTATTTCTAGCACTTGTCTTTGGAAACAACCATGTAGGAGCGCTGGAAGTGTTTGTGGGTTCATCCACGCAGCATTCACATCCATTTTCCTTTCAGATCTCACCAGTTTCTCTTTCTCAGGGGTATTAGGTTTTTGCTGTCAATTACATGGGCATTGTGTGTGACGTTTTCGTATTGGCTATCATTATTTATTCAAAACATATACAGTATCTATGAGAAATCTATGTTCTAATCTATCGAATCACAAACAAAACAAAACAACAACAAAAACAACAAACCTCAAAAGGTAAAAAGAATTGTCATCATCCTAATAAAGGAAACCACGAATGGAAAGCACAAGCAGTTCTATGTGATGACCACACCCGAGAGTCCACACAGAGCTGATTCTCTCCTGCTTCCATTTTAAAAACATGTTAAAATACGTCATATCTTTATGTAATGTTTATAGCAACATTCTAAAATGTTGCTTTTCTAACCTCATATACAACAAAAATAGCTTTATAAGATGAAGAGTTTGAAGATTGATCTCCTAGAACTCTAGATTTCTCCAAAGAATATTTGGGAATATTTATCACTTTCAACAATTGTATTCTTACATAACAGCGCAAGATGCTTCTCATAGAACAACAGGATTCCTCAAAGATCTTTTTCATTTCAACAATTTAGAAATAATAACCAGGTTTCCATAGCAGCTCTTGGCAATAAAAGCCTCATGATTTTCTAAAAAGACCATAGTCTTATGGAATCATAGAACATTACAAGCCAAAGGAATCTTACCAATCACTAATTTCAGCATTTCTGGTAGCATACATGACAATCTCCTCCAAGGGAATGAATGGAAAATACAATACCTTACACTCTTCATTCTATATATTTGTTACTTACTAATGGTCTATTTGGAATAAAACATTCTAGTGCATTTAAAACACGTTTGAAATGTACTGATGTAAAGTGACCACTCAATTTATATATTAGGGAATTAAATAGGACTTGTCCATAATAACAAAAAGCTTTTTTTTTTTAATCAGAAACCAAAATTACAAAATGGAACCTTATTACCTACATTTTTTTTTTATGATACTAAGTTTTAGGAATCTCTAGAGGTTACCCTCTATTCTAAATTTATTATTTAGGCCAAAGCTTTCTTGTCTAAAGACTTTTTATATGAAGGATTAAAATCCATTCAGATTTTTGCTGTTGTTGCTTAGCACACAAGTAATCAACTGGAAATTAAAATTATCAAATGAATTAATATATCTGTGAGGGGCTGAAAGACATCTGAGAAGCAGATTTTGAAGAAATAGTATATAAAATTTAACTCTATTTTTGGGTGAACTTGAGTGAACTTGGGATCAGATTAATTTCAATGCTTGGACAGTTCTAATGTAGTCCCTCCCCTAAGTAAATGGGGAGGGGCTGGGAGCAGTCACTCACACCTGCAATCCCAGCACTTTGGTAGGCTGAGGTGGGTGGATTACTTGAGGCCAGGAGTTCGAGACCAGCCTGACCAACATGGCAAAACACGTTCTCTACTAAAAATACAAAAATTAGGTGTGATGGAACATGCCTGTAATCCTAGCCACTTGGGAGGCTGTGGGAGGAGAATCTCTTGAACCTGGGAGGCGGAGGTTGCGGTGAGCCAAGACTGTGCCACTGCACTCCAGTCTAGGCAACAGAGTGAGAATCTGCCTCAAAAATAAAATTAAAATTAAAAAAATAAAAATAAATGGGGAGAGACTCCATCCTAGATATTCATTCTTTAAACAAGTATTTATTGAGATGACCTCACTTTATAACAGTGATTACTCTCGAGGCACTGAGTACCCTCAGTGGTAAATCAGAATACAAAATCCACAAAATTACTGCTATTATGAAACATACATTCTAGTGCAGATTTAGACAATTTACAAAGTAATTAAAATGGGGGTTGTTTTAAGTATATTATCTTGCTTTGGCACATATTTCAGAAACAACAAGAACAACAAAACCAAAAAGAGGAAGAAGAAGTCTGAGTGGCTGACAAAACAAAATTATATTTCCTTGGTTACATGTAGTTACGAGCTAACTGCAGGTACTAATATAAGGGAGTGTTTCTTTAATTGGAGGAAAGGGTTCTCATGGCAGAAAAAATTTTAATAGTGAAGGCAGATCATTGTTCTTATTGTTTCTACTTAAATGTAATGTATGTCACCTTCTTTTAAACTCCACTGGACTAGTGAGGCCACAGGACCAAATGGGAGGCAGAGATGCATTCTCCAATCACGGGAGACTGTCAAGCACCTAGGAATAAACAGGGATATATATCTTCACACCAGGAATACTGAAAGTCTGCAAATAGTACTTCAAACTAGTGGTAGCAAGTTTCTGGGTTAAGAGCTCCACAGAAAAATAAAATGGAGATGGGGCTGAGGCATGCCAGGAGTTAGGGGTTGTGGTATTAAAAATTAAGTAGATGAGTCAAAGGGGACCCAAGATAGCAGTTTTGGAGTGAAGTCTTGAGGGAGGTGAGCGAGTGGAGCGGAAGCATACTCTGCAGGACGAGCCCATGTGGAGCACAGTGTGGGTGAAGCTGACTGAGAAAGGGTGGGAAGAACAGGAAACAAAGTCAGGGGTCAGAGAAGAACTGTCTGAGGTGGATCAAGTGGGATTTTGAAGATCAGTTTAAGGGATTTGACTTTTACTCGTAGTGAGATGAAAAGATATGGTGGGGTTTTGATCATAGAAGTGCCACAGTGACTTAATTTTTTATAAGACCACTCTGGATGCTTTGTGAGTAAACTAAAATTATGAAGAATCAAATAAGAGAACAGTTGGGAGGTTATTTTTTACCAGCTAGTAGACATGACAGTAAAATGTGCCAGAAAGGTATCAATGAGAAGAGTCAAATGCTGGTTTTATTTGAAGGCAATGCACGCTGATTGATGATATATGTCACAGGCAGGAATTCTTTTCTGCCTGTATTTACCAAGTGTGCTTATAGAAGTAGGATATTAAGGAAGGCATAGTGTCAAGCTTCCAAAAGAATGGACATGAAAGTGACTACATCAATAGGAAATTATATATAAAATTTGGGAGTTCAGAGGAAAGGTCTAAACTTTTAGGAAACTGAAATATATATATTTTAATATATATATACACACATACAAATGTATGTAATTTGTACATATATTTTATTTCATATTTTGTCCCTTCTTAGTAGTTTAAGGATGTGGCCATAGTGATCATATTTTTCAAAAAAGATCCAATGATAAATATCTTCTTCAAAGAAGATATGTTACTCAAGTTGAAATCTACTTAAAAAAAAAAAAGAAATTTATTCGTAGAGAGAACACTATGTATTAGTCTGTTATCACACTGCTGATGAAGACATACCTTAGACTAAGCAATTTATAAAGGAAAGAGGGTTCATTAACTCACAGTTCACGGCTGGCGAGGCCTCAGGAAACGTACACTCATGGCAGAAGGGAAAGCAAACACGTCCTTCTTGACAACATGGCAGGAGCGAGAAGTATGAAAACCAAGCAAAGGGGGAAGCCCATTGTAAAACCATCACAGGAATCACATGAAGGAAATGGCCCCCATGATTCAATTACCTCCCACTGGGTCCCACCCACAACATATGGGAATTACGGGAACTATAATTCAAAATGTGATTTGTGTGGGGACACAGCCAAACCACATCATTCCACCCCTGGTCCCTCTCAGATATCATGTCCTCACATTTCAAACACAATCATGCCTTTCCAACAGTCCTTTAAAGTCTCAACTCATTTCAGCATTAACTCAAAAGTCCAAGTCCGAGGTTTCATCTGAGACAAGGCAAGTCCCTTCTGCCTATGAGCCTGCAAAATCAAAAGCAAGTTAGTTACTTCCTAGATACAATGGGGAACAGGCACTGGGCAAATACACCCACTGCAAATGAGAGAAATTGGCCAAAACAAAGAGGCTACAGGCCCCATGCAAGTCTGAAATCCAATAGGGTATTCATTAAACGTTGAAGTTCCAAAATGATCTCCTTTGCATCCATGTCTCACATCCGGGTCACACTGATGTAAGAGGTGGGGTTCCACAGCCTTGGGCAGCTCCCCCTGTGGCTTTGCAGGGTATAGCGCCCTTTCTGGTTGCTTTCATGAAATGGCATTGAGTGCCTGCGGCTTTTCCAGGCACATGGTGTAAGCTGTCAGTGGAGCTACCATTCTGGGGTCTGAAGGATGGTGACCCTCTTCTTACAGCTCCACTATAAAGTGCCCTTGTGAAGACTCTGTGTGGGGGCTCCAACCCCACATTTCCCTTCCATACTACCCTAGCAGAGGTTTTCCATGAGTGCCCCATCCCTGCAGCAAACTTCTGCCTGGACATCCAGGTATTTCCATACATCCTCTGCAACCTAGGCAGAGGTTCCTAAACCTCAATTCTTGTCTTCTTTGCACCCACAGGACCAACACCATATGGGAGCTGCCGAGGCTTGGGGCTTACACCCTGTGAAGCAATGGCCCAAGCCTGGATATTGACCCCTTTTACCATGGCTGAGGCTGAAGTAGCTGGGACACAGGGCACCATGTCCTGAGGCTGCACAGAGTTGGGGGGCCCTGGGCCCAGGTCATGAAAACATTTTTCCTTCTAGGCCTCCAGGCCTGTGTTGGGAGGGGTTGCTGCGAAGGTCTCTGACATGCCCTAGAGATATATTTCTTATTGTCTTGGTGGCTAACATTTGGCTCCTCATTACTTATGAAAATTTCTGCAGTGGGCTTGAATTTCTCCTCAGAAAATGGGTTTTTCTCTTCTATTGCATCATCAGGCTGCAAATTTTCCAAACTTTTATGCTCTGCTTCCTCTTGAATGCTTTGCCACTTAGAAATTTCTTCCACCAGGTACCCAGATCAAGTCTGTCAAGTTCAAAGTTCCAGGGATCTCTAGGTCAGGGATAAAATACTGCCAGTCTCTTTGCATAGTGAGAGTAACCTATACTCCAGTTCCCAACAAGTTCCTCATCTCCATCTGAGACCACCTCAGCCTGGGCTTTATTATCCATATCACTCTCAGCATTTTGGTCAAAGCCATTTGACAAGTCTCCAGGAAGTTCCAAACCTCACTACATCTTCCTGTTTTCTGAGCCCTCCAAGTCTAGGAGGTTTCAAACTTTCCCACATTTTCCCATCTTATTCTGAGCCCCCCAAACTGTTCCAACCTCTCATGTTACCCAGTTCTAATGTTGCTTCCACATTTTTGAGTATCTTTATATCAGCACCCCACTCTCTGTGGTACCAATATGCAGTATTAATTCTCAAACTACTAATAAAGACATGCCTGAGACTGGGTAATTTATAAAGGAAAGAGGTTTAGTTGACTCATAGTTCAGCATGGATGGGGAGGCCTCAGGAACCTTACACTCATGGCAGAAGTGAAAGCAAACACGCCCTTCTTTGCATGGTGGCAGGAGAGAGAATGAGAACCAATTGAAGGGGGAAGCCCTTCATAAAATCATCAGATCTCAGGAGAACTCACTCACTATCATGGGAATAGCATGGGGGAAACCACCCCCAAGATTCAATTACCCCCCACCAGGCTCCTCCCACAGCACGTGGGGATTATGGGAACTATAATTTACAATGTAATTTAGAGGTCGGGCATGGTGGCTCATGCCTGTAATCCCAGCACTTTGGGAGACTGAGGAGGGTGGATCATGAGGTCACATGTTCGAGACCAGCCTGGTCAACATGGTGAAACCCTGTCTCTACTAAGAATACAAAAATTAGCTGGGCATGATGGCATGTGCCTGTAATCTCACCTACTCGGGAGGCTGAGGCAGAATTGCTTGAACCCAGGAGGCAGAGGTTGTAGTGAGCCAAGACTGTACCACTGCATTCCAGCCTGGGTGACAGAGTAAGACTCCATCTTGAAAAAATAAAAATAAAAAATGAAATAAAATGTAATTTAGGTGAGGACCAGCCAAACCGTATCATTGCACCCCTAGGCCCACCAAAATCTCATGTCCTCACATTTTAAAACACAATCATACCTTTTCAACAGTCCTTTAAAGTCTCAACTCATTTCAGCATTAACTCAAAAGTCCAAGTCCAAGGTCGGACAAGCCAAGTCCCTTCCGCCTATGAGCCCACAAAATGAAAAGCAAGTTAGTTACTTCCTAGATACAGTAGGGGAACAGGCATTGGGCAAATACACCCAATGGGAAAAATTTGCCAAAACAAGAGACTACAGGCCCTATTCAAGTCTAAAATCCAAAAGGACCGTTTGGAACCTTAAAGTTCCAAAATGATCTCCTTTGACTCCATGTCACACATCCAGGTCACACTGATGCAAGAGGTGGGCTCCCATGGCCTTGGGCACTGGGAAATTCATAAACGAAAGAGATTTAATTGACTAATAGTTCAGCATCCCTGGGGAGGCCTCAGGAAATTTATAATCATGGTGAAAGCAGATGTGAACATGTCCTTCTTCACATGGCAGCAGTAGAGAGAAGAATGAGAACTGAGAAAATGGGGATGCCCCTTATAAAGCCATCAGATCTCATGAGAACTTACTCACTATCTCGAGAATAGCATGGAGGGAACCACTCTCATGATTAATTATCTTCCACCAGTCCCTCCAATGACACGTAGGGCTTATGGGAACTACAGTTCAAGATGAGTTGGGTGAGGACACAGCCAAGCCATATCACACTAATATTCACTAACAACTGTGTTCATTATCTTCTTTCTGGGAAAAGGTCAATCCCATGTATTTCGCTGATGATTATTAAGTGGAGCTGGAGATCTGATTTCTGGATGCAAGGAGAAAGGCATGTGCAGTCTCCAAGCCTGGCCTCTAAACTGCTCATTGCACAGTCCTCTTTTCTCACCCCATTTCCCCTCTCTGATGCAGAAGAGCTAATAGGAAAATCAGGGGACTTAATGGACAAAGAAACCACAGGATGGAAAGAATCCCATTTGTCATCCTTCATTGGACATCAATATAAGATAAACAGCAATCTTTGCTGTGTTCAGCTGCCAAGATTTCGGGGTGGAGGTGGTTGTTTCTTACAGCCTCTGGTGGTACACACTCGGAATAAATAACATTTTATATGAAGAAGAAAGTGATAACAAGTTTTGGTGAGAATGAGGAGGAAAGGGAACCCCTACACTGTTATGGAAATGTACCTTGCAATAGTCATTGCGGAAAACAGGATAAAAATTCCTCAAAAAATTAAAAAACAGAACTCCAGTGATCCAGCAATCCTACTACTGGGTATATATTCAAAAGATATTAAATCAATGTGTTGAAGAGAAAACGTCACTTTCATATTCATTGCAGCATTATTCAAAATTTCTGAGATATGAAAACAGCCTGAATATCTCTAGGCAGATAAATGGATAAAGAAAATGTGGTGTATATATTTACACACACATATACACACACAAACACTGAATACTATTCAGACAAAAAAGAAAACAATTCTGCCATTTACAAAATCATGGATGAAACCGAAGGACATTATGCTAAGTTAAACAAGCCAGAAATAGAAAGAAAAATACTGCATGATGCCACTTATATGTGGAATCTAAAACAAACAAAAAAAAGGTTTAATACATAGAGACAGAGAATGAAACAATAGTTAACAGGGGCAGGGAGGGAAGGGAATTAGGAATATGTGGAGATGTAAGTCACAAGGTAAAAGTTGCAGTGATGTGGGTTGGATAAGTATGAAGATTTAATCTATAAATAAAGACTACCGTTTAAAATATTGTACACCTGAGATTTGCTAAGAGAAGATTTTAGGTGCTCTTACCACACACATTGACTTTCACACCCCCACCTACACACACACAGTTACTATGTGAGCTGATGGATTTTTCTTTTGCATGATCTAAAATTTCACTATGTATATGTGTATCAAAACTTCATGTTGTACACATTAAATATATGTAATTCAAAAATAATAAAGGCATGCCTGCATAATGTTCATGGTGGTGCAAACTGGTGCTAACAATATCGCAATATTGCTGAAAACCTTGCGAAAGTCTCCTTGCCCTTTGATCAGTTATATATTTTTAGAAATTTTTGGTAAAGGAGAAAATCAGATATGTATCTAAGGTTTTAGCTCAAAGTCATTCACCTCAGATTGTTATAAATATTCTTACAGCACAAAAAGTATAATAATGTCCAATAAAAAACGGGCTGAGTAAAAAAAAAATAAAGTCTTTAAGATTACATCTTACTCTGAAATATTTTTTTGAAAACATATGCAAATACTCCATAAATAATCACTGTAATGGTTTTGTTCATATTAATTTGCTTTGGTTAAACATATTAGTGCAGTTATTGGTTTTTCAGCTATGAATAATGAAATCCTTAGAAAAACTATATCTGAAGTATAAAATAGAGCAAGGTAGACAAAAACCAATATAGCAGATTTTCCAGGAACAAATTTATACAAATATACAAAATAATAAATATAGGACTATGGCTCTATATTTTGTATAATATAATATAACATTAATTATAACTATTAACAGTCATTCTATTTGTGATGTATTTTTTAGTACGTTCTTTGCAATATGCAATTTTCCTTAAGAACAACTTTCTGGATTCTTGTGTTATTTAACATTGGAAGAGTTCTTTGACAGTGCGAGTATGTGGGCCTCTCTCCTGTCATTTTCAGTAGTAAAGTGAAATGATTTTCAGTTTCCAGTGAATTCACTGCTCTCTTAATTGCCCCCGGAAGAGCAAACTGTCAGCAAGAATTTCTACCGAATCTTGCATAATGATTAAAAATGGAGAAACCAAGGCAGCTACAGAAAAGGTCACTGTATAATCTCCTCTTATTGAAACAAATAGATTTAATGGAAGTACTCCATCTTTTCGGTAGATATTGGTGACTTTTCTCAGTCTTGAAGAAAAGATCCCTTCCGATTTTATTACACTGAATTAAATGTTATGTTTATGAGTTTCTTCTTTTCAACAGTAATGAGGTGAGAGTCTTTAACTTTCATTGTTTCCATCATGAAAATTAACTTTTAAATAAGGCTTAATTGTACTTTTCTTTATCAAAGACTAGAGAAATATTCATTTACAGAGAAAAAGATATTTTTGTTCTCTTTTAGATTCAGAGCTTAGGCATAAAGCCTGCTCAGCCTCTGAAAATAGCTGCCCACCTTCCACTGTTTTGAGTGTGATTGAATACACACTCTTTTCCTTTAATATTCAGAAAATGTTTTCTATTGCAGAAAATGTAATTAACATTAAATTGTAGACAGCTTATTATAGGAAAAGACACCAAGTATACCTTACTCAAAACTCATATTTACAGATGAGAATTAGATTGAGTAATTGTAGCGTCTCCTAAATAATAATGATGATCATGATAATGACATTATCAACAGCCAATTTACTTTCTGGATCCTAACAATCTTCTGGCCAATCTGATAAACACTTTTTGCATGTATTCAACTAATTTAATCCCCATAGGTCTTTTGCATATCAGTTTGTTACTCCCATGTTAGAGGGAGGAAACTGATTTTTATCAAGGTTAAGTAATTTTTCTAGATCCCACAGTAGGCTAGCTAAAGTCTAAAATCATGGTCCAGGTATTTGAGGAAATTCAATAAAATTTAGAGGCTGAAAAATATAGAACTAACTTAAATTTTTTTATAACAAAAGCTACTCATCTTGAAAAAATATTTGCCTATGAACATATATATTTGTGCTTTGGGCACTGTAAACTTTAAGCTACTGTTTAAAAACATTTCTGAGCGGCAAATAATGTCTACAGAAAATAGTGTTTGCAATAATGGTGTCATTTTACAGTATTTTACAAACTAGCAGTCCTTTCAATTTGAGGGTTAGTATGCTTAAATCTAAAAATTAAAATGGAATTCTGTAAAATAATTCTATATAAATTAGCTTACTTTAATTCACTAAGATTTTACTGATTGTTTTGTTTTATAGGGAAAATAAACTCATATATGAAGTTCTGGCTAATAATTCCTCATGAGATTTGCTTAAAGAAATTGTTCAGAAGACTGTGCTTAAAGTTTGGTTTACTTAGATATGGTGAAAATAATTTAAAATCAAAACACTTCATTTGTAATAATAGTTATAAGAGTCCCAATGTTAAGAGAAGCAATCTATTTAAAACTTGTATATATTTTTCATGTGTTAAACAAGCTTAGACCATCATAGTATAAAATTAATTCATATGTTTTAACTTGCTTAGAAACTTACCTTTTTAATAAAATTGAGTTTTATTCTCTTGCCTTAAGACAATACATGATCTTTCAGATAATTGTGAGCAGTTAAAAATATGTAAGCTCAAGTACATATCTTCAATGCATAATATATATTATGGATTATACATATTATATATATATAATTCTGTAATGTTTATTTTAAATATTTTAAGGTTAGCATATATTCATGTAACTAGTTTCTAAACCTATATCCATAGTAATTTTCTAGTTTTTTAATGTCCCATAAATTATTTAGCCAGTTTCTCCTTGTTTGGATATTTAGAGAGCATCATTTGATGCTATTGGGGAAAAGTCTAAGACATTTTTCTACACTAAGCAAAATAAATTTTAGGAAAAGCTTAATGGTAAAGCAAATGTGTTGTTGAGATACTATCTTATATCTAAGATTAGTTGAATGACTAAAATTGTATCATCCCTTTTTACATCCATATGTTTGAAAAGGCCAAGAGGAAACTTCCTAATGTATGAAATTGTACTTGTAAATGTTATCTCTCTTTGGCTGCTTTCCTTTCCTTGATTAACACTCTCTTACAGGTGGAACGGACTATCTCTTGCAAAAAAGCCTGAGGCTTGAAATTCCTGGCTCTTGGAATGTCAGATTGAGTTTATTCCTCAAACATACGGTTTCTTATTTCGATGAAAATATATACTTACGTTAGTCACATGAAATTCTTACGATGATTTTTAATTATCTCTTTATTTTGACAGGCCAGAATAACAAATTCAGATTGATTTATACCAGTTTATTCTACAGAATCTTATCTCTAAGTTAACCTTCTCTACTTCCTAAATTTTAACTGTTCATTTCCTTAATATTTATATAAAGCCATGCTTCCATTTTGCTACATTGTGTAAATAAACATAAAATATTTTTTGGTCAGGCGTGGTGGCTCACACCTGTAATCCCAGCACTTTGGGAGGCCGAGGCGGGCGAATCACAAGGTCAGGAGTTCGAGACCAGCCTGGCCAACATGATGAAACCCCGTCTCTACTAAAAGTACAAAAAATTAGCTGGGTGTGGTGGCGGGTGCCTGTAATGCCAGCTACTAGGGAAGCTGAGGCAGGAGAATCGCTTGAACCTGGGAGGCTGAGGTTGCAGTGAGCTGAGATTGTGCCACTGCACTCTAGCCCAGCCAACAGTGTGAGACTCCATCTCAAAAAAAAAAATTCATATATTCCAATAAAATGTCTTACATAGTCAATAAATATGTGTATAAAAATAGATATTTTAAAAACTATCATAAAATTTCTAATTTATTTATATTTTAAAATAATAGGATAAAAATTCTCCATGAGACTTCCTTATTTTGTCAATATAGTAGATATTTGCCTTTATGTGTTGTCTAGTGTATACAGTACTCATATTTCACAAAGGTATCAAGTTTCATCTGAGGGAAGTTGTTTCTTTCTGGTTCTGTGTTGTATTTGGTGACTGTTTATCCCATTTGCTATCCTTCCTCTATGGAATCACAAAAGTGCCGGATCCTTCCCTTGCTCAATTTCCAGGAAAATAAATGATAGATGGGAGGCGGGAGGCAGGCGGGTCACAGTAATGCCCAACACATGCTGTCTCCCATGTCTGAATTTTGATTAAGTGGCTAAGGATAAGGTAACTCATCCCTGAGTCTTAGCAGTGGCTTTGATGGCAACATTCAATGCAGCTGTCAGATAATTGCTATTTGCAACATGAATCAAGAATTTGAAAGAGATCATACATTCTTAGCCCTTGGTTGTAATTTATGACCACTAGTTTATAGAAATAGTGCAGATAATTATACTGTTAATTCATCATAGTAATATAATATTACTTAAGACTTACCTTAAGCTATTTTCCCTGAAAACTATTTTGCATGCACTATCTCACTACCTATATTGCCCAATGTTTGAAATAGTATTTAACTCTCTAAGGGCACACACACTTGGATTCATAGCTCTAAATCTAGAGTTCCAGCTCTCAACCACTCACTGTCCTATCTATTGTCAACCTATTTAGTATCTTATCTATTATTTTCAACTCATGCGACATCTCTTGAGGACTTCATTTCTATGAGACAGGGCACTATATACTGGATTTACACAGTTGAATTTGATATTATCCCTGCCTTAGTTGCAGTTTATTAAGAAGAGACCAACATTTAAGCAATGAAGTGAAATTGAATATGGTACTCACCATGATATGTGTCAGGGATAGGGAGAGGATTAATTAAAGATAATGGTCAGTTCATGCATCAGGGTCAGAATAGGATTTACAGCAAAGAGACCTGCTAACACTTTAAAGATAATGAGGTATTTTGTGGCAGCCAGAATACAGGAGAGATTTTAAGAAGAGGTAATACCTTGACTAGATTTTTATAGCAATGAAACAAACTGCCATAACTTAGAAATGGAATTATTTAGATTGTCCTGAATAGAGAGAGGGGAAACATCTATGTGGGAAGCAGCATGTGAAAGTTTAAAACGTGGGCAAAGACCAGATCATGGAAGGTATCAAATGTCATGATAACAATTTACATTATTTTGCTACATTTAATAATAATATGCAGATGTTTTTGAAAATAGATAATAAAAGGCTCAATTAGAAATTTTGGAAGATGTATTTATATTTTAATTATATACTGAAAAGTTATAAAATTATGATTAATCTTTGCAATGGTAGCCAATACTATATATAGTGCATTATGACTTACAAATTCTAAGAGATTGAATGTAGATCCATTCCAAGGAACTAAGAGCTTTTAAATTATGTATAATATTGCTTTTTATTCAAACCGTTGTTTTCTTTCTGAGATGTAGAATTAGCTCTGGGTAAAATCATTTGTAGAGATTTGTCTTGACAATGTTTTCATCTTCTGGGTTCTCTGAAGTGCCCTCTCCCTCATCATACCTTATTTTCTCAAAATTCCTTTTGTAGTTCAATGATACTTATCAGCATTATACACATATAATTTTCTTGGGACATGGGTTGCTCCCCAGTGACAGCAATCACAATTTTTTAAAAAAACTTAGGCTAACAGTAGAGGCTATGTTTATTGGGGTTTTCTTTGTTTTTGTTTGTTTGTTTGTTTTGAGACAGAGTCTCAGTCGGTCTCTCAGGCTGGAATGCAGTGGCGCAATCTCAGCTCACTGCAACCTCCACCTCCCAGACTCAAGCAATTCTCCTGCCTCAGCCTCTAGAGTAGCTGGGATTACGGGTGCTTGCCACCATGCCTGGCTAATTTTTTGTGTATTTAGTAGAGACGGGGTTTCACCATCTTGGCCAGTCTGGTCTTGAACTCCTGACCTCAAACCATCTGCCCTCCTCAGTCTCCCAAATTGCTGAGATTATAGGCAGGAGCCACCATGCCTGACTAAAGCTATGTTAATATAGTATCTCCATCTGAGTTTATTATTCTGATAACCAAAAAAGTGGCCTTAATTGTTGAAATTTCAGTTGCAGCATGTGATTTGGTAAGTTGCGTCCTTATTAATAAGAATTTTTCAGCAGCAGTTAAGAGTGTAGACATATCCAGAATATCGTGTTGATTCGTTTACGGCTCCACAGTTTTCTGAGATTTATTATGCGTCATACTTCACTGTCCTTAAAAAAATTTCTTCCAATTTCTCAGTATTAGTCACGGTATTTTCTTGATGTAAAAAGTGTCAGAAAGACAGGGACTGAAAGAATAAATAAAATAAAACAGTACTTCGGAAACAGGCAAGCAGCATGACACTTCCCATTACTGGTCCTCTTGTTCTTCAGGATCTATTTATTAGCTCCCTCCCTCCGCATTTAGAGTAGGATGAGAACTAATTATCTTAAAAAATAGAAAATAAAATGAAAAACATGAGGTCCAAGATAAAAAAGGTAACTGCAGTGTGAATTCATCTTTCCTCCTTGAAGTTTATTTAAATTGGCACTAAAATGAGTGATTTACTGCAAATAACCTCCTCATTCTTTATCCCTTATAGACATGTTCTGTACCTTTTAGAAGCATTGTGAAAATAATATTTATGTTGGGAAAGTAATCTGCTTTGACATTACAGAACCAAAACATTTTTGATGAACACCAAGGGTGTGTCTTTCTATAGGAATTTTGTTACAATATGTATCGTTAGAAAATCACTAGGACATTGTCTAATAAGTTCAAGGTAAAACCATTTATTATATTTACCAGTTTACATAGATCTAGTTAGATGTATGATTCATAACTTGATTACAATAGGAGTAAAACATATCACTAAAGAACTAGATAACTTTCGTACAGCATAACCATATTTTGATATTATTAGATCTTTTAAAGATTTGTTCCCTCTCGTTTTTTATATTCATTTATGCTGCTCAGATCAAACCAAGTAGGACGTTTGCTGCTCAGTTACTAAGGAAGAAGAAATTTTAACAGCTTGCTAAGTGTAGAGTTCCATTAAGTGACCCTAGGACTCCTTAGAATTGAAGAGGCTCCAAAAAAAGAGTATAGCATCTTGCTTTGATACGCAACCTGGAATTTTTAAAATGAGACTTTTTCTTATCAATTGTTGCAGGTTTTATTTAATTGACAGTGTTGAAATATTTGTATTTTGAAGAGTTGTATACAGTCCTATATCATGTACATTTACTGAAAATCAGTCCTTCAAGATGTTATACAGTCTTAAGCCATAAACTAACTGCTCTGTTCCAAACTGGCTACAAAAAAATAAATAAATTAAATAAAATAAGACCCATTTATCCTCCTTTACATTTGAGGTTTTAATTTCAGAAATATTTCATTCAGATTACTTACTGGGGAAAAAAAATCCAATTTGTATCTCTACTAGGACAAAATGTGATTTTACTTTTCACACGTCTGCATGTTAGTGAGATCTCACCAACAATGCTGATAATGCTAGACAGTGCATATCCCAAAAGCTAGGATAGCTTAGTGCATCAGATTCTCACATTTTCCTAGTGTAGTTTTTCCCAGAAAGTGATCATTATTGCCTCGTGTTCTGCTAAGGGACCATGAAGTCCTTCAAGAACATAGCTAGGTCTAATTGAAAGTTATATCATTGACACTAATAATAAATGGTATGTAAAGGTATGTTGAATAACACAGTATTTTTTTTATGAAAGCCTCAGAAGTAATTTTTCTAATGAATGCTTAAACTAATCAGTATGATTATTTGTGTAAGTTACTAATTTACCTTTTAAAATATTTTATTTATCCATTGAAAAAATATATATTTTATTTATCCATTGAAAAAAAAATTTTTAAACAATTGCTTATATAATTTACACATTATTAATTTGATAGAGAGAAACATACTCCTTAAGTCACCTTTTATACTCATTTATTATCCAAAATATAATAAATATTTATAAGTAACATTTCTCTGATAGGAAATATTGATAAATATTTTTGAGACATTCTTTTATTCTGTAGATCATTTAATTATATTTAACATGGAAAATACCTTTAGTTCCAAGACACATACCTGACAAACACTTTTAATCTGATGTTTTTTAGCTACATTTATTAGAATTCAGAATTGGAATAGTCTAAGATTTCCTATCTCTATGATGGTTATTCTCTATCCTGACTTCTCTCAGAATTCACCTGGTCTTAGATTTAATTCAGCTTTTCATATCCCCATCATTTTATTGTCAAAGTAGGCTGACAGATTCATTTTATCTAGATGTATGCAGACTCGGTGCAAGGCACAGACTGAAAGGATCTGGATTGATGCACACAGCTGTCAGGCACCTTCTATGCACTGCTGAACAACCCATTCCAAGCAGGGTTCAATGTCATGATTCATTGAGAGTTTGGCCCACCCAGGAGTGGGGGCAAAGCAAAAAATGACAATATTTTTAACAGTATTTCAAGAAGACAATTGTTGAAATGAAATACTAAGATCAGTTCCTTTGAATTCATCCCAGTGGATTGGTGACAGGTAGAATGCTGCTCTAATGAATTAGGGGAGAGTGATGGTTGCTTGAACTATATTGATGCGGTGGAGACACAGAGAAGAAGAGAAATTGGAGAGCTATTGAGGAGAAAAATCAATAGGACTCGACCAATTGATTACGCAGGTTAAGCGAGAAAAGAGTCAATGATGACTTTTAGATTTTTTATAAATTTTCATCCATAATTATCCATAAAAGTGTCTGACAAAACAAAATGATACACTCAGTAGAACCTGAAATATAGCCCTTGTGCTTCAATAAAATTCTGTTCACTGTAATGCAACTTACAATAATGTGAAATGTTGGAAACAGGAGTACTACTGCTTTATCGAGGAGTCCGTCTTCTGAAAGAGTTCAAATAGTTCCCTAAAGAATAAATGAGGAGTGAGTGATGTTGGGACTATTGTGGTACAAGTGAGTCAGGTAATAAAGGCAGGGCCATTTGCTGTCATGGCCTATCCACCCACATTCATATCTAGTGCTCATGGGAGTGTCTTCAACTCTGAATGTACAGGACACTGTTTCAGTCTCAAAATTCTGATACAGTGTTCTAGTCTCAAAATTCTGTCTCTGAACACTTTTGCAGTCTTAAAGAATATTGACAGCCACCAAACCATTGGTTTTTAAAATATTATATCTCTTTATATTTCCCATACTTGAAATTAAAACTAAACACACACACACACACACACACACACACACACACACATCATTATGTATGTCAGTCAGAGCGGTGACATCTTCTCTCACCATGTAGCCTCAAAGAAACTCCACTGTGCCTGTGGAAAAAAGAGAGTAGAAAAATTCACATAGCAAGCAGGTTAGTATGAAAGTAGTACAATCCTTTAAAAGAGGGCATGGATCATCAGGCATCCCCACACAACACTTTGAGAACCACTGCTGTAGTATTAAATAAATGAATGGTATTTGTTGACCATCTATTGTATACGACAGAATATGCTAGAACCTACTCATATATTGTTATCATTAGATTTTCAATAGCTTAGAGAATATTATTTTCATATAACATATTGGCAATTGATGCCTAATGAGACAAACGTTATTTGTCTAATGTAATGTTAGATAGGAAAATAATTTCAAAGCCAGATCAGTCGGCATCCAGAATCCATCTTTCCCCTATACATTATAATTTTACCAAGTAACAGTTAGTCAAATGGTGTTTCCTTAGAAATAATTATGAAAATTGCATTGGGAAAAAACGTTGCCAGCACATGATCTCTAAGGTTTCCTCCATATGTTTTTTCTGCTGCTTATACAAGTGTCTAATACTTTTTGGGATCCAAAAGTCAAGTAATTAACTAGGCATCTGGAACTGACATACTTAGTTTTGTCTAATTAATGGTGGTTTATATATGAGAGTTTCTTCATAAATTTATTTCAAATTTAACTTACTTTGGTGATAAAAACTCAGTTTTATATAATCACATGTTACAACCCCCAAGCTGAAAATCCAGGAATGTGTGTTTGTATATGTGTGTATATTTTTAAAACTTAATTGAGACAAATATAGTTTAAAATTTATTCTGAAATACTGGTAATGCTAATGTAAGACATGCCATGAGCAGAAAAAAAATGATTTCTTGAAACAAAATTTCATAAAGTTGGGTCTTAAGTCGATTGGCCTAATTTTAGTGCTAAAATTTTAATTTCTGGATTTCAATTTATAAAGACAGCCAAAAATTATTCTTCTTCTATCATAAACTGTTAAAACAATGTAAGATTTACTGGCGATGCTAACACACATTCCTTCTGTAAACATACATTTACTGACTGTACGAGGGTTCTCTTAGAGAGACAGAACTTACAGGATATATATATATATATAAAGAGAGAGAGAGAGAGAGAGAGTTTATTAAGTATTAACTTATACGATCACAAGGTCCCACATTAGGCTGTCCTCATGCAGAGGAGCAAGAAGAGCAAGTCCCAGTCCCAAAACTGAAGAACTGAGTCCAATGTTTGAGAGCTGGAAGCCTCCAGCACAGGAGAAAGATGTAGGCTGGGAGGCTAGGCCAATCTCGCCTTTTCACGTTTTTCTGCCTGCTTTACATTTGCTAGAAGCTGATTAGATTGTGCCCACCAGATTAAAGGTGGATCTGCCATCCCTAGCCCACTGACTCAAATGTTAATCTCTTTTGGCAACACCCATACAGACACACCCAGGTTCAATACTTTGTATCCTTCAATCTAATCAAGTTGACAGTATTAACCATCACATTGTCTGTTAAATCATATATATTCTGAAGATTTAATGGTGAACAAAATCAACATAAACCTTGACCTCACAAAACACACCCTAGTTGAAGACACACGCATTAAACTAATAATCACAAAATAGGTACGTATTTATTATAGCAGCAGTGTGCTGCTACTAGAAAATACTCTAGGTTGAGAATCATATACTTTTACTTTAGAGATAATGTAATGTGATGATATACACCAGATTGTAAATAAAATTTGAGAAGATTATGCTATCAATTTTGAATTTGTATTTATGAGGAAGATGATAGTAAATTATAGCCAGGTATTTGGTCGTTTTCATCTGTATTCAACAATTTTTGTCTGCTTTTCTGCTGATTTTTGCTCTATTATTTATGGGTTTTTGTTTTTTTGTTTTTCCCATTTCCATGTGTGACTTTCTTGAAACAGGGCTCATACTTTGAGGATGAGAACTAGTTACTTTGTGATCTTGGATTAAAGTGTTGACCTGATGTAAAGACTCGTGGTGGATTAAATTGAATGGATGGAAACGCAAAGGTTTGCGGTAAGAGAAACCTAGCACATTGTATTTTTGCATCTTTTAACAGTAATAGTTCTGAATCCCAGTTTTCTATAAAATTATCAATGGATTTATTGGGTTTGTATATATTCAGAAAGAACAAATTGGGATTTGGAGACATAAATTACATTTATATCATGTAATAGTGATGTGATTGTGAAGTTTCTGAATTAGTTGAAAAATTATTATGGTGCATGATAATGAATGGTCACCTACTAAACAGATCTTTTTTATTAATATCTATTTATTTCTCTGTGTAAGACTGTATCAAGTTCAGATTTCTTACAAAGAATTTACCATTTTTTCTAGGACATATTAATGATAATACTAATGATAATGTATTTAATCCTGAATGATCTTCATGTTACATACTGAGTGCTTTCTTCACATGTGTGCAGGGGCTTTATTTTAAGAAATGCTATCGGGAAAAGGTATGTGAATCTAGGAAGAATGTTATGGAAAAGGGAAGGATATCTTTTTTGGAGTCATTTCTCCTGGGGTTTATCATGTAGGACAAAATGAGCATCTCTGTGGACAAGTGGACTGCACTCCCTCTGGAAGCCCTCTGAGATGCTGTATAGAATATACTCCAGGCAGGGCGTGGTGGTTCACGCCTGTAATCCCAGCACTTTAGGAGGCCGAGGAGGGCGGATCACGAGGTCAGGAGATCGAGACCATCCTGGCTAACACGGTGAAACCCCGTCTCTACTAAAATTACAAAAAATTAGCCGGGCGTGGTGGCGGGCGCCTGTAGTCCCAGCTACTCAGGAGGCTGAGGCAGGAGAATGGCGTGAACCCGGGGGGCAGAGCTTGCAGTGAGCGGAGATCGCGCCACTACACTCCAGCCTGGGCGACAGAGTGAGACTCCGTCTCAAAAAAAAAAAAAAAAAAAAAAAAATCAGCTAGGTGTGTTGGCGCGAGCCTGTAACCACAGCTACTCGGGCGGCAGAGGCACGAGGATTGCTTGAACCCAGGAGGCAGAGGTTGCCGTAAGCGGAGATCGTGCCACTGCACTCCAGCCTGGGGGACAGAGTGAGACTCAATAAATAAATAAATAAATAAATAAATAAATAAATAAATAAATAAATAAAAGAATATACTCCAGATGGGAAAGAATAGGTACTCATCCACGGATTCTCGTGACGCTGTTCAATTCCCTCACCATTTCACACTGGCCCACGATGAAATGGATGAGCAAATTCCAACAGGCCCGATACCAGCTGCAGGCAGAGGAGTCCAGGCAGAAAGTGAGCTGTGTGTGTGGGCTGCTGCAGCTAAGGTGAGGTGCTGTCCTTCATGCCTACCCACAGACGGTTGCCGTGGCAACACTGGAGTCACTTTGTTGGCCAAGAGAATGTGAAGATTTGGCATTTAGTAGAGATAGGGTTATTTCAGCATCCAGGCTAAATTAAAATTGAATCCAGTTTCTCTGACCCTTTCTCTTGCAGCATCTTGCTTCTATCTCAGGGAAAAGAGCTTCTATTTTGGAGAGCGGTAAACTAAACTTCCACTCTTTCCTGTTCCGCCTTCCAAATTCCCCCTTGCTTCACGCTTCTGGCAGGATTAGGCTTAGGAAGATTATTCACGTCTCCATCTCGGGTGGGAACACTGGGTTCTTGATGAGGACCAGACCTGAGAATGGAAGATGAAACACTGGTAATCGCTTTTGGCATAGATGTTCAAGGAATTAGTGTTAACACTCTCATATTGACTGCCAAATACTTCATACTAAGGCTTATGGAGAAGACAGCAAAAATCTCATTTTTGCTGCTAGAAAAATGAGTTTCATCTTCACCAAACTGATCAGGGCAGTGAAACTATGTTTTAACAAGATGAGAAATTATGTGTGCCTACATTGTCCGATTAATAACTAAGATCTATCTCACCTCTTATGTTGACTATATATGAAAAACTTAACATTTCTGTTTACTTGCCATAATTATTAGCTGAAGATTTTAGTGTCAAAAATTTAGCTTTATGCTTATTGAATTTATTTTACATGTGAAGTGTGTATATATACATATGTGTGTATACATATATTTATTTATTTATTTCCATTTCTTAATTGTCGCCTTGGTTCAGAGCCTTCATATATGATGCCTCTTCTGCTCAGAATTCTTTCTCCAATGAAACTCCCGTCACACCCAGCAATTACTATTCTTCACTGATGTTTCAACTCAGGGAAGATTTCGAAAAAACCCTGCCTATTCCCCCAGTAGAATTGGATATTTCCCTGTATTTCTCTTTATTATATTTAAGTATGAGTTTTTACATTTTTTAGTAATATCTGTTTTCCCTAGTAGCATAAATTTCATGAGTGCACTGGGTATTCAGTTCTGAACATAGTGCCTTAAATTTCTTGGTAAATATTTGTTGAATCCAATAGTTAACCTACAATATATTAAAATAGAATAATACAAATTCTAAGTACTTAATTTTAATTTATTTAATAAAATTAAAATGATACATATCTATAAGAAGACATATAGACAAGTCGTGTTCTATATATTATTATTTTCCTTTATTATATGGTACATACATTAACTTAGGTGCTATAATTTTACATGTTGTGATATCATGCCATGCACTGCTACAGTCTAGTTGGTTTTAAACCTGGATTGATGAAATAAGATAGTATCTGATAAGGTGATAGAATTATTATGCTTTTAATATCTGTATTACAGGTTTTAAAAGTATAAGAGAGAAATGTCGTCTTAAAATGAATACTTAGCTCTCTGAAACAGAGGATGGGTGACAGTAATGTAGATTGTGGAGACCCACAATTAAATCTGAACTTATCTCTGGTGACTATTAATTATAAACGTGACATTTTTGAGGTCAATACAGATGGTTGACAGTTGAACCATAATTGACAAACTGCTTAGGTTGAGATGACAATATTTAAATTAAAATCTATACTTGAAATACCATATGACAAAGCATCTTTTATAAGTGGGGTAGCAGGTCTTTTAAGATGACTCTAATAATTCACTGACAGTACTGGATTAAAGACCACCAGCTATTAGTTTTGGAGACACTATTAATAATCTGTGGCCCCAAAGGAAAGTAAGAAACATTTCTGGGTTTTAATTTCATGCATATGAAAAGAAAACAAATTGATAGTTTTTAATATGTAGGCTGATTATGAGGCTTAAGTTAGTAAATTTCTATAAAGTCCTTACAATCTTAGTTCTGACTTCTTAGTAAGTACCTTATAATATACTACATAATATGTAAAATATGTATCTTTTTTCAGAAGCAAACTATTACAGGGGTATTTATAAATGAGGCTGAACCCATCAGAAGAGAGAAATGGTATATTTACCAGAGTTTACCAGACCCTCTGAACAACTTGCATTTAGCTTATCACAAGGGAAAATGGCCTGGGAAGTTAATTCTACTGGGCCAAGTTGTAAAACCTGAACTGGGAAAATGGCCAATTGTTCTAGCTTTATTTGCAAATGTGTCAGAAAACTATGACAAACAGAATAGTTTAGTGTTGAGTAATAAAACTCTTAAAAATATTGGCATATGCATTCTACAGCTTACAGGCACAGGTTGTGTCCTACTGATAATGGTCCAAGAGTTTTGACTTTTATTTTGGAGTTAAGCCACATTGTTCTTCCAGCATCTACACAGATTTCAAACCATGAGTGCCCTGAGTCTTTGAAATGCTTAATTAACACAAACCAGAGCCAGTTATTCTAAACTAGGGTTTAAAGGAGAGTTTTAATTATATATTCCACTGAAGGAAAATGTGACACAACTTGAGAATATCGTTCACACACTTCCCAAAGAGAGGTGGAATGCTGCCATAACCTAGTCTTCATCAAGGCACCCAGGAATAATCTGTGAGAAGCATGCAATGAAGTGTGGATTCAAACTGACGAATTGCATATACATAAAATCCATAGGTAAATCCTCGACAGTGAGTGAAATATTTTGGATGAAAAAAATGGGTAAAGTCTTCCCGTAAAAAAAAAAATAGTTCATTGGAAAAGGGCCCTGAATGTCCTCAGAGAAAAGCAGCCTCTCAAAGATGTGAAGAACAGTCTCATTCTCTCTGGTCTCTGAGGCTTATGCCATGATAAGTGATGGAATGAGAAAGGGTTCACTACTTTCTGTTGTCCTTATTCCCCTTCCTGGATCACTTTCACTTTAATCATTAAGTAAATTTTCAGAAGTAAATTAGCTGTAGTTCGAGAAAGTTTCAATGTGATTAGATTAAAATTAAAAGAATCCATAAAAATGGAACAAAGAAGAAGAGGAATGAAATTACTTTTACTTTAAATAGCATTGTTATCACATAAAACATGTATCTTACAAATTCATGGGATAGCCCATAAATGGGACTACAGCAACAATGGTAGGAGAGTCCATCCTTCTTCAAAAGCAACCCAGCAGGAATTTTCTGTTCAAAATATTTTTCCTGTCATACTGAAGTAACTGAGATAAGCTCCAATGTTATGAGAAACTAAATTTCCTACATATCATTTGACATGATGAAAGTGGTTTTGCCACTTGCCTTTTTAACTTAAATTTTTTGAAATAAGATTGATTTATTTATATTTTATTTGAATAAATATCTATTTGAACCTGTCTCATGTGGGAAGCAGTTTACAAGCTATGTCAAGTTTTAGAAAAAAAAAATGTGCTTCAGTGATTAAGGGACAGCATGTTTTAAAACTGTTTCAATTGTAAAACAGCAATAGTGTAAAACAACAAAGAAGCAGGATCACTGTTTTTTGTTACAAAACCACATAAGCCGTTGTAGCCAAAAGTACAAATCAATAGTTCAGAAATTGGCGTTAAGATTATATGGGAAAGAGTTCAACTTCCCTTAAACTGAAAAGGAATTATAGCAATCATAGTCAAACTATGTCTGGGAAAGATAGACAGAATTAGGAAAGAGAAAGACACCTGGAATGTCTTTGTTTTTACCAGAAGGAGTTGTCAAAGGGTTGTCACTTCAGGAAAGGGTGACAATGGCAATAGCAATGGTATTTCTCACTTATCCACAATTAGAGGCGAGAAAGCAGAGGCATTGAACAATTATTATTTCTTAACATCAGGCAGACTTGGCAAAGTCAAGATTCAAAAGCAATGCTAACTCCACATTCTACATGCTTTTAAGAAATAACACATTCAAAAAACTGGTTCTCCAGAGACACACCTCATCCATATGAACCAGAGGACAAAAGGAAAGAATAGACATCATGTTGGGAAGCTTTATGTTGGGTGATTTAAAAAAAAAAAAAGTTCCAGAATTGAGCTGCTGCAGCCTCTATTTCATCTGATGTGATTTTTGAATTAATCAGCTGAGAGTGAGGGTGAACTGGAAACTGGATTAATAGTTGATATATTTAGCACAGTTATAAAACTTGTCTTCTGCAGCACGCTTTTGAAATCTTATAGACATGGAAAGAGCAGGCAGCTGGACTTCGTGTAGACATGATCAAAGCAGCATGATGTTAGGGGAACACAGGGGATTTGAGATAATCTGATTAAATGTTGTATTAAAGAAATGAAATTGTATAGGTACATGGAATAAAAAGAAGTGGCTAATATAGAAAGAAAGCATCCATTAGACAAGAAGGGCTGGTTTTAGTGAGTTTATAGAATAGTTATCATTAGATTACATATAGTGAGACACTGTGAATATAAAAGCATAGATAGAGAATATATATTTGAGAATGTTTCCAAATGTTACAAGACCTGCAAGTTGCAAATTTCTGGGCAAGGTAATATGTGAATTTGTTTCAGTTCAAATACAGGTCACAGGAGATGAGGATGCCAAGAAATTGAGAGGTCAAGCCTTTACAATAGTCATGGGCATGAATGTTAAATCTCATGGAATGAAAAAATAACTGAGTAGAAAGAAAAATGTAGACATTGATGTTAACAGTGTTTCTCAGTGAGTGATGGGGAGAGACCTCAAGTTTGAAAAATGACCTTAAATTAGATAAGTAGATACTAGATTTAAATAAAGTGTCAAAGAGGTATAGACAGTTGAGTTTTGGAGTTCATTAACTTTTCCTGGATCCACAGATAAGTAATGTTTACAAAATATTAGTGATACTTAGAGTAGAACCTACAAGACTTGATAATTGTATGTGAGGTATTAGGAAAGAAAGGGTCAAAGATGACTCAGAGAGTAGAAGAATGGGGATTGTGTCCATATAATTGTGCTCTGTTGCTTTTTTTTTTCAGTTAGGCATTGGGAAGAGATTTACCTGTATAGTAATAGAAAATATGTTGCTAAAATGAGGTTGAACATTTCTTCTCTGTATCAGGAATTACCTGGCTGAGGTGCTGTCTTTGGCATTACAGAACTGAATAAGAATTTCTAGATGAGTGGGATGTGCCTGCCCAGTGTTTTTTCCATTTTCTTGATAACAGAATGCCACCTTTGCTTGTGTTAACAATGTGTCCAGCCATACTCAAAGCAATACACAAAAATCTCATGCCCTCTACCAGTGACTTGTCTACTGATGAACATGTGACCAAGCTCTGATCAATAAAATATAAGAGGTTATCTCCTGGAGGCTTCTGAGAAAGTCCTCCCTGAGGGGCGGGAGATGAGTGAAATAGTCACGTGAGGAAAAAGTTCTTCTTCCTCATTCCTACCGACACCTCACCCTCTGGCTGCGGACGTTGAATCTGGTGTCTAGAGCTGAGCAGCCCTCCCGTGAATGTCAGAAACAAGTGTGGGCATAGAAGCCAAAAGCTGGGATGTGGAGGTTAGTAGAATGCAAAGATTTTAAAGATCTGGGTCCTTGTTTACATGACTGAGACACTGTACCAACCCTGGGGCAGCCTACCTCATAACTTTTCATTAAATCAGTCAGGATTAAACAAAACAAACCAAAAGAATTACCAGTCTGGAGCACCACATTCAGAACAAGAGCTGCTCAGCAACGTATAATTACCTTATCTTCAAACTGAAAAAAATTAAAAATAAAGCTACTGACTAATTACTAGTAATCCATCTCTCAAACACCACAAAACTTTGATGTGAACTGTCTCTCAAAGAGTCCTTTCTGAATTCTCCACACAACTTGAGTCATAAACGTTTCCGTTGTCAAAGCATTGGCTGGATGGCTTTATTCAAGGCTATTGCAATAGCAAAGAGGGGCCATGCCTATCAGTTGTACAAAAACAAAGAGCTAGAGGATTTTTAAGAGCTGGGTGTGGGGAACTTAGCCCATCTGTGCTTACCAGTTGGACTACCACAAAGGAGCAGTCATCTTCAGGGTGGGAGGTAGTTTTAGACCTTGGAGCAAGGGCCCCAGGAAGTTAGGCTCCTCCCCTCCCATGGAGACAAGACCAGGGAGGCGCTATCTTCCTTGATGATTGCATTTCAAAGGGATGGCTCCCAGGTCCTTAAAAAATAAAGTTGGGTTTTAAAACCTGAAAGAGGCTTTTTAAAAACTACCATTTCAAAGAGGTACAGAAAATAAAAGTTTTCTAAAGTAAATATTCTAAGAAAATTGAGGAGAGGGACAATTGTGGTTAGGCCATCTGGATTCTAGAAGTGTTGGTGTTAGGGAGGCCAGGAGCCTGGCGGCAGGAAGAAGATCCTGTAAGTTATAGTCAAGCAGTGGGGAATGCAAGGCAGTGTGGGTCATGCCTTATTACCTTTTAAGGAATAATTTTTCTTTTTTAAATATTTGCTTGTAGGTTGGTGCAAAAGTTAGTTCAATTGTTGGCATTTCTTTCAGTGGCAAAAACCGCAATTACTTTTGCACCAACCTAATATTTAAGCTAGTATGAAATGTATTCTTTATTCAACAATTTATTTTTAATTTAGTCAAATAAAATAAATCACACATCTTTCATGTGTGTTCACTTAGGCAATGTTCTAAGTTCAAGAAATATTACAGTGAGACAAAATTCATCATTTTCTAAAAATCCTTATATTGAGGGTAAGAAAGATGTAAAAAATTAAAGAAATAAATAACATGTCAGGTGAACTATCTACGAAGAAAAACAATTTACAGTAAAAAAATAAAGAGTGTCGGCACCTTAGAATGGTTCTCTGATGATATGATATTTGTTCATTATGATTCAGGGCATCCCTAGTAAAACCTAGCAGCAGTGGAGAATGTTTGCCGTGGGTCTAACATAACTTTAAGAATTCTTCATATAAAACTCATTTAATCTTGCTAGCAATACTATGAAGGCATTTTTTCCACTCAAAGATGAGAGAACTGAGTTACAGAGAAATTAAATAATCTACTCAAGTTCACTCAGCTAGTAAGCAATAGGGCTGAGAATTGAACCCAAGCACTCTGACACCAGATCAAAGATTTTAATCACTATACCAGACAACTCTCAACTGAGGGAGTTCATATTTTATATTTGCCTCAGGTGATTCCAGTCCTAACAAAAGTTTGGGAAATAATACCTTCCTTTACGTAAATCACTACATTAACTACATTAAGTCATACTTGGAGTGCGGTGATGGTGTACAATAATCAAGAAGTGGACAAGGCCCTTTCTCAGGAAATGGGAAAGCTTGTTAGTAGAAGATACATAAATATCACAGTCTAATTCCCATTGTGTGCACCACAGCACTTAATAATTTGTGCAAATAAGCTTTAGTGAGTCTTCCCCAGTAGACTGCTAGCTCATCAATTGCCCAGGTTTGATGCTTTCCATTGTTTTTTTAATCTCAAAATCTGGCCCCTTGCTTGACAAGGTGAAGAGGAAGTCAGTATTTTAATGCATGAATGGGAATGTTCTTCTTGCTGTCCTCCTTCTCATCTTAGCAATGATGAAAAGAAGGGACAATGCGTGTTCCAGAACAAGTGTGCTAACACAGGCTCTAATGTTAGTGTAAGGAAGTGTCATTCCACATGGTATAGATTATATAAAAAATTAATGCATTTTAAACGTTGGGTTGGGTTGCCAAAATATTGACATAAAATAAAATTTCAGTAACAGGGTTACTGGGAGGGAAGAAAAATCTTTTTGTTTGAGATTTTCAGGGAAAGACTATGCCTCTCTGTGATTTAAAAAAGAAAAGATCTTGAGGGGATAAACTCTTCTCCCACTGAAGTCTCAAATAGCTGAGAATTTAGTGCTTTTTCTATCCTCAGGCTTCTCAAAACCTGTATCTACTAGAAACGTGTATAAAAAAAGAAATAGACAGAACCCTAATTTGTATCAGTGTTAAGTGCTTTGATATATTACCTCTGAAGCAAATTTCCTTTTTAAGGTAGAAAAGTCAGAGGAAAATCAAATAGGCACCTTAAATAAAAGGTTAGTAAGGAAAAATAAAATAAAAGACAGTAAGTTAGAGTTGACCAAAACTGCTGCAGGGCTTCCCATTCGTATTCCAGTGGCTTCCTTAAAGGAGCCTTTGTTAACAGATGACTGACATGGATTTGCATTTCATTTCCTTGGAGGCACAGAAAAATCCTAAACCATCAGTTATTTTAGAGTGTAGTGATTGATCAATTAATAATTGAATTCACAATGACATAACATAATCTCAGTTCATTGGAATACTTGATGAACAGTCAAAATATTTTTCCAGTGGATTTTTAGACGTTATTGCCAATTACCCACAGTAGCACAGGGACTGAGGAGCTTTCGCAGGGATATTTCAGTGAGCAATTGGCTGTTTGGGTATGACAGCTGGAAGAACAAATAATCCTCTCTTAACCAAAATAAAATTTATTTTTTACAAAAGGAGATATTCCATATTAACAAGAGATTTGATGAGTTAACAAAGTAAAGACATTCATAAATAAAATGCTGGAGATTTTAGACCTGCTTCATGCATAAAATTGTGGGACCTTTAAACTCCTATGTAGTATATTTTTTGAGGCGACCTATGTTCAGAGACCATAATGTGAATCATTCTTGAAAGATGTCTTATTTCATCTACTACACAATGAACAGATCTCTGTTTTTGCCATTGAGTTTCTTTTTTTGCATTTAGTTCAGTTGTATCGACGTCTTTTTCTCACTTTCCTTTTCCCCTTTACCTTCTTTGTTTTCTTTACCTTTGCTCTTCTCATTTCTTTGCTTGCTTAAAGTTTAAATATCTCAGGGTTGAGTAGTATCCTTTACTCTCCTTATGGCGTTGAAGAATTTTTTAAATCGTCTATTTTATCAATAACAATGTCAAACTAAAATCTCTCCTTTGGCTAAGGAGTTGCCACAGCACAGGGATGCATCAACATCTGGTGGCTGTTCTTCAACCCTCCATCATCGTCACCGTGGTCATGTCATTTTAAAATTCTATTCTGCTTTCCAGTACTGGGATGAGTGTAAACTGATGCTTTAATCCGCTGCACCCTCTGAGATTCAGTATATACTAACTCAATTTTGTTTTCATTGTTCAGATCTGTGCAGAGAAAAAAAAAATCATAGGCTTTCATTGAGCTTACTTCCTAATAGAGGAGAGTAGCAAAAATCAGAGACACAAAAATTAATGGAGATGTAATTTGCTGTTAACGATTTTTTTTTTTTTTTTTTTTTTTTTTTTTTTTTTGAGACGGAGTCTCTCTCTGTCGCCCAGGCTGGAGTGCAGTGGCGCAATCTCGGCTCACTGCAAGCTCCGCCTCCCGGGTTCACGCCATTCTCCTGCCTCAGCCTCCCGAGTAGCTGAGACTACAGGCGCCCGCCACCACGCCCGGCTAATTTTTTGTATTTTTAGTAGAGATGGGGTTTCACCGTGTTAGCCAAGATGGTCTTGATCTCCTGACCTCGTGATCCGCCTGCCTCGGCCTTGTTAACGATAATTTTTAAAAAGGCCTATGAAAGAAATTAATGGAATACGATACCTACTCTTGGAGTTAACAAAACCTCTTTGGGAAGAAATGATATGTAACTCAAGCCTTATCTCCTAATATGTTGAGTGTTTATGTCTGGAGTGGTGTCTGGCGAGGTCTCCTCTCTGTTTTCAAGCTGGCTTTTTGTTTCGGCATTCTCTGTAGAGGAGGAGTGCTGTGTCTTCAAATGGTCCAAGGATCTGAAGGGCAAGAGAGAGCTCCCTTCAACCTCAAGCCCTTTTATGAAGGTGCTAATTCTATTCATGAGGGTGGAGCCCTCATGACTCAATCACCTCCCAAGGCCATGCCTCTTAATACTGTTGTATTGGGAATTAATTTCAAAATAAATGTTGGAGAGTACATCATGATTCAAACCCTGGCATTTCACAAAAGAGTGTGCTCTATTTTGTTCAGATGAAGCATCACACAACAGCTGCATAATGCTAGACTTGCTCAAGAAAGCTAAACTTACCAAAAACTACCCAGGAATTAGTAGTATCTTGTCATTGAAATCTTAGATATAAATAGATACCTATAGATTAGATATAGATATTGGTATAGATGTCTAGATATAGATATGTACTGACACCTGTAGACTGGAGTTAGTGTCCTCATGATTAAAATAATCTCATATTCATGGAATCATGTTCTTTGAGAAAAAGAGGCTCTACATCTGTATTGACAATCAATGCATATGCAGAATAATACAAAAGATTTTTCTTATATTACTGTGTAAAGACTTACATAATATCAGGTTAGGTTAGTTTTAAATTTCTGGAGTTCCTTTTTCAAACCAATATTTAATCCAATAAAATAATATGCACTTACAAAAACAGAATTGACAGATTAAACTTAATTGCCTAGTGATTAAGTATGCTGGACATGTTGAAACCTGCAATTAGAGCTTGACATTGATCTAATATTTGTGGATGTTTTTGGAAATGCTACCTTTTCAGGAAAATTAACAATTCTCTCATTGAATGAACTCACATATAAAGAAGTAATAATTTCATGTAAGTCCAATTCTAGGTTAAACTTATTCAGAGTATACTTAAGCAAATAAGTTATAATTTGATTAAACTACAAGTCAAATTCCCATGACTCATACTTTTTGGTCAAAGAATAAAAAGTAATCTGATAACAAAATTTAAAATGATATATTTGAAAATTATATTTATATAAAAGTGATGAACTGCAAATGTCAAATTGAAGGGTAAGGTAAACTTAGTCTTAACATTTAAGACTAAGGTTTCAAAAAATTGTGAAATTTCCAATTTTTCTCTCACTAACAGCTCTTTCTTCTAATATCCAAATACTATAGTACCAACTATGTCTGCCTGACTACAAGAAATCTTTGTTCCTTATTGAATCATTTCTGATCCTGAGAATTTCTGAAAATGCCAGGGAGTATTTTGAAAATTTATCTTAATTGTCACCTGTCGCTTTTAATTTAGAAGAGTTTTTCATTGTTTTCTGCATACTATTTCTGTAGTACAAAAAATCCTCCAAGATATTTTAGTTCCACTCCTAGATACACTTATTTTCCAAGTGTGCTTGGAAGCTGTTTTCTTTGATTCTCAAAAGCACAGTCATAAGGCTGAACTAATCAAAAAAATTTGATTGATAATATGAAAATAATAGAAAATCAGTGAAGAGATTCATTTATAAAAAACATGTTATTTTGCTTTGTTGAGGGAACAAACAAATCATATTGGCTTAAACAAATGGAAACTTGACAAAAATATAAAATGACTCGTTTTGGACATTGTACCACAGGCTATGCAAGACTGTGATTCCCAATAGAAGACAAACCAAGTAATATAAATAACATGATTTCCCTAGATTATCATTTGGAGGCAGTGACCAAAAATCAGACCGAGAGCAGACACCCAAACAGAGTCTTACAATAACCTTGAATCAAGGAGACAAAAGTTGAAGTTGGAACATGTCAAATTGGCTAGCATTTGTAGGATAGAATGCCAGGCAGAAGGGAGCTGCAGAGAGAAAAAGAGAGAAGGATGTGCAGAGGGATGCCTTCATTGTTTGGATAAATGTTTATATGCACATGAGTCCATTTGTAGGAAAATCAACAACAACAACAACAAACAAAATGAATAAATCGTCCAACAAATATAATCCCCTGGCTGAAATATGAACTTTAGCAAACATTTATAGAAGAAAAGGTATGAATTCTACACAAAATATTCCACAAAATAGAATAGAAGGAAATAATTCTCAATTCATATTATGAGGGCACCACTACTCTGACGCCAAAACCAGACCAAAACATTATTAAAGCAAATACATACAAACATGTAGATTGACTTTATTCATGAACATACATGCAAAGACCTGTAACAACATATCAACACACACAATTCAGGAATATATAAAAAGGATAATACATACTTGGAATGGAAGAAAGGTTTCACATTAAAAGGTGAAATGGATAATTGTTTATCATAACAGTCCAGTAAAAGAAAAGAAATATTCATGATCCTGTCAATTATGTGCAAGATGTATTAAATATTTGAAAATTAGCAAAATCAATCTAGGATAAAAACTCTTAGCAACTAGGAGGAAGAATTTTTGCTAATAATGCTACCTATAAAAATTCTACTGTCAATGTCAACGTCAACGAACAGTTCAACCTAGAACTATACTTTAATTATTTTTTTTCTTTTCCTCTTTTCTCCCTAGTCTCAAGATATAAACTTGAATGTTACTACAGAAACCCCCTTCTTTTTTTTCTCTGTAGTGTTGGAATACAGCTTTGAAATATATTTTCTTTGAAAATTACAATCTTCCTTTTCTCACCATACACTCCCTTACAACATACACATTTACCTAACTATATGCTTGTATCGAATTATGTGCTTCTTAAAAGTTCTGGGGGCTAATCTTGAAACAAACCAGGCATAGAGACCTAGCTGCATTATCCTCCTGCTTAGGTGGAGTTATGAAGAGTTAGTCCACCACTACAAGGACAAAAATGAGATGACACCAACCAGACCTCTGGATGGGCGATTACCTAAGATAGCCATCAGAACAAGACACACAGACCTGCACCCTCCTGCACCACCCATGTTTCGCACCCCAAGTTTTCTTTCTTAAACCCCTTCATTAAGCCCCAAAAGCTGGAATGATCTTTTAAAGACGTGAGCCTGGCCAATCCTTGACTACTAGCATTTGATTAATAAAACTGCTTTCCTTTCACGACACGTTGCTTCTCATATGGTCAGCTTCTGAGCAGTAAGTGGCCGGACTTGAGCTAGGTAGAAATTTGGTGCCCCATTTGAGGAACCGTCTGGTTCAAGCAGCTTAGCCTATACACATGGTTTCCAATGAATGGAACCATTGGCTGCAGCCATGTACCAGGGCTTACCCATTCATGCTACCAGGTGGGATGGCAGCCACTTGCAAATGCCAGTTGCTGGTGGCCTGGTGACCCCCTTGCTGGGAACTCAGGGAATTCCCAGCAGCTGTTGAGAGTGCTTTTGGCTCAGAGATCGTCCCTTCTCTCCCCTTCATGGCATCACCCACTCCAATATTCTGTCAGTGTAAAAAAAGAAACATCTGAGAAGTTGGCAGGCTCTCAGAACTAGGTAAATCAACTAAAGTGCACCCAGAAATCTTGTCTCTGCCATCTGGGCTCTCTAGCCATCTAGACCTAGTATATGTCATCTGTGGTGCCATGTGGACTTAATGCAGGTCACTCTGTGGTGCTCTCTGAGTTTGAGGTTAAGATCTCAGGACTTTGCTTCAGTCTCCCCTCTTTCAGAATCAGTTTGGAGTGCTTCATCTGCATCAGATTCATCTGTATTTATGTGTCTGTTTAGTGTTACCCCCACCCTCCAAGGGTGCTTTGGCATAGTCTCCATCTCACTGGCCAAGACCAGGTCCATCTGATTGTCAGAAGGCAGCAAGAGAGGCTGTCTCTCTCCTAGTTAGGGGAGAAACAGTTTCCAAACTCCTGGCCCTCATGTTGTCATCCTCTTTGGGACTCCAGAGTATTCCTTGTATCTATGGCAAGTGTTCTAGGGGAGAAAGCATGTGAACTCTTTTCTAAACTATCTGAAATTCCAGCTAGTTATATAATATGGCTCATTTTTGTGCACAATTTAAACTGATGATCGAATAACAGAAAGACAAATCCAGAGCTCAAATGCTTCGTCTACAACAATAGAGTTAGGTACAGTCTTCTAAAGCTCAGTATTTCTGATTTTTATTTCCTGCCTGATTTGAATCTGCTGTTATTAAGCTACCAGTGTTGAGATAAAATTCATTGTTTCAAGGTTACTTGGAGATTTTGGTTTTTTTATACAGCTCAGTCAGTTCATGCTAAAATAAAAACATTAAAATCTTATTTAAACTTTAAAAAGTAAACAGAAGTAAAAGAAGTTTTAAAATGAAAACTGCCAGTTAAAATGCTGTACCCAAAATTTTGCTTTATGGCCCTCATTGGATCACCTATTAAGCAATGTTTAGCCATTTAGACAGGTCACCATTTTGTCAGAAATAACTTGGATCCAGCTATCTTTTATTGTTCAGTGAGTTTGTGATGCTGTCTCATGGGTAGAGTTTTGAGGAAAAAACTGTTGGATCTTTGTTTGTATGTGTGCATACATGTATAGATACATTTATGTGTCTGTACATGTATTATCTTCTTTATTGTGTCCAGCATCCTACCAAGTTGGCTTATAAATAGATGAGAACTCTTAAATAAGTCCAAATGATATTCAAGGTCACATGAACTTAATAATCTTCAATAAATAAACTGGCTTTAAAATCCCTGATGAGATAAAAATAAAAATATCTCCAGAATTGTCAGCATACATTTTGTCTGGATAAATAAGTTTTATATTTGCCTGTGCTAAATGTTTTCAGGTTGACTCTATAAACCCAGCCAAAACCAATAATCTTCAGCGTTTTTATGATAAATAAGTCTAATTTCAAATTACTAGTTCAATGAAAAGAGACAAAATGCTCATATGTTTTAAGTTTCTCAGGTGAACATTTAATGCTCACAGACTTTAAAAATGGTTAACAGAAAAATAATTTAATGACTAAAAATAACTTTAATGACTAGATTTGTGTAATATCTCATTTTTCAAAAGTAATCTAAATCTAAGCTTAAATTTTTTTTTAAATTGAATACACGTAAATGAAATAAATGCTTGTAAATGGACTTCTTTGTAATTTAAAACTAAAATTCTTTTGGATGCTCATTGGGTGTCTGGGTTATTTACAACTTTAAAAAAGTTATAATGTGGGAATATATTTCTAAAACTTCTCAGATTGTTGCATCTACAAAATATTGAAATCTAATAAACAGTTTAGGAATTCTTGCTTCCTAAGTTTTCACTAAAATTTAAAGTTACTAAAAATAAACATTCTAGTTAATGTATAATTCTATAAATTATGTTCTTATTGAGAAAAAATATTTTTATGTAACTTGAGGGTTATTTATAAGTTATTTATGAAAAAGGTAAAAGAAATCAGTAAGTAGGGGAGAGAGATGTGAATAAAGTTATGAATATGATTATGTATTTTTGGTAAGGAGGGTTATAAAGAAAAAAGTATAATTTTATATAGGAAAGTGTATTATGTGGTGAATTTTGTCCTCAAGAAAAATAATTATTTAGGAATAAGGGAAGTATAGGACAAGTTAGAAAGTCCAATTGTGTCATAAATAATCTGTATAAGCTGGAATAACTTTCATGAAGAGGAGTTTATAAAAGGAGTTTTGAACGTGATTAAGTTAGTTATAATGAAAAGGGAATTATTTAAAATAGTCTTCTAAAGTTTAGTCCCCTATGTTCAAATAATGTTTTCTTAAGGTATTGATTTACTCTTAATACAATCATAAGAGGTTTTGATTTTAATTCTATAAACTATTTCTTTTAAAAAGTTATCAGACTCATATGTTAGAAATTCAACTTTTATCGTGCCTTGCTGTTTTCAACTTTGTCTCCCTTTAAAAGGGCCTGAGATAAAACTCTCGCCTTCAGCTTTTTAGCTAGCTTCTCTAAATTTTTGCCTCTGGTTCTGACCATTATTTTGACCTGATGCTGAAATATTTTTATCTTATAGGTCAAAAATGTATAACTTAATTCTATGCTCTTGGCTTTTCTTAATAGGTCTAAATTTTCAAAGTAATCAGAAAACTTGTCATGCTGTTACCAAGAGTCCTGTGTTCCACTGCTCAAGGTACCCATTTTCCTTTCTCTTGTTTCGTCTATAATATAAGGTTCACTCATAACCTTAAACGTACTCTTCCTGTGTCCAATTAAATTCAACCACTTTTTAAATCACGTTTGACTTCCTGGTTATCTAAATGGATTTTCCATAAGGAGAGGCAGTCACACTGCAAAACGATTTTTTTTTATTTTTTTGTTTCCTTGGTAACTTGTTATGAAACAAAATTTATACTTTATCAGGATAGGTCCTATACTGTCTTTATTAGAGTTTTAATTGCTTTAAAAAACTGAGATTTAAGAGGCTTAAGGTTTTTACATAGATATAATTTTCTGTGTTGCCTTTAAGGATTTTTAATTATCACTTCAGTTAAATGAGTAGCTACTATTTTACAATGACCCATGGTTCTGTTTTGATCAAATGTTGTAAGCCTTTTAACATCTTTGACAAACGTGCTCAAAATTAAATCCTAAATTAAGTCTCTGATCTATTGCTGGGGTTTATCAAAGTTATAAAAATTCATCACCATGCTCTTACAGAATCTTTTTACAGTTTCTAGTCAGGCCATGTACTCCAGTATCACGCCCTCAAGCCCCTTGAAAAGGTCCTTATAATGTGCTATTAACTAATACTTGTGTTATAAATTATAGGGCTTTGACTTCTGGGTACATGTATCTCATCTAAGGAGGGCGCTGACTCCTGCTGGTATCTGACTCAAACTCAGGCTAACGAAAGTCTTGTCGTTAGACACAGGCAAAGGCAATAATCAAAGTAAACTGCTTTCATGCAATGCAGGGACAGGTCTGTATTCAAAAACATTAAGATTCATTTAATACTTTTGCCTCTATCTAAATTAACATAATTTATTCTATGCCTTAATACTAAATAATGTAAATATTTAGCCACGTATAAGCTTCCTTTTCTGTTATTCTCAAAACTAGGCAGGGCTTATGACATCTTTATTGAAAACTTTGCAAATTCTTTATATTTTGTTTTACCTACAGAATTTGAAACTATTCAATTTCTTCAGGCCCAGGAACCATCACATGAGATTGTAAGGGGCAGTTTTGAAGGATATAATTAGTTCATGTCCTCCAAATCAAGGGCAGGCACACAGATGCCTGAACAGCTGAACAAAATGCTTCTATTTTGTAAAACTAATTGCTACAAGCCAAGATTACAGTAGCTCAATTCATAAAATTTATAAATAAGTCAATTTTGTATCCTTGCCTTTTGGCTTTTAATTTTTGGCTCTAATGTTGTTTAAAATGGGTTTTAAAGGTTAATGCATACTTGCCCTCCTCCATTCCCATCTGTCCTAGAACATGTAATTGAGTATGAGTCTTCTGGCTGTAAGTTCCTTGGCCATAGGGGACCCACCTAGGGCCATGATAGAACCAGGTCAGGCCACACACCACTCTGGCATCGGCATGAGACAAAAATAAAAACTTAGCCATCAGTACCACTACTAGCATACTTTGACAAAAAAGGAGACATATAAACTAAAAAATAAAATCCTAAAGACCCCCAAAGACTGAATTGACTACTGAACCCTGCTCTTGCCCAAAGGGAATCCCAAAGAAACCAGACGAACTAGTTGTGGCCATAATGGGACGTGAGGAGTCAGAGATGTCTCACTATAACTTCCTCCTTTGAAAATTTAGGCACAACTAATCAGCACTAACATAAAAATAAAAATCCCAATACTGACAAAACAGACTCTTTACCACAATAAAAGTCCTACTGACCTGTATGAAAATCATAATGATATTGCAGATCATGGTGCATAGGCAAGAGAGACAATGACTTCTCACAAAAAGCTTTTTCCTAAAAGCACAATTTATGGGGAAATCATTTATTTACTTGATTGCCCGTGTATCTAAACTACTTATTCTCTCTACCAACTTGCCTATTCTGGACATTTAATATAAATGGAATCATACATTATACAGCCTTTTATGTCTGGCTGTTTCCCCTAGCATAATGTTCTCAAGCATATATTGGACCATGTTGAAGCATATATTGGACCTTTTATATTTTTATGGCTAAGTAACAGTCCATTGTATAAGTGAAATACTTCATTATATATCAGATATTATGTATCCATTTGTTAGTTGGTAGACATTTTGGTTGTTTTTAATTTTTATGCTTCTTATAAATAATGCTTCCATGAGCATTCGTGCTCAAATTTTGTGTGGATGTTTGTTTTTAATTATCTTGAGTGTATTGATAGGAGTAAAATTGCTGAGTCATATAATAAACTGTAAAACTGTTTTGCACAGCATTTGCATCATTTTAAATTACCACTGGCAATTTATAACGGTTCCAATTTTCCAAGGAATTGCCAACACTTGTTTTTGTCTGACTTTTTGATTATAGCCACAGCATGGAATATTAAGTGATATCTCTTCTGGTTTTTATTTGTATTTTCTAATGCAATGATGTGGAATATCTTTTCATATGCTTCTTAGCCAATTGTATAGCTTCTTTGTTGAAATTTCTATTGAAATAAGTTGCTATATTTTAATTACTTATTTATTTTTAATTTTTTATTCAAATTTTATTTTAGGTTCAGAAAGTACATGTGCAGGTTTGTTACACGGGTAAATTGTGTGTCACCGAGGGTTGGTACACAAATGATCTTGTCACACAGATAGTGAGCTTAGTACTTGATAGGCAGTGTTTCACTTCACACCTCTCACTGTCCACCCTCTTGTATTGTGCCTGTTGTTTCCACCTTTATGTCCTTGTATACTCAATGTTTCGCTCACACTTAAAAGTGAGAACATGAGGTATTTGGTTTTCTGTTTCTGAACTAGTTCACTTATGATAATGGCTCCCTGCTATATCCATCCATGTTTCTGCAAAGGACATGATTTCATTCTATGCGATAACTGCAAGGTATTTTATGATGTATTTGTACCATATTTTTTTCATCCAGTCCATCATTGAAGGCTACCAGGACTTTGGTTGATTCTATGTTTTTACTACTGTGAATGGTGCTGCAACAAACATGTGAGTGCCTTTGTCTTTTTGGTATAAAGATCTATACTCCTTTGGGTATATACCCAGTATTTGGGTTGCTAAGTTGAATGATAGTTCTGTTTTAAGTTATTTGAGAAATTTCCAAAATGCTTTCCACAGTGGCTAATTTATATTCCCACCAACAGTGTATAAGTGTTCCCTTTTCTTCATAACCTTGCCATTGTCTGTTTTTTCTTTTTTTTTTTTGACTTTTTAATCATATCCAGTCTGATTGGTGTCACATGCTCCCTCTGGGTGGTTTTTATTTGCATCGGTCTAATGATTAGTGAGGCTGAACATTTTTTCATATATTTGTTGGCCACATGTAGGTCTTCTTCTGAGAAGTTTCTGTTCATGCCTTTTGCACATTGTTTAATTTGGTTATTTGTTTTTTGCTTGTTGAATTTTTTAACTTACATATAGATTCTAGATATTAGACCTTTGTCTGATGCATTTGTGAATATTTTCCCCCATTCTGTAGGCTATCCACTTTGTTTGTAGCTTCTTATGTTGTGCAGAAGCTCTTTAGTTTAATGAGGTCCCACTTGTCAATATTTGGTTTTGTTGTAATTGCTTTTGGGGACATAGTCATAAATTCTTTGACAAGACTTATGTCTAAAATATTACTTCCTAGGTTTTCTTTTAGGATTTTTATAATTGGAGGTCTACACTTGTGTATCAGGTTGAGTGATGAGGTTACGCCTTTAAACCAGTCCCACAGACTCTCACAGAATAAGTGTTCCCTGTGGCTCTGAACCACATTGTGGACTGGAGATAGGCTACAGTGTGCATGTGAAGTAGGAGTCATGAGCTTGAAACAGGGGTGGATGGGGAAACAGGTTGTGTTCCTGCCTATGTAGGATAGGAAACAAGTGCAGCTTCCCAATCCTGCTGCAGAGACCTCAGTGCACTTCACCAGGAGCCTCTCTCAGCCACCCTCATCAGGGCTAGTACCTGTGCTCAGCACTGAAATATCTATGGGCAAGCCGAGGGCTCCAGCATGGTCCAGCTGTGTCCCCTGTGAAAGTGGCCTCAAGGAATAGGAAGCTCAGAGCACCAGCCACCCCATTGTCCAATCCTTCACCGGAAACAAGAGACCACCTCACAGTAAACAAAGATTGGGTCCATACACACCTGATTGTGCGGCAGCTGGCATTTACCTACAAATACAATTTAATGGACTTTAGGTTAGACCACCCAGCTCAATACAAAACCTGCTGACAGAAGTCCACAGGACTACAGAAGGAAAGCCAAAAGACCCTATCCGACACAGCCCTCTCCAGATGAGAAGAAACCAGCAAAGAATTCTGCCATCATAAGAATCTGAATGTTGTGACACTACCAAAGTTTCACTCTAGCAGTGAAGCCATGGTTCTTAGCCAAAATGGAGGCAGAGAGATAACAGATGGAGAATGCAAAGCATGGATTTCAGGGAAACTCAACAAGATCCAAGACAAGGTTGAAAATCAACACAAAGAAAGTTCTAAAGCAATCAGAGAAATAAAGGAAGAGGTAAACATCTTAAAAAGAAATCAAGCAGAGCTACTGGGACTAAAAAACACACTTAAGAATTTTTAAAATACAATCAAAAGCTTTCTCAATAGACTAGATCTGACAGAGGAAAGAATTCAGAGCTTAAAGATTGGTCTTTCAGACTAAGCCTGTCAGACAAAAAAAGGGAAGAGAATTTTTTTTTTAAATGAACAAAGTCTCTGAAAAATATGGGATTAAGTAAAGTAACCAAATCTTTGAATTATTGGCATTCTTGAGAAAAAAGGAGAAAAAGTAAACAACCTGGAAAACATTTGAAGGAATAATTTAGGAAGATTTTCCTAATCTTGCTAGAGAGGTAGACACATTTAAATTATTGCTGAGTTGTAAGTGTTCTTTCTACTTTATAGATAGCAGACACTTACGTACTATTTTTAAATATTTTACCCCATTGTTTTTGTTGTTGTTGTTTATTTTTGACACACAAAAATTTCAGCTGTGATGACATTCATTTTACATTTTCCCTGCCTTGGTTGCTTGAACTTTTGCTGACAGGTCTAATAATGTGGCTAATCAAAGATCACAAGGATTTTTACAAAGATTTTCTTCTAAGAGTCCATATAGCTTATAGCACTTATGTTTAGCTCTTTAGTCCATTTTGAGTCAATATTTACTATATAGTCTATTATGGGGTTCTAAATGTATTCTATTGGATGTGCCTATCCAGTTGTCCCACCACAATATGTTAAAAATTATTTCTGTCTTATTGTTTGGTTTTGACACAGCTATAAAAATCTATTGACTATGGAAGTTGTGTGTCTGTTTCTGGACAGTCAACTTTATTTAATTAATCTATATGTCTATCCCCATGCCAGTTTCACTCTGTTATGATTTCTGCAGGTTTGCAGTTACGTTTTATAAAATACTGCCATCAACAATATTAAGTCTTCCAATCCATGACCACAGGATGTCTTTTCATTCATTTAGGTCTGTAATTTATTTCAGCATTTTGATTCCTTTTTCCTTTTTTTTGTTACTAATGTATAAGTCTTGAACTTCTCTAATTAAATATACTACTAGGTATTTGATTATTTTTATGATATTGTAGAAGGAAATGCTTTCTTGCTTCTATGACTGGATTGTTTATTGCTATTGCACAGAAATACAACCAATTTCTGATTACTGATACTGCATCTTTCAAACTTACTAAAGTGGTTTATTAGCTCTAAAGATGTTTTATGGATTCTAAAGAATCTAGATTTTTAGAATGTTTACTTGGTATCCTTTAATAATTTCCATCACTTTTTAAAAATGCCTTTTAAGGGTAGTTTTAGATTCATAGCAAAACTTAGAGGAAGGTGCAGAAATTTCCTATATACTCTCTACCATTTTATATATGCGCAGCCTACCCCATCATCAGCATTATCCACCAGTGTGTTAAAATTGATGAACTTGGCCAGGCACGGTGGCTCACACCTGTAATCCCAGCACTTTGGGAGGCCAAGGTGGGCTGATCATCTGAGGTCAGGAGTTTGAGACCAGCCTGGCCAACATACTGAAACCCCGTCTCTACTAAAAATACAAAAATTAGCCGGTTGTGGTGGTAGGCACCTGTAATCTCAGCTACTCAGGAGGCTGAGGCAGGGAGAATTACTTGAACCTGGGAGGCAGAGGTTGCAGTGAGCCAAGATCGTACCGTAACACTCCAGCCTGGGTGACAGAGCAAGATTCTGTCTCAAAAAAAAAAAAAAAAAAAAAAAAAGATAAACATACATCAACACATTATTAGCACCAAAATCCATAGTTTACATTGGGGTTTACACTTGGTACTGTACATTTTATGGGTCTGGGCAAAGGTATTACCATTCTAGTATTATTAGGAGTATTTACATAGCCCTAAAAATTTTCTGAGCTTACTTTATTGATACTGGTATTTGAGGCATTGTTCTATGCGTTCCATTAGTTCTTTATACATGGTTTTCTTGAGCTCTTTGAACATATTTAAACTGCTAGTTTAAAATTTTTGTCTTTTAAGTCTAATGTTAAGGTTTGCTCTTGGACAATTTCTATTGATTTTTCCCCTTGGCTATAGGCCATATAATTTTTGTTTCTTTGCATTTCTTAATTTTTGTTGAAAACTTCACATTAAATAACATTATATGACAATGCTGCAAATTCCCATGCTCATGCAAAGCAGGTTTACTAATTACCAATCTCAAGAGACGATTCTTACTGTTTGGAGAATAGCAAAGGTCATTATTATGCCAACCAGCAGGAACAAGAATCCATGCACTTATGCCAACTGTATTCTTGACTACTGTTTAGGTCCTCCTTGCACTGCTTACCTATTTGTCTGAGTCCTGTGAGACAGAACACACACATAAAATGAAGCATGTTATGCAAAGCAAGTTTGATACTTACAGATAGGCAGCCAGGGACAGAAGAGGTCTCAGATCCATCATTGGCAGGTCCCTCGAGGCTTAGGCAAGCTGCCCAGGGTAGATGGCGTCTTGACTGCACATGGCCCATTTTGCTCCATATCTGAGAGACTCCAACAAGGCATCCCATCCTGGGTTACGTATGTCAGGAGCCATGTGTCCCACTGGGCAAAGCTGTGGAGGACATTTGGCTTCTAGAGGAGAGAAGAACAAAGCAGTTCTTAACTCAAGATGTCACATTCCTCAGCAAAGAGAGGAACAAGCCCTGAGCTGTTTCAGGCAGTTCTTCCCTATCTCAAGATGTTATATTCTCAGCACATTCTGTGGTTATACTTTAACTACAAGCAAGAAAGGAGAACTTGGCCTGTCTAAGGTCACCCAGATAACTGTCCTGTAGCCTCTGCTTCTTTATTGTTGTTTCTGCTTGTCACAGTAGGTGCTGCTTGTTTGTTTAGTGGCTATTTATAACTAATTCTATATAATCTATATTCATTGTCATGTGTGTCCACTAAAGTCTCTGCTCAGTTAACTTCCTGGTCAGATAATAATTGAACAAAGTTTTCATTAAATCCTTGGAATCAATAAGTCTTTCAGTGTTTGCTGAGGGGCTCTCTGTGTGTCTAGGGACATACCTTTGACACTGAGGCAGGCAGGTTACGGCTCTGCTTCAGGCTTCATTTCAAAACCAGCTGGATGAGAATGTTTAGCGCCTTCTCAGATTCTTCTTGAGGGTGCCTCCCATGGAGAAAAGTATCTCTATTTAATATTTTAAGGGTCTTTATGTGTACTTCATTGGAAACCCTTCCTCTGAAACTCTTTGATTAAGCAATTGTTTGCTCCAACATTTATTCATTGCTTCAGGCTGCAACCACATTAAACGTGTCTGTACATGTTTTTGGCAAATACTCCCTAGGAAGAGAATTTTAGCACCAGCAGGTCTCTGAGTCAGGTCAAGTAAAGGCAAGCATTCAGGTGGGGGTCGTCTAGCAAACTACCAAACAGATTAAATAGTAACAATTTTTAAAGAAATGAATCTTTGAAAGAGCAGCAGCTCCATTTTGCACTCTAGGTACCAGAAATGTGGGATGTTATTTTTCAAAACTGCAGCTGAACTGGGGATGGAAAGATTGGGCTAAGACAAATTAAAATGTGACAAAGTTCACTGTCCTTAATAAGATCCAGCTCTTTTCTTGAATAAGTGCTTCTAGGTTAGTCAATACATAACTGCATAGCTTTAATTAGTTTCCAGAGTTCTGAAAAGTTGATTCTGACAATCTTTGTCATTTTCTGTTTTATCTTTGAAGGGATGATTTTCAGAGTTTCTTACTCTGCCACATTGACTGACATCACCCAGTTTGCTTTTTTAAAGGTATTGAAGTAATATTGTTAGTACATCCTCTAATATTTTATTTTCACCATAAATTTTCAGTAAGACAGAATGTATTCCTATGTCTTTCTGCCATTGGTATTCTACACAGTGGTGTACAGTTAGCAAGTTACCATCCAATTTTGCTTATTAGCAAGCGATTTTGGAGAGGAGAAATGTCATTGTCCATTTATTAAAGAGTTCATAGGTACATTAGAAAGACATGCAAATGTGGATCATGTATCAATAGGCCTAACCATATTTTCCACCAAATAAACTCTGGAAGACGATAGTAACTTTTTTATGTAAAGGAAAATCTGGAATTCTGTGAAAAAGAGCCAAATTAATGTGGTGTGTTGGGTTAAAAATTAAGGCATAGTTACTCTATTACTTTCCTTGTTACATTTATGTGTAATAATTGATGTATTTCTCAGCATTTGGACCACAGGGTAAACAATGGTATCTGGAATTTTGAAGAAAACTGGAGTACTTCACCAGAGAATATGCCTCCATGATATAAATATTTCTGAGGAATGTGTAGTTAAAAAGCAGTAGATACCAAGGGATCCATCTGAGCTACCCTTTCTCACATAGGGCAGGCCATAAAAATTCCTGTGGCAAGGAAGCAAGAAAACTGTCTGCTTCCCATCTGTGTGCCCGATTCACAAAAATAGAAAGTTGTCCTGCCCGCTTTCCCGACTTTTGGCCTACAGATAGAGATGACAATGCTGCTTCCTTTTCATCTCAAAGGTGGCCCAGTGGGGCCAGGGGAACCTGGAAGCAGATTTTACATCCTTCCCACGGTGTCCCGTGTCTAAGAACCTGAGACTGCCAACTCCTTTGTCTCCTCACCATGGTGAGATTTATTGTTCTTTGCTAAAATACTATTTAAGCACAGCTCTTAAGCCACTGAGTTGAGAGAGTTACTTTTTTCCCCCATCATGGGCATAGCACATATTACTAAACCTGCATATTTTTCTCCTGATAGTCTGTCCTTTATTTCAGAAGAGGGTCTCCACTACAAGCTTAAGAGGGTTGAGAAGGATTATATGTTTTCTCCCCTGCAATCTATTAGACAAATTCTAACTATAAAATGTTTTGTACTAATACTAATGGAAGTGAAGAGATTCCATAATTTCAAAGCATGATATATTTATCATGTTAAGAGAAAAGCAACTCTTCCCTTTAAATTTGTGCTTGTTTCTTTTTTTATAATTATGGTTGTATTTAAAAATTTATATTTGTTATGCATCTTATAATAAACAATGTGTTTTGATTATTTAAAAAGTGTATCTATATATCTTTATAGCCTCAAATGATTGTTTTTAAAAAAACACAGTAAGTAGCTCACATATATTATTTCCTCTGGTCAGCATTCCCCTTTGGAAATACTTTAAAAGTTATACCAATAAATTATTAATGTATGTCAAGAAATAGATAAGTTCTATTTGCAAACATGTGCTCTGCCCAGAGTGGCATATTAGCTCACAATCAATAAACAAAGGAAACCTGAGTAAGTATCCTTAACATCTATAGATGGAGGATATTTATAGATATAGGGGACAAATTGCATAGGAAAATCTTGTGGAAATGGTGTCAGAAAAGAAAGTTCTCAGATTCCTTATTGAGTCATTTTGCAGATAGTTTACTTACTGGTGTGGCTTGATTCCAAACCATAATAAAATAGAATAGGATAAACAACTTTTTAAAAATCTCTCCTAGAGATTTACAGAGAACATGTTGTTCTTCTATAGAAAAGCTACGGTACTTATTTGAAGTTCAGATCAACATTTAAATCTTTAATTTGACTAATAAGATGAATGGAACATCTTTCTTTGCAGATGTTCCTGATACTTAAAAAGTATAAAATTAAATTAGACTTCAACACGATTGAATTTTGTTCATTTTGTATTTCAGTACTAAGTATTTGTTCACCAAAATAATGCAGCCTTTTAAAAATCTCCTTGAGTGTTTTCACCTTCAACCTGTCCTTATATCTTCCTCAAGAGCTCCCTATAATTCAGCCTGTTTTTTTTTTTTTTAATTATTTTTTGTTATACTTTAAGTTCTAGGGTACATGTGCACAACGTGCAGGTTAGTTACATATGTATACATGTGCCATGTTGGTGTGCTGCACCCATTAACTCGTCATTTACATTAGGTATATCTCCTAATGCTGTCCCTCCCCCCTCCCCCCACCCCACAACAGGCCCCAGTGTGTGATGTTCCCCTTCCTGTGTCCATGTGTTCTCATTGTTCAATTCCTACCTATGAGTGAGAACATGCGGCGTTTGGTTTTTTGTCCTTGTGATAGTTTGCTGAGAATGATGGTTTCCAGCTTCATCCTTGTCCCTACAAAGGACATGAACTCATCACTAATTCAGCCTGTTTTATAAAGATGCAACATTCTGCCCTGGGCCATTCACTGCTTAAATCTTGTTGTTACTCCGTCCTAAAATCAAATCCATTCTCCCATTAACATGTTATTCTTATCTGCTTCATAAACTACTTTATTTCTCCTATCAGACATTGTTCTTCTACTTATTTGAACTTCTATGCCTGCACATTATTTCCTAAGAGTCAGTAGAAATCTCCAGGTTCGCACTGATGGACACAATACTGTATCCGTCCCCTCAAACATCAACTCCTCCCTTGCACTCCCACCTTTGCTGGGTTGTGAAATCTTTTACTTATCAAGGCAATAGAGTCACTCATAAGACATTTGATTATGTTAGTGACCTTGATTTCTTTTTTATTATTCAACTGTCATTTTAGATTCAGGGAGTTCATGTGCAGGTTTGTTAACAAAGGTATATTGTGTGCTGTTGAGGTCTGGAGTACAATCAAGTCTGTTATTCAGGTAATAAGCATAGCACCTTATAGGTACTTTATCAACACCTTACCCACCTCTCCCAGGCCCCTCCACTAGTCTCCAGTGTCTATTGTTCTCATGTTTATGTCCATGTGTACTCAGTTTAGCTCCCAGTTATACATGAGAACATGCAATATTTGGTTTTCTGTTTCTACCTCTTGTGGAATCCATGTTGCTGCAAAGAACACGATTTCATTTTTTATGGCTGCATAGTATTCCATGGTATATATGTACCTGATTTTCTTTATCTAATCCACTGTTGATGGGCACATGGGTTGATTCATGTCTTTGCTATTGTAATAGTGCTGTAATGAACATATGAGTACATGTCTATTTGGTAGAACAATTTATTTCCTTTTAGGTATATACCCAGTAATGGCATTGCCAGGTTGAATGGTGCTTCCATTTTTAGTTCTTTGAGAAATTTCCAAATTGCTTTCCACAGTGGCTGAACTAATTTATATTCCCACCAACAGTGTATAAGCAACCCTTTTCTCTGCAGCCCAACCAACATCTGTTATCTTTTGAGGTTTTAAAAATAGCCATTCTGACTGGTGTGACATGGCATCTCATTGTGGCTTATATGTACATTTCTCTGATAATTAATAATGTTGAGCATTTTTTTGTGTGTTTGTTGGCCATTTGTATGTCTTCTTTTAAGAAGTATCTCCATTTCTTTTCTTTTTTTTTTTTTTTTGAGACAGAGTCTTGCTGTCGCCCAGGCTGGAGTGCAGTGGCGTGACCTTGGCTCACTGCAAGCTCTGCCTCCTGGTTCACGCCATTCTCCTGCCTCAGCCTCCCAAGTATCTGGGACTACAGGCACCCGCCACCACACCCAGCTAATTTTTGTATTTTTAATAGAGACTGGGTTTCACCGTGTTAGCCAGGATGTCTGGATCTCCTGACCTTGTGATCTGCCTGCTTCGGCCTCCCAAAGTGCTGGGATTACAGGCGTGAGCCACCGCGCCCAGCCAGGAGTAGCTCCATTTCTAACATAACTCTGTTATGTGAGGCCTTCTTTATTGGCCTCAGATGAGGTGATTCCATGCATTACCAAATGAACCCACAATCTGGAATTTTAATAACCGGCCACTTATACAAAGGTTAGTTCAGCCTACCAATGCATTAAAGTTTTCAGGACTCCAAACAAACTCTCCTTAGACCCATCCTCCCATTATAACAAATCTATTTCTCTTTTCTCTTTCATGCCCAAACCTCTTTAAAGTTTTATCTGCACTTACCAACTTCTGCTTGTACAAGTTTTTATCTGAGTCCAATATAATTCCCCCCCAGTCACACCGAAGACACTATTATAAGAGTCACAATCGACATTCTCATATGTACACCCAATTAATATAGCGAATCGAAATGTATTTACTTAGAAGTTAGTCAGTTATAGATTCAATGGTGAACAAATGAGAAATGCACTCCTTATTACAACTTAAAGTTTAACAATGGAAGCAAATGTTAAGAATAACACGTGTATACGAGATTTAATTTTTTTTTTTTAATATAGAAACAAGGTCTCACTCTGTCATCCAGGCTGTGGTGCAGCAGCACAATCATAGCCTGCTACAGCCTCGAACTCCTGAGCTCAGTTGATCCTTCTACCTCTGATTCGCAAGTAGCTGGGACTACAGACACGTGCTAGGTGTACTTTAAAATGAATTAACTGAGGATAATTGTATGGGGATATCCTAGCTTACTTCTCCATCTTAGTCTCTGGGCTCACAAAGATTATACTTGCATTAGCTACATTTGATCTTTCTACAATATATATACATAGATAAAAATATAGCATTGTCCTCCATAAATTACACCATTTTTATTTGTCAATTAAAAATAAAAAATAAACAACAGTGGGTTTTTTAATTATTTTTTTTTTTTTGATGGGGTTTCACTCTTGTCACCCAGGCTGGAATGCAGTGGCGCGATCTCAGCTCACTGCAACCTCCACTTCCTGGGTTCAAGCAATTCTCCTGTCTCAGCCTCCTGACAAGCTGGAATTACAGATGCCTGCCAGCTAATTTTTGTATTTTTAGTGGAGACGGGGTTTCACAATGTTGGCCAGGCTGGTCTTGAACTCCTGACCTCAGGTGATCTGCCTGCCTCGGCCTCCTGAAGTGCTGGGATTACAGATGTGAGCCACCACACCTGGCCACAATGTTTTAAAAGAAGCTTATTTTTCCTGTCTAACTGAAATTTTATAGCCTTTTATCAACATCTCCCTTTTCCCCATCAAACCCCTTCCTCCAGCCTCTGGTAACTCTCATTGTACTCTCCACTCCTCTCCAAACCTCATGTAGGAATGTAATCCCAGTGCAGGAGGCGGGGCCTGGTGTGAGGTGTCTGGATCATGGTGGTGGATCCCTCATGAATGGCTTAGCGCCATCCTCTTGATGATGAATGAGTTCTTCCTCTGAGTTCCCAGGAGATCTGATTTTTAAATGTGTGTGACACCTTCCCCTCTTTCTCACTGCTGCTCTCATCAGGTGATACATCAGCTTCCACTTTGCCTTCCACCACTTTGTAAGCTTCCTGAAGAACTCACCAGAAAGAATGTTGCCGCCATGCTTCCTACACAGCCTGTAGGACCATGAACCAATTAAACCTCTTTTCTTTATAAATTACCCAGTTTGGATTATTTCTTTGTTACAGTGCAAACAAACTAACACATCAACTTTTTGAGATTCCACATAGAAATGATATCATGAAGCATTTGTCATTCTGATCTGACTTGTTTCACTCAGCATAACGTCCTCCAGTTCATGTTGTCACATTGCACAGAATGGTGACTATACTAAATGGTAATGCAGTGTAATATATTTAAATTGCTAAAAGACTAGATTTTACATTTTTAACCAAAAAAAATAATAAATATGGGAGGGAATGGATTTGTTAATTAGTCTGATTTAATCATTTCACACTGTAAACACATATCACAATATCATACTGTATCCCATAGATATGTACAATTATTATTTGTCAGTCAAAAATAAAATTAGAAAAAGAAGGCATACAAAAGGCCAAACACATATACGAGGAGATGTTCAACATGGCTAGTCATTGGAATAATGCCACTGGAACCAGGGTGGGATGTCACCTCATGCCTATTATAATGGTTGTTATCAAAAAGATAAAAGATAAAAACTATTGACAAGAATTGGGGCTGGGCGCCTGTAATCCCATGATTTTGGGAGGCCAACATGGCAGGATCGCTTGAGGCCAGGAGTTTGACACCAGCTTGGTCAACATACTGATACCCTATCTCTCTCTCCCTCTGTGAATATATATATACACACTCACGTGTACACACATACATGTGTATATATACGTATATACTTATATACACATATATATGCATATATGCATATATGTATATATAAGATATATGTATATGTATGTATGGATATATATACACATACCTGTATATATGTATGCATATGTATGTATATATACATATAAGATATATGTATATATGATATATGTATATATGCATATATATGTGTGTATATATACATTATATACATTTTATCTTTTTGATACATGTTATCTTTTTGATAACAACCATTATAACAGGCATGAGGTGACATCCCACTCTGGTTCCAGTGGCATTATTCCAATGACTAGCCATGTTCAACATCTCTTCATATATCTGTTTGGCCTTTTGTATGACTTCTTTTTTTAATATAATACATATATATATACATATATATATATATATAAAGTATTGACAAGAATTTGAAAGGCAGAATGCCTTTGTACACTACTGGTGGGAATGTAGATTTGTATAACCGTTTTTAGTATGGTTACAAAAAAATAAAGAAAAATAAAAACTAGAATTACTATATGTTCCAGCAATACCACTTGTTGGTATATACCCAAAGTCATTGAAATAAGCATGTTGAAGAGCTGTCTGCATTCTTATGTTCATTGCAACATTGTTCACGATAGCCAAGATATGGAAATAATCTAAGTGTCCATCCAGAGAGGAATAGATTTCTTTAAAAGTGGTATATATACATAATTAAATACTATTCAACCTTTAAAAAATACAAAATTCTGTACTCTCTGACAACAAGAATAAATCTAGAGGACATTATGCTAAGTGAAATAATCCAGGCCCAGAAGGATAAATATCATTTGTTCTTATTAATATGTGAAATCTAAAAAAGTAGTCCCAGCTACTCGGGAGGCTGAGGCAGGAGAATGGCGTGAACAGGGAAGGCAGAGGTTGCAGTGAGCCAGTTTCAGTTAGACAAAGGGAAGAAGTCATAGTACACAACAAGGTGGCTGTACATAATAATCATGTATTGCGTATTTCAAAACTGCTAAGAGTAGGTTTTAAATGTTCTCACAATGAAATAATAAGTTTTTTAGTTGATTAACTTGTTAATCTGATTTACTCATTCCATAATGTATACCATACTTGTATAGAAGCATTATCTTCTACCACAAAAATATATACAATTATTATTCATTAATTAGAAAATTTTAAAAAAAACAAACAAAAAATACAAAAAAAATTATTTATTAATAATAGTTTAAAATAACTTTTAACTTCCCAATAATGTGAATCTCTTCCTACTCATGTCAAATTTATCTCTACTTTCAGAATATAGCATTCAAATGGTGCATGATATAATCCAAATTTACTTAACATAGGAAAAATCAAGAAAATATGTCTGATATGTTTTGGCTCTTTATCCCCACCAAAATCTCACATTGAGTTGTAATTCCTGATGTTGGAGGAGGGACCTGGTGGGAGGTGATTGGATCATGGCTGTGTATTTCCCCCTTGCTGTTCTCGAGATAGTGAGTGAGTTCTCATGAGAGCTGGTTGTTTAAAAATGTGTGACACTTCTCTATCCACTCTGTCTCTCTCCTGGAACCATGTGAATACATGCCTGCTTCCCCTTCATCTTCTGCCATGATTGTAAGTTTCCTGAGGTCTCCCAGCCATGCCTCCTGCACAGCTGTTGAACTGTGAGTCAATTAAACCTCTTTTCTTTATAAATTACTCACTCTCAGGTAGTTCTTTATGGCAGTGTGAAAATGGACTAATACAATGTCCCTTTCTGAAGAGAAGAAAAACAAATAAACATGAAAACCAGAAAGAAGTACAGAAGACAAAAGTTCTCATTTATTTTCTACATTCAACATATGGAGATTTCAGTCCACAGATTGGTTTGAGAACATTGCCCCAAATCCTAATATTTAAATTTAGAAACATGTGTGATCTAATCAATTTTCCTTGTAGTATTATTTACACTCAGGAATATAATATACAATGATTTGGTGGAAATAGAAATGATTTTCTTATGTTTTTTAATTGTTTACTTGTTAATTGCTTTGAATTTGCTTGTTTGCAAACAGTATTATACATACAACAAAGTTTGCTAGAAAAGCGTCATTTTTTGCACTATTTATTTATGTACTATGATAACTAGACTTATTTTACTTTCGGTTTATTATTAATTCAGATACCAAGCAAAATTTTTAAAACTTTAGGGCTTTATACCCACCCCCCCAGAAAAAAACAATTTCATCTCTTTCCTGCCATATTTGCTGTTAAATGTTAACCAGTAGGAAAATACACATTCATTTCACACGTTTTCTACAAATCCTTTCTGTTTTTACATGTCTAAAGATTTTTGCTTGGTTTTGAATTTCAAAGTTCTCCCAAATTTCTTGTTGACGACTCAGAGAAATTGTTTGATGTTACTGTTTCAAAATGATTTCCATGACTGTCTTTAGTTTCTTTGAAAATAGTTGCAACCTCCTAAATATTTGAACACATATGCTTACATTTATTTATAATAAAAATAATAAGCACAAAGGCTGTAGACACTAAATGCCTTCAATAGCATCATAAGTAACATATTTCTCAAATTCATCTAAAAATGAGTTGCTGGCATTTGAAAACTTTATTATGTATTTTTAACCTCCTTTTTCTCATCTACATTGTAATCATGAGAATTTTGATTTTAAGATGTATTACTTTGGAAGAAGTACAAAATGAGAACTGCTACTTTATTTATTGAATAACCATTAATTCAGTGTCAGTAAAGTTATTCTAAAAGTAATTTTTTTCTATCAACAAATATGGTAATGCTTTAAATATAATATTCTTAGGAAGATAATCTATAAACATCAGTAATTCAGACTATCCCTGGAAGACCCAGCATCATCTATCTTCAAGGAACAAGATAGAATACTTCATTTAAAAAATGTGTAGTCAGGCCAGGCACAGGTATGGTAGCTCACGCCTTTAGTCCCAGCACTTTGGGAGGCTGAGGCAGGTGAGCCCAGAGGTTCGCGGCTGCAGTGAGCTATGATTGCACCACTGCACTCTAGCCAGGTGACAGACCAAGACCCTGTCTCTAAAAAAAACCCTATAATATAATAAAAATCAGAAAAATGTACAGACAAGAAACATTATTTGTCAAGCAAAAGAAGTGACCTTTCAGAGCCTAAAACTTTTGAAGGATTAAAAAAGTACACCTTCTATAACCAGTAACACAGGCTTATGTAAGCTGAGAGAGGGATTTAGATATCTCACATCTTCCTCTACTCCTGCAAAAATATTTTGAAGTCCAATCTATATGAAAAAGTATTTTGCAAGCACAACCCGGGGAAGTATTACTTCACGGTCACTATTATGATGATTATCATCATTTATAATTATGAGATACTTATCAGGATCCAATAGCCTCCGGAGCACTTTATATTTGTTAATTTACTTAATAATTTCAACAAAATTTGTAGGGGTTACTATATTATTATTTCAATCTTACTGAACACATAGGTGGATGAAATAATTTCCCAAAGTCACATGGTTAGAAGGTAGCAAATTCTGAAACTTGTAGAAGTTGTTGAACTTCTTGTTGAAGTTGTTGAACTTGTAGAAGCAGAGAGTAGAATGGTGGCTGCCAAGGGTTGGAGGCTGGGGAAAATGGGGACATGTTGGTTAAAGGACATAAACGTTCAGTTATAAGGTGAGTAAGTTCTAAGGATCTAATATAGGATGGTGACTGTAGTTAGTAATACTGTATTGTTTATTTGAAATTTGCTGAGACAGAATCGTGTCATCACCACACACACATGCACAAAATGATGACTATGTGTGGTAGGTAATACACGTGGTAATATTTTCTCATTGTATACATATATCAAATTACCACATTGTACCCCTTGAATATATACTTTTTTTGGTCAACTGTACTTCAATGAAGCTGAAATAAATAAAATATATGCTTGCCGGGTGTTGAGCTCCTCCCTGCATCCAAAGTATGTTGAAATCTTAACCGTGGAACCTGAGAATGTGAAATTATTTGGAAATAGGGTCACTGCAGATGTTTCTAGTTAGGGTGAGGTCATCCTGTAGGAGAGTAGGTCTTTAATCCAATAGGACTGTGTCCTTAAAAAAGAAGAGCTGAAACACAGGAAGACGTGCAGGGAGAACCCATGTGGTGAGAAAGGCAGTGTTTAAAGGAAAGTGTCTACAAGCCAAAGTATTCCAAGGATTGCTGGCAACACAAGAAACTATGGGAAAGGTTTGGAAGGATTCTCCTCTAGAGGATTTGGAGGGAGCATGCCCTAGCTGACAAACTGATTTTATACATTTAGCCTCCAGAATTGTGAGAGAATAAATGTCTTTTGTTTCAGGCTAACCGGTTTGTGGGCCTTTATTACAGCAGCCCTAGGAAATTGATACAATGTTTTTAAGTGGCTTATTTGAATTAAAAATTAATAATGAATAATAGCCATTTAAAAATAAGGGCTAAAATAGCAGGTTCATTCTCAAATACCAGCCTTTAAAAAATAATTATAATAATGCATACATCCATTTATGCTGCTATAATAAAATGGATGAAACTGGATAGTTTGTAAATAATAGAAAATTATTTCTCACAGTTGTGGAGGCTGGAAAGTCCAAGGTCTGATGTCTGGTGTGGGCTGCTCCCTGCTTCCAAGATGGTGCCCTGTTGTTGCATCCTGCATAGTGGATAAATGTTGTGTCCTTGCCTAGGAGAAAGGATGGAAGGGGAAAAGGAGATGAACATTGTGTCCTCACATGGTGGAAGAGCAAAGGAGAACAAATTCACTCCTTTAAAACGTTTTATTCGGATTCTAATCCCATCCATGAGTGCCCGGCCCTTGTGACTTAATCACCCCTTAAGGTGTTACATTGGCCCCTTACGTTTTAACTATAAATTTTGGAAAACACATTCAGCCCATAGCATTCCTTTCCTGGCCTCAAAAATTCATGTCCTTCTCACATGGAAAATATATTTATTCCACCCCAATAGCCCCATAAATCTTAACTTGCTCCAGCATCTAAACGCCTAAGAGTCTCATCTAAATTAGATCGGAGTGAGACAAAAATTTCTCTCCAGCCGTGAGGCTATGAAATCACACGAGTTATGTGCTTCCAAAATATAATGAGGGAACAGGTGTAGCATAGATATCTTCATTCCAAAATGGGAGAAATAGGCAAGAAGAAAGAAGCAACAGGTCCCTAGCAATTCCAAAACCCAGCAAAGCAAACAGCATTAAATCTTGACGCTTGAGAATAATTTAATTTGACTCCTATCTTCTGGGAACAGTATCCTATCTCTGGAAACACTGGGGTGGAGATTTTGACACTCAGGCTCCAGGCAATCCTACTCCTATGGCTTTGCCGGGTGTAGCCCACACTGCAGTCTTCACGGTGTGGGGTCCAGTTTCTGTGGCTTTCAGGCTGGAGTTGCACGTCCGTGGCTCTATAGTTCTGGGGTCTCGGGAGTGACTCAGTGCTCATGACTCTGCCAGACATTGCACCACTGAAGACTCACTGTGGTTAACCTGACCCCATTACTATACTAGGTATTGCCCCAGTGGGGGTTCTCTGTGGTATCTCCAAACCTCTGGCCGTTCTCTACCTGGGCTTCGAGGCACTCTGAAGTATCCTTTATCATGGAGGTGGAGGCAGCCATGTCTTCACAGCTCCTGCACTCTGATCCCCTGCAGTTAGCACCATCAGGAGCTGCCAAGGTTTACCACTCATGCCCTCTAGAGCAGTGGCTCAAGCCACACCTGGGCCCACTTGAGCCACAACTGCTGTGGTCAAGGATTAGTGAATTAAAATGCAGGAAGCAGAGACTTGAGGTGGTCATGGGCAGTGAGACCCAAGGTCCAACAAGCACCTTGGGACCCTCCCTTGAAACTCCTCTATGCTCATGGCCCTGGCACCCTGGAACTCTGATGGGAATGGGAGCCTCAAAGATCTCTGAAATGCTTTAGGGGTCATTTTTCTTTTGTCTTGATGAATAATATTTGGCTTCTTTGTCTCCATTCTAAGGTTATTTTCAAATCCAGATGTTAGCTTGGCCACACCCTTGGTATTCTCTTCGAGACACACTTTTATTCTTCACAATGGTAAAGAATTATTCAAATCTTTAAGTATTGCTTCTTTTTTATTATAAATTCCATCTTTAATTTGTTTCTCCTCTCACATTTTATTATAAGCAGTCAAGAGAAACTATGAAACACCCTAAATATTTTGCTTAGAGATTTCTTCCACCAAATATCCTGGTTTATCACTCTTAAATTCTGCCCTCCACAAAGTGCAGTCTCCAACTTAAGACGGTTTGACTTACATGATTTTTTGACTTTATAATGATAGAAAAGTGATATTCATTCCATAGAAACTGTATTTCAAGTGCCCATAAAGTTTTTTTTTGTTTTTCACTTTTAGAATATTATTCAATAAATTACATTACCTATTCAATACTTTATTATAAAACAGGATTTGTGTTAGATGATTTTGCCCAACTGTTGGCAAATATAAGTGTACTGATCGTGTTTAAAGTTGGCGAGGCTAAGCTATGATGTTTGTTACTTTAGGTGTATTAAATGCATTTTTAACTTAATGATATATTTAACTTATGATTGGATATTTGAGACATAACCCCATTGTAAGTCAGGGAGTATCTGTACTTGGACATGGAAACAATTCAGCCAAGTTTTTTGGCACTTTGTAATGAGGATGGTCTTCCCTCTAGTTTCCAATATGATATTCCTCATTTTAGTCTGAGGTCACATCAGAATTACCTGTACCGTCCATATTTCTCCCAGCATTCTGATCCTGAGCATGTTAGATAATCTCTAGGAAGTCCGAGACTCTCTCTATAGCTCTCCTATTCTGAGCCCTCACCAGAGTCTGTCTCCCTTAATGATCCATTATGGCAATCTAGACTCTTTCTAGCATACACTTCAAAATTGTTCCTGCCTCTACCCATTACCACATTCCAAAGCTGCTTACACATTTTTAGGTATCTGTTATAGCAACACCTGACTTCTTGGTACCAATGTTCTGTATTAGTCCATTTGTTCTGCTACAAAAAAATACTTGAGACTGTGGAGTTTATAAGTAATAGAAAATTATTTTTCATAGGAAGTCCAAAACCAAGGTGCTGGCAGGTTCAGTGTCTGGGAGGGCGGCTCTCTGCTTCCAAGATGGTGCTATGTTTCAGCAGCCCCCGTGAAAGACACAAGCTATGTCCTCACATGGTGAAAAAAATGGAAGGGCAAGGGGGAGGAATGCTGTGCCCTCACGTGATAGAAGAGCAGAAGACTTTATAAGGGTCCTAATCCCATTCATGCAGTTTCCACCTCGGGACAATTAAAGACAGATCCCAGCTCTTTATACTGTTAGGCTGGCCCTAAGGCTTCACACCTGAATTTGGGGAGATGCCCTCAGTCCATAACAGCGTGTAATTTGAATGCATGTATAAAATTCCTTTACTATCTAATGATAGTTTAACTTTGGCACCAAATAATCACCACATAGTTTTTACAATTGCATAACTATAGTGACAGACACCCAAGTAATACCCAGTGTTCCTAATATTTAATCCATGTCATGTATTATAACAAAAGTTTTGTATAGTTACACTGAAACAATAAAGGATTCCTAAGGAAATTGTTATACAAATGAATGCTATTCACTAATCTTATTATGCATCATCTAAACTGTGGAGATAATTTTATTGCCCCAAAGCTTGACTACAATATTCTAAAATGTTTTGCTTTTTGAAATTACAGGGTTTAATAAAAGTCGATTAGCAAAATTAATAAACTAATTGATTTAATGTTCTGTATTCCTCAGAATAAATTTAAAACTAACAGCTTATTTAACAATGGAAATAATTTGAAACAACATCCTCTATGTATAGTAAATAGAGAAAAGGAAATGCACAGCTGTATGCAAATGCAACAAAAAATAGACTTCTTTGAATAAGCGGTTCAGTCAAAGTAAGGATAAATATTATACCAGGCCAGGGCAGTACACATGTATATTGTCATATTTATAGATAAAAATGAATACTGATATGATGAAAGATATAACATAAATATAGAATACATTGCATTGTTTTCGTGATTATTATAGCAGGCACCATTATTTACTATTCTATTCCAAGCTTGACTTTGTATCATTTCTGCTGTTATTATTTCCCATCTTTCAGAAATACTGTAACATACCAGTTAAGCCAATCTTGTCACTATTAAAATAACTTCAAAACTAATGGAAATGTAAAGGTTAAAAAGGGAAATAGGTTGCTTGCATGTGATTACCACCTTTCACTTAGCCTATTGAATCCGATGTGTTTTGGAAGGTCTCTAAACAGGTGATCATTTCTCTTTAACACTGTACTTAGAACAATAAATAATGCATAACATGCTTTAAAAATAAAAATTGCTTAAACAAGAGGAAATAAATTGTTCTTTTCTCATTAATTTAGCAAACTGTGAATGAGTCCCTTACTCTTATTAAGCAATGCGAGTTTAAAAATATACATCTTTATCACTGGCAATTCAATTAGATTCAACTCAATACAAGTCAGTTCAATCAAGTCAGCATTTATTAAGCAAGCAACCACATTTATCTATTTACTGTTAGAGAACAAATTATTCATTGTCCTCTCAATTATTCCGTGCTTTATGTTAAGGGTAAGCTGGACATACAAAAAACACTAGGGGCACAAAATGAAGGGACGTATGTGATAGATTCTGTTTATAAATGTTACAAGATTGTAGTGGAGGAAAAATCATTGACATTGAACCGAGAAAAATCTTGGTAGAAATTTGAATTTTGAACTATAAGAAACTGTATGGATTGAATTGAAATAAGTGTCTGTCATCTTGAGACAGATTACAATATATACTTTTAAGTTACCTAACAGTTTAGCCGTTAATATGTCTATCTCTAATTCATCTATAGGCAATATAGCCATTTAAATGGGTAGACATGAGATATCACATAGTAAAACTAGGTATTAATTTCCTGATTAAAACTAGATAGATAATAGATAAATAGATAGGACGATAGATAGCTTACAGATAAAGCTTAAAGGAAAAAATCCTTTTGACTCTTTAATTTTATTAGAGTTTATTTGAGAAATTAAAAATGAAGCAAAAGCCAAAGAAAACAAAGCAGAAACAAAACAAAACTGATATGCAAATCGGGCAGCTCTTAAAACCAAAACAAGTTCAGATAACTTCAGCTAACAACTTAATCTGACCTCATTTATAGAAAACAGAAGTGAGGTATTAAGACAACTTAGTTGGTTACAGCTTAATTGGTTAACTGGTTACAGAGACTCCTACATTTAACTAAACCCCAGCCACAGTGATTAAACTCTGTATTTAACTCATGTGTTTAACTTATTTGCCTAGTATACTATGTTATAAAAATGGTTAAACAGGAAAGTAAACTTTTAAAAGCCATTCCTAAATTATTTCTCACCCCTACTGGCTGGTCACTTAGCCAAACTTGCAGACAAAGAAAAGAAGAATTTGTGATTTCCAGGACAACTTATAAGTTTTGTTTCTCTATTTTTTTTTTTTTTACTTGCAAGTAGTGGAATCCTAAATCTTAAGAATTTTCTTATTTTATTTTTTATTTTATTATTATTATACTTTAAGTTTTAGGGTACATGTGCACAATGTGCAGGTTAGATACATATGTATACATGTGCCATGCTGGTGTGCTGCACCCATTAACTCCTAATTTAGCATTAGGTATATCTCCTAAAGCTATCCCTCCCCCCTCCCCCCACCCCACAACAGTCCCCAGAGTGTGATGTTCCCCTTCCTGTGTCCATGTGTTCTCATTGTTCAATTCCCATCTATGAGTGAGAACATGTGGTGTTCGGTTTTTTTTTCTTGCGATACTTTACTGAGAATGATGATTTCCAATTTCATCCATGTCCCTACAAAGGACGTGAACTCATCATTTTTTATGGCTGTATAGTATTCCATGGTGTATATGTGCCACATTTTCATAATCCAGTCTATCATCGTTGGACATTTGGCTTGGTTCCAAGTCTTTGCTATTGTGAATAGTGCTGCAATAAACATATGTGTGCATGTGTCTTTACAGCAGCATGAGTTATAGTCCTTTGGGTATATACCAAGTAATGGGATGGCTGGGTCAAATGGTATTTCTAGTTCTAGATCCCTGAGGAATCGCCACTCTGACTTCCACAATGGTTGAACTAGTTTACAGTCCCACCAACAGTGTAAAAGTGTTCCTATTTCTCCACATCCTCTCCAGCACCTGTTGTTTCCTGGCTTTTTAATGATTGCCATTCTAACTGGTGTGAGATGGTATCTCATTGTGGTTTTGATTTGCATTTCTCTGATGGCCAGTGATGGTAAGCATTTTTTCATGTGTTTTTTGGCTGCATAAATGTCTTCTTTTGAGAAGTGTCTGTTCATGTCCTTCGCCCACTTTTTGATGGGGTTGTTTGTTTTTTTCTTGTAAATTTGTTTGAGTTCATTGTAGATTCTGGATATTAGCCCTTTGTCAGATGAGTAGGTTGCGAAAATTTTCTCCCATTTTGTAGGTTGCTTGTTCACTCTGATGGTAGTTTCTTTTGCTGTGCAGAAGCTCTTTAGTTTAATTAGATCCCATTTGTCAATTTTGGCTTTTGTTGCCATTGCTTTTTGTGTATTAGACATGTAGTCCTTGCCCATGCCTATGTCCTGAATGGTAATGCCTAGGTTTTCTTCTTGGGCTTTTATGGTTTTAGGTCTAATGTTTAAGTCTTTAATCCATCTTGAATTAATTTTTGTATAAGGTGTAAGGAAGGGATCCAGTTTCAGCTTTCTACATATGGCTAGCCAGTTTTCCCAGCACCATTTATTAAATAGGGAATCCTTTCCCCATTGCTTGTTTTTCTCAGGTTTGTCAAAGATCAGATAGTTGTAGATATGCGGCATTATTTCTGAGGGCTCTGTTCTGTTCCATTGATCTATATCTCTGTTTTGGTACCAGTACCATGCTGCTTTGGTTACTGTAGCCTTGTAGTATAGTTTGAAGTCAGGTAGCGTGATGCCTCCAGCTTTGTTCTTTTGGCTTAGGATTGAGTTGGCGATGCAGGCTCTTTTTTGCTTCCATATGAACTTTAAAGTAGTTTTCTCCAATTCTGTGAAGAAAGTCATTGTTAGCTTGATGGGGATGGCATTGAATCTATAAATTACCTTGGGCAGTATGGCCATTTTCATGATATTGATTCTTCCTACCCATGAGCATGGAATGTTTTTCCATTTGTTTGTATCCTCTTTTATTTCATTGAGCAGTGGTTTGTAGTTCTACTTGAAGAGGTCCTTCACGTCCCTCGTAAGTTGGATTCCTAGGTATTTTATTCTCTTTGAAGCAATTGTGAATGGGAGTTCACTCCTGATTTGGCTCTCTGTTTGTTTGTTATTGATGTATAAGAATGCTTGTGATTTTTGTACATTGATTTTGTATCCTGAGACTTTGCTGAAGTTGCTTATCAGCTTAAGGAGCTTTTGGGCTGAGACAATGGGGTTTTCTAGATATACAGTCATGTCATCTGCAAACAGGGACAATTTGACTTCCTCTTTTCCTAATTGAATACCCTTTATTTCCTTCTCCTGCCTAATTGTCCTGGCCAGAGCTTCCAACACTATGTTGAATAGGAGTGGTGAAAGAGGGCATCGCTGTCTTGTGCCAGTTTTCAAAGGGAATGCTTCCAGTTTTTGCCCATTCAGTATGATATTGGCTGTGGGTTTGTCATAGATAGCTCTTATTATTTTGAGATACATCCCATCAATACCTAATTTATTGAGAGTTTTTAGCATGAAGGGTTGTTGAATTTTGTCAAAGGCCTTTTCTGCATCTATTGAGATAATCATGTGGTTTTTGTCTTTCGTTCTGTTTATATGCTGGATTACATTTATTGATTTGCATATATTGAACCAGCCTTGCATCCCAGGGATGAAGCCCAGTGGTGGATAAGCTTTTTGATGTGCTGCTGGATTCGGTTTGCCAGTATTTGATTGAGGATTTTTGCATCAATGTTCATCAAGGATATTGGTCTAAAATTCTCTTTTTTGGTTGTGTCTCTGCCTGGCTTTGGTATCAGGATGATGCTGGCCTCATAAAATGAGTTAGGGAGGATTCCCTCTTTTTCTATTGATTGGAATAGTTTCAGAAGGAATGGTACCAGTTCCTCCTTGTACCTCTGGTAGAATTCGGCTGTGACTCCATCTGGTCCTGGACTCTTTTTGGTTGGTAAGCTATTGATTATTGCCACAATTTCAGAGCCTGTTATTGATGTTGGTACCCAGGCAAACAGGGTCTGGAGTGGACCTCTAGCAAACTCCAACAGACCTGCAGCTGAGGGTCCTGTCTGTTAGAAGGAAAACTAACAAACAGAAAGGACATCCACACCAAAAACCCATCTGTACATCACCATCATCAAAGACCAAAAGTAGATAAAACCACAAAGATGGGGAAAAAACAGAGCAGAAAAACTGGAAACTCTAAAAAGCAGAGCGCCTCTCCTCCTCCAAAGGAAGTTTTGTTTCTCTTGACATAGCAGCCAAGATAGTGTGGGGTGGGAGTGGGAGGGTTCTGGATTGATAGCGTTTTGACTACAGTAACTAAAATCAAGCATTTTTTTGGTTTATGAGGATTAACTTCATCTAATCTCTCATGAAATCTTCCCAACATAATTGTTAAAAATGAGTAAATTAAATGAGATAAAGTGGAGTAAAATCTATAAATAAGTTTTTTAATAATAATGTTTTACAATATGTTTACTTAAAATTATTTCCTAATATCTTTGGTAATTACTTCATTAGAGTTTTGCTAAACCAGATTAAATAATGGATAGTCACTGCATATCTAGCTCATTTCCAAATAAAATATAATGCTAAATTTTAATTACTAACATAGGTTTAAACATATGTATTTTGGATTATTATTACAGAAAAGCAAAAAAAAATTTGAGTTTGTTAGTAAATATGTCCTGTTCAACATTTTAAAAGTTCTGTAAAAATCTATGTTTTTAGAAATTACAAAATATGTATTCATAAAATGTTTTGGTACATAATTATAATGGATTATTTCCTGGCTTTTTTATGGGAAATTAGAATTACTAAGAGTTAAACATATAATTAACCTATGTAATTAAAACGGCTAAAAATAAGGGACACAATTCTATACGCAATATGTACAAAAAAGGTTGTATCTTGGTAAGGAAGGTTATATTTGGTTGGTGCAAAAGTATTGTGATTTTTGCCATTAAAAGTAATTGCAAAAACTGCAATTACTTTTGCACCAAGCTAATAATAAGAATATAAGAATGTATTTTATTCTATTGAAAAAATAATTTTGTCCTGTTCCAAGTGCAGTGCCTGTTGAAACATAATTGTGTGAACTCAAGGAATGTTTTGAAACAGCTTTGACAATAATACCCTCCACAACATAGTGTAAGGCCCATTCCCAGAATGCCAACTAAGAATACCAATCTCAAATCTGTAAACATTTTTCCCTAGATTATTTTCTATAAATTATATAGTTAGGCTTCTCATATTCATGTCTGTGATCTACTTTGAGTTAATTTTTGTGTAAATACTAATGTCGGTGTCTAGAACCTTTTGTGTGTGTGTGTGTGTGTGTGTGTGTGTGCGCCTACATGTTCTGGCATCATTTGTTAGAAAGACTGTACTTTCTTCATTTAATATCTTTGCTTCTTAGGAAAAAAAAACCTGTTGGCCATATTTTTATACGTCTGTTTTTTGGCTCTATAATCTGCTTTGTTAATCCATTTGCCTGTTTTTTCACCAATACCATCCTGTCCTGATTATTGTAGCTTTATGGTGATTCTTGAAATTGGTCAGCCATCAGCTTTCTGAATATGTTCTTCTTCAGTACGTTGCTGGCTACTCTGGATCTTACATATTTCCTTATAAGTTACAGTCTCAGTCCATTGTCCATTGATATTCAGAATGTAACTTGCTGTTTTGTTTTGTTTTTTTGAGACGGAGTCTTGCTCTATTGCCCAGGCTGGAGTGCAATGGCGAGATCTCAGCTCACTGCAGCCTCTGACTCCCAGGTTCAAACAATTATCCCTGCCTCAGCCTCCTGAGTAGCTGGGATTACAGGCACCTGCCACCACGCCCAGCTAAGTTTTGTATTTGTTAGTAGAGATAGGGTTTCACCATGTTGGCCAGGTTGGTCTTGAATTCCTGACCTCAGGTGATCTGCCTGCATCAGTCTCCCAAAGTGCTGGGATTACAGGTGCAAGCCACCATGCTTGGCCAACCTACTGAAATTTTAATTGGCAGAGTTGAGACTATAGACCAAGTTGGAACGAATGAACATCTTAAAAATGTTGCTTCTTTATACAGAAAACCAATCGAAAAATAGAAAAGTAAGTTCTTTCCTATCAGTAATTGATTTAAATGAAAATGGATTAAACTTCCCAATAATTTAAATAGATTTGCAAAACGAGTATTACAACAAAGCAAACCAGGAACCAACTGTATGCTATTTATAAGTGAATAACTCTAGATATGAGGACACATATAAGTTGAAAGTGAAAGGATGGGAAACGATATTTCATGCAAGTAGTAATAAAAAGAGAATGCACATTTAAATTGTATTTTTACAATTTAAATTTAAATTTTAAAGTTTGTAAAAATACACTTTAAATACATTTTTAAAGTGTACTTATATTTCATTTATAATATGAATGAACTTCCTAGTAACTTCATGATGCAAACAGTGACAGAATTTAAGGGATAGTAGCTCTAAACTAATAGCTGAAGACTTCAAAAACCCTACTTTCCATTAAGAATAAAGAAATCAGACATAAGATTAATAAATACATAGAAAACTTGCACAAAAACATATATCAATTGGACTTCAGACATATACAGAACCCTCCATGTATGGAGACACAACAGAAATCTTAATCAATTCTTAGGAAGTTTAAATTATACAAAGTATTGTATCACAATGGAATGAAATGGGTGCTACCATGGTGACTGGCTGGTTTTCCTGAGTAGTGCCATATTAGAATCTCAGTGTTCCTTCATGCTTGTAGTACGTGGTACACTCAGTAATGCCTGACACCAGGTCACCTCTGGTGAGTGAACATCCACATTGTTGAACCCATGCACAACTTCTAACCGTGCCACATGGCCGTATTTTTCATACGGCAAGAATGGGCTGGTTAGGGAAGTAGGCTTAATAACATCCCCCAAACTAATCTACAATGTAATTATTAACTACAATTGAAATTACTACTGAATGAGCATTTTCACAAGTCATAGACCTATATTTACTCTATATTCATTCAGAGGTTAATACATGACACTTCTTCACCAGATCTTCTTATCACTAATTTTTCAATTGTATTTTTTCTAAATCTCTGACCACCCAGCCAAACAATTTTTCATTGGCCAAAATCAATATAGATCTATTTTCTATACATCTTGTTTTGCAGGAAAAAAAAAAAAACAGGTCCACTGCTAGACGTTCTGACCATTGGGATGATTTCCCTTCAGCACCATCATTCAGGGCTACTGTTATCTGAATTATAATGTTGAAGATGTCCACTTTGGGGTATATGATAGTGGAGAAATATTTCAAATCCAGATCTGAATATTTTCTTCTTTAATGAGCTGCTGATTGAAAACTTTCTTTGAGGCAAGATGTACGTGTGTATTATAAAAAAAGGACAATATGACTGAGATGCAACATCTTGTGATTTTGAACTACTTTCATGTGCAAATTGCTTGTACCTTTAGAAACTGCTTTAGTCCATTATTGTATATACCATTTTACTTGAGCATGAAGAGCTATTCTCCACATCCAATTTTATGACTCAGTAGATCAGATTACATCAAATTCGTGATATAAAACTCAGCTTAAATGACAACTTGAATACCATGCTCAATGAGCCAGTGTTAAAGATTTATGCATGTCAGCTCATTCTGATTATTGACTTGGGACTCATTCCCATTATGGTTACTACGACTACCATGTCTTTGGCAGATCAGATATATCCTGCCACTTGACCTCTGCTACACATCCCAATATCCACATTAAACTCCGAAAGCTCTGTTTTTATGGCAGCATTTTAGTGTTACCTCTAGCCTTACAGTGAATTATCTGCACAGATCACTTTAAGGACATCAGCATTGTCTTCCTCAACATATCTCCCAAAGCCTTGATGAAAAGAATCTCTCCTGGACATTTCCAGAGTAGATGGTGGGTGAGTGAGCAGATCTTATGTAATAAATTTTCTTCTATATTCAATATCCTTAAAGTTTTCAACATCTTCCTCTACCAGGGAAGAATACTTATCATCTCAACTTCCTGCTAAGTAGAACACCTTAGAGTACATATTTATGTAAACCAGTTGAGGACAATGGTAAAGCAGCTTCCATCCTCTCAAGCTAAGACATTAAATCCTAACTCAATTGATACATATATGTGATCCAATATTATATCACTTCCATCCTTATATAACATCTGTAAGATCCAATTCCCTACATATTTCCAGGTCTCAATGAATACACATTGGTAAATTTTAATTGTTTTGATGTGTTTTCTCCCTTCTCGTTAGTTATATTTGGTACCAAGAAGTTGCAGAGAGTAATAGGTTGATAAATGAGAGTTCATTGTGATATTGTGGAGAATCAGCAGCCACCTGCAAAATAAACACCTCAAGAGAAATCATTGCAGGTTTGTCAAGAAAGAAGGGCAGTATATTTAACAGGGGAAGAAAGGCTATTGTTGAGGGCAAAGAGGTGTGGTAGAGTGTTCAGGGTCTTAGCTTCATTGAAGTCTGCTCAGATGACCTGATCCCAGTTTTCAGATCAGTGTCATAACTTCACATAAGAAACTATGTGCATTAAATACCCAGTACTGTGCATTAAATTGGAATGTAAATTCAGCAACCCACAGAATTAGACTGGGTTTTGTTTTTCAGAATGATTCTGTGACAACAGGATGTAATATTTATTTTGGAGCTATTTAAAAAGTTTCATAGTATCTTACCCAGACGTTCCTTTCAAATTTAAATTCGAATTTAAATTTAAATTCCTGAGTTCCTTATTTCCTTTTTACCAAATTCTACACTACTCTTTGAAGCAACCAACAATTCAGAGAATTTTTATACTTTTTATTTCTACTAAAATGTACTGTGACAGCTAGGAAGTCACCCAGACCTTGCATTCTGTAAGCATGTGAGTGATTATTAAGGCCTACATTCAGAACTGGTTCAGCATTCATTTCTTCTGCATAGTATCAGTTAAATGAGTTACAGGACAACCACAATTGAGGTTGGGAAGAAACACACTCCAACTGTTGATAGAAGGAGCTGAAAAGTTACCAAGCAAAGAAGCTTGGCTATCAGGAGGGGATAAATAATTTCTTTTTTTTTTCAAATAACCTAACACAATAAGAAAATTAATTGACCTAACAGCGAATGGTTGTATTTGTCCCATTTATCATTCTATTGACTCTACTCACTGTAACTAGATATTAACATTCCTCAGGGTACATAATAGATCATATTTGTTTTTAGACACCTGACCTCTAGCATAGTTCTTAGGAGATGGCCATTAACCAATTTCTTCAATGAGTAATTTATTGAATAATGATTTTTTTTTCTATTCTTATTAGGAAAACTAAGTCTAACGTGGAAAAAAATTAGATATTCAGTCAAAGACACTCGTAGCCCTTTTAAAATGACTAAATCAGATTTTTACTGTGTGCAACAAGTTATCTTATGTTAGAAAATAATTATTTAGTCCTGTTTTTAAAAAGCTGTGTCTGATAGTGACAGCTAGAAATGCACAAACTTTGTCAAACAGTTCCTGCTTCAGTCTACCTACAGGTACAATGCATGACCCCAACTTTGGATACACACCTAAAATATAAAACATCTGCTTGTCTATTTTCATGATTTAAGAGCTCAACATTTTGAAAATCAGATTACTCAGTGCTTGGAGAGCCACAAATAAATATAGGCTTACTTAGTATAGAAAAGAATGTTCTTTCCTAAATTCTTCCACATGAAACATTCTATTCTAAAATAATATCCTCAAGAAATTAAAAGTAGCAACTAAAACTTGAGGTTAATTAATATTTTAATGATTAGTTTTAAATAATTCCGAGGGAGGAGGCCAGCAGGACTTGTTTTCCGGTTCTGTCTCCATGATTGAAGCAGGAGCTGGTGGAAATAGGATGCAGTGAAGAAACCACACCAGTAGGTGGTGACAAAAGCAACCTCAATTTGCCCTCACTGCTCATTAGAATAAAGGTACAGTGCCGTGGCCACTTGCCTTATACTGCACAGAAGTTATCTTATATGGTTATGGAATTTCCCGCCCCTTTTCCAGAAAGTTCTGAATAATGCCTCTCAATGAGCATATAATTAAAAGCAGATATAAATACAGCTGCCAACAACCCCATAGACTGCTGACTCTGGCCACACTGCCTGTGGGTTAGCCCTGCTCCTCAAGGAGCAGTACTGATTCAATAGAAGTTGCTTTCTGTCACGTCAGCTGGCCCTTGAATTCTTTCCTGGGTGAAGAGAAGGACCTTCCTACCTGCATCAGTTCCAAGTTCTCACATAAAACAGCAGCAAATAAACTGCTTAAGATGAAATTGGCAGGCCGCGGTGGCTCACGCCTGTGATCCCAGCACTTTGGGAGGCCGAGGCAGGCGGATCACGAGGTCAGGAGATGGAGACCATCCTGGCTAACACGGTGAAACCCCGTCTCTACTAAAAATACAAAAAATTAGCCGGGTGTGGTGGCGGGCGCCTGTAGTCCCAGATACTTGAGAGGATGAGGCAGGAGAATGGCGTGAACCCGGGAGGCGGAGCTTGCAGTGAGCCGAGATCGCGCCACTGCACTCCAGCCTGAGCGACAGAGCCAGACTCCTTCTCAAAAAAAAAAAAAAAAAAAAAAAAAAAGATGACATTATTGTTACAATTACATATATGCACAAAAACAAGTGCATTGTGTGTGTGTATGTGTGTTATCCATATTCATACGGGGTATTTCATGAAAGAAACAAAATAAGCAATGTTTTTGAAACTAGATCTAAATGAGTTGGCACTTTATAATCTAGACTTTGAGCATTTTGAATATTTAGTCCAAGTTACTCTTTAGTTAGCAAACTGTAAATGACAGTCTGTAAAGTTAAAATACAAAATACAAGTGGTTCCAACCTGAGAAAAGTATAATTTTAGAAATATAGGTATATAATTTCAAGTCTAAGTATAATTGAGTTCTTTGAAAAGGTGAGCTAATGCTGTCACCATGCATCCTGTACAGGCTACAGAACCATGAGCTAATTAAAACTCTTTTCTTTATAAATTACCCAGTCTCAGGTATTTCTTTATAGCAATGCAAAGATGGACTAACACAATTGTACACACTTTTATTTGAAAACAAAAAGGCAAAGATTGTTTAAAACCAATGGGAATGATAAAACACTGTAAGTAAACTTATTTTAACAAATGCCATATATAAGGGCCATTCAATTTTTTTATTAAAAAAATAAATTTTACTTGGGAGGCTGAAGCGGGTGAATCACCTGAGGTCAGGAGTTTGAGACCAGCCTGGCCAACATGGCCAAACCTCGTTTCTACTAAAAATATAAAAACTGGCCAGGTGTAGTGATGTGTGCCTGTAGCCCCAGTTTTCAGGAGGCTGAGGCAGGAGAATCGCTTGAACCTAGTGGGCCAGAGGTTGCAGTGAGCTGACTTTGCGCCAATGCACTGCAGCCTCGGGAACAAAGTAAGACTGTGTCAAAAAAAAAAAAAAAAGAAAAATTACTAAACAGAAAGCTTTGCTAAAAGACCTTCTCTGATACTGAATTATCTGTGAAGGTAATAGTGTTTATAATGTGAACTAAGTCTTCTGCAGTCACCTGTGACATCAACAATGATCCATGGAGACTTTGAGCAGATTCTCTACTATGTAAGCAGCTGGGAAAATGACAGAGGACAAGTTTCAAATGTCATATTTTACCTTTGTTTGCATTGAGAAAAATTCATTGAAATCCACCTGTATAGCATCTTCGTGAATTCCTATACTTAAAATAAAATTGGAAGCAAAGGTAACATCAAGAAGCTTATTTTATTACTAGAATGTTGATGTTTATTACAATAATTGGCTTAGTCTTCTTAAAACCAGTTAACAATAGGCACAATGGTTCTGTTACATGAATATACATTTAATGTTTTGGCTTCATTTATTTTTCTAAATTTTCCATATTTATTATAAGCACAATATCTCTACTATACTCATGTATAAAATGGCAAATAATTAAAAACAGATTCTTAAATATATTTATATAAAATGTTTTATATTTAAGAGAGTCATTCCTAATTTAATTTCTATGTATGAACTATTGGAAGGTAACTGAGAAATTAATAAGCATTAACAAAATTGAGTCAAATGTTTCCTATTAATAGTAACTTGATTTAAAACAAACATGTTTAGATTTCATATTTTTGAAATATTCAAATATTAGTACCATAGTGGGTGATAACAAAATTGCTCCTCTGAAGATGTGAAGGAATCATAAATATTATGATTTATGTAAATGCTAGAATGGAGATGTGAGAGAAAATTGCTAGTAATTCAATATTGAGATGAATACATGAAGTCCAAATAAGTCATCAATAGCTATATACAGGGAGAAATATCATGTGTTTAATAGATTCTATTTGAAAGCTAGATTGAGCCCAGTATACTCAGTTAAGTCTCTTAAACTGCTTTACCTTCAAAAAGGATAGTATCTACTCTGCAGGACTGGGTAGATTAAAAAAATACTGAGCGAAGCCACTAAGTGCTACGACGTGGGCTTCCATCCAGTGATTTTGGTATTTGTGTAGTATGTGTTCCATGTTGAAATGTGTCTGCATTAACGCTTGTCATCCTTTGTAATTCTTACAGTTCTTCCCCCAAATTACAAGGAATGGAGGCTGGGAAACTACATTTCTGAGACTCCTTCATCATCAGGATGCCAGATAATATTTTAAGTAAGGAAAATAAAATTAACTTTTCTGGGGCGAGATGACAGACGAATGTGCAAAGGCTTTCCTGTTTTCAAGAAGCAGTTTCTTACACTATGCTTTTTATTCACGTTAAATGAAATTCTATTAGAATAAATTGTATCATGAGTTTTTAAATAAAATATTTAATGATTTTTCACATCTCTCCATCTGACTGTTGAGGGTCAGAAGAGAGAATATCATTCTGCTTGTATAAGAAAGGACTGGACGCATTTCTATCAAATGTAAGTTCTCAGTAAATGTTAATTGGCTTACAATAAGTTACAACAGCATTGTGGAAACTAAATAAAATCATATCACCTTTTCTTGGAGTAAATTCTATGAAACGTAAATGCTCCATATGCATAAATCCTGGGTTAAAGTACTTTAAGAATATGCAGTTCTTCTTTAAGTTCTGCATTGCTATAAAATCTGCCTAGAAATTACAGTAAGAATGGCTTTCATTACCACAATGACATTGAAGGGTTAAATCTTTATTTCTCTCTGTGCGTGATTAAAATATAATATTGATTTAATAAGGAAATAAACTTATTTGATTAAAGTATAAAAATGGATTATGAATCATCTTATTTTAATTATATATGATAAACAAAATCCCTCAGAAAAATATTTCCCTAAATATTACCCTGGGTATTATTGCTTAATTTAATTAATACTTTTATATAGTATGGAGATAATTTTATTATCACATACATTTATTATGATTTATATTAAATTTATATGCTCTCTTTAGTAAGGGATGTTATGAAATTCCAGATATATGTACCATCAAACACTGATTGTAATATTTGGTTTAAAAATGCCACAGAGATTACTGAATAAACTTAATAATTAAATGCTATGCTTAGGATTTGGAATCAAGGAAAAGGTAAATAATTTTTTTGTTTTATTAACACTTAAAGGAATCTTGTTTTATGTCAGAAGAAAAGTAATTTTAATATTCACGGATATATACTTGATATGTTTGCATTAACAATATGGAAAATATATGTTTTTTAAATAACAAGTTTTGATTTTAAGAATGTAATGATTATTGGAAATAGTTTTGGAGATAGTATTTATGTTGTCGTTATATGTTGTACTTTTTTTCATTTGAGTTTGTTATCAATACAGGTAGTTATAATTTTAAACATTATTTTTTGACCCATTTATAAATCTACTACCCATTAGTTCTTTTACAGTGAACTGAAAACTTGGTTTTCATATTTTGCCTGAGGTATGGTAATATACCCAATGAGGGGTGCTTACGGCTACAAGTTTCAGTTCCCAAATGACAAGCTGGGTTCCCTTGACCTGTTTACCAGCGAGAAAAATGTATTTATTAATGCAGTTGTTAACAGGCAAACTTAAAATGCGTTAGCCTTAACATTTATCTTTGGAGCTTTACATAAACAAAAATATATAAATAAAAGTGGTGTTCATTTTTGTAAGTGGACATGAAGTGCAATCTTCTATAAATGCTTTTAGCACGAGTCGGTAAAAAACTGTGTTTTCACTAAAATATGATTCATAAACATTAATTGAAAATATATACTTCTATCTCAGATACGTAGGTAAAAATATTCTGGACTATACTGTAAACCACATTTAGTGAACACAAAATTCAACCCTGATCATAAGCCAGTGTATGTCAGAACTGTCTGGAGTTCTTTACCTCAGCAAATAATTACATTGACCTTTTTAAAAATTTTAATCCTGTGCATTGACCACATCCCGAACAACCACTCTATGTTACATTTGATATTATACCTAGCACAAATATGTAAGAAACAATATAAGACATGGATCAAACCCTCCTGGTAATCAAAATCCTTAAAAATAGTTGCCCTATCAAATGAAAGTTGTTAGTTCTGATAAGATAATTTTGCCCTATCCAATTAAAAAGACAATACAAGAGTGTGAGTCTGAGTATTAAAAATTGTACCAAATAAAATATTTGTTTCTATCTACATGTTAGATCTTAATAATGAATTCATAGCTTGATCACTACCTTTTCATGTTCAGACAACTTGATATTATAGAGTCACAGTAAAGATTTCAATTAAACATTCTTTTAAGTAATTTTTCTACGTGAATTTATACAGATGATTGATTAAAAATAGATTTCTGGAAACCTGACAGTCACTTCCCTCCGGCTCTTCACAGATCCACTCTGTTTTTCCTATAAATGAAAACTTAGATATGGTCCAGCTGAAAGTTTCTATTTTTATTAACTTTAAATTTGTACTACAGAAAGATCACAGATGTATTGATATTGCTTACTATTTTATTAGATGATTATAAAATGGGCATTATAAAATATTGATATGTATTTAAAAATGATTGCTGACATTTTTAAAAATTGCCATCGCAATAGGTTTTTATTGCTGCTGCAGTCAAAATGTGGACTTTGATTGACATTTTCCAGGAAGAGAATTGTGAGAAGAATAATTGGATATTCTGTAACATTGTTCTAAGAACTGTTAGCTCTGTTGCATTTTCTTGGTTTGACATTTTGCAAAATCCTACTGTCTTCATTTGCAAGGTAGAATGGAAAGTTTATGGAGACTTGGGCAACTTTCCTATGAAATCTGCCAATTAAATAAACAATTGAGATTGGAATGAGTGTGGCTTTTAATACGTTAGACAGAAAAAAAGAAGGAAACAATCCAAAAGTGTGAGCAGTTCTTTATCAGCTCCTAGAAAGCAACTTGTTCTTGGGAGTTGGAATTTCTTTTGTTTTATCTCTGTAATAAGGCTTTCGTTTGAATTATATTTTATTTATAATAAAACTTCCTTCTATGTGTGATGTTACAAAATGTTAAATATAAATATGACTAATACATTAACAGTGTAGTCAACACCAACAATGTCAGTTTCACATAATTTGACTTCTATGATATATTTCCTTTACATTCAGTTTAAAATCCAAGCCCAAGAAACATGTATTGTGTGTACAATTTACGCTAAACTTTATGTTGAATTCTGAAGACAAAACGATACATATGGCAAGACTCCTGCTCTCAAAGCATCTCACTTCTAGTTGGGAGGAAGAAAGTTGGCAGTAAATACACTGGATGGTAAGCAGGAAGCGCCTCACACAGGGAGAAACATTGTGCTATAATTGAGAAAATATGGGATGTTTAATTATATTATAATAACATTATTTTTATTATATGAACAATGTTTCAAAGTATTTGCTTTCTGAGGTAACAATTTTTGTTGCAGAGTAATTCAAAGCAAAAAAAAATGGGTGAGTGATACAAACGCAGGCAAATATAATGTAGTCTCAAATATTTAATCATTGCTTACTCATAATCATCAACACAATTCTCCATTTTCATGATAGTATCTTATTAAAACAGAAATCGATGAAGTCAACATAAAGTGTTCTAATTTATTTAGACTACAAATTACTACAGGTCCACTTCCCTAAATGATACATTTTTAGACTTAGAATAACAGGTAAGTGCAAAAAATAATCCACTGATTTTATTCAGTGGGGTGTGAAATGGAGTACACTTGATCAGTTCTCAATATGGATGCCAGAAGACCTTTGCTCACTAATTTCTTCCTCATCATAATTCAAAGAGTGTGTCGTGTCAACCTGCTTCAGATCTTCTACAGGCTAAATAAACATTATGAGGACATTGTAGAACTTTTACCTGTAGTGGATGGAGGAGGGCATAAAAAAAGGAACACCTTTTCTTTGAAAGGAAATTAAATAATGCATGAGAGGGCTAATGATTTTGCTGAGTACCAGTACAATACTTCCCAAGAGATTCCACCATATTAGAAATTATTTGATTGTATTCTATACCCCTGTCTACTAGCCTGGTGAGGGACAAATGTAGGAGAATGAAAATACTACCTGTAATATGCAGCAAAACCTGTGTTATGTTGGTCCAACAGGCTTTAGTTTAAGGTAAAAATAGCTCTCTATTTGTTTTCAAATATGACTTTTAAAATGAATCTAAGAATTGCATAAATTCAACCAATTTTTTAAAGTGGAGGCTTTGGCTGGGTGCAGTGGCTCACGGCTGTAATACCAGCACTTTGGCAGGTGGAGGTAGGAGGATTGCCTGAGTCCAGGAGTTGAAGGCCAACCTAGGCAACATAGGGAGTGACCCCATCCCTACAAATAATACCAATAATAAATTACCTGGGTATAGTGGCATGAGCCTCTGGTCCTAGCTACTCAGAAGGCTGAGGTGGGAGGATTGCTTGAGCCTAGGAACTTGAGGCTGCAGTGAGCTGTGATCGTGACACTGTGTACTCTATCCTGGGTGACAGAGCAAGAGTTTGCCTTAAAAAACAACAGTAACAAAACAGTCAAAGATTTGGCAGAATGAGAATATGACCACCATGTATCTACTGATGTCATTATTATGTCATAATGAAACATTTGGGTTTTCTCAAGTATAGCACCATGCGCTAGGCTCTCCACACATCCCGTTCTTCACCTTTATCAGATACAATACTTACCACCTGGTATACTTACTGCCAAATTTCTTCCTGCCAACTAGAAGTGAGACACTTTGAGAGCAGGAGTTTTGTCATATTTTTCATTGTGTTTCCAGAATTCAACACAAAGCTTAGCATAAATTATACACATGTACTGTTTTGAAGATGTATTTAGCATGCCACAGGTATTAAGTATCCTTCAAAATTTTACAAAAAATTTTTTGTACAAATGAGATGTTGAGAAATGTTCTCCATGAAAACCAATATTATGGATGCTTAAAATTAATTTTCATCAAAGTTGTCAAATATTATATTAATTTATCATCAAAGTTAATATTACTGTCTTCATCTTATAGATGAGAAAACTGAGTGCAAGTTAAGTTCATCTACAGAAATCAGAGAATTACTAATAGAAATAGAAACAATTGTGGTTTTTCGGGAATAAACAATCTGGTGACATAAAAGAAATTTAACTCCGAAAACAAAATATTATATAGGCTCTTCAAATATATTATCTCACAAATTGATCATGACATAGGACAGATGAATAATATTTATTCAAAACAAATGTATCTCACATCAAAATGGTTTTCTTAACAAATCTCAAATAAGGTTTGCGTCTTAAAATGGAGATTAAAATTTTCTACTCATCTTTGTTTGCTACTGTAAAAAATATGAGAATATAATGTTCTCATTTTAACTTATGGATTATGCAGGATAGAACATTGTTGCATTGCACCTTCTCTGTAGAACCATTGAAACTTGATCACGCCTGTAATCTCAGCACTTTGGGAGGCCGAGGTGGGCGGATCACGAGGTCAGGAGATCGAGACCATCCCGGCTAAAACGGTGAAACCCCGTCTCTACTAAAAATACAAAAAATTAGCCGGGCGTAGTGGCGGGCTCCTGTAGTCCCAGCTACTGGGGAGGCTGAGGCAGGAGAATGGTGTGAACCCAGGAGGCGGAGCTTGCAGTGAGCCGAGATCACGCCACTGCACTCCAGCCTGGGCGACAGAGCGAGAGACTCCGTTTCAAAAACAAACAAACAAACAAAAACAACTTGAAAGAGCTATGACTCAGAGGTCAATTTTATCAATTTTATACTTAAAATTGATAAAACAGAGAGAGATTACATTTACAAAATAGACACTATATGTATTTATTTTACATATGAATTTAGCCCATACTGGAAACAAATTTATGATTGTTCATATTTTATAGCCATTTCAATAAACTCTTTGTGTCTTCTGTTTATACTCCCAGCCTGAATCTGAAAAGCACAGCTCAGTCCTCTTAGCTCTGTGGTCATGGACTGAACATCCTCCTGCTACGAAGGGTCTGTCACCCTGTGAACAGGCTGCTCTTAATCATGAGCGCTTAAAGTTACATAGTAGGCTTAATTACAAGCAATAATTGGGAGTTTATAATTATAAAATTACTTTTTTTGTTGTCGTTAATCTGCATGACCTCACCTCACTGTGCCACATGTAGGCAATGTTTAAGATTCTAACTTTGGGGCTCATCACTAATCCAGGCGAAGCAAGCTTTTAGGCCAGAATTACAGAAGCTAGATGGATTCCACAGATCTCAATCATGTTTCTCCAAAAGACTCTCTGAAAACTGACATTTAAAACTAGAAAGTGAAAGAGCACCAGTATTATGCTGCACGTTTACACAAGCAAATAATGATCATTTCACATAAATGACAGAGCACACATGGAGAGAAGTTTAACTAGTCCTGGCGGTGAATTTATTCTCTTCTCTGCTTTCTGTTAAGAGTGAACAGTTTGATGATAATTTATCCCTTCACAATAGGGATTTCTTCCCCTGGCTATTCTGAGTTCATAGAAGAAATGCCTGCTGCTACTTATCACTGCCAAATTTAATGTAACAAGCAGTGAGCAAAACACAGTTAGTTCTTACCTGAAGGGAACTTAGATTCTCATGAGGAATAGAAGAGAGTAACAAATATGCGACAAGGTGAGCTAATATTTACTGAGGATTTACAATGTGCCTGATATTGTTCTGATTTTGTTTACACTACTAAAATTCATGTAATCTTTATAATAACCCTATGAAGGTGAAATATTATAACTTCCATTATACAGATTTGGAAACTGAGGCACATAAATCTTAATTAAATCATCTGGTTTCATACAGCTATGGAATAACAGAATCTTTGAATAATAAACCTTAAAAATGCTCAAAGAAATGAAATTATAGTAAGTGCTATGAATAAAACTATAGAGATATTTTTAATTAGAGACTAAAGTTCCTTTTTATTTTAGTGGGAATACATGGGGAGTACCTCTGTACAATGGTGGCTTTGAATATAGTCCTGAGAAAATGAAGAAACAAGCCATGTGCCCACGTAAAGAAAATGTGTTTCAAGCACAGGGAAGAACAAGTGCAAAGATTATCAATAGGGATGTGTTTGGCTTTAAAGGATGAAGAAGTCATAGAGAGATGAACAAAATGACAAGTGACAAAGTCAGAGTAGTAGAGACACGATCAGATTATGAGGCATCTTGAGCTAAAAAAATGTAATTTTACTCTGGCCAAATAAGAAGTCATGAGGAAAGTTTAAAGTTTTAAAGAAGAGTTTACAGAAAAAGAGCGGCATGAAATGAGTAATTTTAATAAAACCTTAAAGAGATCACTGTGTGAAATTGTATAGATATAATAATGGCAGGTAAGAGGCTTTTGCAAATCCAGAAATGATCGATGATTTAGATCCCAAAGTATTGATCGGTATTTTTTCACTCCTTTTCTCATTATTGTAACTTGTGCGTCGTGTCATCTAGTATGTGTACTTGCATGTTAACCAAAACAAAGGTTCAAATAAATGGCTACTATGATGACAATGTGAACTTTAATCTTTTGGAGGTAATTTTGGTCTTTGGAAACACGATGAAATTGGCATGGTAGAAAGGAGGAACATAGCTAAATAGAGGGTAGACAATCAAGAAGTAAAGTAGAAGAGACCTTGGGGAAAACTGTCTCCATACCTGCTCCCCCTTCCAGCTACCTGGCGCACGATCTGCTTACAATGGTTCTGGACACTTTCCTGAATGGACATAGGACCATGATGAGAGAATCCCACCCAGCAAATAGGACACAACTTACCTCGAGGAAGTGTTATTCTATGTATGAAGCTGTGAGGGACCAACTCTTACTGAGGTGCAGACACCAGAAGACGGTAGGGTGGATTAGGGAAGTGATGATGGGGGTAGTGAGAAGATATTTTGTTTAGGATGTATTTTAAAAACAGTGTTTATAGAATTTTTTAAAGGGCTGAGTGTGGGTGCAAGAGCTCCATTTTGATTTAGAATTGATAAACACCTGCGCTTGCATGTTTATCATAGCACTGTCCACAATAGCAAAGTCATGGACTAAACAGTGTCCACCAATAGTTGACTGGATAAAGAAAATATGGTGTATATATACACCATGGAATACTATGCAGCATTTAAAAATGAAATTATGTCCTTTGCAGCAATATGGATGGAGCTATAGGCCATTGTCCTAAGAGAACTAACTCAGAAGCAGAAAATCAAATATTGCATATTCTCACTTATAGGTGGCAGCTAAACAGTGGATACCCATGAACACAAAGATGGAGATAATAGACACTGGAAACTAAAATGGGGGAGGGCGGGGTAATTAGGGTTCAGATATCATCTATTGGTTACAATGTTCAATATTTGGGTCTTGGGGGAATTTGAACCCCAATCTGCACATTATACATGTGTAAATCCATGAAAATGACTGAGGCAAGTCTGAATCATTTTATGAGGTTTATTTGGCAAAGTTAAAGATGAGCACAGGGAGACAAATCTATGTCTTTCTCCAAAGATGACTTTGAAGGCTTTAATATTTAAAGAGGAAAGGGCAAGGCTGGGCGCAGTGGCTCACGCCTGTAATCCTAGCATTTAGGGAGGCTGAGACCAGTGGATCGCTTGAGGTCAGGAGTTCGAGACCAGCCTGGCAAACAGGGTGAAACCCCGTCTCTATAAAAAACACAAAAATTAGCTGGAAATCGCTTGAACCCGGGAGGCAGATGTTGCAGTTAGTCGAGATTGTGGCACTGCACTCCAGCCTGGGCAACAGAGTGAGATTCCATCTCAAAAAATGTGTATAAAAATAAAAACAGAAAAGGGCAGACATTGAGGAAAGAGGGGAAAAAAATTAAAAGGTGTGATAGATAAGAGGCAAACAGTTACATCTTTTGAGTCTTTGATGAGCCTTTCACTGAATACACAATTTACATGTGAGGGCATGTTGAGGAATACTCACTTATGCCATGCCCTGGCTCAGTGAATCTGCATTTTTACATAACATAATGTAGACAATAGGGCAGAGGAAGCAATCAGATATGCATTTGTCTCGGGTGAGCAGAGAAGTGACTTTGAGTTCTGTCCTTTGTCCTGTACCTATGAAGATACTCTATCAGTTTACATTGCCAGGGTGAAATTCAACACAACTGTTTTAGGGTGAAGATCTTGGAACCACAGGGAATTTCCATGTCAGCAAGTTGTAAGGGAGGTGTGTAGTTTTTTTTTTTTATCTCTGTAGTCATCTTATTTAGGAATCAAATGGGAGGCAGGTTTGTGTGACCAAGTTCCCAGGTTGACTTTTTCCAACAGCTTAGTGAGTTCAGGGTCCCAAGATTTATTTTCCTTTCACACATATAATACCCTTGAGACAAAAACGCATATGTACTTCCTGAATCTAAGATTTTTTTTTTTTAAAGAGTTGACTGGGGAAATGTTAAGCCTGTGATGATTATTAAACATCCAAATGAGGATGCTGTATAGAAGAATAGTGTGGAGGTTTAAATTTGGAAAGGATCGTATTCAAAATCATGAGACAAGATATTCACCTGGGGAATATGTGGATTTACAAAAGAGAAGTCAAAGTACCCTGTACCTTGAAGAATTTCAGCATCTAGGAGGCAAATACTGGAGGAGTAATTGAAGAAAAAGACTGGGAAAGAATAACTATAAAATAAAAGGAAAACCTTGAGAGTACAGTTTTACTGAAGTCAAGTTAATAATAAAAAAGAAGTTGGTTTTCTGCTTTTATCCATAAGAAGGGAAAGCAACGTTGTTCAGTCCTGCTGAGTCCGGTCAGATGAAGACTAAGAACTGTATTCCTACTCGTTATTAAAGATCATGATACCAATTTAAAAGGAGTGCTAAGAAAAAAGCCTGATTCAGTTTGATTCAAAAGAATCAATTGAAATAAATTAAGGTGAACTGTAAACGCTCGCTGAATTTTTTTCTGTGAAAGAGCAAAAAATATTGTGATTGACTTCTTGATGTTCCAAAACATTTTTTTTTCTGTCTTCCGCAGTATTGAAGCTATACTGAACACATGGCAGATTCTCTTTCAGATAGGGTTCTAGAGGAATACCAGTTTTGGCTTCGAGATGCTTTTGCATGTGTTTCAGCTGGCAGGAGCGATGCAGTTATCTGCAACCCTCGTTGCTGTTGTCCTTACATCATTATGATTTCATGAAGCGAATTCTATAGGATGTTTTCCAGCCTCAGGTGTTCAAACAAATTGGTGGGTATGAGTTCTGACATGAGTTCATAATCCCTGGATTGCTGTTTCTTGTGCCCATTCTCCAGCTTTCTACTGTAGCAGCGAAAAGTTTCCAAAATGGGCTAGTATTGCTGCAGTGATTGACCTAGAGGGCAAGTCAACCGTCAGGCCATTACACTGATTTTGTAAGGTCTTGAATTCCTGTATTAAATATTTCACTAATTAAAATAACTAGATTGGTTTCCACTTCCTGTGCTGTTTCCTGACTGGTTAGGATAGGCAGTGCCTATCCTTTGCTGTGTCAGAACAGTGCATGACTCCTAAGTGTCCATTGTGTCCACAAAGAGACAAGTAACTTAATCACAACCACGTACTGAACTGTGGACATGCAATGAATAAAATGAAGGCTAGTTATGCCTTTTCTCAAATCTCATGTTGGTTTGTTTTAACACTATGCATATATAGAAGATGGAAGTTATAAGAATTACACTGAATGATAATAAACAACATGTTTTATTCTGATTTTATAAATTGAGGTGAGGTGTGATGAAAAAGGAGAAAAAGATTACATAGCCCAGCTCCAAATGATAACCACATCTTAAGAGAATCTATTGTACTTTGGAAGCAGGACAATGTACAAGAAGTATTTAAAATATTATTTTTCCGCAGAACACAAATGAGCAACTGTCCTAATAAATGTCACATGGTCAAATTCAAAAGGAGTAATTTAAAATATTAAATTGAACTGCAGAATAACTTTGGCTTAAGATGAGCATTTAAATGTAGCCTTAGCTACAAAGAATCACTACGTTAGTAACACTTTAAACTTAATTTGCAGCAAATATATAGGCTATCTGAAACTACTGTATTCTCAGTATTTTAGAGTTGTGCAGATTGAGATCAACAATAATCATGCCCAATGGAAAACTTAAACAATTTATAGCAAAGAAAATGAAGTTGAAACATAGATTTTTAGCAAGGCAATAGATTCTGATTAGCTAATGCATTTTTAAATGACCAAATATACCTAATGCTATAAGTAAATATATGATACCACTTCTTAAATCATACAAATCTTTTATTTTGCATTACCATAATCTGATGACCCAATGCTTCATTATGCAGTCAGAAAGGGAGAAGAGATTTAACTCAAAACTATAATGATTTCAGAAGCTAGACAGAATTATAACAGTGAGTGACTGTAATTTTTCACTTAGATGTAATAAGAAGAAAATACATTAATAGGGAAATTCTAGAAAGGCTAAACTATCCGTATGATAAATCTGAGCAGTTACAATTGGATATGACCAAACGATGAGCTGCATTTGAAGATGTCTGCATTGCTTGTTGCTCTTCCTGTGGTTTAATCATTCAGTATATTTTGTATATTCTGGATCAGGCACTGTGAAAAATCGAAGGGATAAAGCAATACAGTCAACCGAACACAGTCTTCATAGAATCCATAATCTTACCAGGGATTCAGTCATATGTAGCTAAACATAATAGGATGTGATACATGATGTATTTGCATTTGAACCCTAGGGGAAGTACAGGTCTATTCTGCCAGGTCAACCAAGTAAACTACACAGAGGAAGACACATTCAACTGGGAAGTATCTTAGCCTCTGTCCTTTATTTCCCCACTATCCCCTGGACAATGCTATCATAGCACATGTAACACTTTCTTTCACATGTAGTAAAATAACCAGGAACAGTCCAGATTGCATAGTGGTTGAAAGTGTATAAAGTGGCTTCAAACTTTTGAGATAAAAATCTCAGCCTTCCTGTTTACTTGCATGGGCAACCCACTTACCTTCTTTGCATTCAGGGAAATGGCATCCGTTTTAGGAAAATTAATCAAACTTCACTGAGTAGCCTAAATTGGAACATTAGTTAATTGTCATTTATGAGAGATTTCATTCTGGAGTTGAAGACTGCAATTATCCCTGCTATACAATGATTATATGTAAATATCAAGGATGTTTTCTTAAATGCAGTCCTATCTTGTTAAATATTAGGACACATACCTAAACTCAAATGTTACCTAAATAAAATTAATCATGTGTGTGTTGCTGTGCTCGTAATCTGAATAATGGTAAATATATGCCAATATATCCAATTATTAGTATCATTATTATATTGTTTTATATTAAAGGTCATCTGATACTGTGGGGATATCATAGATATAGTCATTCATTATATATTCATTTGTAAAATATTGATTAAATTCAGTCTTTGCCAAGCACTTGATTGATGACTTTTGGAAATTTGGCAAAATGGTGATCTGCTCACTCAGAAAAGAATGTGTATCCCGCTTTTCTGGGGAAAGTGTTCTCAGAATGTTAAACATTTTAAGTTGAACGTGTTGTTCAAACCTGCTATGCCCTTACAGATTGATTGTCAACCTTCTTCTATCAATTATGTGGAGAAGGGTGTTAAAAATCTGTGACTATACTTATGAACGAGTCAATTTTTCCATATATTTCTGTAAGTAAGTCTTTATTTTATGTGTTCAAAAGCTTTGTTATTAGGTGTGTAAATATTTGGAATTATTATATCTATTGATGAATTAATTCTTAATAATTCTGAAAATGCCCTCTTTATCTTTGGTAAGAAATAAAATCTATTTATTTTGTTATTAATATGATCACTACAGAGTTCTTTTGCCTGGTAATAGCATGGTATTTTTCTTACCCATTTACTTTTAACTATGTATTCACATTGAAAGTAGAATTTTTGTTTGTTTGCTTTTGTTTTTGTTTTGGCAGTATATATTCTGTATATAATTTACAATATATGATGTGTTTATTCTATCTAGTATCTAGTATAAATTGTGCCTACAGTTGATGTGATTACTATTACAATTGATGTTGAGTAGAACAGGTTAATGTATTTAAAGAGATAAAGGAGAAAAATACATTTACTCATATATTTACAATCTAAGATGCTTTTCATCCTTTGTGAAAAGCAAGATTTGCATTAAGTATTGTTTTTCTTCTTCTTGGAAGGGGTCTTTCATTGTAATTATAACACAAGTCTCTGGAAATGAATTGATTTAGCTTTGGCATACACAAGAAAAACTTCATTTTGATTTTGTTTTTGAAATACAGATATTTCTAATTTGAGGGTTTTGTTGTTGCTGTAACTTAAATTACCGCTGTTTGGCAATGCCTTAAAGATGATAATCTACTGTCTTTCAGGTTGAATTGTTTCAAATAGAAAATGCTCTCATTCTGATTTTTGTATATAATGTTTTCTCTCTGGACACTTTAATCTTGCTCTATCATAGTTTTCATGCAATTTGATTATGATATGTGTTTTGGAGTAGTTTTACTCATATTGTGGGTATGTTTCATTGAGCTGTTTTGTTCTGAGAGTTCATATTATCCATTAAATTCGAAAAACATTCATCTATTTTTTTTTCGGTATTTTCTTTACTGTATTCCCTTCTTTCTTCTCTTGTGTGGGCTCTAATTTCACATATATTTGGCCACTTAAAATTGTCTCATACTGTAATCATGCTCTGTTACTCTTCTGTTGTGATTGTTATGGTAATCTTTCTGTCATTTTTTCTTGTTGGATTTTTTCATCTTTTTAAAATATTTATTTATATTACTCTCTCTTCAAGGTCACTACTTTCTTCCGCAGTGTTGAATTTGCTGATAATCTCGTATGGTGCATTTTTTGTCTCAGCCTTTGTAGTGTTTGTCTCTAGAAGTTATATTTTGTCTTCATATATTTTATCTGTCTTTTTAAACATAAGTGATGAATTTATAATAGTTTCTACATCCTGGTTTACTAATTCTATCATCCGTGTCATTTAAGTTGTGTCTCTATTTACTATTTGTGTCCTTACTGTGGATTGTATTCTCCTGCTTCTTAAAATGTCTGGTAATCCATAATATCTTTCTTAGTATTCTTGGTACTCATAATCCTGTGTATTACATTTTCTAGTCTTGTTATAGTGATACAAGCTATCCCTGGCCCCTTGCAAACTTTAGGGATTGTTACTGCTCATCCTTTTCAGTAGTTATTTTCTGACCCTTCACATGCACAGGCATTGATTTTTTTTCAGCTGAAGACTCAAAAGCTAGCACATGTGTTCTCTCCTCCTTCACCATCCTCCTCTCTTTGTGCACAGTTCTCTCCTATTTGGTACTCTTTTCTGTAAACTGTAGCCATCATGGCTTCCCTAGACCAACAGCTTCGTCTCCTCAGCTAAGAGAGACCAGAGTTCTTCCCTAGGCAATGGCCTGGAAACTTGCTCAGGGCAGTTAGTAGGGCAATGGTAGAAGTCACCATTTTGGAAACTATTTCTCAGGAATTGCTCTCCTATAATGCTTGACATCCAAAGTCTGGACCACATTTTTTTATATATATACTTTTGTTATTATGATTATTTTAGTAGTTTCAGTAGAAGGGTAAATCTGCTATATGTTAATGGATCCTGTCAGAAATCAAACATTTTGTTCTTTTTGTATTTGTCTTTTAAATTAATTTGGGGGAACATTGCAGACTATAAATTAATAGGATGAGAAAATTTTGACAGAAAAATGAATATGAGGTTACATATAAGAGTAATAACTAGAGAGAACATGCTATACATGCTGCAGTCATTTCGCCTTATTGAGAGGGTAGAATAAAGAATTTAATGATATCATTGGTTCTCCCCTTTCGCTTGCCTTATTCTTTTTATTCTCTCTGGTTTACCTTAAATTTAACTCTTTAATAAGATAATCAGACATAGACCTTTGTCCCAGGTTTTATTTCTGGGAAACTAAAACTAAGATATTTAGTGACACATTGTTGCTCACTGTATTAGTCAGGGTTCTCTCGAGAAACAGAACTAATAGGATAGATGCATACGAAAGGGAGTTTATTAAGGAGTATTCACTTACACGATCACAAGGTGAAGTCCCACGATAGGCTGTCTGCAAGGTGAGGAGCAAGGAAGCCAATCTGAATCTCAAAATCTCAAAAGCAGAGAAGCAAACAGTGCAGGCTTCAGTCTGTGGCTGAAGGCCCGAGAGCACCTGGAAAATTACTGGTTTAAGTCCAAGAGTCTAAAAGCTAAAGAACTTGGAGTCTGATGTTCCAGGGCAGGACGCATCCAGCACAGGAGGAAGGTGCAGGCCAGAAGACTCAGCAAGTCTGGTACTTCCAACTTCTGCCTGCTTAATCCTAGCTGCGCTGGCAGGTGATTAGATGGTGCTCACCCACATTAAAGGTGGGTCTGCCTCTCCCAGTCCACTGACTCAACTGTTACTATTCTTTGGCAACACCCTCACAGACACACCTAACAATGACAATTTGCATTCTTCAACCAAATCGAGTTGACATTCAATATTAACAATCACAGGTCCACCCCTTGTCAACTTCAACCCATACACATCTCCTGAGATCATACATAATCTTCAAATAAAGACAAAAGTAAGGTAATAATTATACCCAATATAATACAACTATCATTTGTACAACCAGAAAAGCACCAATCCCCAACCCAAATGCTATTACATAAAGTTAACAATACTTAAATGCTGATATGAAGTCAATAAATCTATGTCATATGATAAAGGAAAATGGAAATAAAATGAAGATATTTTCTTAGTACAAGTGTATATATGCACAAACATGTTTTTAAAAAAAGAAGGAGGAAATATTCATGACAATTACAGTCCCGTTTCTGCAACTGGGCACATGGTTGTAGCTGGTATTGATGACTACCTTCTCTACTACCCACTCTGTATTGCCTTTGGCTTCAGCAAGCACCTCAGCAGGTCTTGTTGTTTTTTTTTTTTTTTTCTCTTTTCCTGGTGGAGTAACCCAAACCTTCATTCCTGAAAGGTCTGGACCATTTTTAGTCCTTCCTGGACTGGGTTGTTGTAGTTTCCCATTGACTTTAACGACAGGACATGGGAATAATAAGAGATGCCCTAAGAGATCTCCCGTATTCCATACATACTCTCCCTTACCTCTGTTGTGGAGTAGTAAACTGACTTCATCTTGATAGTCCAGGTCAATCGCCCCAGCCAGCACTGTAATGCCCTTCTTAGCCTGTTGACTTAGAGTAGGAGGAGCCCAAAGTTGCCAGGTGGCAATCTTAACCTCCAGTTTAATGGAATCTTTGTTGTGTCTCTTGGCAGCAGCATTCTTCCCTCTGGAACTAAGGCCTCTAGGCCAGCAGAAGGTAATGCTGAAGGAAGAGGAAGCAAAAATTTTGCTAGTGGGTCACTGGGGTGATGGTGAGGGATGCCACTTCCACTTCCACCCCTTGATTCCTGGACCCAGGAGTCCTGGCTATGGGAGAAACAGTACCTGAAAATTTGAGACAAGTCTAAGTTAATTTAGAAATTTTATTTGGCCAAGGTTGAGGACGCACCCATGACACAGTCTCAGGAAGTCCTGAGGACATGTGCCCGAGGTGGGTGTGGCACAGCTTAGTTTTATACATTTTTGGGAGACATGAGACATCAATCAATGTAAGTAAGAAGTACATTGGTTCTGTCTGGAAAGGCGGGACAACTTGAAGCAAAGGCAGGAAGGCTCAGGGAGGGAGCTTCCAGGTCATGTTTAGGTGATACATAAATGGTTACTTTTTTTTTTTTTTTTTTTTTTTTTTTTTAGTTTCTGATTAGCCTTTCCAAAGGAGGCAAATCAGATATGCATCTATCTCAGTGAGCAGAGGGGTAACTGAGTAGAACGGGAGGCAATGTTGGCCTAAGCAGTTTCAGCTTGAGTTTTCCTTAGTGGTATTGGGGGCCCAAGATAATTTCCTTTCACATATTGAATGCTAATTCAGAGCATACACAGCCTCCTGGAGAACTGTGCCCCAGCCCTGAAAAGGCAATGCTCTCTGGAATACCGTGGCGGTGGATAAGGCATTCTGTGAGTGGTAAGGCATCCCTTATGTGATAAGACATTAGTCCTGGAAGAAGCATTGAGTGCAGGATAGACAAACCCATATCCGGAGGAAGTGTCTACTCCAGTGAGGACAAACCATTGCCCTTTCCATGATGTAAGAGGCCCAATATAATCAACCTGCCACCAAGTAGCTGGCTGGTCACCCTGAGGAATGGTGTCAAATGAGGGCTCATTGTTGATCTCTGCTACTGGCAACTTGAGCATTCAGTGGTGGCGGTAGCCAGGTCATCCTTGGTGAGTGGAAGTCCATGCTGCTAAGCCCATGTGTAATCTTCATCCTGACACCATGGCCACTTTGTTCATGGGCCCATCGGGTGATGACAAGAGTGACTGGGAAACAAAGCTGAGTGGCGTCCACAGAAAGAGTAATCCTATCTACTTGATTGTTAAATTCCTCTTCTGCTGAAGTCGCCCTTTGGTGAGCATTCACATGAAATACAAATATCTTCAGTTTTTGACCACTCAGGGAGGTCTCTCCACATACCTCTTCTCCAAATTTCTTTGTCACCAATTTTCCAATCATGCTCCTTCCAAGACCCTGACCATCCAGCCATACCATTGGCTACAGCCAATGAATCAGTATGTAATCGCACAGCTGACCATTTCTCCTTCAATGCAAAGTGCATGACCAGGTGCATTGCTCAATGTTCTGCCCACTGGGAAGATTTCCCTTCACTCTTCTCCTTCGGGGATGTCCTAGAAAGGGGCTGTAGTGCTGCAGTTGTCCATTTTCGAGTGGTGCCTGCATATCGTGTGGAACCATCTGTGAACCAGACCCTTGTCTTCCCTTCCTCTGTCAACTAATCATAGGGAACTCCCCATGAAGCCCTCAGTGCAGGCTGGGGTAGAGAAGGCAGGGTGGCAGGAGTGGAGACCATGGGCATTTGAGCCACTTCCTCATGTAACTTACTTATACCTTCAGGACCTGCTTGAGCCTGATCATGTATATACCACTTCCATTTGACCATGAAATGCTGCTGTGCATGCTCAACTTTATGGCTAGATGGGTCAGAAAGCACCAGTTCATGATAGGCAGTTCAGGTTGCATGGTGACTTGATGACCCATAGTCAAACGTTCAGTTTCTACAAAAGCCCAGTAACAAACCAAGAGTTGTCTCTCAAAAGTAGAGTAGTTATCTGCAGAAGATGACAGCGTCTTGCTCCAAAATCCTAGAGGCCTCAGCTGTGATTCACCTATGGGCAGCTGCCAAAGGCTCCAAACAGTATCCCTATCTGCTGCTGACACCTCAAGCACCATTGGATCTGCTAGGTCATATGGCCCAAGTGGCAGAGCAGCTCGCACAGCAGTCTGGACCTATTGCAGAGCTTTCTCCTGTTCTGGACCCTACTCAAAACTGGCAGCCTTTCCGGTCACTCAGTAAATGGGCTGGAGCACCCTCCCTTATTATTTTTTTTCATGATGGCTTTATTGGCAGAGTAAAAAATAATTAATTCTGTATTTCTATTTTCTAAATCTTCAGTCAGTTGCAGCAACCCATAGGGAAGGGATAGTGAGATAGCAAAAACCATAATAAAATAACGCCATAACAGTATATAAAATAAAACTATGGAGGAATAACATATGAAAGTAACAATAATGAATATCCAAGTGTAGTAAACAGCACTTAGTTCATTTATTAAAAGTAGAGGTGATATGATTTGGCTGTGTCCCCACCCAAATCTCATCTTGAATTTTAGCTCCCATAATGCCCATCTGTTGTGGGAGGGACCCAGTATGAGATAACTGAATCATGGGGCATGGGATGTTTCCCCCATAATCCTCTCATGATAGTGAATATGTCTTATGAGATCTGATCATTTTATAAGTGAAAACTTCCTTCACTTGGTTCTCATTCTTTCTTTGCCAGCTGCCATGTAAAATGTGCCTTTGCTCTTCCTTCATTGCCTGCCATGATAGTGAGGCCTCCCCAGCCAAATGAAACTGTGACTCCATTAAAAATAATTCCTTTATAAATTACCCAGTCTCAGGTATGTTTATCAGCAATGTGAAAATGAACTAATACAAGACGGCTATAGGAAAGAGAAGCAATTATGCCTCAATCATTCCATTGCATATTAGCACAGAGTTTGTAAAAGCATAAGTTGTTTAAAAAAATAGTATTAAAATTTGCTTTGAAATTGTAAAATATTTATATGTAAATATTGAATCCTCTTTGAAAACTACTCAGCTACCCTAAATTACATTAATAAAGTTCTTCGTTTATTTTTCAATTTACAAAGTAACATACCATATCGAAATAGGCAATGCCAGAGTAAATATTTTATTCAACAAAGTTATAATAGAAATAAAGAAGTTAACCAGTATATATTTTGAATTGTTCTTATCATTAAGTGAAAAAATGTATATTAAAGAATTTTAATCTGTTTTGAAAATGCCATCTATATGTTTTACCAGTTTGCTCGTTTCCTTTCATTTTCTTTTCTTTTCTTTTTTTTTTTTTTTTTTTTTTTTTTTTGGGACAGAGTCTTGCTGTCGCCCAGGCTGGAAAGCAGCAGTGGCGCGATCTCGGCTCACTGCAGACTCCGCCCCCCGGGTTCATGCCATTATCCTGCCTCAGCCTCCCGAGTAGCTGGGACTACAGGCGTCCGCCACCTCGCCTGGCTAATCCGCCTGCCTCGGCCTCCCAAAGTGCTGGGATTACAGGTGTGAGCCACTGTACCCGTCCCAGTTTGCTCTTTTCAAAATGACATTGTGAACATAAGTAAGAAAACATACTAATTTCTGGATAGGTGATAACTAATTTTAGGAATCCAGTAAAACTGGTGTGAGAAGAAAGACCTAGGGCTGAGTAATAAGATTCAAACAAGTTTGGTAAAAGAAATGTTACAGATAAGGCTCAACCAAAATTTGTTTCATAGGACACCATTCTTCTGAAAGAATTTCAAAGAAAACTGAGTTTGAGAAATCAGGTACACTGTTTTTGGATATTCATAATTAACATTTTATACATGTTTATAGCAGCACAATTCACAATTGCAAAAATGTGGACCCGACACAAATGCCCATCAATCAACCAGTGGATAAATAAACTGTGGTATGTGTATACAATGGAATACTACTCAGCCATAGAAAGGAATGAATTAATGGCATTTGCAGCAACCTGGATGAGATTGGAGGCTATTATTCTAAGTGAAGTAACTCAGGAATGGAAAACCAAACACCGTATGTTCTCACTCATAAGTGGAAGCTAAGCTGTGAGGAAGTAAAGGCAAAAGAATGACACAATGGACTATGGGGACTCAGGAGAAAAGGGTGGGAAGGGGGCGAGGGACAAAAGACTGCGAATTGAGTGCAGTGTGTACTGCTCGGGCGATGGCTGCACCAAAAGCTCACAAGTCACCACTAAAGAATTTACTAATGTAACCAAACACCACCTGTTCTCCAATAACCTATGGAAATAAAAAAATTTTTTAAAAAAACAGAATAAACTGTCAGACTTTTGAGGAGAAAGACAACTGTATATGTTTGTTTAAACCAATGTTGTCTAAACAATGGCAACTGTTTATGGCTAAAGAATATGTACTACAAAATTGTGGCATTTGGATTCCAGTCAAAGAGAAACCTGTAACATGTCATATGTCATTCTCTCTTCTTGGTCTTGAGCCAGTAAACATAGTCTATTATTTTTTTCTAGATATTGTTACATAGAGCTTGGGTTCTGACTGGCTTTAACTGATTCACCAGCATTTAGTATAGTACCTCATATATCATAGGTGCTTGATAAAGATCTGCTACATAGTTCTGCTTCATAGTATTTTCAAATTTTAACATTCGCTAGTTTCTGTTTTCCTGTTTTGTCTTATGTTCTCCTGCATACAAAGATAGGAGATTAAATGATTGAAAAACAAAGGCAAAAGAACCAACTTATTCCAATGTATTTTTCGTTGACTTATTTTTTCTCCCCGAAAGTATACAGTGTAGCCTTTAATAACACAGGTTGGAACTGTGTGGACACAATCATACGATTTTTTTCAATAAACGAATTGGAATATTTTTTGGGGATTTAGAATAATTTGAAAAACTTACAGATAAACTATGTGGCCAAGAAATATTGAGAAAATTATGAAAAATTTAGATATGTCATGAATGCATAAAATATATGTAGATAAAGTCTATTATTGAATTTATTGCCAAAAACTATAAACAAATCTGTTGTAAATAGTTAAAATTTATCAAAATGTATGCACACACAGGCTGTACATAACAGCCAAGTTATGTACAGCCTTGACTGTACGTTAACAGTCAAGAGAAAGGTAAATAAATGTAAAGACGCAGCATTAATTATAACTGCATGAAATTAACTGCAGTAAACACAGTACTACTAAAATAATTTTGTAGCCATCTCCTGCTGCTATTGTGGTGAGCTCAAGTGTGAGTATCTACTTAAAACGCCTTTCATGCTGATCACCTCCGTGTGAGCACTTGTCTCTCCAGTAAATTGCACATCACAGTAAAAAGTGCTCTCTCGAGCTTCTTGTGTATTTTTCACCGTGTTTAGTGCAATACCATAAACCTTGAATAACATCTTGGGACCCATACAAAGCACTATTGGTGCTGAAAGTGCTCCCAAGAAGCAGAGAAAAGTCATGACATTACAAAAAAAGTAGAATTGCTTAATATGTACCATAGATTGAGATGTGTAGCTGTAATTGCTTGCCATTTCAGACAGACGAATCTTCTTGTAAACAGAGGATATAAATGTACAGTATCAATAAATGCAGTACGGTAAATGTATTTTTTCTTCCTTTTGATTTTCTTGATAACATTTTATTTTCTGTAGCTTAATTTATTGTAAGAATACACTATATAACATATTTTTCAATAAATATAATACTGGAGTAGGAATGTGGTTTTAAAATCTAGGTCAATAAATTTCTGGGTAGGAATTTTTAGGTAAGTTACATAAATAATGAATTTCAACTTTGTCTTATGTTAAATGGATACATAATACTTGTGCTAACATTTCAAAGACAGTTTTCAAAGTTTTTTATTAGAAATGCTTTAAAAATATCAAATGTTACATGAAAAATATGCTAAGCACCTTGAAAGCTGCTAATTTGTAAGCTTAAGTATATTCAGGTATTAGGTAAAAGCATCAAGAAAATTATGATGAGTGTCTACCTAATTACAAAACAGGAATACTAGCTTAAATTATCTGGTTAATTATGAAAATCGTTGTTTCTTGAGTCCTTGGCTGTTTTAACTAAATGGAGGTAAAAATAAGAAAACAATAGGTAAATTGCAATGATCTCTATAAAATAATGATTTATTATCAGCATGAGCTTTAGAAATCAGATTCATTAGCATGTCCTATCTGGAATTGAGCTGATTTCTATTTCAGTTACCATAAGCCCCACTAGGAAAACTGGATTTACTTCCACTCATTGCTCTTCCAACTTCACATAATACCAACTCTGCCTAAAGCACTAATGAATACTGCAGCTGCTGTTTCTTGCCTTCTGGATTCAGGAAAATCATGAAAGAATAACTCAGAGAAATTAATTTTTCTTAGCCCTACTTTTTTGGAACTGATAAACTAAAGAATACATAGTTATAGAAAACAATAACCATTTTATATTTAGAGAGCACAAACCCTCTAGCAGGCTTCTCAATCCCTTTGGTAATTGGAGTGGCATAATGTACTGTCTATTTAAATTTACCTCTTGTGTATTATACGTTTTTGTTAAGGAATGAGTTTATTTGCTGAGAGGGACATGGGATGTGAACAAGTGTGTTGCTTTACGTTCTTTAGTGCAGCAAACTCAAATTGTCTTCATTTATACTATCAATATATTTTTTACTGTCAGAAATGCAATGTTGAAAATAAAAGAAACATTTATTGACCATCTACTATGTTTCCAACAGTGTTTGTTTTTCTATGTAAAATCTCATTTAGTGCTCTCACTGACCACTCTTATGTGTTAAAAAAATATGATTTTATTATTCGTATGAGAAAATAGAGATTCAGAAAGGCTACATAATTTGTTTCAGATCACAGAAAGTAAATTTATTCAAAAGAGTATGCATTGTCAATTGGGAATTTAAATCTAATTGTTTAAAAGTATAAAACTCATGCTATTTCTGATAAAGCATTCCTGCATTTGATTATCTTTATTAGGTAAAATTAAAATGGTACTATTATTTTAAATTTTCATAAAACGGATGAAAATAATAGGCTTATGATTTAATTCATCTCAATCATTTGATTTTAAAAAGCTAAAATCAGAATGTTGAGCACTCATTTTTCAGATATTTGCACTTAATAGGCAAAGGAGCATTTTAAACTTTAAATTATTTAAATTCAGATAATTAAAATATTTAAGATGTTTTAGTGTCTAATTGCTGAATAAAGCAGTCAGCTTCCATAAATAGGGAAACAATATAAGGAGGGTATGTCACAAAATAAATCAAGAAAATTTCAAGTCTGGAGGTGATGGCTCATGCCTGTAATCCAACCACTTTGGGATGCCAAGGTTGAAGGATCGCTTGAGTCCAGGAGTTCAAGACCAGCGTGGGCAACATAGTGAAACCCCATCTCTACAAAAAAATGTATTTTTTTAAAAAATAGCCAGCTATATTGGCGTGTGCTTATAGTCCCAGCTAATCAGGAGACTGAGGTTTGAGAATCACTTGAGCCCAGGAGTTTGAGGCTGCAGTGAGCCATGATTATGCACTGCACTACAGCCTGGGCAAGAGAGTGAGAACCTGTCTTTAAAAATAAAGAAAGAAAGTAGGAAATTTTCAATTATGGCCCAAAGACTTCTTTCTTAAAAGTACTTTGCCTCTAGAGGACAAAATAACTGAATGAACTCACATCCTAAGGAGCTTGGGCTAAAATACTGGGGCGAAAAGGAGTTAAAAAACCACAGTTTACTAAAATGTTCTACCTAAAGTGAGACAGCCTAAAGATAGAGGCCTGCATTTTTCAGAGACAGTGGAGATAAATGGATATGTCTACTTTTTCGTATTGGGACCTGAGACCATATTTTGGACTTAAGAATTTTAAGAATTTTTATTGAGTTAACACTCAATAGACAGGTGGATGAGTATGTTCAATGCAACACTGAAATGAAATGTTAATCTTAATCCCAGGCCCCCATTACACTTCACAGTATCTGGTACCATGTTTGTACTTTTTACTTCCGTGAGTTCAATTGCTTTGATTTTTAGATCCACAAATAAGTGAGGACATGTGATGCTTGTCTTTCTGTGCCTGGCTTATTTCACTTAACATAGTGACTTCTAGTTCCATCCATGTTGTTGAAAATGACTGGATCCATTCTTTTATATGGCTGAATGGTACTCCATTGTGTATATGTACCACGTTTTCTTTATCCAATCATCTGTCGATGGACCCTTAGGTAGCTTCCAACTTCTAGATATTGTAAACACTGCTGCAACAAACACAGGAGTCAGATAGCTCTTTGATATACTGATTTCCTTTCTTTTGGGTATATATCCAGGAATGGGATAGCTGGATCATATAGTAGTTCAATTCTTAGGTTTTGAGGACACTCCAAACTGTTCTCCATGTGGTTGTATCTAATTTACATTCCCATCAACAGTATACAAGGGTTCCCTTTTCTTCACATCCTCACCAGCATTTGTTATTGCCCATATTTTGAATATAAGCCATTTTAACTGGGTTGAGATAATATCTCACTGTAGTTTTTACATTTATCTGATGATCAATGACGTTAAGCACCATTTTATATGCCCTTTTGCCATTTGTATATCTTCTTTTGAGAAATGTCTATTCAAACCTGTTGCCCATTTTAAAAATCAGATTATTAGACTTTTTCCTATAGAGTTGTTTGAGCTCCTTATTTATCCTGATTATTAATCCCTTGTCAGGTGAGTAGTTTGCAAATATTTGCTCCCATTCTGTAGGTTGTATCTTCACTTTGTTGATTGTATCCTTTGCTGTGCAGAAGCTTTTTAACTTGATATTATCTCATTTGTTCATTTTTGCTCTGGTTGCCTGTGCTTGTGGCGTATTGCTCAAGAAATCTCTGCCCAGACCAATGTCCTGAATATTTTTCCAATGATTTATTGTAGCAGTTTCATAGTTTTAAGTCATAGATTTAAGTCTTTAATCCATTTTGATTTTATTTTTGTATATGGTGATAGATTGGGGTTACTTTCATTTTTCTGCATGTGAATATCCAGTTAACTTATAAGTTCCATTAATTAAAGAGACTTCTTTTTTCCTTGGTGTATCTTCTTAGCATCTGTCAAAAATTAGTTCACTGCAGGTGTATGTATTTGCTTCTATGTTTTCTATTCTGTTCCATTGGTCTATGTGCCTTTTTTTATGCCAGTGCCATGCTGTTTTGGTTATTATACATCTAAAGTATAATTTGAAGTCACTCAATATAATTCCTCCAGTTTCGGTCTTTTCACCTAGGATAATTTTGGCGATTCTGGGTCTTTTGTGGTTCCATAAAAATTTTAGGATTTTTTTCTCTATTTTTGTGAAGAATGTCATTAGTATCTTGATAGGAATTGCATGGAATGTGTAGATTGCTTTGTGTAGTATGAACATTTTAACAATATTGATTTTCCCAATCCATAAGCATGGAATATTTTTCCATGTTTGTTGTCCTTTCAATTATTTTCATCAGTGTTTTATGGTTTTCATTATAGAAATCTGTCACTTCTTTGGTTAAGTTAATTTCTAGGTACTTAATTTTGTGTGGCTATTTTCAATGGGATTACTTTTTTATTTCTTTTTCACAGCATTTATGTTGGCATATAGAAATACTACTGATTTTTGTATTTCGATTTTGTATTCTGCAACTTTACTTCATTTCCTTATCAGTTCTAATCGTTTTCCAGTGGAGTCTTTAGGTTTTTCCAAATATAAAATTATATCATCTGCAAACAAGGATAATTTCACTTTTCCATTTCCAATTTGGATGCCCTTTATATGTTTCTCTTTTCTAAGTGCTCTAGCTAGGACTTCCAGTATTATGTTGAAGAACAGTGATGGTAGTGGGCATTCTTGTTGTATTCCACATCTAAGAGAAAAGGCTTTCTGTTTTCACCTTTTCAATATGATACTAACTGTGGTTCTGTCATACGTGGCTTTTATAATGTTGAGTTATGTTTCATCTTTTCCCAGTTTTTTTGAAGGTTTTTATGATAAAGAGATGTTGAATTTTATTAGATGCTTTTCAGCATCAATTCAAATGATCATATTGGTTTTATCCTTCATTTTATTGATATGATGTATCAAATTGATTGATTTGCATATGTTGAACTTTCCTTGCATCACAGGGATAAATTATACTTGGTCATGATGAATGATCTTTCTAATGTATTGTTGAAATTGGTTTGTTAGTAGTTTGTTGAGGATTTTTGCATAAATATTCATCAGAGATACTGCCCTGTAGTTTTCTTTCCTTTTTTTTTTATGTTTCTTTGTCTGGTTTTGGTATCAGAGTAATAACAGCCTTATAGAATGAGTTTGAAGGTATTTCTTCCTCTTCTATTTTTTGGAATAGTTTGAGTAGGATTGGTATTAACTCTTCTTTAACTGTTTGGTAAAATTCAGCAGTCCAGCCGTCAGGTCCTGAGAGTTTTTATTACAGCTTCAACCTCATTACTTGTTATTGGTCTGTTCAGGTTTTGGATTTCTTCCTGGTTCAGTCTTGGTAGATTTTATGTATCTAGGAATCTGTCCATTTCCTCTAGATTTTCCAATTTATTGGCATGTAGTTGCTCACAGTAGCCACTGATAATCCTTTGAATTTCTGCAGTATCAGTTGTAATGTCTCCTTTCTCATTTCTTATTTTATTTGGATTTTTCTCTTTTTCACTTCGTTATTTAAGCTAAAGATTTGTCAATTTTTTAACTTTTTTAAAAAACAGCTTTTTATTTCATTATTTGTTATTTTTTATTTCAATTACATTTATTTCTTCTCTTTTTTTATTTATTTTCTTCTAATTTTGGGTTTGGCTTGCTCTTATTTTTCTAGTTTTTAAAGGTGGAATGTTAGATCATTTCTTTTAAGTTATTCTTTTTTTTTTAGATGCAGTCTCACTCTGTCACCCAAGTTGGAGTGCAGTGGCGTGATCTTGGCTCACTGCAACCTCTGCCTAGCGGGTTCAAGCAATTCTCCTGCCTCAGCCTCCAAATAGCTGGAATTACAGATTCCCACCACCATGCCTGGCTAATTTTTTCTATCTGTTAGTAGAGACAGGGTTTCATCATGTTGGCCAAGCTGGTCACAAACTCTTGACCTCGGGTGATCCACCGCCTCTGATTGGTGGAGCCTTCTTTTCTGCTGTCTTGCGCCACCTTCCTTTCTAACTTCTTGTTGTAAGCATGTAGCACTATATGCTTTCCTCTGAAGACTGCTGTCTGGGCATTGAAGATTCTGATATGCTACTTCTCTGTTTTCACTAGTTTCAAAGAATATTTTGATATCAAATTTATTTTTTTTCCTAAAGTCATTTAGGAGCAGGTTATTTAACTTCCATGTAATTGTATGGTTTTAATAGATCTTCTTGGTGTTAATTTCTATGTTTATTATGCTGTAGACTGAGAGTGTGGTTGGTATGATTTTGATTTTTCGAATGTGTTGACACTTGCTTTATGGCCAAACATGTGGTCTATCTTAGAGTGTGTGCCATATGTAGATGAGAAAAATGTCTATGCTGTTGTTTCAGGTTGGAATGTTCTGTAAATGTCTATGAAAACCTGAGAGCTTGGATATGACTTTGTCTTCTCAGCAACTATGCAGTCATGTAAACACAAGTGCATTACGTGTAAAGACTCTGTTCTGAAATCTCTGATACCACTTGGTTCCAGGGGCACTTGGCCATGGAGAGAGGCCTTGCCAGTAGCAGCTGCTGTATTCCTTCATTTTGATTTTCTTTTTCACTGAAGAAGGCATGAGAATTGAGAATTGAGAAAACTAGTGTATGTTCATTTGTTTCTTTTTAACTTATCCCAAGTTAGTAGCATTGGGCTTTTCACAAATATTTCAACTTTCCAGTTTTCAGACACATAGTTGAATTTCATTGTCCTACATCCTTCAAATTAGATAAGGTCATGACTGACTTTGACTAAATAGTATGAGCAGACATAACAAGTATCTCATTTAGAGGTCATTAAGAATGATCACTCTTTCATCATATACACACTTCTTACCATCATAGATATGAAAACACACATCAAGACAGAAATTCATAGCTTATTTCTCTGCGAGTCTGAAAGGAAAAATAGTGCACATTTTTGTGTTAAGCTACTGAGAGTTTGGCACTGTTTGTTTTTGTAGGATAAACTAGCCTGTCCTGATTAATGCAGTAATAACCTCAATACCTAAAAACACAAAAATAACAATAAAAAAATGTTAACATGAGGCCTTGCATTATTTTTGGAACATGAGAAAAGAAATATAACAAGAATTTTCCATGTTTTTAAAAAACTTCTATAGTTTTCTCATATATTATATATATTTGTATGTAATATATAACATTATATATTTGTATGAAATATATTATGTAACATTACATATTTATATATAATGTATTACATGTTTACAACTAAAATGTATCTTTATCTGGTTCCCCTAAAAACTTTTAATTTCTTACTAGTGGCATAAGATAAGTTAGACACATTTTTCCATGTGGCAATATGTACTATCAACATGAGTACCTGCTCAAAATGATAGAGATGAGTTAGTTTGGAGTTTTAATTTTACATATGAAAGTTTCTAGACATTTAAGAGTCTATATTTTGTTCAATGAGTCTATGAAATGAAAAAATGTTTTTGGAAATGTTTTCCAGTAAGGTATCACCCTAAAAAAATCTGCAATTTAATCAAATCACATATGTGTTAGTTATCCACCATGCAGAATCCACAATTCTGCTATCGCCTTTAATTGCTTTTCAGCATCCAAATATTAGTTTAAATGTCTGTCTTCAACATTAAAAAATAGTTGTGAATGTTTGCTTTCTAACTTATTTATTTCCCAAGGAAAGTTACTGTGCGAAAATTCAATTATTGTTTCAATCAGGCATTTGCCATGATATTTTGTTATACAGCAGCAACTCAGAAACCATGAGAGGATTTTTTCAACAGCACAAATCTACCAACACGTCTATTACCTACTAAATGAAGCATAAAATGAACAGATACTCTTGAGTCAGTTATCCGTATCATTGTTGCTAATACAGAAGGCATAATAATGAACAGTACATGAGTGAGCTTCATATATATTAGGCAATAAAAAAGGAAAAAAAAGAAATGTTGCTGCCAATGATTTATTCATTTAGGCAAAACTCTTGAGAGGATAAATAAGAATGTCACATATGCTACAGGAGCACAGACAAGTTACAAAACAATACCACTACTGATCATTTTAACTTAGCAAAGAACTGAGATAGATGTGAATGCAAAGAGAAGAAAGAAAAATGGGAGAGCAAAGGAGGTTTATTCATCAACCAACAAATTGAACTGTTATGGGTGTAGAATTTCCCTACTGACAGTTAACTTTTCTGTTATAAAAGGAATGATGCATAAATATTTTGGCTCATGCAATCATGAGAAGGATAACATACCTGAAGAATAGATTAATTCGTTGAATCAGACCTTTTGGGAATATGTCAGGGGGACTTAGTCATGAGTCCTATGGCATTAGGTATTAGATAAACGTCAAAGTAGGCGATCAGCTTTACATAAGAAATGTTGGCAATAGCTGGTAGGGATGTCACCCACAACAAAGGGAGTTCAGAGGTAAAAACCTAATTCCCAAAGGAAGGTTCAGAAAGATCAAGCTGCATCTCAGGCAGGTCCAAGCAAGTAGAATTTATGGAACTGTACCAAAGGATATAATTGTCCAAACATAAAGACCAAATACTAAAGTAAGAGCAGGGCCAGAAGTGAGACTTATTTGATACTTAGTTTGTAAAGGCTGTGGAGCCTGTAGGTGGACATAAGTGTATGAAGCAATTTGTATTGAAAACCGTTATGCTGCACAAAGGCATAACACTTTCTAGCACACATTAAACCAAGATGACACTTTCCTTGAAACTCCATAAGACAACTAAAAGTTAAGAGATTTCTTTTTTAAGTTCCAATATGTAAAGAGCTTATAAGGTGTCAGTTCCATACTGACAAGAAGAAAAGAGGTAAATAGCTAAATATTCAAACTTTTTATTAGATCCATCAAATAACTGAAGGCACAGCAAAAACTACCACCACGCCATCTGAAGAGATAGGGGGAAACAGAGACTCTCACAAGAGATTAGCTCACTGGAGCAAAGCTGCCAGAAGCATAAACTGATAGGAACAGGTAAATAAATGGTCATTGCATTATTTACTGGAGGCCAAGTGTGGACTCATGAGAGAGGAGAACTTCTTGGGGCTGTAGGCTTAGGGTGGTCCCCTCAAGCTCCTGGGTTTTACTTCCTCGAAGTAAAGACCTTACAAGATCTCACTGTGAAGAGACACGAATAATACCCTATGGCTCTAGCAGAGGGGAAACTTATATCATTTTGTGCATATATATGCAAACAATAAATCAAAAATCAAAAGCTAATCTTCTACCTTAGCAAATTAGAGAAGAGCAATTTAAGCCCAAAGCAAGCAGGAAAAAGGAAACAATAAAAATTAGATCTTCTAAAATACCAATTGGACTTGGTTTTTCCCTGACCAAAATACTGTATTAGTTAGGTCTTAGATAGACGGAACGCTTCAGAACAATATGCAATAATGCTGTCATGGCCTGCAAGGTCCTGTGTGGTCGAGCCTCCGTCTTTGCCTCCAGAATGCTGGCCACCACTCTCCCACACTCCCTCTTCTCTGGCCACATGCTGGTCCTCATCCTCCTTAGACAGGCATGGCATGTATTTCTCCCAGATGTAGCTTCATCAGTTGTCCTCGTTTTGTCTGATAATAGCTTCAATAATTATTACCTTGGAGAGACTTTCTACCCTCCCTGTTAGGATATATGTCGGTTTCCTACCAGTTTTATATCCAACCCTGGACACAAAGTTTGGACTATAATAGGTCCTCAATACATTGAAAGAAGTGAATAAAGTGTTCATTTGCAACATATTACTTCAAAATGAGATTTTTATTTTTTTGAGACAGAATCTCACTCTGTCACCCAGGCTGAAGAGCAGTGGCACCATCTCAGCTCACTGCAACCTCCACCTTCCGGGTTCAAATGATTCTGTATGTCTCAGTCTCCTGAGTAGCTGGGATCACAGGCTCATGCAACCAGGCTAGGCTAATTTTTGTATTTTTAGTAGAAACAAGGTTTTACCATGATGGTCAGGCTGGTCTCAAACTCCTGACCTCAAGTGATCTGCTCCTCTCGGCCTCCCAAAGCCCTGGGATTACAGGTGTGAGCCACCGTGCCCAGCCTCAAAATTAGATTTTTATATTTATCTATATTGATATGTGAATCTTTTATTTATCAACTTTTGCAGTTTATTTATTAAATGTTCACTTGACAGCCATTTAGATTGGTTTTCAACTTTTTTTATAAAACTATTTTTGAAATCCATGTATTTCCAGGTAACTGTTCTTTATCATGTTTATCCTCTAGTGTTTTGGAGAATAATTTTTTAAGTATGACATCTAGTCTTTTTAGTTGTGTGCAGTAAGAAGACTGACCTAACATACCTCATCTACGATTAAGAAAATCAGTAGTACAAGCCTATAGGGTAGGATTGTATTTCTGATTCTTATATACTGTATTATATAATTACATAGGAGATATTTATTAAATAAAAGCAAAATGAAAACCTGTTATATGGAAGACTTAACTTCCATACTGTCCTCCTTTCTTCAGCTTCTTTCCTAGAATGAAGAAACACTGTCTCAAGGTAGAACATCCAGTCTGCAACCATGAAGACAAAACCAACACAATAAAGATCAAAAGCAGGAAACCAGAAAGAGCATAATTTTCTCTTAATATATTTACACGCATATACTAATCTGAAATGTCCACCTTCATATCCCTCAGCTGGAACATGTGCACTCTTTAGGTTGGTGATTGATTGTTGGAAGTTTTTATATTTCCAGCCAAATGCTTTCTTAATATACAGATGTGCACATACTTTGACTTAACAACTCCATTGCATCAGATTATTAATTTGGATGTTTTAATGTAAGGTGGGAGATAGAATATCATGTGAAGATTTTTTTTTATTAATTTATTTTTTGAGACAGGGTCTCACTCTGTCACCCAGGCTGGAGTGCAGTAGTGCAGTCACGGTTCACTGCAGCCTCAACCTCCTGGGCTCAGGTGATTCTCTCGCCTTAGCCTTCTGAAGAGGTGGGACTACAGGCATGTACCACTATGCCCTGCTACCACGTGAAGATTTAAAAGTAATTCCTGAGACGTTTTTAGTCAAATGAGTCTGTTTGGTTTTAATTTAGAAAGAATTTTTTTTTAAAAAAATAGGATTTGTAAAGTTGTCTTGAATAAAACAAAAATTGGTTACATTTAATTCTGAGAAAGGATAATAAGAGCAATCAGATGCTAACACTTAACTCAAAGTCTAGAAAAAGGGCTTCAGGGGAAACTCATGGAATGAGAAGTGTTTTCTGCAGGTGGGGGGCTATATTGTAGTTGTGCCTAATTCAGGTCTGAAAAAATTAAACTGACGGAAGACACAGGCAGCTGTGAAAGAGATGCTTTGGGAAAAGAACAGACCATTCCTGACCATGGACCAAAATTCCGTGAAACCTGGGAACCAGGCTCAATACTAATTCTAATGGGAACGTTGGCTCTCAGTCAGGTTATTAGATCCTCTCCAAGAGGATTAGGAAGGATACATGCAACAGAGGCAGCACCTAGTCCATGTGCTGCAGAAAGGACAGTTCAGAAAAGGCATTTTCCGACCAGAGCGTTAAATGGACTATAGAGTCCATTTAAACATCTGCTGTAAGCAGAATGCAGGTATCCTAGTCGGCTCGGGCTGCCATAATAGAATACCACAGACTGAGTGGCTTAAACAATAGAAATGTATTTTTCTCGCTGTTCTGGAGGCTGGAAGTCCAAGATCAGGGTGCTGACCAATTCATTTCCTGGTGCATCCTTTTCTCTTGGTTTTTGGATGACTCCTTTCTCACTAGGGCCTGAAATAGTCTTTCCTTGGTGCATGCACATGGAGACCAGAGAGAGCGTGTGAGAGTTCTCTCTCTCGTCTTCTTCTTAAAAGGCTACCAATTTTATCAGTTGAAGAGCTCATCTTTATGATCTCATTTAACCTTAATAACCTCCTAAAATCCCTATCTCAAAATACATTCCTGTGAATTTTGGGGGTGCGCAGCTGGGGCTATAAAAGCATGAAATCAAATTGTAAGCATATCAGTCAAATAAATAGTTTACTTTTTATCTTCCTTTATCCCTGTTTGTGGTACTCATTCCAAAAATAGGGACAACAGATAAATTATCTGCAAATGGCAGGGTGCGGTGGCTCACGCCTGTAATCCCAGCACTTTGGGAGGCTGAGGCGGGCAGATCACGAGGTCACGAGATCGAGACCATCCTGGCTAAGACGGTGAAACCCCGTCTCTACTAAAAATACAAAAAATTAGCCGGGCGTTGTGGCGGGTGCCTGTAGTCCCAGCTACTCGGGAGGCTGAGGCAGGAGAATGGCGTGAACCCGGGAGACGGAGCTTGCAGTGAGCCGAGATCGCGCCACTGCGCTCCTGCCTGGGCGACAGAACGAGACTCTGTCTCAAAAAAAAAAAAACAAAAAAAATTATCTGCAAATAAAAATAGAGAATGACCATTTAAATGTAAACTGTAGATTAAAAATGATATTTTTGGCTGGGCAAGATGGCTCACACCTGTAATCCCAGCACTTTGGGAGGCCGAGGAGAGTATATCACTTGAGGTCAGTAGTTTGAGACCAACCTGGCCAACATGATGAAACCCCCATCTCCACAAAAAATAACAAAAATTAGCCAGCTGTGGTGGCACACACCTGTAATCCCACCTACTCAGGAGGCTGAGGCAGGAGAATCACTTGAGTCTAGGGGGCGGAGGTTGCAGTGAGCTGAGATCGTGCCAGTGCATTCCAGCCTGAGTGACAGAGTGAGACTTTGAAAAAAAGAAAAAAAAAGATATTTTTTATTATGAGTATATTTTGTACGTTACGTAGGACATACTAATACTAAAGAAATTTTCTCTTAAATTAAAAGTGAACTGGACATCCTGCATTTAATCTGACTACCGTACACCAAAGGGTCAGAAAATTCAGTTTTCATTACGGCAAGGAAGAACAGAAAGGAAAGCTGATTTACATGGAAAATAATCAAATTTAGATTTGATTATAATGTGGACAATTTTAATTACTGAAATGACATGGTTTATAAATTCAATTAACTGGAGCTTTTTTGTTACTTAACAGTGATCATAAAGTTCATTCAGGCTACTAAAATTTTTTTCCAGTTACAGGGCAATAAATATCCCCTAGGGCAAGTATCAACACTCTCTTGAGTGCTGGAAACAAAAGTAAAATTGATTTTAGGATTATCATTTAGTCTTGCCTGTTCAATGAAACCTATACACATCCACTTTTAATAAGACTTAGAGATAGAAAATACATAAATAATTATCTTAACAATGTTTGTTACAGTGTTAATTGTAATCCAGCCCTGGAAAAAAACTTGAATACCCAGCAAAGGGTAAAAAGTTAACCTATTATGGTAACTCATAAGACGAAATGTGATATAGTTATCATACATATCCGTATGCTTACCAAAGAAAGAGGCCCATAATAATGTAAAATAATAAAGCCATGTCCTTAATAATATGTAACATATATCCTGATTTTACAAAATACATAGAAAAAAGAACACAAAATTGTAACAAGGTAATTTCTTTTTGAGTATATAAGAAACATGATTAAAAATCAGGGGGAGATAAATAACTTTTAATTTACTTCTTAGCAAATAATTATACATATTTGCTTTGTAATAAAAATGTTTGCCATTATGATTTAGAAAGAAGTTTATTTGGGAATAGCGACCTAGGAATATCACTCGAAGGTCACATGGTTACCTGTAAAAATAAGAAAATCTTGAACCATTAAAGAGGGAATGAAGAATAAAAATATGGATTGGGGAATTGATGAAGTCAGATGTTTTCATGAAAACTTATACTGAGATCAAGGATAGGTTTAATAACACAGCAATTAAGAGAGAAATTTTAAAGTTTAACTTCTGTGTCCCTTTTCCCTGGGGGGAATAAAGTATATACTTGGATAAACTATATAGCCCTTGAATATCTGATATAGATGATTTAACCTCTGCCCTGTGTTTTTGGATTTGCCAGTTTAAGGAGAATAAGTTGTCAGGCTATATGACTGTAGAAATTTTAAAAATGCAAAACATGTCACAAAATAATTATTTATTTTGGGGTACATAAAGCCAGGGATCTAGATTTAATTTCAAACATAAATTTTAGCCAAAGAGGCATTTATTTCAGATAAAGTTTACTAAATGATCCTTGATTTCACAATACAGGTACATATGTTTATTTTTCAGTAAATATTTTTCTAAAGCTTTTTGGACATGAAAACAGGACATATGTATTAGAGTACTTCAAGTGAACATTTTTCCAGGAAAATAGAGGGTATCAACTTGATTCTGAATCAATAGAGCAAAGGTGAATTATGTCTGAAGATGCTGCTTCATTGCACGGAACAATTTATTTGAGGTACAAAGAATCATTTAAATAGATGAGTTTTAAAATGGCACTTGAGTAACTGTAATTTTAATAGTTTTTAAGTGACAAAAAATCACTCAGGGACTTACACTTCTCATAATCTTTGGTAAAACTCCTCAAGTAATAAAACAAGATGGAGAACAGTGAATGCAAGACACATTTTCCTTGGTTGCCACATACATTAACCTCAAACAAACATTTTGTTTATTTCAAAAACAGTACACATAAATTCCTCAATAGAATATACATTAACAATGATCCATCCTTATGAAATTGACTTTTTAAAGCCAATCAAAATATTAATAAATGTTTGAAATATAATCTCCTTAAAAATAAGATATATATTTTTAATATAAACATGTTTAAAGCATTCCAATCATTTTCAAAAACCATATTGCTATTTTTCACTGTAAATGGAGTTTGCATATTCTTTGAGTGGAAACAGGAAGAATATGCAATTTTATGTAATACATTGTCTTAAATTCAGAATATTTACATAATTTTATTTAGTGTTTCATAAGCTTCACACACACACACACACACACACACACATATATATATATATACATATATATATATAAAACATGAGATTCAACTGTGAAAAATATTTTCTAAATGGTTTTCCACTGCTTTTGGACTCTTACCAGATGCTCATAAATGGACCAAAATGGGCATAGAATTGGAGACAGAGATTTTATATGTGTGTTAGGGTGTAAGTCATGTGCCTGATTAAAGAGGAAAAAAATAACAAGAAGCAATTATGTCCAAAGACAGCCTCAGAAAAGCAAACAGGGCAACTCCATGTGGTCCCTTCCCATGGTCATGAAAATGCAAACCCAGGAGCCACCAGCAAACTTGATCAGTATCACAGTTAGACATTTAGAACATTTATTCCCTAAACTGATCATTCTCGTGCAGCCTTAGAGAGCTTCATCATATAAATGTGCCAAAACAATACCATTTCCACATGTGATATCAGCTGCTTTATGGTATCATCATTAATATATTTTGAAAGGAAAAAGTGATTTTCTTTTTACAAATAAAGCATTTAAAAGTACTGCTTTTCAGACAGATAGAAACAGAAGCCCTAAAATTTGAGTTTGTGCCCACTCTAGGTCTATGTATATAATATTTTCTTATTTTTGAATAAAACTACGACGAATTGTCCAATATGCTTTTCATATATCAGAACTCCATAGGAGGACAGAGTATAACGTGCAATGAGGAAGGGCGATTGGATTCTTATCAGTGCCCAATGTTATTCATATTGGGGATGATTGGAAGAGAAAATATCAAAGTGTATGATATCTTTAATGAATACATTTTAAAATAACTATTAAAGTATTTGAATTAGGGAAAATATCAACTATATATTCAAAGAGTTATATTTGGGACTAAAAAATTTGACTTAACCAGTCTTAACATATAGAACATGTTTGCCTTAAATATCCCTGCTTGGAAACTCCAATATTCATAATGTTGTAACTAAAATAATATTGCAATTATAATATTCCATAATTTTGCATCACGATTATTATGGAATATTCTGTAACACTGCAATTATAATATTCCCTAATATTATACAATAATTGCAATATTCCCTGATATTACATAATACTTACAATATTATGAGTAATTGGAATATTGCAATATTCTAACCATTATTTCAACCATTCTCTAAACCTTTTATTTAAATAATCGCTAAAACCTCTTTGTTTGCTTTGGCATTGCCCCTTTTGACATCCTTGCTTTCATTTCCATTGTGGACATAAATAAAGACCACACAAATGAGAACAAGCAGAAATTTCATTCTGAGCTTGGTAAACTAAGGGCATCAGCATCTTGTGTTTCACAGAGACTTAAAGGCGGCAGGGGAGTGGAAAGCTTCACAGTGAATAAAAAGGGAAACCTTCAGGTTTGTCCTGATTACGGCAATTGGCATACAGAAGTAGCAGTCTCCAACTCATTCTACCAGATTAAATTTACTAATATAGATGGTGTAGAGCTAAGGATTCATTTTATTTTCAGCAACACTTTCAATAACACTAAAAGTAATAGAATAATTTGTGATCATGGCTATCACGGGGATTATTGGTTTAAGAATTTCTACCAACTGTTTTCATTCAACTTGCCATATTATATCCAAAAAATTCAGACATCTCATTTATCAAGCATAGCTAATGTTTTCTTTTTCGCAATATGTTATTGATTGATCTCCTATATTTTTTGGTCTTTGCATATTCTGTACTTATTAAATTAGTATATGCATGCATTTCATACCCCTCAACAACAGTAATTACAAACAAATTAATTATTATTTTTGATTGCATTTTAAAACAAGTTATCCAATGCCTATTCTAGCATATAAATTTGTACAGACACTCGTTGAGGCATTCATTATATATGATACATACATCTGCCTTATATTTTAACTATATTGTAATATCTTCAAGAACAAAGAAATAATCTCGTTTAAATTTCTATTCTCCAAAATGCAAAAATAGTACTAACTCATACGTACTCAATAAACGTTTCTTAATTGAATAAGTGAAACTTTCATAAGAAATGGTATTTTCTCTTTTATTGTTGGTTTTTTTATTTTTTGACTTTTCAATAATAGTCTTTCTTATTGGCGTGAGATGGTGTCTCATTGTGGTTTTGTTTTCATTTCGCCAATGATTAGTCATGTTGAGCATTTTTTTTCTTTTTTTTGGCTGCTTGTATATCTTCTATTGAGATGTCTGTTCATGTTTTTCTTGATATTTTAATGGGGTTATTTGTTTTTTGCTTGTTAAGTTCTTTATAGTTTCTCAATATTAGAACTTTCTCAAATGCATAGTTTGTGAACAAATTCTCCTATCCTGTAGGTTATCTGTTTATTCTGTTGACAGTTTATTCTGCTGTTCAAATGCTCTTTAGTTTAACCGGGCCTCACTTGTGAATTTTTGTTTTGGTTGCAATTGCTTTTGAAGACGTAGACATACATTATTTTCCAAGGCCAATGGCCAGAATAGTGTTTCCTAGGATTTCCACTAGGATTATTACAGTTTGAGGTGTTATATTTAAATCTCTAGTCCATCTTGAGTTAAATTTTGTATACGGTGAAATGTAGGAGTCCAGTTTCACTCTTTGCATATAGCTAGTTAACTATCCCAGCACCATTAATTAAGGACTTCTTTCCTGATTGCTTATTTTTGTCAACTGTATTGAAAATCAGACACCTGTAGGTGTGTGGCTTTATTTCTGGTTTTCTACTTTGTTCCATTGGTTTATGTTTCTAGCTTTTTTTGTTTGTTTGTTTGTTTTAACCAGTGTTATGTTGTTTTGACTACTATAGCCGAATAGTGTAGTTTAAAGTCAGGTAATGTGATGCTTCTGGCTTTGTTCTTTTTGCTGAAGATTGCTTTGACAATTTGGGCTCCTTTTTGCTTCCATATAAATGTTTGCATAGCTTTTTGTAGTTCTGTGAAGAAAATGACATTGTTGCATGATAGAAAGAGCATTGAATCTATAGCTTGCTTTGGACTGTATTGCCATTTTAATGATATTGATTCTTCCAATTCATGAGCGCGGGATGTTTTTCCATTTGTTTGTTCCAATCTATGATATCTTTTATCAGTGTTTTTTGTTCCTGATTCAGACTTGGAAGGTTGTGCATTTCTGGGAATTATCCATTTCTTCTGGATTTTCTAGTTTGTTAATATAGAGGTGATCATAGTAGTCTCTGAGGATCCTTTGTATTTCCGAAGGACTGGTTGCAATGTCACCTTTGTTGTTTCTGATGGTGTTTATTGGATTTTTCTCTCTTTTTCATTGTTGAGCTAGCTAGTGTTTTATAGACCTTGTTTCTCCTTTCCACAACCCACTTTTGGGTTAGTTGATTCTTTGTGTGGATTTCTGAGTCTCAGTTTCATTCAGTTCTGCTCTGATTTTAGATATTTCTTTTCTTCTGCTAGACCTGGGGTTAGTGTGTTCTTGTCTTTCTAGTTCCTCTAGGTGTGATGTCAGATCATTAATTTGAGATCTTTCTAATTTTTTGAGTAGGCGTTTAGCACTATAAACTTTTCTCTTAGCATTGCTTCTGCTGTATCCTAGAAATTTTGGAATGTCTGTTTTAATTTATTTTAAAGAATTTTTTTATTTCTGCTTGAATTTTGTTATTTATCCAAAAATCTTTCAGGATCAAGTGGTTTAACTTTCATCTAATTGTATGGTTTGGGAGGATTTTTTGGGGGGGGTATTGATATCTATTTTTATTCCACTGTAGTACAAGATTATGGTTGGTAAGATTTTGGTGTTTTTGAATGTATTGAGACTTGCCTTATGGCTGATCATGTGATTGATCTTGGAACATGTTCTATGTGTGGACGAGAAGAATGTGTATTTTTTGGGTGATGAGTAGAGTGTTCTGAATCTATTAGGTCCTATTGTTTAAGTGTCAATTTTATGTTCAGAATTTCTTGTTAATTTTCTGCTTCAATGATCTGTCAAATGCTGTCAGTGGGGTGTTAAGTCCCCCACTATTATTGTAGGGTGGTCTAAGTCCTTTTGTGAGTCTAGAAGTAGTTGTTTTATGAATCTGGTTGCTCCCATTTTGCATGCATGTATATTTAGGATAGTTAATTCTTCTTGTTGATTTGAACCCGTTGACATTATGTAATGCCCATCTTCATGCCTTTTTATGTTCTTGGTTTAGTCTTTTTTATCTGATACAAGAGTAGTAATATCTTATCATTCTTATTTGCTCTTTTTTGCTTTCCATTTGCATGGTGGATTTTTATTCAACCCTATACTTTGAGCCTATTGGGCATCTTTACATTTGAAGTAGGTCTCTTGAAGACAGCAGACAGATGGCTTTTATTTTTTATCCAACTTGCCATTCTGTCCCTTCTAAGTGGGGCATTTAGGCTGGCTTACATTCAAGGTTAATATTGAGATTTGAAGTTTTGTTCCTATTGTGAGGTTGTTAGGCTGGTGGCTTTATAGGGTCTGAGGGCTATGTACTTAAGCATGTTTTTGTGGTAGGAGGTATTGTTCTTTTGTTTACACGTTTAAAACCCTTAGGGATCTATTGTAAAGCTTGTCTTATGGTAACCAACATAAGACAAGTTCTGTTAGTACTTGCTTGTCTGGAAAACATTTTATTTCTCCTTGACTTAGGAAGCTTAGTTTGGCAGGATATGAAATTCTTGGTTGGAATTTCTTTTCTTTAAAAATGCTTAAAATAGACTCCCAATCTCTTCTGGCTTGTAAGGTTTCAGCTGAAAAGTCTGCTGTTAGCCTGATGGGGTTTCCTTTGTATTTGATCTGACCATTTTCTCTAGCTGCCTTTAAGGCTTTCTAACTCAGTGTTGACCTTGGACAGTCTGGTAACTATATACATTGGTCATGTTTGTTTTGTATAATATCTCATTGGTGTTCTGTGTATTTATTGTATCTGGATGTCAACCTCTAGCAACATTAGGGATATTTTCATTAATTGTTCCATCAAGTATATTTTCTAGGTTTTTAACTTTTTCTTTCTCTCTCAGGAATACCAATACATTGTAGGTTTAGTCATGTTATATAATCCCATATTTCTAAAACACTGTTTTTTTAACATTCTTTTTTATTTTTGTCTGAGTGAGTTAGTTTGAAAGACCTTTAAGCTCTGAAATTCTTTCTTCTGCTTGGTTCAGTCTATTGATAAAACTTTCAATTGTATTATAAAAACTCCTTAAATGAGTTTTTTAACTCCAGAAGTTCAGAATACTTTTTTTTTTTTTTTTTTTACTGTTTATCTCTTCCTTCATTTCTTGGATTGCTTTATAAGTTTATTTATGCTGATTTTCAACTTTGTCTTGGATCTCATTGAGCTTCCTGCAATCCATGATTTAATTCTTTATCTGTCATTTTGAGTTTCCATTTCAGTTAGGGATCATTGCTGGAGAGCTAGTGCGGTCTTTTTGTGGTTTCACTGTATTCAGATTTTTCATGGTGCCAGAATTCTTGTGCTGGTTTCTTTGCAAATGGAGAAACTAGCACATCTCATTTTTGTATTTAAAAAATGGTATCGTCTTGACTTGTAATATCAGCTAAGAAAACACAAAAATGGGAGTAGAAGTTGCTAAAATTAATGAATACCAGAACTATAATACATACTAATGTGATTGGTGGCATCTGAGTGTTGGGAGGGCAAAATTTGGGTCAGGTCAAATCTATACAATGTGAAAGATTTTAGATGTGGGTTATAATGTCAGATAAACTTTCGTTGTTGTCTATCATCTATTTAATATGAGAGTTTGAAAGGCTTTGCCTTGATTTGGCAAAAATTTTTTAAACGTCAAATATTGTTGTTAAAGAGTTAACTTCTACTGAGATAAACATAAATTTGGAAAGATTAGTCAAGGAAAGAACCCATCATCAGTGACAAAGTTATATTTGTGTGATTTCTAGACCTCTTCCAAACATTGATTTTGTTGAAATGTTCTTTCTTATTGCAAACTTAGCATTTAACTTCGTGTTGCTTAAAATATAAATGTGTGTAACTCCAACATTGGACTACTACTGAGCATTAAAGGGTATTTAAAGAGCATTAAAGAGCATTTTCGGCACCCTTATATCATTGTTGAATGTTGTCAGTGTTTCTACTCTTTGGAATAGACAAGGTGAACAACAAACTAATTTGTATTTAGCTGTTTTTACTGTGTTTGTTTCATATTATGGATAATTTATTTATTTTTGGCCCATGGAAGTGGTTCAGGCCTGTGCTCCCAGATTTTGGGAGGCCAAGGGAAGAGCATTGCTTGAGGCCAGGAGTTCAAGACTAGCCTGGGAAACATAGCAAGACCCCATCTCTACGAAAATAAAAATTAAAAATTAGCCAGGTGTGGTGGTGCACACCTGTGGTTGCAGCTGCTTGGGAGGCTAAAACAGGAGGATTGCATGAGCCCACGAGTATGAGGCTGCAGTAAATTATAATCATGCCATACCACTCCAGCCTGGTTGACAGAGTGAGTGTCTCAAAAATTAAAAATAAAAGTATAATTATTTTAGGCCTTTTTGTTGAATTGTTTGCTATTAGTCTATGCATATTTTAAAAGTAAGTGTAATGGTTAATTTTGCAAGTGAAATATGTCTTTTTAACTATATACTTTTTAAAATCTTCTTTTCTATTTTTATATTATGCTTTAATTCAGATAAAAATTTACCCAGCATCATGATCGTATAATATGGTTATATCATTGGGTACTTCATGTGGACTTATATTTTATTTCATTTTATTTTTATAAGGAAAGGATTTAGCTTTCTCTACCTTATTTTGCTGGGAATGGTTAGAAAAACCATTATTTTATGTCTCATGATTGTATTTTGCTCAAATTGTTCTTCATTATAATTAGATTTGACCTTTCAGAAAACCTTAGAATAATACTTACAAGTATAAATGCTTCTTATGATTTGTGAATAATTCTGAAAGTCTAAATAGAATTTCAGAAAACATGAATTACTTTGAGAATAATTATATTATTTTTAAATTAACAATAAATAATATTTTAGAAAATGTCTAAAACAAAATAGAATGAAAAGTAATCTCATTTCAAAGTGCTTTAAATTTATATATTGCTCATATGTAAATTTTAACTATCATTCAAATGTATAAATTTTAAATGTCTGGCAATATTAATGTTAGAGTGAAGGTCAGGATTGTGACTAAGATTGCTTTTTATTAATTGACTTAGTTTTTTATTTAATACCTTTACATTGCTATCATATTAATATTTTAGGTTTTTAAAATTTGTACTTATACATTTTCTATGTCAGTCATATTCATTTACTTATTGTCTCTTCCAACATATGACAGTTTTCAGTGATTTGTATGTGTGTATGTTTTTGTGCCTATGATTGGAAAGTTCGGATGACTACTGATGACTCACTTTATAAAGGGTCCTTTATTTTGAATATCCAATCTTTTCTCATGGTTAGACTAGAATTTAAGGCATTAATACTATGGATTTGAAGTGCTCTTCTGATTAAATCGTATTACGGGATACCTAATATCATCATGACTTATTATTACTTGGCTATGGTATCTCTCCCGGGATTCTCTACTATAAATTTACCATTTTTTTTTCTTAGTATTTTGCTTTAGTTACTAAGGTTGGCTGAGGAATATCAAAGACATATGTTAAGGCCATTACATTAATAAATATTTTGGACTTTTTACTTAGAGGCTATATGAATAACCTGTTTCTTCAAGATTCAACCACCAGTTTCAGAAGTCATAGTTAGATTTTTACTTGAAGCAATTGTCACTGAGGTTTAAAAAAGTGATGTTCTATTTTACTCATAAATTCTATAGGCATTATTTGGAATTCACTTTTAAGGAATATGAGTCATTTCTCCCCCATTTCTTTCTTTCTTTCTTTAAGTATTTATTAATATCAGTGTGGGCTTATGAATATCTATTGTATCTTTATGTTTAAGATGCAATATTACTGCAGTTATATTTTGCTCACATTATTCCAGCTTTTAGTCAATGGGAGCACGTTCATGTTGCCTCCTGTTTCAATACACCACTTTAAATAGTGAAATATTAAAATTCCTACCAGTAATATCAGGAAGAAGGATACTCACCAACAAAAAGGATAAATATTTTAAAAACATAAAAACAAAAAAACAAAGTATTTAGTTCTATTCTCACTGTAATTATCTCAGTCTCTCACAGTTCATTTCTATTATGACAAGAATAGTTTTGAAAAAATAAAATAATTTTCTGGGAATATATAAATATTCTATCACAATTACAGCTGGAAACTGAAGATATTTCATTTCATATCCCTAAACATCATAACTTGACATAACATTTTAAAATAGGAACTGGCTGATTTCAAAATCTATATAGGAGAGTAAATATATGTGATTTGCTAGTTATATTAAATAGAAGAATTTAAGGGACTATATTAAATAGGTTTAAACTATACCATAAAAATATTCTATAAAAACACATCGTATGAGTTCAGAAAAAGACAAATAGACCAGTAAATAAGAATAAAATATTCTGAAGACAGATCCAAGTGGGAACTTAATATGTCATAAAAATGATATCCAGTTTAGAGGGAGGAAATAGTAGTTCATTCAAATAAAAAATAATATTGTAAAAATCACATATGTATTAGGGTTCTCCAGAGAAACAGCACACACACACCACACACACACACACACACACACACACACACACAGAGAGAGACAGAGAGAGAGAGAGAGAGTTCTTATAAGGAATTGGCTCACATGATTATGGAGGTTGGAAAGTCCCAAGCTCTACAGAGGGAGTTGACAAGCTGAAGACCCAAGAGAGGCAATGGCATAGGCTTAGACCAGGAGGGCTGATGGTCTGGTTCCTGTCCTGATGTTTGAGTCTGAATCCTCTCTTGCTCAAGGGAGGGTCAGCTTTTATGTTCCAGTCAGGCCTTCAACTGACTGGATGAAGCTTGCCTCCATCAGGGAATGCATTCTGATTTTTCTCAGTTTATCAACTTAAATGTCAATCTTACTCAAAAACACCTTCACAGAAACACCCAGAATAATGTTTGAACAAGTATCTGGGCACCCTGAAGCCCATTCAGGACACATATGACTAATCATCATAATTTATTAATAAATCACATGTGTTTCAATATTTTAAATATAATAAAAATAGTGATAAAATATTAGAAGAAAATACAGAACATTTGTTACATTGTTAATAAGGATAAATTTTTAAAACAAATTGTAAAAGCCAGAAGTCTAAAGGAAACTATGGAATAACTTAACATAAAAATAAATTATTTCTAGAAAGAAAAAAAAACATGAACATGTTCTTGGACAACATTGTGAAATGTATTGCTCATTTGTATTTTTAAGATTAATGTTCAATAGACTTTTTAATGTAAAAGTTAACCATAAACACTTTACAGATCTCTGAATTCAATATTTTATTTTTAATATTTTAGAAGCTGACTCCACCAGAGACCCGATTCTTGAACTTTTAATGCACATTTGGAAATCCCGTGTTTAGTTGGCTTAGATTATAAACTGCAGGAGAACAAGAAGTGTATCAATTATGTTCCAGTTTCTAGGATGTAGTAAGTATCGATAAATATTTGAATTACTGGATCAATGTTCTCAGGTATAGAAAGTGCTTACTCCCTAGACAAATGTGGCACTTTCTTTTTTCACAGTTAATAAATATGCTGTTTATTGTTTGCAACTTATTTTCTGCTGAAAAATTCTATTTAATATTGTATAGGTAAATGAAAATGTGTGTAAAATTTGACTGAATGAATCCCACAAGAATGCGCCTTACGTATTTGAAATAAGTTAAAGGGGAAAAGAAAAACTCATGAATAGGGTTGACTTTTTTTTTTTACTATTTTGTGTGTGTGTGTGTGTGTGAGCAATTCAAAGGGAATAGATCTGAAACTTACAGGAAGCCATATGCTCATCTTTGTTGACTGTAGACAGAACCTTTTCTTTTGCTAGTCATGCATGAGAAAAGAAACAAAAATGATGCTTCTAATATATTATTTTCAAAAACCTGCCAGTTTTATTATTCTACTAACTGCTACCAGTTAGTAAAATAATTTATTATGGTGAAAAGCTAAACATAAAATAATACAATTCTGTTTTCTTCAACATCTTAATAAAAATTGCATTTTCATGCTTTACATTTTACTAACCTAGCTTGAAATTGTATTGTTTAAGGAATCCTGTAAGACTTTCTCATATACCAAATACTATCACCATTAAACTAAGGTTGCATGTTATTTTATTATGAAAAAGATTTGAATAATAATTTCTAGCATAAGAAAACTAAACCAAAAATTTACCTTTTATACAACTCCTACTGCAAAACTTATTCAAAAGAGAAGGTTCACTTTATTTGAGTTTTGTAATGAGGCTACAAATAAAGGGACCTCATCTCCTGTGATGTGTGTGTGTATGTGTGTGTGTGTGTATGTGTGTGTGTGTATAGGTGTTTGTGATACCAGTTTCCCTATGTCTGCAATTTCCCTGTTAACTTCAAGTTTATTTCATGTATACAATACTTAGTTGAGTATAGAAATATGATACTATGTGAAGGAAAGGACATTTAATAAAATATACATATGTAACTAACCTGCACAATGTGCACATGTACCCTAAAACTTAAAGTATAATAAAAAAAAATCACGAAGTCAAAAATGGGTACAGGTTCAATCAAAGATTTTAAAGTAGATATCCAGAAAATTGTTTATGTATTTTCAAACACTGTTTTCTTCTCTTTTTGTTAACTTTGTTTCCTCCCCTTCTGTTATGTCTTTCTCACGTTCTTCTCAGCTCTTCTAGTGGATCCACAAGCAAAAGGGAAGAGGTATGTGGAGTGTAAAATAAGAGCTTCTGGAGTTATTCCAGAAGAAAATCATATAAAGTTGTCATCAAATTTAGCTCTCTGACTCATTGAACATTGTTAGGAGTATACTTTATCAAGAGAAATAACTCAATTTATCTGTACTGTCTTGAATAAATTACCTTCTTAGAAAATCCCTTTCTTCATTTTTTTCTTTGTCTAATTACTCCCAGGAAGAAATATCTTATTAAGACAATTGTTTGGAGTTTGGATTTTGTCTTCCCTTACTACCCAGCGTTTAACCGAAATTTAATTGTTGTTTTTGATATGTATGTGTTTGTTATTTTTCTGTGTATATTTTTCTAGGGGAGTGTGAAGGCAGAGAAAATAAAGCACAGCCTATGAAATTATAGCTTGCAGTTTTGCCAGAATGATGCTCTATTAATGCTCAGTGCCTCTTAACTTCTCACTTAAAACCCAATTGGGAAAAATCACCAACTAATAGGTATTTATTATATTAATTACAGTGTATCATGGGCATTGACCAAAACAAGCATTTTTACTCCCAGAAAATGGCATCTTAAACAGTCCAGTTTTCTTGAAAACTTAATAATTCTTCATAATGGATGCTCTTTTTTGATTTCTTTTTATTACTAAACCACATGTTTCTATATTAACTTGTTTCTATGTTCCCTTTTCATCCCTTATTTCTGGCATCATGATGCTAAATTGGATGAAGACTTGATGAAACAGTTTTTATTGTCTTTTAATATCAGGGTTTATGTTTTGTTCTGGAATCACTCTTAGCCTTGCGTGTTTTATATTAGCTCTGTAACTCCCCAACCTCACAAGGAAACCAAGGCTTCTTTCACATTTCAACACAATAATCTGCGGTCCCTTCTGGTCCAGGATTCCAAGCATCTGTGTGTCCCTTCCCTCAAGATGGAATTGTCTCTGGTCTCCACATTTGTCTCAGTTGGAAGTCACATTCAAATATTTTTTATTTATAGCTGTCGTTGGAACTTCCAAACTCTGTGTCCTCAATAGCCTCCATGCCTAGAGTTTTATAATCCTTTCTCTCCTAAAACTTTTTCTCTCAATTTTGAATTTCCTAGAACTTCAATCGCAAGAGGAATCCCTCACTCCCATCTGTATTCCAGGAGCACTGTCCCCACATCTGCTTCCTCTGATGTTCCCTTTCCATCCCAGTCTTCTTCAATGTAGACACTGCTGAATTTTGAAAACCTTGAACTGCTCCCTAAATGCTTTCCTTTTCTTCTCTACCACATGTAGGGAAACGCTGTCATCTTTGCTTTCTTTGGTTTCTCATATACCCTTCCAAATGAAGCTCAGTGAAACTCCTTAGCAAACTATATGGGATCAGTATTTCTGATTCTGACAAATTATTTTTCCAAATAAATGCTGCCCTTATTAAGAATATTTTGAATATTTTTATATTTTAATATTTCATTAAATATCTTCTATGTATTTAATATTCTTAAACTATGTATGTAACCTTACCTACTGCTCTGTCACAGTATGCCAGCTTTCTTGTACATGCCTCTGTGGTTTTCCAAGCAATTCTCCAATTCTCTGACGCCATTTGGTTGTCTTACAATTCAGTTAAATTCTGACACTTAACTCCCTGGAGTTAGTACAGATCCCCAAAATTAACAGCTCAGTCACACAAAACTGATCCACTTCAGACACTAACCACAAATGTGTGCCCAGGCTAAGTAATCTGCTGAGTACAAATTCAGAGGTTCTCATGACCTTCTCTCAGGTTTGGTAATTTGCTATAACGACTCACAGAACACAGGAAAATGCTATCCTTACTGTTACAGGTCATTGTAAAAGATCAAAGTACAGCTAGATGAAGAGGTACATAGGGCAAGGTGTGGACAGGTCATTCAATCTCCATGGATTTGGGGTGTGCCACCTTCCTAGCACTTAGATGTATTTGCCAACTTGGAAGCCTTCTTTGCCTCATTGTTTCAGAGTTTTTATTGAAAATTTATTTAGCAGGCATAATTAATTAAATCTTTAGCCAATCTAGTCTTGTGCCAACCACCAAATGTCAGCCAAAGGTGGCCAATTCTTCAAATCATGTTCAAATATGGCAAACACAGCTGTAACCAAAACAGCTGTTTCTGTACCTCACTTTTGTTTTATGTACCTCACTTTCCTTTCCCTGTCCATAAATCTCTGACCACTAAGCAGGCTGAAATTTCCCTGAAGCTATTCGGGTTTGGGGCTGCCCATTTTACAAATCATTCTTTGCTCAATTAAACTCTGTTAAATTTAATTTGTTTACTGTTTTTCTTTTCACAGAGGCTATTCCGTATACTTACTAGAATATATGAGTTTTACAAATTGGAATGATAGGCATTGATATTGACACATCTGGAGAAGGAGTGATCAAAGAGAAGTGGCCCTGGAGCTCTCCCCATGAAAAGATTAAATTTTTAAGAAGATGCTGCTCACCTAAAACTTATCAATAAAGTCAACTATAGTTTCCAATTGGTAAATCATTGTATGAAAAAACAATAAAACTATGAAATAAAAGTAATAAGTATTCTAATGCCTTTCAGCTTGAATAAAATTGCAGTCAATAATTTGGTGCCAGAAATGATGTCATCATTGTAAAAAAACACTTGTGGAGAAGAATACTGTAACAAGACACATTTTCATTCAACTCCAAATATCGAAATGTGTCTATTCATTTCTTGTTTTTAAGCCTAACTGGTTTACCTCAGCAAGTAGGCTGACTTATGAAGGTAAGTCATGAACAGTAGCACTTTTCTAAATGGTAATCATTATTCTCTTTGATATGGTCGTCCATATACTAGCTGTTCTTTCTCAGGTATTCCCTTCCTTCCGCTCTACTGCATTATTCAGTGTTATTTCTGAAGGCCATGAAGTCCTAAAGTTTGTTGCTATTTTGCTGTTGGTTTTACGACCATGTGCACTTGTTATAATGAGAGGCATGGTATCTTCCATTTTTATTTTTTATTTTATTTTACTTCTTATGAGACAGAGTCTCACTCTGTCACCCAGGCTAGAGTGCTGGCATGACCTCTGCTCACTGCAACATCCACCACCCAGGTTCAAACGATTCTCCTGCCTCAGCCTCCCGAGTAGCTGGGATTACAGGCACCCACCACCACGCCCAGCTAATTTTTGTATTTTTAGTAGAAACTGGTTTCACCATGTTGGCCAGGCTGGTCTTGAACTCCTCACCTCAGGTGATCCGCCCGCCTCGGCCTCCCAAAGTGCTGAGACTACAGATGTGAGCCACTGCGCCCAGACGTATGTTCCATTTATAAAATGGCACTGGATTCCATTTATACTATTGGTTTTGCCAATTGCCAATTGACTTAATTGGAAAACTCCTCAGTGAATAAAATCTCAATGGCCTAGGCAGGGTATGACTCCTCTTTCAATACTAAGTTGTAGGCATAAATCATTCCCAAAAGAAGATTTACATTAAAGTGTTGGTTATTAGTAATTATTTATTACAAATATTATATAATTAATAACTATTATACATTTATATGCTACTGATATAGTAATTATTTATTTAATAGATAATATATGCTAATATTATATAATTATCATCTAATAATTATAATATAATATATTAATTATATTAATTAATTAATAATATTAATATAATCATTTTTCATTGTTAGCTGTTATGTCCTTAGTTATATCTTCCATTTATACCATTTTTACCATAGGATGTGGTAAATGTTGTTGAATAAACCAACAGATGAGTAAATGCATAGATTTCAAATTTGAGACCATCCTACTATAATATATTGTTTATCTTTCAAAGAAGGAAGTAACTGGAAGCTTAATAGATTGGAAAAAGTTCAGCTTTCAAACTTAATTGCAGAAGAGAAGATGATGGTTAGTTAAAGTCAAGGAAAATGAAATGCTTATAAAAATGTATTAGCAAAGATAAAGACTGTTACTGGAAGAAAAAAAAGTTTTTTGCTAGTTTAAATTTTTTGTTACCTGGGTGAATATCCTTTTAACCAATGAAGAACCTCAAGAATGAATAATGTATTTTTGTAACCCAAATTATGATGTTACAGATAGAAGAGAAGTTATGAACCTCTATCTTTACTCATAAATATATATAAATAAAATTCCAATTAGCACTTCAGTGAGAGGATCACTAAAAATGATAGCATATCACAAATTACTTGGAACTGCAAAGCATGCTAATTCATATTTTGGAATAAATTCTAGGTTTGTCAGAATGAACTTAAATCAGTTTTCATATTTCCCTCTTTAGAGTGACTTTCAAATCATGAGATATTATCAGAATAATTTCCATCAAAGACAAAATTAATCTTCATTTTTCAGTTTAATGTCTTGCCAGTAGATAAGTTGTATCCCTTTAGATTAACGGCTAATTATTTCACAAATAAAATTCAAGTTGTTACTGTCTGTGGACATACCATCTAAATTAAATTACTCACTGCTTTTGAAAAACCTAAGTTATTAATGTGCACATATCAGAGTACTTTTTTATTTATCTTCATTATAAATGATTTATGCAATTCATTAGATTGTGGTAATTATCATTTAAGACTCATAAAGCTCTTGTTTATGCAAGCTTTGCTGGTGTTGAAGTGCATACTGATTTACAAGATAGGTTTGGTAAGTTGTATATACACAATAATGAAGCCATTCAAATTATCTTTAAAAGATAACTAGATGCAATGTGTTTTATTTCTGATAAGACTATACCTGGAAATGACTTATAAAATAATTATTATGTAATGGGTGTACTGGGGAGTTAGAGAGAAAAAAAAAGACTGGGTCGATTTTGGCTTATTATCTCCAGATTAAACATAATGCTGGAATAGGTGACTAGGGCTTCCCAAACACACAATCTAAGTTAACTGAAATTACCTCTGGGTGCTGCGTTTTTCAAATGCTGCAGTTACCATAATGAATGTCTATTTTGTCCATAAGCCAAAACAGTCACTAAGTTACAAAACACAGATTTTTAAATATATCCTAACACATTAATGTTGTATGCTTTCAGTTTCAACATTTAAAATGTTTACTTCTTTGCTTTCAAATACACTCCTTGATCCACTAACTTAAAGATTACATTCACTTTTCTATTATTGGTTAAAAGTGGCAACGTGTAAGAGTTAAGATAAAATTTTCATAATTGTGACAGAAAACATCATCACTCTCATAAGTCTATTTTTTATATGAAATTCAGAACAATAGCCTAAGTAAGTATTTGTATTTTGTGATAGTCCTGAGGTCATTGTTTCTTGCTGGATTGCAGTAAGAGCTCACTTTCAGATCCTCAAGTCCACCTGCACCCTTGGCCTACAGCCCTCTTCCTCCAGCCTCAAAGCCAGCACTGAGAATTGAATCTTTGACTCTCCCCTCGGCCTCCCCGGCCAGTTGTCTCTCTTACTCCAGCTAGAGAAACTCTGCTTTTAAGAGCTCAGGTGATTAAATTGGATCCACTGGCATAATCCAAAATGACATTTCTATTTCAAAGTCTAGATGCTTAATTATATTTGCAAAGTTCCTTCAGCATTACCTAGATTAGTGCTTAATTGCTAAGGTATAGGAATCCTGGGTTTGGCATGTTCAGAATTCTGCCCATTGTACCTCTGTATGTATTTTTGTTTTAAAGTTTTAAAATTTATTTTTCCAGCTTTATTGAGATATAATGAACACATAAAAATTGCATATATTTAAGATGTACAATATAATGATCTGATGCACTTATACATTGTAAAATAATTACTACATCAAATTAGTTAACATATATACAGTTGAGGGATGCTTTTACATCCGATCTGAAAATCTGTTTTTTAACTCAGTGTTAGGACATTTATTTTTCAAATTACTAGTAAGCTTTGGGAAATTCTCAGCATGGATATTCGTGTTCTATTTATTACATTTGTTTTGCTCTTTTCTTTGTCTTTTGTATTATTAGAATATTTTTATTTTCACCATCTACTATTATATATAGTTATTATAGTTATACATTGTTTCTTTTTTTTTTTTTAGTGGAACTTCTAGGGGTTGAAATATAGATTTTTACCTGAAGAAGGCCTACTTTTAATTATGTTATACCATTACAAGTATAATACAGGAAGTTAACAACGTTATGCTTTGATTCCTTGACTGTATGATTTTGTGTCACATATTTTATTTCTAGATATGCTATAAATTCTGCTAAACACTGTATTACTTTTTGCTTCAGTAGGTACTTGTGAAATACATTGAAAATGAGAAAAATGTCTTCTATTTACCCCATTTTACTATTTTTCACATTCTTCTGTCTTTTCTTTGAAGTGCTCAGCTGGAATATTTTCTTTCACCCACCAAACTATCTTCCACAGTTATTGTCATTCATTCTGTTAAAAATTCTCTCTTCATGCTTGTCTCAAACAAAGTACTCATTTTGTCTCATTTTTGAAGCACAATTTCATTGGTTTGTTTTATCTTCCAGCACTTTAGAGAGATCATTCTCTTATTTTCTTAGAAAATATTTCTCAGAAAATATTTCTATTTTCTAAGATCCTGAAGTTATTTTTTCCTTCATTCTTGTGGATGTAAGGTATTATTTTTCTCTGGTTACTCTAGGGTCTTTCTCTTAATCACTCTTTTCAGCAATTTATTACAACTTTTTGTGATTTCTTTGCATTTTTTTCTCTGAGGCAGGATAGGTAGTCAAGGAAATAATCATGTCCTTGGGATGTGGCAACCATGTCCATAGCACTGTCAACACCAAGCGCCCGAGCACTGGCATTGCGGTCATGCTCATCTATGCAGAACTATCTCCAGTAGGGACTTCTGCTACTATCTATCTCCTGCAGGGAGAATGCACATTTTGGGTTTTCTTGTCCTCAAACTGACTCTTTGCTCATTATAATAATGAAGACACACCCCTGGATAGAGATTGATGATGCTAATGAGCCACACAATGTGTGAACAAGCACGTACAGCTACTGTCCATGTGCACCTAGAGGGCCACCCACAACATGCTTACCAGTAACACCTATTACTCCCTTATGAATAATCATGTAAGACTCCCATAAAGGGGGTATCCCTAGTGCCAGTCTTTGCTGACTCTCAGTCAGCCATCTCTAACTTGTCTTTCAGAGCATACTTTCACTTTTACACTTAGCTTTCAGAATGTTCTTTCTCTTTTCCAAGAAACTGATTTCTACCACTTTCTACTGCTGTGCGTCTCTTTAAATTCTTTTAAACCAAGAAGACAAGAACCGAGGTCTCTCAATTGCCATCAACATTTCTGTTTTGTTGAACATCTTAGACTTGTGGTTTTCTAGTCTTAATACAATTAAGAAATTTTCAGCCACTATTATCGGAATTATTTTTCACATTCCTCTGACCTCCAGTTTGGGTCTACAGGGAAACATAAATTACACCATGACATATTATCTCACAGCATGATGGTTAAGACAGAGTGTCAAATTGATTGGATTGAAAGATGCAAAGTATTGATCCTGAGTGTGTCTGTGAGGATGTTGCCAAAGGAGATTAACATTTGAGTCAGTGGACTGTGGAAGGCAGACCCACCCTTAATCTGGGTGGGCACCATCTAATCAGCTGCCAGCACGGCTAGAATATAAAGCAGGCAGAGAAACGTAAAAAGGTGAGACTGACTTAGCCTCCCAGCCTACATCTTTCTCCTCTGCTGGATGCTTCCTGCCCTCGAACATCGGACTCCAAGTTGTTCAGCTTTGGGACTCAGACCGGCTTCCTTGCTCCTTAGCTTGCAGACAGCCTATTGTGAGGCCTTGTGATTGTATGAGTTAATACTACTTAATAGTATTAACTATTAGTTCTGTGCCTCTAATACACTCAGATCAAAGACATTTCATTTTTCATTTTTGATAGTTTTTATTGCTATGTGTTCAAGTTCACCAATCTTTCATTCTATAGTGTCTAATCTACTATTAATCCCATTCTGTGTTTGCAATCTTGAACATTTTATTTTCATTTCTTAAAGCTGAATTTGGGTCTTCAATTTATCATCCATGTATTTCTTTATTATGCTCCTATTTTGCTCTGCTTTCCTAAATGTATTTGAAATAGTTGTTTTTTAATGTTTTAGTATATTACTTGTTTCGTCTATACTGCATGTCTGATCTATGGATTTTTTTATTAGTTGTAATTTCCTGCTTGTTTTGGATCTGATAGCAAGTTTTTTTTTAATTTTTTTTATAGGTTTTTCAGGAACAGGTGGTATTTGATTACATGAGTAAGTTCTTTAGTGGTGATTTGTGAGATTTGGGTGCACCCATCATCCAAGCAGCATACACTGAACCCAATTTGTAGTCATTTATCCCTCACCCCCTCCCACCCTATCCCGAGTCCCCGAAGTGAATTGTATCATTCTTATGCCTTTGCATCCTCATAGCTTAGCTCCCATGAAAGAGTGAGAACTTACAATGTGTGGTTTTCCATTCCTGAGTTACTTCACTTAGAATAATAGTCTCCAGTTCCATCCAGCTTGCTGCAAATGCCATTAATTTGTTCCTTTTTATGGCTGAGTAATATTCCATTATTCCATATCTATCATCTATCTATCTATCTATCTATCTATCTATCTATCTATCTATCTATCTATCTATCACAATTTGTTTATCCACTTGTTGATTGATGGGCATTTGGCCCAGTTCCATATTTTTGCAATAGTGAATTGTGCTGCTATAAACATGCATATGCAAGTATCTTATTCAAATAAAGACTTCTTTTCTTCTGGGTAGATACTCAGTAGAGGGATTGTTAGATCAAATGGTAGTTCTACTTTTAGTTCTTTAAGGAATCTTCACACTGTTTTCCATAGTGGTTTAACTACTTTACATTCCAACCAGCAGTGTAGAAGTGTTCCCTTTTCATGGCATCCATGCCAACACCTATTATTTTTTATTTTTTGATTATGATCATTCTTGCATGAGTAAGGTGGCGTTGCATTGTGGTTTGATTTACACTTCCCTGATCGCGATGTTGAGCATTTTTTCAAGTTTGTTGGTCATTTATATATCTTCTTTTGAGAACTGTCTATTCATGTCGTTAGCCCAGTTTTTGATGGAATTGTTTGTTTTTTAAATGCATGCTTGCTAATGTTTTATTGGGAACCAACCCTTAAGAATTTCACTTCGCTAGGTGCTGAATTCTTTTGTGTATCTTTAAATCATGTTAAACTTTGTTTTGGGACTCAGTTAACTCATTTGGGAACAGTTTGAATCCTTTTGAGGGTTTTCATAGGACTTCTTAGATTGAGCTAGAAGGCCCTACCCTGCTACAGACCCCATTCAATATTTCTGGTGTTAGGATGTCTTTCTGATCTAGCTGACAGAATCACAAGTTCTTCCCAGCCCTCTGTAAGCCCCAGTAACTGTTCTGCCCAACTCTTCTTAGGTTTTCTTTTTGTTTTCTGGCCTCATGTAGTTTCCTCATACATATGAGCTGATCAGTTCTTGGCGATGTGAAGAATCTAGAATTCTCTATCTCTGGGTCGCTCTTGTCTCTTATACCCTGCCCTCCAGTTTCTATGTGCCTCAGTATTGCTGAACTCTAATCTCTCATCTCAGCTCATGGAAACTGTGGGACTTTGCACTGCAGCCTAGGGACGCTCTCACTGCATTTGTTTCCCTTCTCAGGAATCACTGTCTTGTGCAACCTCTGCCCAAAGTTTGGAATCTATGGTCCCACATGTTTTGTTTTTAAGGCAAGTAATTTAAGATTGAAGAATATTTGCTGTCACTGGTGGTCCCCCATGGTCAACTGTTTTGGCCCCAAAATATTTACATTCCAATGAAGAGGTCTGTTTATATAATAAAGACATGATGTTTAGGGATATGAAATGAAATATCTTCAGTTTCCAGCTGTAATTGTGATAGAATATTTATATATTCCCAGAAAATTGTTTTGTTTATTTTTTCAAAACTATTCTTGTCATAATAGAAATAAACTATGAGAGATTGAGATAATTACAGTGAGAACAGAACTAAATACTTTGTTTATTTATTTATTTTTATGTTTTTAAAATATTTATGTTTTTCTCCAACCAGTCATTTTAACAATCCACCAGCAATTGAAGTGTATAAAAATAATATGATGTATATATGAATCTGAGTACTTCGAGGCAAGAAGAAAATTAAATATGAACATTATAAAGACAGGTTAATCTAATATCTGAAAAAAATCATAAAAAATTTAAAATTTTATTTTTAAAAAATTTGCAAAATTAGATAAAGCAGAATAATAAGTTATACTACTTAACTATTTGTCATGCCTTTATGATACAGTTTTGCCATTTTCTTTTAATTATTTATTTATTTTGGCTGCATTATCTAGCTCTTCTTCATATTGTGAAAGGAAAATAAATCTCAGGACCCCAAAATCACTATGTCAAAGGAAAAACTCAAGCTGGGCACTGTGTCAGGCAAACCTGTCTCCCATTTTATTCTGTTGAATTTCACCTGGCAATGTAAACAAACAACTTATCTTCACAGGTGCAGGAAAAGGGAGAGGACCCAAAGTCATCCCTCTGCTCACCTGAGACAAATGCATGTCTGATTGCTTCCCCTGCCCTATTGTCTATTTTATCTTATATAAAAATGCAGATTCAATGAGCTAAGCTAATGCATAAGTGATTATTCCTCTATACCCCTCTCACAATAAATAGTGTATCAGTGAAAGGCTGATCAAAGACTCAAAAGAATGCAACTGTTCGTCTCTTAGCTACCCACACCTTTTAAAAATTTCTTCCCCTTTCCTCAATATTAACCCCTTCCACTTTAAATATTGAGGCCCTCAAAGTTATCTTTAAAGAGAGGGAAGGTGGAGACCTGTGTCCCAGGCATGTGTGCTTAAGCTTGGCAAAATAAAATTTCTGAATTGATTGAGATGTCTCAGATTCTTTTTGATCTCTAGTATAATGGTAAATATTTTTGCAACATATTTTTATTAGGAATATGGAAATGTTTAGTCTTATTTTCTAATGTGGTTATTTGATTATTGCAACATCAGTGATGATTCAAAAAAACTAGTTTCTGCTTCACAATTTTTATTGACAACTCCATATGAAATATTTGGAATTTTGTCACCCACTACCAAGTTTTCTTTGTAAATGAGCTTTCAAGTTGAGAAGAATATCCCACGCTATCATCTGGGCTACAAGCATTTCATATCTTTTTTCTCCTTCTACCAGTGTCCTACCCATGCATGCAGCAGAAAGCATCATTCACATCAAAGTTCATTCCCAAGTAGTGAGAGACAAGAGCGTTCCTAAGAGCCATGGTTCCACCAGGACAAGCAGGAATAATGACACTAAGCAGTGACGTGACTGAAATACTATAAAAATACATTCCACTAAACTCTAAATCTATCTCAACTCATCTTTTCTAGACACACCCCCCCCCCAAATGCCAGTAGTCACTCCAATGCCAACCATAACAGGCATGTGACATGTTATAGAGTAGCATTTGGGGCACAAAACAGACAACACCCTTAATTCATTGCAGTTAAAATTGATTTGTTTAAAAAACTTCAAATTTATTTGATCAAGCGAAGATACTATTTGGGTTCCTTCCCAGGGTTTTGGAAGTTGTCCATGGAAGTAAGGATTCCCACTAGCTTTTGGTTAAATTTGTCTCTGCATTTACATTAAACATTGATAGAATAAAATTTAACAATAACATATTAAATATCTCCTAGCCAACAAAATCAAAAGTGAATGAATGATTCAATACTATGAAATCAGAAAAAATATTTCCTGTCAATATTTACTGTTTCTTTGTTGATTTACTGAATGTGAATTGCATATGCAGTAGATCTACCAGGGATTCTTGTGAAATGCTTGTTGTTTCTATCTTAAATAGGCCCTTACATTTAAGAATATAAAAATTTACTTTCATGGTACATGAATTCTAAAAACAATAGCCAAGTGAATAGGTCCAAAAAAAATTAGTCCTGAATTATTTTTTGCCTTGAAAACATTTATATGCTATGTAGATTACATTAAAATGTTTGATAGAAATAATTGTATTGCTGAACCTACATAGACACTGTCTATATAATGATTTTTTTCTAATTCTAATAAATGGAAAATATGTTATCTTTCCTGATATCTTATGGCATACATTGGAAGAAAAAAGATATGCTTTACGTATAATTCTATGTAATGAATTGTAAATTATTATTAATAAAGTAATAATATACAATGATAAAACTATTTTTACTAGGCTAAACTAAACCTCTGTGTCTAAAACTCATTAATATTCCATTTTAATATTTGGAAACTGTGTGTCAGTTGTATGCATGTGAAGAGTAACTAGAATTGCATTTTCATATTTTAACAAATGCTTTTATTTCTCTGAAAAAGTGGTGAGGAAATGGATTGAAAATAAAACCAAACCATTAAAATGGTGCAACTTCTGTCATAAGAATTGTCAGAGCAAGCAATTAGAGACAAGAAAGCAAAAAAAAAAAAAAGCCATATTTTAATGACTGTATTTTAAGGGGAATGAGTTTTACAAAGAAAAGTAATCAATGCTGATTTTATATCTTTTTTATTTTCCCAAAGTCATAATGCCTATTTAAAAATATAAACCAGGCTTTTTAAGAATTCTAAATTTTAATTCAATCAATACTGATTAAATTTACAATTTAACTGCAGGTTTTATAGATTTTACTGGAGCAATATTTTTTATATTTTTGTTTCATGATAGAGCTATACAATAAAAATTGTTTTAATCTCATTTTCTGACAGGCTGACTGCTGCTGTGAGAGTTTAATTTTTTTCTTTCAAATGCTAACATATAGTTTTTCTTCTTCAGTTATGGCAGATCTAAGTTTTAAAATAAATGGCATTATAATTCTCAATCGCAGGTATTCAGCTGGGAATTTCTTTATTTAATTCTCATCTTTCGAGATATACGTTGTCCTACTGAATTGTCATGTTTTCACGTCTAACTGAACAATAAAGATATCCTCTAAGCACAGTGTGAATTCCAGATTCTGGATGTGTGCCTTTGCCTTGCCAATGGACTCTGATAAGACTATGGGCCATCATAAATGAGTCAGAAAATGTCATCAATCAGAGCGTTATATGCAGTCATGTAGGGACAGGGTGAAATATATGGGTTAGTGCCATTCTATAACATTTGTTCCAGAAGGTCACAGGAATCTGAAGGGGTGAAGTTACCTGTCGTTTATAATGCTGTGAATCTTGGTGAGCAAATCTGGTCATATAACACTATATTACTATATCCATTGGTTTTCTAGACAGTGGTTTCTATTCACTGACTCACTGTTAGAGTTTCCCAAATATTTTGATTTAAGTGAATGTCCAAATCATTCTGAACATCAACTAACTGTATAAATGCCAGTGGACGATCTTGAAAAAAGAGTAAATGAACAAAACCATAACAAAGCAACACACGACATTGAAAACAAGCCATGTACAGATATATCAATAACCAAATGAATCTAGTCCTTAGATATCTATTTTAAATACAATTAGAGAAAAAAATAAGAAACCCAATTGATAAGATGAATGAAAAAGGTCAAAAATCTTTAAACAGAATCTGGGCTTAATTCACTCATCCCGTTTTACAAAGCAAAGGTTTTTCATTTTTTAATACCCTTGTGCAAGGTAATATGGTAATCTAGTTATGAGCACAGGACAAATAATATCATCAGCAAGCATTTTAACAACTTTGAGCTACACTTTTATATTATTTATGATCATTATTTATGATATTAGGAACATATAATACATCTGCCAACTAGGAACTCAACAATGATTTAGCCAAATAGGGTCTCATATGATAACTATAAGAGCATGCTGACAGATCACAGAATTACCTGGGGGTAACGGCTGAAAGTTGATAAGTTGATTCCAAAATGCATTAAAATGTTTGTATGAGTAATATATAGATTACCAAAACTTATTCCTTCAGTCTAAAACTGTATTCTTTGGTTAACATCTTTCTTTTCCTCATCCTTCTCTCTCCCCGTAGGTCTTTGATAACGACTTTTCTACTCTGTTTTTATTCCACTGCATAGTGACAACAGTTAGTAACATATTATGTATTTCAAAGTTGCTAAAATGTATTTTTAACATTCTCATCACAAAACATGAGAAATTGGCAAGATGATGGGCATATTAATTAGCTGTAATGAATTTTTCTAGAATGTGTATAGCTCAGAATACCACATTATACCCCATAAATATATGTAATTGTTGTCTATTAAAAATAATAAGTAAAAATAATGTATACAAAGGGTCCAAATGCTTTCATTTTGCATGTATCTGTATGTTAGTAAAACATTTTACCATGCCGTCCTTAATTTTAAATAGAATATTTTTGGTAAAGAAGATAAAATATTTTCCCAAAATTAATTATACGCAAACACATACCCACAGATGTGTCAAAACACATGCAAGTTTTTCCCTATCTTTAATATAATTTTTAATATAATGGAGTTTTTTCTTACAATACATACACTAAGTATCATTTCAAAATTTCTCATTAGTATTTTATTAGCTGTTTTATTTCACTGGCCACAGCTATTTATCTACCCATAAATACTTAAGCAAGGCAATCAAATTATATTAGTTTTTAAAAATGGCTTAAAACCTCTGTGATCCTTGATCAAGAGGGCTGTGAGAACATGCACCCACCCAGTGATAACTGCTGTCCTGGAAATGAGGGATTGTGTCGGTTATTAATAAAGCGTGTCTTTCCTAGTATTGAATATCATTAAAGTATGCTGCATGTGAAGACAGACTGCCTTTGCTCAAATTTTGAGTTGACTGTTTCTTAGCTGCAGACTGTGGACAATAAACTTAATGTCCTCTACTGTAAAAGGGTAATGGCAACATGACTAAGTTCATAAGGTCATATATGGGCACCATTTAGTATGGTACTTGGCTAGTTCTCAACAAATATACGTATTGTTAGGAGGGTACCCAAGTACTCTGAGATTAATTCATATCTCATTGTTTTGGTTTCTTTATTAACCAAAAAAAAATCGACAGTGGTCATGGAATGAATTTGAATCTTGTGGCTGAAACATCAGCAAAAATTTTCTAGCCCCTATCAATTTCAGCCGCTCACCCTCAAGGGCCAAATTTTAGTCCGTGTGTTTCCAATAGCAAGTGTCTAAAATGTGCCTTGACAATTAAATTCAGCAAATAGTTTTAGTGTGCATATTGTGTGCTTGGCGCTGTGCTTTGGCATAGAGAGGATTCTCCAGTGCATCAGAGGACATGGCAGGAAAATGAGATGCACTCCCAGTGTTTCCATTTTCATCAAAAAGAAATATTAATTCCTCTTTTCAATTTTCCTAATTTCAATTTTTATTAAATATACACATAAAGGGTCTTTATGAGTTTGTACATGAACTGGGAATAACAATCTGCATTGTATCACCCAAAACTAAATCTCTTGGATAGACCAGTTATCCTTAATTCATGTTTTGTGTTTCAAATTCTGCTCTGCATCACAAGTGAAATATCAAAAGTCTTCATGTTTTTGATTTAAATATGAATACAGCAGCTAAATAGCTTATCAAACCTTAGTTTATTCAAAGGTGCTGAGATTTCTCTATAGTAAATGTAGTAGTACACTATCAGTTGATACTAATGAAAACTCAAAATAAACTAACCAAAAAAAAAAAAAAAACACAAACAAAAAAAAAAAAAAAACAGGGAGTTCAGAACCTAACTGCTGGAATGAAGAAAAAAGAGTAAAGACTTTCTCCCAAACAATAATTTAACTGGAAGAAATTACTTGAAGAACAATAATAAAGACTCTAGAAATTGTTCTAATGCATACAGCAAATGCAGAAACGTACGTTCAAAAAAGAAATCAATTAAATTTCAGTAGGAACAATGAGTCTGTGGCATTGAATGAGGTCCACCTCCAAGCTCAGCTGAACAGAGGCCTCCTGGTCCCTCAAGCTCTCTTTCTTTCATATAGGAGGTGGAGAGAGAGGAACAGGCCATGAGCATCTCTCATGCTCCCAGAGTTATCTTCTCTCTATTCAGAAGTTCTCTCTATTCAAGGTAGGTAGTCAAAAGTTTGGAGGTTCCCTGGCTGGACATGGTGGCTCATGCCTGTAATCACAGCACTTTGGGAGGCCAAGATAGGCAGATCAGGAGGTCGGGAGATTGAGACCATCCTGACCAACTAAACAACAACCCATCTCTACTAAAAATACAAAAATCAGCTGGACATCGTGGCACATGCCTGTAGTCCCACCTACTCAGGAGGCTGAGGCAGGAGAATTTCTTGAACTTGGGAGGCAGAGGCAGAGGCTGTAGTGAGCTGAGGTCATGCCATTGCACTCCAGCCTGTGTGACAGAGCGAGACTCCATCTTAAAAAAAAAAAAAAAGGCCGGGCACAGTCACCCACGCCTGTAATCCCAGCACTTTGGGAGGACAAGGAGGGTGGATCCCGAGGTCAGGAGTTTGAGACCAGCCAGGCCAAGATGGTGAAACCCCGTCTCTACAAAAAATACAAAAATTAGCCGGGTGTGGTGGCGGGTGCCTGTAATCCCAGCTACTCAGGAGGCTGAAGCAGGAGAATTGCGTGAACCCAGGAGACAGAGGTTGCAGTGAGCCGAGAATGTGCCACTGCACTCTAGCCTGGGCGACAGAGCAAGACTCCGTCTAAAAAAAAAAAAAAAGTTTGGAGGTTCCCTTTCCTACCTGACCCCTCATTCATACAGTAGAAGGCTAGTCCTGCTACAGGAGGCCAAGAATACTGAGGCCCTTTGTCCATAGGACAGAAGTTCATGTTGGGAAAAACAAGACAAGAATACTTGGGTTACCATCCCCCTTAACACCTGCTAACAGAGCTATGGTGTCACTGTGATAGCAACTGGCTGCTGTCTCTACACCAGGTCTTGTGAAGTGACAAGAAGTTTCTGTCTGGGATGGAGAGCCAGGCCTTAAGAGCTTCATAGCCATGCCTGAGCAACTGACTCATTTGCAGCAGAGCTGGGAGAATGTCATGCATAAGGATACCGTCGGCCGGGCGCGGTGGCTCATGCCTGTAATCCCAGCACTTTGGGAGGCCGAGGTGGGCGGATCACAAGGTCAGGAGATCAAGACCATCCTGGCTAACACGGTGAAACCCCGTCTCTACTAAAAGTACAAAAAATTAGCCGGGTGTGGTGGCGGGCGCCTGTAGTCCCAGCTACTTGAGAGGCTGAGGCAGGAGAATGGCGTGAACCTGGGAGGCGGAGGTTGCAGTGAGCCGAGCTCGCACCACTGCACTCCAGCCTGGGTGACAGAGCGAGACTCCGTCTAAAAAAAAAAAAAAAAAAAGATACCGTCAAAAACAATGGAGATCTTACTGGAGAGAAATTAAAAAATTAAAAGGCACTCATAACTCCATGACACAAGAGTCAACAAGAAAAATGACAGAGTCAGAAGTTTAATAAAGAGAGACAGAGAAAGAGTCTGGAATGTCTGTCCCAGGGTCACAGTCACCCCTAGGGGTTGAGAGGATAATGCAGAAGTGCCAAGGAGTCCTCATGCTGAAGGAGTCAGAGAAGGACAAGGCAGGCTTGAAACATTTCTCAAGCTCCACACAGATCAATTAAAAACCGACCAACACAATAAAACAAATTTAAAAACCAACAGAATTCTTAGTGACTCTACGGGTTTAAATACAACCTCGGATCAACCACTGGCTGAGCTTGGGCAACTTGTGGGAAACTAGGCTTACAAATTAAAAGAACACACATCCCTGTCGGCCTGGAACACTAAGTGTGTGAACAGGCTTTGCCCTCTTAGCAGTAACCAGAAAGAGAAAATCCAAGCCAGTAGCTGCTTGATGTGACAAAACAAGGTAAGATTCTTAAAATGTGATCGCAGTGTTCAAGCCTCATGTACATGCAGTGGTCAAGGGTCAAAACCTAATTGACTAAGAGGATTTAAGCACAACCTTTGACTGATAAGTAAGTTTAGATGATGTAGGAGAGGCGCTTAGGTAGCCAGGCTAATGGAAAAACAAGGAAAACAACTGAGAACATCAGAAACTGCATACTCCAGGGAAAATAGACCTGACAGGGACAGTTGAGTCCTGTCACTAAACACATGAAAAAGTCTAAGCAAATAAAAACAACAATAAAAACATCCACACTCTTGGGGAGGGAGAATCGATAAATAGAGCTGCTATGTTATAAAAAATGTACAATTTTCAACAAAATGTATAAGACATGCAAAGATTCAGCAGCAGGTGACCCATACATAGGTGGGGAAAGGAAATAGTGGCTTTGAAGAAGCCCAAGTCGTAAAATCAACAGCCACAGACTTCAATGTAGCCATTATAAACATGCTCAAAGAGCTAAAGAAAACTAAAGGATTAAAAGCAGACTTGAAGACTATATCTTATCAAACAGAGTATCAATAATATGATAGAAATTATTTTTAAAAAGAACCAGATAGTAATTGCAAAGTTGCAAAGTAAAATAACTAAAATTACATTCATGAGAGGACAATAAACTTAGTCTTCCCACATGATTCAGAAATCATACTTCTAGGTATTTACCCAACTGCTCTGAAAAACTATGTTGATATGAAAACCTGCATGTGAACATTTATAGTAGTTTCACTCATAATGATCAATAATTGAAAATAATCAAGATGCCTTTTAACGGATGAATGGAAATACAAAATGTGACATGGACATAAAATGGAATATTATTCAATGAGATAAACAAATGGGCTACCAAACCACTGAAAGAGACGAAAGGCCTTAAACGTGTAATGGTAAGTAAAAGAAGACACTGAAAAGACTACACATACTGTATGGTTCTAACACTATGAAATTCTGGAAAAGATAAAACTGTATAGATGATAAAAATATCAGTGCTTTCCAGGTGTTAAGAGATGCAGTGAGATATGGTTGAGCAGGTGAAGCACAGGGAATTTTAGGGCAGTGAAATCATTCTGTATGATAATGTAATGGTAGATACTTGTATGCATTTGTCAAAACACATCAAATTTTATCATATAAAGAGTGAACCTTAATGTATGCATTAAGAACCAATATGTCAATATGTTCGGCTTCCCTGTTCTTTGTTCTCCATTTTAAAGTTTAACTTCCTCTTTCTTTCCCCTCCTTTCCCCTAGTTTCAGTAAACAACCCCCACCTAGCCTCTATCTCCTGTTCTGTCCTTAGGCATCCTTAGTCACCTGTTCTGTAACCTTCCTCCCACCAAAACTAACTCCGCCACTCCAGCTCATACCCTCACTCTTTTTAAAATAGCCAATCAGAATTAGCTTAGACTGTGGGATCCAACCCTAGCCAATGGGGGAAAGACACAGCAGTAGGGGCTAGCCGCGTTAGGAATAAGACCCCCTTCCCCTCCGTAGTCGGGTGTGCTCTCACCATTGCCCCGTCTGCAAGCAAGACGTACCCTTCTATAGAAATAAATTGCCTTGCTGCGAAAACTTTTGTGTGAGTGCTATTTTCACATGGCGGCAGCTAGCATTTACTTCCAACACAAGTCAAGCATTTATGGACAGATAAACATTCAAAATATAATAACTGGGAAAGTATATCTTTTACCCAGTTTCTGGCCACAGATGAGCAACGGAGTTCCAGTGGAGGCAGGAAGAAGCAATGAATGCTCAAGTGCCTAAAATAAAACCTAGGTGATCCAAAAATCAAGAGCAGGGTAAGAAATGGCAGGAAATGAAGAAGAGTTCAAAATGTAATGGGTTTGTATTGGACACGTACAGATTTTTTTGTTTTCGTTTTTGTTTTCATTGGAGAATTGGAAAGTGCTGAGTGATTTGTGTCGAGGGGCTGGGGGATACCATGTGCTTGAAATGTTGAAGGTAATTGAGGTTACACTCTGGAGACTGGATTGGAAGTGGAGTGGATGATTGAATGCGGACAAATCAAATAAGAAAGAGGCTTTTGCTCAATCCAGGCAAAAGATGATGGAGGATTAGAGGTTGAAGCTCTAAGTGGAGATAGAAAAGAATGTGAGGCATAGGATAGAGGAAAAAATGCAATGCTCAGGATTTGGGGATGGCTTGGATACAAGGTATAGTTGTCTATAAAGAATAATGTACTGGTTTCTCTCTTATACAATTTTGCTGGATTACAGTCTCCTTAGCAAAATTAAATATTCTGTGTTTTCACATTACACTGAAGATCTTCTTAGAGAAAAATAGGTGTAACATGAAAAGGGCAAAACAAAATAGCAAAACGTTACTATTTTTCTGGTCATTTTACTTCTACAAATGCTTCTTAAATTAGATTTAATTTTCCTGGGAGTTGCATTATATTTTATACTTTTCTTAATTTTTTTGTCAAGAAAAGGTATTTTGTGAACTTCGTAGTGTTTAAGTTGGGCACTACAATTTTGTTGTAAAATTTTTCTTCTTTTTATTTTAGGTGTTACTTTTTAGGATATCACCAACCAAATTCAAATCTCATGTAAGCTGCAAATGCATTCTTATTATTTCATGAAAATGTCAAATAACATCATTTCTAGGAATTTTCTTAGAATTACTAAATTCTCTTTCTGTTGGTCTAATTTTTCTAGTTTCATTAAAGAAATGATATACTATTAATTTCTTTAGAAAAATCTAATTTCATATAAATCATTTATATAAATGATTTCATATTTACTTAGAGCATATACTTACATGTGATATGCATACCTAAGATAATATTCAACAGTTACCTGTCTAGTGTTTTTCTTTGCTTTTAAGACAGCTACTGAGATCAGTACTCTCATAATTTGTGCAACTTTAATGTGTCTCTTTTCTAAAAATATGTTTTTATGATGCTTGTAATATATTTTATCAATATTACAATAAATCTAAGTATATACTATAGTATTAAATAAATTGCATAAATATCAATGATTATAGAAATCAAAGGTCAAATTTTGTGTATGTTCATTTACACACCTGTATACAGTCAGAATTTTCACATCAAAATTTAAAAAGCAGTTTCTTCTATATTTCCAACTGTATTTTTAAATTTATTGTTATTTATTTAGTCACTGACTAGTAGTGGTTATGGTATAATGAAATATTTTCTAATCTCTAAACTGATAGAGTTGATGATATGTTAATGATGCTGTAGTTGGATTAACTGGGAAAATGATATATTAAAGAGCTTGTTTGGACTGATCTAATACATTAAGGTGGGATTAATGATTCAATATCGAATTGAAATTTAGATAGCCTAAATTAGGTATAAAAGAATCCAAATACCTATGTGTCTCTATAAGTTTGTATAGGTTTGCAAAGTAGAGGAATATTTATATAAACAAGAAATGGCGAGGCAGTCACCGTGGTAAGTGGAAAGAACACATGCTTAGAAGTCATTAAATTCGATTAATAAATAAGAACTTTACAACAGCTAATCAAAGCTATTCGAGGGCTAAATTTACCCTCCTGTAAAGCTTTCCTAAATATTGGCTTAACTGAAATTTGATGTGACAGAATAAATGTGGTTCCTTATATTTTTGTTGTAGTTGCTCTAAAATATAGAATTTATATAATTAATTTTAGTGTGAGATGGAAAATAGTCATATATTTGTAAAAATTGATACATTAATAGCAAATTTTGAACAAATTTGCTCACATTTTATTATTTTTATATGCTGCATTTTTAGAATTTTTGGAATTGTGATATTCCCAAATCAATTGAAACATTAGACATAGATTATAACTGTTAAATGAGTCATTTAATTGAAAAGCCATTTCTCTCTAAAAAATTGCCCTATAAGTAAGGACGAGATCATTTCTTCTGTTATTATTATTATACATACACACATGTACTGAGAGAGAGACAGGAAGAGAAATCCAACTCCTAATATTTAACTGGAGAGGTTACCTATTGTTTCATGTACATATTATGATCTGGTTCATCAGTTTAAAAACCATTTCAATCCTTTATTTACCATAAAACATAGAAAGTAATGGAGTGATATGTTTTTATTGCTTTCAAATAGTTAAATAAATTGTATATACAACACTCTTCTACAAAACTGATTTTACATCTCTAATTTTATAATATAGATATTTCCCTTTAGCACTATTTACTCATTCTCTTATGCAGTTATTTTTCTTTATATATGTATATGTTAATATTTATTTAATGCTTTACCTTTTCTCTGTGATTCTGTTCATACTAAGTACCTTATAGCATGTTTCATGACAGATCAATAATTTAAATTAACCTAAGTGATAGTTTTGGTCATCAAAAGTATGAAGTACAAATTCTGATGAAATAAAGAACCTTATTCATTTGGGTTTGAAGAAACTGATCATGAGAATTGTAGTAAAATTTAATTGGATGAAAACAATAACTAATTCACTTATATATTCAGCCGCAATTATGCCTAAATCTCTTACTACTTACCAGGCTCTGTTCTAGACTTTATTTTCTTTTGTTTTAGCAACAAACAAGATAGACAATATCCATACTGTTATATGGCTTATAGTTTAGTAGAAAAAAATGAACACAAATAAGTAAAAATAACCTAATCAACAAATTTATTACGTACTGTCACTAGTGTCATGAATAAAATAAATTAAAGCAAAGTGGTAAAAATTGACTGTGTGTTCAAGGAGTGACTATGTGTTTAGATCTCTAAAGAGAGAATCTAAGTGGTGAAAAGAGCCTGGTCATATGAAGATCTGAAATAGAGCAAGCACTCCAGGTGGAAGTGTCAGTTAGGTGATAACTTATGTTATTGAGATGCTGTCAGTGTCTTAAGATGGAAACAACTCAGAATTCTTGCAGTGAAGTGACTCTTCCAATATAGCACCAGAAAGAGTCACAAGTCAAAATGTGAATGCTTCTTTGAAGATATATGTATATATCTAAATCAGCTTTTGTTTCAAGTGTATATTAAATCCATATCAGTGGACCATTTTCAGAAATTATCTCTTATCTCCATTTTTAAAAATAAGTAGATGAGGCTCTCTATCCCTAGTGTGTTGACATTGATCGACTGTTAAGAGCAGTGGAACTTTACTGGGAATTAGACAATATATTGGCATTATGGAAAATCTAGGCTTCGACTTCCCATTGGAATTTTGTTTGAAGGGATGGAATATTTTCAGTGATTTATTTCCATTTGAAATGAGAAAATATTATCCTATTCTTGTCTAGTATGCTTTGCAGCTGATGGTAATTCTGATACAATTGTGATTGTTTTTTCCTAGGGGGAAAAGGACATTTTTTTTCTAATAGCTTTGAAGCTATTCTTGATATTTCTTGACATGTTGATACCCTTTGTTTTTGTAACTTTTTCTAAGTAAAAGTCATTTTCCATTCATTATGCTTCATACTCTTGGACTTTTCAATTTAATCCCTTTTTTAGCTGAAAGGCAGTGTTTTGTCATTGTTCACCACTAGCTTATTTTATATACTCTATTTCCTTCCTCTTCCGAATCTTCTCTTTTGATAGATTTTAGAAGTCTCAAAAATATCCTTCATATATTTGAACAGTTCTCAAAATTTCACTCTCATTTACTGTTTGTACTATCAAGGTAATTACCATCTTCATTGGTAATTCATCCTACTAACTGGCTTATCTTTTTTTATTTAGATATCGAGGCTTACAGCTATTCATTTCAACCACTGATTCACTGACATTCTCTCTCTCAGACACACACAAACACAAACACACACACACACACACACACACACACAAACAGACTTATCTATGAAAATGATAACTCACAATAATTCATTGTACCTTCTGGGACCTGGACTGAAGAAGGAGCCCCTGCCTAGGATTTGTAATTGCTATTGCCCAAACAGCAGTAGGAAAGTTGCAACGGTTTTTAAAAACTTTGTTTAGATGGGACATATGCTATTTCTATTAACATTCCACTGGCCGAAACAAGCATGATATCCATGGGACAGACAGTATAAGTCTTTTATATGGAGCAGTAGTAAAGAACTGAGAATGATAATATAATTTAGCAGAGTTTATCCTCTTGTTCACAATTATCTCTCTCATCTCTGTGCAAAACACATTCCCTCATTTCCAAAAAGAATATCCTTAAACTCCTAACCACAGGGTCTCACAATAGTTTCTATATGATGTCCATATATCACACTTGAACGTTTATGAACAGAAAATAATGAATAAAACATTAAAGTGCTTGTTCCTCGTATAACCAACAGTGAGGACATAACAGGACAACTGCTTTAAACACTCCCATCAAGAAAGGGGGAGAACAAAGGTAAACAACAGTCCCTGGCAAAGAGTAGAAGCGTGTTGGGCAGCATTTGGTGGAATCCACTTACTGGGGTGGTAGGAAATGTTCCTGGCTGAGACCTTGGTTTTCTTCTTATACACAGTTTCATAGATGTCTCTTCTCCATAGGGCTTGGATCCACATTTGGGAAAGGTCCATCTTTCTCCTCGTATGTATTCATCCACACCTGAAGAGTGTATTGAGAGTGTGCTCTCTGTGGAAGCTAAGCAGGAAATTTTGGCCACATGCTCTGCCTGTATAAAGTGGATGTGCCAAAGTTCATGCTAAATAACTGTCACAGTGTCTTTTAATCCGGTCTCTGTTCTTTCAGAAGTTAAATCTTTTGAATCTTACTCTTTTTTTCTATTTTGTTACAGTCTGTTTTATGTGTGAGTCTCCACGCTTACAATTCCTTATAAGACATTCATCTCCTTCTAGATTTAATTGCCTTGAGCTCATTACAATTTCTTGGGAGAGCTGCATCCAACATCTTCTCTTTATTTTCCTCAAGTTATTGAAAAGATTTAATGGGTTTCAGCTTAATACATTCTAATGTTTGAACAAAGCTCTTATCGTAGGGATAAGTGTTAATCAATTATTGTATCTTATAGTGGTTTTCAATTTTCTCTTTCAACTATTAAGTTGAGAAGCAAATGAATCTTTTTACTTTGCTTACAAACCTGACGATTTTTTAGCTCATGTAATTTCCTGTCAAATGAAGACAAAAATAACAAAGATACATTAATAGCATTCTGTTTCTAAACCTCTTCACCTAGAACCAAAGGCTCATTAAGAACATTTTCTGGCATCCAGGTTATCCTTTGTGTCAGTTTTACTAAACCCTTCACTAAGATACTGTCTTCACAGACTTGATCACGTTTTCTTGCCTGCCTACACCCCACCTCCTGAGCTGATGCTGCAAAATGTTGGTTCTTTTTTGTGGCAGCATTCCACTTCAATGTATGAGTTTCTATATTAGTCTGATTTTATTGGATTTTGCTGCCAGTGGTATAGCAACACTAAACTCTCACTGGCTTGCACTAACAAAGAAGTTTCCTTCACTCCTGTCATGTGTCCTTTTCAGGTCAGCTCTCACCCTCCTGTCTATTTTAGTCTCTCCGTGGCCCAGGATGAGGAGGTAATAGTTACCTGAAGTTTGCTAATCTCCCAGCAGAATGAACGAAGGACTAGCTGAACTATCATCTGCCTCATAAAACTTCTTGGGTGGGGCATAGTTCAATTCTCACAGTTTATTAACCAAAGCAAATCCCTGGGTTCAATGTCTTGCCAATGGAATAGGAAATATAATCCTTTTACAGAGGTCAATAGTGAATATTTGGATACAAAGGAACACCTTAACTTTAGTGGGTTTTGTGAGAGAACAGATTGTAGAAGAACAAGGATGATATAGATAGATGATAGATAGATAGATAGATAGATAGATAGATAGATAGATAGATAGATAGATAATGTTAGCAGGGAAGTACAGTCATCCAGGTGAGGGATAATGACACCTCAGACCAGGATAACAGTGTAAGTGACAAATGATCAACATAAGGATATATTTTCCTGTGGAGCACATAGTATGTTCTAATAAATTGGATGTAAACTAAGTGAGAAAAATAAGAATCAATATAATTTTAAGTATATGGATTAAATTAAGATATGATTACTCTCAAGTGAGGTTGGAGAATAGGGGATAATTGTATAAAGGATTGATGAGTACACGGAGTGTGATAGAAACATGTCTGCCTTAGATTTGAGGACAGTATTATTGTAAATGAACTAAGGAAACATAATATGACTGGCAGCATTAACTGACCTCTTGATTTTTGTTCATATAAATTAAAAATCAAATCAATCAATGTGCTTATATATTTTTCCAGCCACATTCAGTTGCATGAGTGTTAGTATATATTAGACAGAGAGATTGATTTAACCAGGATGGAAATTTTTATCAAACACAAAGAAAGAGCAAAAACAGAGAGGGAGATGTAAAAGTAAAGCTCATATGTAAGGAAGTGATTATAATACCTGACCAGAGAATTTAAGCAGGGTAAGAATAGGGATGAACACATTAGTGGGGATGAGACAGTGATATGTTAACAGGATTGACGGTTCCAGTGGGATTAAAAAAATCTTGGAATTTGGGTATTGGCACAGGAGAACTGGAATGCATGAAATTATGATTATGGATAAATTGTCCTTATTTGTTATGAGATGATCTATGATATTATCTTCACTGTAGTTACCAGAAGTAGGCTGAAGGTAAACTCATTGAAAGAGAGCAATTCAAGAAACTGAATGATTAAGATGTTAGAAGAATAATCAATTACATGGTCAATTGATAATTGATGGCTTTCTTATTTCCATGACTTTTTCCCCGTAACTTTGTAGTCTACTACATTCTGACTTTGTGATTGCCATTAAAGTTGCTTTGACCAAAGCAATACTTACAACTCATTTAAACACAAGGTTTAAAAACAGTCATTCATGTTTTTCTTGCCCCTTTCACATGAGCATGTGATGAATTACTCATTCTTGCTTCTCTGCATGTGAGGAACAACATCTTTGGACAAGCTACAGAACTTGTCTGGACTAGACTGCTTAACTGGGGAAGTGAGAGTGTGAGAGTACATGGAAAACAGATAAGACATCACTATTCCACACTAGCTGACTGCAAACCAACCCCACACAACTGAACTGTGTGAGAGAACCTAGTCCCATCATTACAGCTGCCCTGCCAATAGGTAGCTGCCCAGAAGCACATGCATCATTCCAGATAAGAGTAGAAGAAGTGAAACTGCCTTAGCAAAAATTGTATCAGTGAGAATATTATGGTAGTGGGGGAGATCTGATCTAGCCATCTCCCCCTCTTGCTTTAGCCTTCGAGCTGCCTTTAATTATTCCTGAGCTTAGGCCAAGCTAAATTTGGAAGATATTTAATGTATAGTTTTATCTGATAAAAGGCCTTCCCCAAAAATGTAAACACCTTGGTAAACCTAATAAGAGACCACCAGGCTAAGGAAGAGGAAAGGAGTCTGAATTCTGCTAAGGTATGGATTTCCAAGCATTATTCTACAGGACACCAGATATGCAACTTCCCCAATTACTCCTGCAGATAACATCACCATTGTACTTTGGGCTTTTGAGATATATTTTCAGGTTTTTTGCATGTATGACACCAATGGCTCTACCTAGGGCAGCAGGAAGGAGAACTCCTGAGTTAAGGGGGAAGTCCCTTATAAAGCCTTCAGATCTCATGAGAATTCACTCACTATCATGAAACAGCATGGGGGAACCACCCCCCATGATTCAGTTCCGTACATCTGGTCTCTCCCTTGAGGACTATGGGGATTACAATTTAAGATAAGATTTCACTGGGGACACAAAGCCTAACCAGATCAGGATGGTTCTCAGGTCTTTGAGAAACACATTCCTGAGTTGTGAGAATAACATGAGGCTTTAAAAAACTTACATCTCAAAATAACCTAGAAAAAAATCACAGATAAAAGTTTTCTACATTAAATGCTCTAAGAAAGGGAGAGGCTTCTGTGGCTAGAACAGCTCTATACTATGAGGGGTGGTGAGGGGAGGTCAGAGGTCTAGAGGCAGGAAGAAGTTTGTCTAAAGTTTAGTTAAGTTTCAGGGAAACATCACCCTTCCTTGTCAGTAGATATTCATCGTGAGTTGCCTAATCTTGGTCCAAATGTTCTAATTAAATCTTTATGTGTTTTGAGGTAAAGCAAATGTTTTACCTCAAGCATAATAAAATATTTATTATATGAGGAAGATATTATGTATGGAGGGTACTCCCTTAATAACATATTCTAAAATATATTCCAAAATAAAGCAGTTAAATGCATTCTCTTCAGATGAAATTAAGGGCTTAAAGGCAAAATTGAAGAGAGAGAGAGAAAATAAAGGTTGGCAATGAAGTCAAGTCATTTGTCTGGGGTAATACCTGAGGTTCATTGCCTCATACCAAGGAAATCAAGGACGCAGATACACAAGGAGTGAGTTTAACAGCAGAAGTTTAATAGGCGAAGAGAGAAGCTCCCTTGTCCAGAGGGAAGGGGTTCCGAACAGATCTCCCCATTTGTGGAGAGATATGGTTGGTTTTATAGATGAACTTGAGGAGGTGGTGTCTGATTTACATAGGGCCCAAAAGATTGGTTGGACCAGGTGTGCCATTTACATAGCATGCCATCCCACCCTAATCTTTTATTATGCTGATGTGTTCTCTACCTGGCCCGCACCATGTTGCCTCTTCCCTTGTTGCACGCATGGTGACCAAGAAAAGGAAAGAATGGAGCCTCCATCTTGAACATAACTGGCCCCCCAGGTAGACTTTTCCTATTGGCACAGCTGCTGGCATTCACCCATGCAAGCTTCCAACTTGCTTATCTACTTCTGCAGCTCGATTTTACAGGCTGCTCTTTTTTAGAAAAGAAATGATTTGGTGGCTGCTTTTTGTTAAAAGGGAAACCTTGCTGAGGAGTCTTTTACTCAAACTATCTGCCTAAATAATTCCTTTCTAGCTCCTGTATCAGCAAGATTGAAAAGGCAGAAAGCGTTCTTCTCTTAGTCTTTGTTAGTTGTTGAATGTATCTCATCATAATGGTGACTGGATGCTGGGGAGCTCAATTCTAGCAATTCTATTGAGCATTTTTGTTTAGAAAAGCAGTTTAACATGTGGGTGTGTATTTGACCATCCTGAGTTCAACCCATAAATAAAGGGTTAATCGATTTGAATGATTTGTGTTATCATAAAATCGAATAAAATTTTATATCCTCATCCGTAAACCAAAGAATTTCATCCAAGTATATTTAATTGGTCAATGATTGCTTTACTCTTCTGTTTTTTGTATTATTTTTTCTTATTCTTTCCTACTCTTGTCACATATCTAAAATTCAACTTTTCTCCCTGAAACAGTTATGATACATTTGGTTAAAAAAAAAATTGATATTTGATTGGGTTACTTTCCTACAAGCTTTCAAAAATTGTGCTAAGGTCTCTGAACAGAAGAGTAAATTATTTTCAATTTTTTTCCCTAGGATATCAGTATAAATACACCAAATAGCTCCTCCTCAAATATTGTTATGTCTAAGGTCTTTAAACATTAGTACTCTTACTATTACACAAAACATATCCTTCAAAATCAAAATCAATACCTTTAAAATCATATTCTGCGTTGTTTCTGGTGTTAGTAAGAAAATTGGCTTGAGTATTGACATAGGAGTCAGCGGCAGGCTCTGGATGGGCTTTGGAATGGCAGTGGGTACAGGACCCACATGAAACTTAGAAGAGTCTTGGGGAAAAGTGGGCTTAGAGATCATAAAAAGAAAAAACCTGCTCAACCAAACATTTACCACAAAGGAAACTAGGCATAGATAATAATTTTTTTAAATGCCAAATATGCACAAGTGGGCACAATAAGAGAAGGTAGGAGATTTTCTGAGCATAAAAGAAGTGAGATGGACACAATAGCAATTTATCTGAGCTTCAGATTTGTAAAAGCATGCCTCGCTGTTCAAGAACCTAGGCGCAACAAATATGTTGAATTAGTTCAGATAAAAATAATTTAACAACAAAAGAGGCATCAGGAAGGAACTAATGTGTTATGAATAATCAGAAATCAATAATTTTTATAGGATATATGCCACACTGAAACAGTAAGTAATCTGATAAGCTTCCCTTTCCCAGAACATGTAAGCATTGATTACATGATCCATAGCCAGTGTCACAGAACTAAGACACTTACTTTACCGAGAGTTATTAAGGGAGAAAATTGTACTGTATTTCGACATACATATCTGATTATTTATTTTAAGCAAAAAGGTTTTATATGAATTAATTTTTTTTATTGGAGAGTAAGCAAATGGAACCATTTTGTTTCAGAAAACATTATGCCCTGTCAAAGAGAATGTTCCAAGTGTTGTTTCATATTTTTCTACACATCCTATTGTAAAACTAATTTAATTATAACCAAATATGTGCAATTTTATTTTTCCCAATCTGAGACTCAGAATTAATTGCTACGCAACGTATATTTTCTACAAAATCTTTAGCCTAGAACTTTTTTTAGCAAAGCTATCTGCTTTTATGTGATAAATATACTCCACACACAAAAAAATGTAGTGGGTGAAAAGAACTAATGTAAAGCTAACTTCAAGTCAAGGAATGTTTTTAGACAATAAATAACAACAATTCATATGCCTGTTCACTGGTTTTCTGACATGAGGTTGTGAATTGTAGTCCTTGAACTCACATTTGCTTTCAGCCAGGAAATTCTTCACTTTAGTCTATGTAGTAGTCTCTATTTAAAAGGTAAGAAAAAAATTGAATAAAATTAGGAAGGAAAAATGATACATCTATGTGATAAATGGGTTTGGAGGTGCAATATCATGTAAGCAAGTGTAAAAGAAGGTGAGAAATCATCAATGTACACCTAGGAACATAAATAATAAACTGAAAACGTACTGCTGAAAATAAATGATTTTTCAGAAAATGATACATTCTATTATAAAAGAAACATCATTGAAAGTTCAACTGAGATTTTCAAAAATACAAATATTTTGCAGAATTTCAATTAAAGACTATATACAAAAAGAAATCACACAGCATATAAACGATAACAGCAATATATTTGAGACATCAGTCTGTGTAAAGTGTCTCAAAGTCCTATCCCATTATGTGATAATTGTTTCTTTCAATAGTTACTCAGGAGCTATTTATTAAATAATGATATATTAATTTTGTTCCATTTTATCAACAGCTATGGTTAATTAAATTCTGATTTGATACAATATTGACTTGTAGTTCTATCATATGTGGGTAAATTATTGGAAAAAGAGTGATGCTTTAGGATTTAAAATGTATAGAGATATTGAAATGAATATGACATGGGGAGGGGTGGAAAAAAATGAATGAATGCAAGCTTCCATACCTGGAAATATAATATGTCAGACTAGATACCCGAAATTGCCCTCTCTTTCAAAGGAAAAAAACCTGAAATTAATAAAAACTATTCTATTTAAGTGCACGGTATTATGCAGATATCATATAAGTGATAGATTAAATAAAAAATAAATTTTTATAGTGAAATTTCAAAAAATATAAGCAAAGAATAAAAAATGGCCAATATATTCCTGAGATGAAAAAAAGGAAGGGAGAAGAGATTTCCTAACAAATCTGAAGAATCTCTTTGAAGCTGTATCAATTAAGAGAGAGAGATAGTAAAACTGAAAAAGAATAAAGGGCTGAGAAAGATGATTATGAATAGATGGTAATGTGATTTTTGATAAAAATTAAATTTCTAACTGTATTTTTTATAAATAGATATATATGTGAATAATTTTAGCACATATAAATGATGGTTATTTTGAAAAGCTTGCTTCTGTGAAGTTTTTATATTTTCTTTTATTCTGCAACGCTTAAGTTTTATAGACGAAATGATCATATAGTTTTTCAGAATTAATATTTTAAGCCATTGTCTATTATAAAATGCATATATTATCAGGAAACCTTGCATTTAGTACAAACATAATGCTTAATGTTTTAGTGTTCTTATAAAATTATATACCCATATATAATTATATTGTGAATGATAAATTAAAAAGTTATTTTAATTGATATTTAATATAATATGCGACAGTGGGGCAAAATTATTTTGCTATCCTTTTACCTCATTACTCCTCAGTTGCATTTTCATAGGCATTATTTCTCAGTGAGTTACCTGAATGCCAGATAATAAACATACACCTTTCCAAGACATACCAGAATATTCCAAGGGCTTAAAGATTTTCTTTAAGTAGGACTGATACAGTAAGTAGGACAATGATATTTACACAGTGTGGGTAAGACATGGAGGAGATATTTTGGGTGCTGGATGTGCACATAATGTATTTTTAAGACTATATTTTTTAGAGCATTTTAGATTCACGGCCAAATTGAGTGAAGAGTACAGAGACATTCTTTAGAAAAATTTAGTAGAAAGGACGGAGCTTTCCCATGTGTCTTCTGCTTCCCCAGCCTCCCCAGTTCTCAACATCCCCCACCAGAGTGCTATACTCCTTACAATTAGTGAGCCTGCACTCAAAGCCTATAGTTTACATTAGGGTTTATTCTTGGTGTACATTCTAAGGGTTTTGACGAATGCGTAATGGCATGCATCCACATTTTAGTACCATACAGAGTAGTGTTTCTGCCCTAAAAATCCTCTGTGCCTCGCCTCTTCATTCCTCCCTTCCCCAAGCCCTGGCAGCCACCGCCCTTTTTACTGTCTCCATAGTTTTTCCTTTTCTAGAATGTCAAATGACTGGAATCATACAGTGTGTGGTCTTTTCAGATTGACTTCTTCCACTAAATAATATACAGCTAAGTTTCCTTCATGTCTTTTCAAGGCTTGATAGCTCATTTGTTTTTAGTCCTAAATAATATGTCATTGTCCAGAAGGATACACCACAGTTTATCCATTCATCTACTAGAGGACATGTTGGATCCTTCCATGTTTTGGAATTCATGAATAAAGTTGCTAAAACATTCATGTGCAGATTTTTGTGTGGACATAAGCTTTCAACTTCTTTGGGTAAATACCAAAGGGTGCAATTGCTGGGTGGTATGGTAATTATTAGTTTTGCAAGGAAGATGGCAAACTATCTCCCAATGTGGCTGTAACATTTTGCATTCCAATTTGCTGTATTGTGTTTTAGTATTTGTTTTATAGTTGAATCTGAATTGCTAAATAAGTTTCAACATCCATGCCCTTGTCTAATGGGCTCTCTATATTAATATAAATACTTTTATTATGAGTCAAAAAGTACAAAAAAAAGAAAATTTATTTTACTGGACTAACAAGACAACAAAAGTGTTCAGAATGTGTTCTGAAAAACAAGTATCCGTATCTCCATGAAAAAGGAAAAAAAAGACAATTTACACAAAATGTTTGTCATTGTTGCTGAAGCATTTTATTTTCCCTAAAATATCTAAGTAATTACTTAAATTTTCTGTTATTGATTTGTCAGTGGACAGCTGGTCTCAAGCTATAAAAATAACATTAATTGGATGTACAAATAGTTCCTTTAACTACTCAATGAGATTAAAATTCACATTTTTGTTGGCTGGAAGTAGTCAAATTATTTCTAACAATCTATTTAAAATTCAGCTGAATTTATATAGTGGAAATGGAAAAGTTGAATAAAAAATATGAAGAGTATAACTACCAAATTAAAATTAAGGTAAATCGTTATTATACTCCTTTGTGTTGAGTAGTTCTTAAAATGCTTAAGATTGTGGGTGGAAAACACCTGCAATTATGATCAAGCAGAACCATTTAGTTGACAAAATGAGAGTTCTAAAAAAGGAGCAACCATATGATTTAGATATTATAAGAATTAACAAATATCTAGAGCATGTTCATATTGTCACAGACTTTTTTTATAAAAGACATGTACTATGACAATATTTAAGTCTCTCAAAGAATAACTTATCTCAATTATATAAAAAACATAAATTTGGGTGGCTCACTCCTGTAATCCCAGCACTTTCAGAGGCCAAGTCAGGTTGATCACCTGAGGTCAGGAGTTCAAGACCAGCCTGGCCAACATAGTGAAACCCCGCCTGTACTAAAAATACAAAAATTAGCAGGGCATAGTGGCACATGACTGTAATCCCAGCTACTCCAAAGGCTTAGGCAGGAGAATCTCTTGAACTCGGGAGGCAGAGGTTGCAGTGAGCCGAGATCACACCACTGCACTCCAGCCTAGGTGACAAAAGGGAGACTCCATCTCAAAAAATAAATTAAAAAAAAAAAAAAATTCTTGAACTTGGGAGGCAGAGGTTGCAGTGAGCCGAGATCACACCACTGCACTCCAGCCTAGGTGACAAAAGGGAGACTCCATCTCAAAAAATAAATAAATAAATAAATAAATTCATTAAATTTGTTTAAAAGTAATTTTAAAGACACTCTGGAAAACAAAATTTACAAACAACTTGAATTTGAAAGGACAGTAAAATTCAATATAGTCAAAATCAAAATAAATAAATAAATAATGACCTAAACTAAAAATAGTTAAGAAGTTATTTGAGATGCATAAATATTTTTCAAAAATATGCCAAACTATGTTAAAACAGAAAAAGAAGCAAATTAAAAATACTATAAAATTTTGAGTTTTTTTATCTAATGTAAGTGGAGAGAAAGCAAACTGCACAAACGAATTAAATGGAATTTAATTAGATGTATTCTTATTGAGTATTTTTATGTCCCAGAAACTGAAAAACTTTATGTCTTTCTCCAAAAGGTGTTCATAACTTTGTTCAAAGATGTTTAAAAAACAAAGAATAACAATGCAATGATCCCTTCAATAAAGTTAGATTAGCGAGAGAAAGCATAATATGTATCACATGTATCTAGATAGCAGAGTTAAATCATTAAGACAACAGTATTTCCAAGTTCATGACTTGTAGGAAAGACTATAGCACATCAATAAATGAACACATTTGCTATTCCTGAGCTTGTGAGGGACATAAGGTGAGATGCATCTAAGATTAAACAGAAATCTGAGATCTGATCTGAAAATCCATGGAATATGATGCTGAGGAACACAGACTTCATATTGTAGGCCATTTGGAATAATTAAATGATCCTAGGTGTAACAAGTGACTTACAAACATTTGTGATTTTTTTGGCACTTGAATATTGAGGTGAATATATTAAAAGAGGTAATGAACAGATAACAGGGCAAAATATAGGAAAAAAAGGAAATAAACCCAAGCTGACAGAAAGATAGACAGCTAAGGCCTTATCTGTTTTGTTAGCCTACCAGATATGTGATTCTTTTAATGTGCTTTTCAATCTGGTTAGTTAGCGTTTTGTTGAATATTTTTGTATCTATGTTCATCAGGAACACTGTCCTGTAGTTTTCTGTTTTTGTAGTGTCAATCTTTTGTATCAGAGTAATGCTGGCCTTATAAAGTGAATTTGGAAATATTCCCTCCTTTCCAGTTTTCTGGAAGATGTTGAAATAATTGGTGTTAATTCTTTAAATGTTTGGTAAAATTCACCAGGGAGGTCATCTGACCCCGGGCTTACCTCCTTTAGGAAGTTTGAATACTGATCTTTATGCTAATTATAAGTTTGCTTAGACATTCTATTTCTTCATGACTCAGTCCTGGTAGGTTGTATGCTTGTAGAAATTTATTTATTTTTTTCTAGGTTATCCAGCTTGTCAGCATATAATTGTTCATAATAGTCTCTTGTGTTCCCTTAATTTCTGTGGCATAAATTGTAATATCTCCTCTTTCATTTATGATTTTATTTATTTTAGTCTTCTTTTTTGTATTATTAAGGCTAGCTAAATATTTGTCTATTTGGTTTATTTTTTTAAAACATCTTTTTTTTCTAGTGTTTTTCAGTCTCATGTATTTCTCTATTATTTCCCTTGTTTGGCTAACTTTCAGCTTAGTTTTGTGTTCTTTTTCTAATTCCTTGAGTTATAATATTAGATTTTCTTTTCAGTTGAGATCTTTATTCTTTTGTAATTTGGGCAATTTATATTTATACTACAATTATATTTACATTTATAGTTACATTATATTACATTTATATTACAATTTATATTTACATTTCCCTCCGTACTGCTTTTGGTACATCCATACATTCGCTATGTTGTATTTAGGTTTTAGTTTGTCTGAAGATACTTTCCAATTTCCCTTTTGATTTCTTTTTTGACCCATCGGTTGTTCAAGAGTGTATTGCTTCATTTTCATATATTTTTGAATTTTCTATTCTAGGTGCTTTTTTTTCCTGGCCCTAGTTTATTGCATTTGGTGGCCAGAAAATATATTTCATATATATTCATTTTAATTTTCTCAAATGTCTTAAAACTTGTATTATGACCTAACACATGATCTGTCGTGGAGAGTGTTTCCTATGCATTCTTCTGTGGTGGGTGAAATGTTCTCTATATGCCTCTTAGTATCCCTTGGTCTGTCTATAGTGTTGTTCATGTCCTGTTTTCTTATTATTCTTCTGTCTTTGTTATATCTATTATTGAAAGTGGGATATCTGTCATCTATTTACTTAATTTATTTCACTATACATGTACAGCAGTATCAGCACTGTTAACCCCTTCACCATAAGATATACTTAATCCACTTATGTACATTTCTTATGCACAGTTTATGTCCTCATTGGTTTTTACAGACACAATTAATGTCCAAAATTTCTTAGGTTGACATCTTTCTGCCATCCTTTTCAGTGACGTTGTTTTATAGCTTTGTTATATAATTAGATTTTTGTTACATTCTGCATTTCATATCAGGATTCCTGTCAGTTTCTAAGTTTATTTTTAATTGGATACATTAAGTTTCATTACTGATATGTTAAAGTTCAATGGGTTTTGGCAATTGCAATGTCATGTATTTACAGACATGGTATCATACAAAGTAGTTTCACCACCTGCCACGTGCCATGGTTTGAATGTGTCCCCACCAAAATTCAGGTGTTGAATCTTAATGACCACTGTGATGGTATGAAGAACTGAGGCCTTTAAGAAGTGATTATGTCATGAGGACTTCTCCCCTCTTGCATTAGTTTAAGGCCTTTATAAAATAGTCTTCATGGACACTTAGGTTGATTGCATCTGTTTGCTACTGTGAATAGTGTAGCAATAAATAAAATTGGATCAAGAAAATAGGGTACATATACACAATGATGTGCTATTTAGCCATAAAAAATGAAGTCATGTCTTTTGCTGCAACATGGATGGAACTGGAGGCAATTATTTTAAGTGAAACAACTCAGAAACAGAAAAATAAATACCATATCTTCTCACTTATAAATGGAAGATAAATAATGTATGAAACTGGGTGTAGAGTGTGGAATAATAGACAATGGACACTTGGAAGGGTAGAAGGGTGGGAGGAGGGTGAATTATAAGAAATTACTTAATGGGTACAATGTATGTTGTTTGGATGATGGATACAATAAAAGCCCTGACTTCACTACTATGCTATATATTCATGTAACAAAGTTACGGCTGTACTTCATACATTTGTACAAATTAAACAGAGGGAAAAAAATAAAAGAGACTTCAGGCAGCTTTTGGCCCTTTTGCTCTTCTGTCTTTCATCATGTGAGGACACAGAGTTGCTTCTCTCTGGAGGAAGCAGTGTTCAAGGCATCAACCTGGAAGCTAGATAAGCACATGCCAGACGACAAAGTTATCGGCAGATTCATCTTGGACTTTCCAGCCTCCAGAACTACGGGAAATACATTTCTGTTCTTTAAAAATTATTGTATGTGGTATTTTATTATAGAAGCATTAACTAAGTCACCAACCTCCTAAATGTCTCTTTTTAAATCCTTAACTACAACTTTTCTGAAAATTTAAGTAGATTTTTATTTCTGGGAAATATTTTAATTGCAGAATATATCAGAAAATTAACTTTTCAGTCTTGTATTTATACAAATATTTTCTGTATTCTTCACTCAATGATAAATATAATGAAAATATTATATTACAGATGACAGAAGGGGCTTTCTCAATAATATTTGTTGAATAAAATGATGGTACAATATTAAATTGCAATAGACTGTAATTTGATCCAGGCAGAATGTATAGCAGGTTTATTTCTGCTAAAATGAGTATTTTAGTCAAAAAGTTAACAGACTTTAACTTTGTTTTGTTTTATTTTGTTTTGACACAGACTTGCTTTGTCATCCAAGCTGGAGTGTAGTGGCATAATCACAGCTCACTGCAGGCTTGACCTCCAGGCTCAAACAATCTTCCTGCCTCAACTCCCAAGTAGCTGGGACTACAGGTGTGCGCTACCATGCCTTGCTGAGTTTTGTATTTTTTGTAGAGATGAGGTTTCTCCGTGTTGCGCGGACTGGTCTTGAACTCCTAGACTCAAGCAATCTGCCTGCCTCAACCTCCCAAAGTTCTGGGATTACAGGTATAAGCCACCACACCCAGGCAACAGACTTTATTAAAATGTAGATTATATAGGTGAACAGAATATTTCCATAATAACTTTTAAAAGATTTCTTCTGTATGAAAGTTTGAAATGCCAAGTAACACAATGGAGGTAAAATTTTCCATTTATTAATTGGTAAATTTAATAAAGCTTTTCAACACTTGCTTGGGTCCAAGTATTCTCCAAGTTATTAAAGATGCAACAATGATTAGAACCATAACTAAGTCTCATAAAGGAAAAGGAAACAGAAAATATCCATAAGATTATTTTGTTTGTTGATAATAACCATAAAGAAAAACATAGCTGAATAATATAGAATCAAAGGTGGTAAAGGCTGAGTCAGCCAAGGTGGACAGGGCAGCTCTCTCTAAAGGAAGACACTCTTAATCTAAGACCTAAGTCAATAACAAGTGTAGTAAGGCTAAATATGGGAGGAAACGAATCTAGGTACAATAAAAACCTAAAATTATGTGAAATAAAGTTTGTGTGCTCATATTTTAGGAAATGAAAGTGAGCCAATGGGGCTGGAAAGTTCTGAATGAGTGAAGGCAGTCTTTGGAGGCATGTGGTACACAGAAATAGGGCCAGATCCTAGAGGCCTTATTTACTTCTTCCTCATTATTATTTATCTTATTAATATCCATTCATATATGACTTATTTATTTATCTATTTATTTATTTTTGAGATGGAGTGTCATTCTGCCAACCCAGCTGGAGTGCAGAATGCAATGACACAAGCTTGGCTCACTGCAACTTCTGCCTCCCGAGTTCAAACGATTCTTTTGCCTCAGCCTCCCGAGTAGCTGAGACTACAGGCACCCACCACCATGCCCAGCTAATTTTTGTATTTTTAGTAGAAACGGGATTTCGCCATGTTGGCCAGTCTGCTCTCAAACTCCTGACCTCAAGTGATCCACCCTCCTTGGCCTCCAAAGTGCTAGGATTACAGGCGTGAGCCACTGTTCCCGGCCCATTCGTATATGACTTTAAAACCACCTACTTTGAATAATATTTCTTTTGTTTATACTTTACCATTGACCATTCACAACACAAGGAACCTTAGCCATGATTCTAAATAAGCCATTATTATGTTTTATATACAGTATTATTACCATAATTTGATTATATGCAATAAATTCTTGGAAGTTTTGAATAAGATTTTTTGCATAAGATTTGCCTATGGGGCATAATTTTAACGAAGTGGATCAACTTTTTTATTAGCTTCTGAACCACTCTGTTCAAGTGGAGCACACAGGGGCATCTGAAGGATGTCGGTCTCCCTCTGATGAGAATGGCCTGGTTGTTGACCCTTGCTAGATTTGATGCAGAATCCATGCATAAAATACGGAGAGAGCTTCCTATGTATTTTTATTCTATAGGGAAAGGCAAAAGCTAAGTCAGTCTACAAATAAAGGGAGAATCCCAGCATGCAAGGGCCAGATCAGCTTACTTATGTGCAAATGAGAAATCGCCTAGTTTGCTGCTATGCCTGCCCTGGGCTGTGTTTAGAATAAAAGAGCAAAGAGATGTGGCTTTTTAAAACTACAGTTTGATTATCAGATACTAACAGTGTTGCGAACAAAAACCGAATTACTTTGCACTGGCTCTTACTCCTTAAAAGAACAAAGGAAGCAATTTAATAGAAATTTATATTTTGGTCATTTTTGTTTGTTTTAAGAAAATCACTTCAATATATAGCTAATTACATTTCCATTGTTATTTAAAATATGACACTGATTAGAGTAGTTCTTAAAAGTGATGCACATAAGTATACTTTTTTTTTTTTAACAAAAACAGATTTATGGAATTAATTCAAACCTATTCAATCCCCAGGTGTGAGCTCTCACATTTAGTGACATGTTTCATGATTGCGTCTAGTGTGCAAAAATGTCTTCAAATCACTTGTTTTACACCCTTCTAGATAAAAAAGCTACATGTTCTACTGAGATATTATCACTTAAATGGCAAAATTATAATGAAGTACTACTTAAGAAGCACAGGAAAAATACATGGATTTCACTCAAAATTCCTTTGGTGTCTCTTGTTTCAGACACATATTCAAGTCTGTTAAAATATGAACCAAGTACATACATTACCTGTTTCTTCAGCAAATCAATGGTTCAAATGCATTGATTTGTAGCTTTTCATTAATATTGTTTGAAAAACTACATTATGAGGGCAAGCCTTCCTGGACAATCATAACCAAAAAATAAATTCTTTATTTAATCAATCATCAAAATATGTTGCTATACTTGAAATCATCTCACTGTATTTTTTTTGGAAGTGCTATTTTTCTCTATCACTTAAATATACTACTAGAAGCACTATGACAGGGTAGTTTAAAAATGTGGTTTTCCTACATTTAAATGTCCACTCTGCCACACTTTGGCGATGTCGTGTGAGACGCATCTCTTGATCTTCACAAGATATTATTTTTTCCCATGTAATGTTGTCATAATAAAACTACAGTAATTTGTAGAGAAAATGAAGCTCACTTTTTGGTGATTAGATAGATTTGCAAATAGCAGAGTCTCAGTAAATATAACCCTCTAAAATATTAATTATAATTCATAGTTATGATTAGAAAGTGTAATCATGTTTGGCATTGAGGGACCTGAGTGTATAATATTGAATATGATAGAAAAACATGAAGAAGTATAGTATTATTGTGTAATTAAAAGATTTACTATGGTGAAGATCTCTGAGGGGAAAGCCCAGAGTTTTTCAGTAAGCAAAAAACAAAGTGGAATTCAGGAATATAACATAAAAAGGAATACAATTTCAGAATATTAGGTGAAATAAGTTAAAACAATATATTTTTATTTCATAGGTGGATTTCCAAAAATATTTATATTCTACAAAGTTCAGAATACAAAAAATGAGACTGTGCAAATATTGGCCTGTTTTCTATCTATATCATTTAGTCTTTTTCCAAAACAGAATGCAAATGAAACCCTGCAATGTGATTATTTTAACCTGGCTACTTTTGCTTAGTATATTGCATTTGGTAGTTTTATTGGTAAGCAGTATTTCATTGTAAGGATGGATCAGCTAATTTATCTACCCACAATATGAAGAGCATTTGAATTGTTTCCAGTTTGAGGAGATTATGCAATAATATGCAAAACACCTAAAAGTACAGTGTTTGTTTGAGCTCTATTGGATAAATCTCACTCCCAGAGTGAGATTGCTGAGTCACATAATAAGTATATATTTAAATCTTTAAGAAACAGCAAAACTGTTTTACAGATTGACTGTACCACTTCGCATTCCCTGTGCCATATTTTAAGAGTTCATTTGCTCCACATCTTCATCAGCATTTTTATTATTTTACTTTTAATTTTAACCATTCAAGTAAATGTGGAGTGGTGTCTAGTGATTTTAATTTGCATTCCTCTAATGACTAATGATATCATGAATCTTCATATGTTTAATGGTCTTTTGTATGACTTCTTTGTAAAATGTCTACTTTTTGCTAATTTTAATTGGGCTATTATGTTTGTTATTGTTGAGTTTAACAATATTTTCTATATTCTTGTTACAAGTTTCGGATATATAATATCCAAATATTTCTCACAGTATAATATTTGTATTTTCCTCCCCAAGCTGTCTAATTTCTTTCCTGCATTTTATTTGGAAGAGCACTTCTTGCCCCTTTCCAAAAATGTAAAAGTATTATAATAATATTGGCATAATATCCTACGTCCAGAAATGTTTCTGGCATTTCCAAATGATAAAAGGTATTTTTAAAAATCTTTTTAACATTTTCAACCACAATTTATCTTAATTTGTGCCATGGAGTAACACAGTTTCTTTTCCTTCCCACTCTTTTTTCCAAGTGTTTTAAACTCTTTTTTTCTACAAGGGACAGGTTTTGGACAGTAATTTATGCTTTTATTTCAGCAGAGTCTGAGAGATTTCTCCAAGTCTGCAAAACTAAGGGAGGTTTTTCAGCGTCCTGCTGGTCCTGTGACATTACGTTCTGCTGGCCTAGATGTCTTAGTTCCAGAGGGAGGATTAGCTGCCACCAGGAGACAAAACAATGATTCCATTAAACTGAAAGTTAAGATTACTACCTGGGCACTTTGGGCTCCTTCCACCTCTAAGTCAACAGGATAAGAAGGGAGTTACAGTGTTGGCTGGGGTGACTGACCCAGATTATCAAGATGAAAACAGTCTACTACTCTATAACAGATGTAAGGATGAGTATGTGCAGAATACAGCAGATCCCTTAGTGCATCTTTTAGTATTGCCATGCCCTGTGATTAAGGTCAGTGGGAAACTACAACAACCCAATCCACACATGACTACAAATGGCCCAGACCCTTCAGGAATGAAGCTGTGGGTCACCCAACCAGGTAAAAAAGTCACAACCCATTGAGGTGCTTGCTGAAGGCAAAGCCAATACAGAATTGGGGAGTAGAATAAGGTAGTCATTCCTATTAGCTACTCCCACGTGACCAGTTGCAGAAACAAGGACTTTAATTGCCATGAGTATTTCCTCCTTATTTTGCTAAGAAGATGTTTGTGCATGTATACACTTATACAAAAAAAAAACCTTCAATTTATTTATTTTTTCTCTATCATGTGACATAAGATTTATTGACTTCGTATCAGCATTTAAGTGCTGTTAACTTTATGTAATAGCATTTAGGTTAAGGATTCGTGTCCTTCTGGTTGTACAAAGGATAGATGTATTATGTTAGGTGTAATTATGACCTTAGTATTTTCTTCCTTTGAAGATTATGTATGATTTCAGGACATGTGTATGGATTCAAGTTGAAAAGAGGTAGACTTGTGATGGTTAATATTGAGTGTCAATTTGATTGGATTGAAGGATACAAAGTATTGTTTCTGGATGTATCTGTGAGGGTGTTGCCAAAGGAGATTAATATTTGAGTCAGTAGCCTGGGAGAGGCAGACCTGCCCTCATTGTGGGTGGACACTATCTAATTAACTGCCAGAGCCACTAGAATAAAGCAGACTTGCTGAGTCTTCTGTCCTTTATCTTTCTCCCATGCTGGATCCTTCTGCCATGAAACATCAGACTCCAAGTTCTTCAACTTTTGGACTCTTGATCTTATACCAGTGGTTTGCCAGAGGCTCTTGGGCCTTTGGCCACAGACTATAGGCTGCACTGTTGGCTTCCCTATTTTTAAGGTTTTGGGACTCGAACTGATCCACCACTGGCTTCCTTGCTCCTCAACTTGCAGATGGTCTATCCCGGGACTTTACCCAGGATATACCCAGGTCTATCATGGGACTTTTCCCAAGACAGACCATCTGTAAGATGAGGAGCAAGGAGGTGAGTGAGAAGAATGTCAGTAAATTCTCCTTAATAAACTCTCTTTCATGTATACACGTATCCTATTAGTTCTGTCTCTCTAGAGAACCCTGACTAAAACAACTGCCTTTCCCTATTTTGTTCTAGGCGTATGTCTTCCTGAAGGTGGAGAATAGCCTATGATTGTGTGCAACCTGCCCTCACATTTGCGGATTCTAGAGGTTCTATTCTTTCACACTCCCTCACGCTTAATCTTTGGCAATTTGTATAAAAATAGCTACATCATTAAAAATAAATCTTAAAAACTTATGCAAAACTTTGTTAATAGGAATTAAGAACCTAAAGAAATCAAAAGATATGTTCATTGATTGGAAAACTTGATATTATTTATTCTAATACAATCCCAAAATTTTTATTCATAAAATTTGATGAGATAATTCTAAAATGTAGTTAGAAATGCAAAAAGCCTAAAAGAGTAGAAGTATTTTTTAAATTGATGAGTAAGGTTGGTGAAGGCACATTATAAAATTTCAAAATTATTATAAAGTGATACCCGCCAAGACAATGAAACAGAATAGGCAATCTAGAAATAGGCCCAAACATATATTGTTCCCTGATTTTCAAAAAAATGTGCCATGCATTACAATTGGAAATTGACTATGATTTCAAAATATGGTTGAGAAACAAAATAACAAAATGATATTCATATGGGGAAAAAATAAACCTCTGTTTACAATGTAGGGGAAAACATCAATTGGAGAAGAAACATAGATCTCAATATAAAAACTAAAACCATAAGACTCACAGAGAAAAATGTAGTAGCATGTTACAAACATTGAAATGGCCCCAGAATTTTAAATTATGACAGAGAAATCACAGATTATTTTTTAAATAGGCAAAATTTTATCAAAATCTATACTGTGCTCCTCTAAGGAACTTAGGATGTGTACCAAGAACTTCTAAAAAATTCTACAAATCAGTAAAACAGAGATCAGTAGTCTAATTTTCAAAAAGAGCTAGACAGTTGAACAGGCATGTGAGAAATTCAGCTATGCATTTGCCAGTTTGTCTCAGTCCATTCGTATTGCCATAAAAAATTAACCGAGAATGGGTAATTTATAATGAGAGATTTTTTTTCTTCCAATTCTGAAAACTGAGAAGTCCAAGGTCAAGGTGCCAGCAGGTTTGTTTTCTGCTGAGGGTGTCTCTGCTTCTAAGATGATGCCTAGTTGCTGCATCCTCTGGAGGGGCAAAGTGCTGTGTAGTGGAACATGGAAGCCCAAGTAATCTGAATGCTGCATGAAGCCTGGTGTATAGGGATCTTAATGACATTCATAAGAGAGGAGCCCTCATGTCCTAATCACTTCTTAAAGCCCAAACCTCTTAATACCATCACCTTGGCCACTGAGTTTCGACATCTGAAATTTGAAGGATATACATTCAGATCACAGCACAGTTGTATATTAGGGATATTTACATGTCCCTACTTATTAGGAACATAAAAATTACAGCTGGGAAGAATTCACTGTGCATGTTCCAAAATGGTTAAAATTTCTAGTGCTGGATAAAATGAGAAGCAACTGGAACTCTCAGACATTAGTTGTAGAAGTATACAATGGTATAACGTCTTTAGAAAACTGTTTACAGTTGGAAATAACGTTGCACATTTGCATCTCCTAAGTTTCACCCCTTTCACTCCTGAGTGCTAAGTACTATAAACAAGAGAAATTATTTCCAAAATGCTTTATACAAATATTCACAACCACTGTATTTATAATGGCTAAAACTGAAAAAAATAGATATGTAGATAAATATTTTATATATTCATAAAATTAATCTCAGATATTTTATTGTTATACTTTAGAAAAGTACAGATGAATGCATAGTTTTGCTATGAAACTGTTGCAAAAGAGTGAATTTGATACAAAACATGAGCTACAGTGATGCAAATATACTCCTGGGCAAGACTGATGATGTGAAAAAATAATAATGTAGATTGTGTTTTAGCTGAGCCAGAGAAAATTCTATATTCACTAGAAAAATGCAAAGGATATGAAAAAAGAATTTAGAATTGACCAGTTTAGCAAAACTAATTTGACCCAGTTGTATCCAAAGTTAGTATAAACAATATGAATAGAGTGAGAATAAATAAAATAGTCTTATGTGATTGTGAGAGTATGAAGTTGTGTTACATATGAACACAACTCTGGAATGTGTCTTGAGATTTTATAAATAATAAACAACGAGAGGTACTCATTTTAAATGATGCCTACATCTTTTTATTTAATTAAATACCTATCATGCTCATACCTTTTAAAAGTCTATTACATTTTGAATACAAATCAACTGTCTTTTTCACTGACATATAAGTGATATGAAACTATTAAAATACACTTTAAAATCTGAAGCAATTTATATGGTAATTTATGATTTCCTAATATCCCAAAGAAAATAATTGTATGAGTTCTATCACAAGTTAGCAATCTCTACTTTACAGCTAATTTAGGAAGTGTCTCAATAGTGCATTCAGTCTCTGTGGAAATTGGTTAAATGAGAGATACGGCAGAGTTTCAGGAACACTATAAAGATAATTTGTCACTCATATAAGAATCGACAATGTGCCCTTGCCAAAAACCCTGATAGGTTTAAAGTTTGACTTAACTTTCATTTGCCAGGTTTTTTTTTGTGTGTGTTCCATCCTTAAGTGCTTTGTCTTTGTGATTTAGTTTCCCCTAACTTTCTGTCTTTTTTCTTTTATTCTTCTACTTGTCGATCTTAATCTTACTTTTTTACCTTGCTTTGTCTCATCTAATATTTCTCATCTTTTCTCCATTCATTTTGGAATTGGTGCAATGTTATCCATATGTAAATGCTAAAATATAAAACAAAATCAAGAAGCCTTATGCCTCTGATTAACATGCATAAGCACACATACAATATTAAAACAAGAACGATAAAAACAACAAAAACCTATCAGAAAGATAAATATTGTTCTTAGAGGGCAACATCCTTTTCAATCCACTACACTTACCCAAAACGAGATTATATGATGACAATGAAAAGATGACTGTTAATAAAGAGAGGAAAAGAGAGAAATGGAACATCTGGCAGATGGTGTTTTACAGTTTTCTTCATTGAAAATGACTGTGCATTATCCACCACATTCTTAATCAACAGTAACCCCTTTCCCCATGGCATAACAAGTACTTCAAAAGTTGATAACTGTGGAGAAAAGATAAAAGAAAATAATACAATTCCTTATAATAAAGAGATAGGTTACCTGCTCAAATAATTTTAGAAATTTCAAACACTACAGTTTTAAATATGATAATTTTGAAGGCTAAAATCTATTTATTAGAAACTACCCACTGGAGTGGTAATAAACACATTTACTTTCTTTTTTCCTTCATCCTTTCCCCTTCTCTTTGCTGTGATAACCACCAATACACTTTCTATCTTCATAAAATCCACTTTTTAGCCCCACATGTAAGTGAAAACATGTCGTATCTGTGCTCGGCTTCTTTCACGTAACATAACGGCCTCCAGTTCCATCTATGTTGTTGCAAATGATGGCATTTCATTACTTTTTATGCCTGAATGGTATTCCATTATATATTTATGTGTATATATATATATATATATATGTGTGTGTATATATATAATGGAATATTATATATAATATATACTATGGAATAGTATATATGGTATATATTATGTATTATATATTATATATTATGGAATATTATAATATATATCATATAATATATATTATATATCAGATATATATATACACACACATATATATATACGCCACATTTTATTTATCCATTCACCTGTTGATGGACACAGGTTGATTCCATCTTTTGGCTATTGGGAATATGCTGCAATAAAAATTAGAGTGCAGATAGATCTTTGATATATTTATTTCCTTTCTTTAGAATATATATCCAGTAGTGGAACGGCTGAACCATATAGCAGTTTTATTTTTGTTGTTTTGAGAAACATGCATACTCTTCTCCATAGTGGCTGTACTAATTTACATTCCCACCAACAGTATATGAGGGTTCCCATTTCTCTACATTTTTGTTAGCATCTCTTATTGCCTCTATTTTTGACACAATCCATTTTAACTGTGGTGAGATGATACTGCATCATACTTTGGATTTGTATTTCTCTGAAGATTAGTGAGTCTGAGCATTTCTTCATCTACCTATTGGCTATTTGTATATCTTCTTTTCAGAAATGTCTGTTTATATCTTTTTCCATTTTATAATTGGAGTATTTTCTTTTGCTATTGAGTTGTTTGAACGCTCTGTATATTCTGGTTATTAATCCCTTGTTAGATGTATTGTTTGCAAGTATTTCCTCCCATTCTGTGGGTTGTCTCTTATCTTTGTGGATTGTTTCCTTTGCTTTGCAGAAGGTTTATAGCTTGTTGTAAAATCAACTGTCTGCTTTTTCTTTGGTTGCCTGTGCTATTGAGATCTTACACAGAAAAATCTTTGCCCAGACTAATGTCCTGCATGCAGTGTGTTTGCAATGTTTTCTTCAAGTAGTTTCATAGTTTCAGGTCTTAGATATAAGTATTTAATTAATTTTCATTTTATTTTATGTTAAGAGATAGGGTTAGTTTTATTCTTCTGCATATAGTTTTCCAATTTTCTCAGCATCCTTTATTGATGTGACTTTTCTTTCCCTGTTGTATGGTTTCGGTTCCTTTGTCAAAGATGTGTTGGCTGTAAATGTATGAATTAATATCTGTGTTCACTGTTCTGTTCCATTACTCTGTGTGTCTGTTTTCATGCCAGTACCACGCTGATTTGGTCACTCTGTCTTTGTAGTATATTTTGAAATCAGGTAGCGTGATGCCTCTAGTTTTGATCTTTTTGGCCAGGATTGCCTTGACTATTCAGGGTTCTTTGTGTTCCATATAAATTTTGGGATTTTTCTCTACTTCTGTGAAGAATGTCTGTTATGCTGACAGAGATTACACTGGATCTGTAAATTGCATTGGGTAGTATTGTCATTTTAGCAATATTAGTTCTTCTAATCTATGAACATGGAATAACTTCATTTTATTGTGTCCTCTTCAATTTTTTTCATCAGTGTCTTATAGTTTCTCTTTGTATAGATTTTGTACTTATTTGGGTAAATTTATTGCTAGGTAAGTGGGATTACTTTCTTAATATATTTTTAGATTATTTGCTATTGGTGTATATAAATGCTACAAACTTTTGTATGTTGATTTTGTATCCTGCAACTTAATTGATTTATTAGTTCTAACAGTTCTTTGTGAAGTCATTTGATTTCTCCGAGTTTAAGATCATGTAGTCTTCTAACAAGGCTAATTTGACTCTTTATTTCCAGGTTGGATGCTCTTTATTTCTTTCTCTTGCCTAATTGCTCTGGCCAAGAAATCTAGTACTGTGTTGAATACAAGTAGAAAAATGGGCCTCCTTGCCTTGTTTCTGATCTTAGAGGAAAGGCCTTCCATTTTTTCCCCATTCAGTATACTATTACCTCTGGGTTGGCCATATGTAGCATTTAATATTTTGAGGTATGTTAATTATATACCCATATTGATTAAGGTTTTTATCATAACATGATGTTGAATTTTATTGAATGCTTTTTATATGTCTATTGAGATGGCCATTTTTTGTTATTTCTTCTGTTAATATAATATATCACATTTATTGATTTGTGTATGTTGAACTGTGTTTGCATCCTTGGGATGAACCCCACTTTATTATGGTGAATAATTTTTTTGATGTATTGTCGAATTTGGTTTACTACTATTCGTTGATGATTTTTGGATCTCTGTCCATTAGTGATATTGGCCTGAAGTTTTCCTTTTCTGTTGTGTCCTTGTCTGGTTTTGGTATCAAGGTAATACTAGCCTCATTAAATGGGTCTGGAAGTATTCTGTTCTTTTCAATGTTTGTGAAGAAATTGAGTAGAAATGGTGTTAGTTCATTAAATGTTTGGTAGAATGTAGCAGTGAAGCCATGATGTCCTGGGCTGTTCTTTGCTGGGAGATATTTTACTATAGCTTCAATCTCCTTAATCATTGTTGGTTTATTGAGGTTTTCTATTTCTTGAATATTTGGATGTTTTATGTGTCTGGAAATGTATCCAATTCTGTTAGATTTTTCAATATATTGGCATATAGTTTTTCATAATAGACTGATAATTCTTTGTCTGGTGTTGGTTGTTATTTCTTCATTTCTGATTTTATTTATTTGGGTCTTCTCTGTTTTTTCCTAGTTAGTCTAGCTATAAGCTTGTCAATTTTGATTTTTTAAAAAAACAACTTGTTTTGTTGATTTACTATATTTTTTTAATTCTCAAATTTATTTATTTATGCTCTGATTTTTTATCTTCTTCTACTGATTTTGGGTTTCATATTTCCTTGCTTTTCTCGTTCCTCAAGGTACATCATTACGTTCTTTATCTGAAGCTTTTCCACTTTTTTGCTTTAGTTGATTGATATAAGCTTCCCTCCTAGTATTGCTATTGCTGTATCCCATAAATTTCAGTATGTTGTATTTCCATTATCATTTGTTTCAAGACATTTTAAAATTTTCTTCTTAATTTCTTCATTGAGCTATTGGTCATTTAGGAACATGTTGTTTAATTTCCACGTGTTTGTGACGTTTCCAAGGTTCTTGTTACCGATTTCTAGTTTTATTCCATTGCGGTCAGAAAAGATATTTGATATGATTTCCACTTTTTAAAATTTGTTCAAACTTGTTTTTTGGCCTGAGATTTGGTTTATTCTAAAGAATGTTCCATGTGCCCAGGAAATAACGTGTATTCTACAGCAGTTGTGTGAAATGCTCTTTAAACATTAGTTAAGCCTATTAGTTCTAGTGTGTAGTTTAACATTGATGTTTCTCTGTTGATGTTCTCTAGATGAGTTGGTTTCTAGCTGCAGTGAATACTTTTTTCCACCCCTTTATTTTCAGTCTATGTGTGTCTTCATAGCTGAAGTGGGCCTCTTGTGGGTCTTGGTTTTTATCTGTTAAACTACTCTAGGCCTTTTAAATAGAGATTTGTGGCCATTTACATTGTGTTTTTATTGCTAAGTAAGAATTGCTACTGCCATTTTATTGCCTTCTTTCTGGTTGATTTCTAACTCCTCTCTTTTTTTCTTCCTTTGTCACCATCTTCCTTTGTGGTTAAATGATTTTCTCTACCAGTATATTTTAATTTGTTACTTGTTATTTTTCCTGAATCTGTTATATGTTTTTGCACTGTGGTTACTATGAGGCTTACAAAAAACATTTTATGGATATAATGTTATTTTAAAGAGATAACAACTTACGTTAGATCACACAAATATAGAAACAAAACAACCTCATCTCTACTAAAAATACAAAAAATTAGCCGGGCGCGGTGGCGGGCGCCTGTAGTCCCAGCTACTCCGGAGGCTGAGGCAGGAGAATGGCGTGAACCTGGGAGGTGGAGCTTGCAGTGAGCCGAGATCGCGCCGCTGCACTCTATCCTGGGCGACAGAGCGAGACTCCGTCTCAAAAAAAAAAAAAAAAAAAAAAAAAAAGTAAATCTACACTTTAATTCCATGACTGTATATTTTCAAATAGCTTCTCTTTGAGCTCACTGAGTTTCTCCTCTACTTGATCCATTCAGCTAGTGAAAGCCTCTAGTGAATTTTTCAGTTCAACAAATGTATTTGTCAGTTTCAAAATTTCTGTTTGATTTTGTCTGTTATTACAATCTCTTTGTTATATTTCTCTAACACAATTCTAAATGGCTTTTCTGTGTTATCATGAAGATCACTGAGTTTCTGTAGAACTGCAGTTTTAAATTCTTGGTCTAAGAGTTCACATGCTGCCATCGTGTTGGGATCAGTCAATGGATTCTTGCTTGTTCATTTGGGGAGATAATGATTCTTGTTTGTTGTTGTTACTTATGGATATGGATGTATGTCTATGTCTTTGCATTGAAAGATTAATTTTTGTTCTAGTCTTCTCTGTCTGATGTATTTTAGCATTTACTGAATATACTTTCTTAGATGTACTTTACTGCTAGGTCGCTGCTCTTTTTTGGTCTCTAAATGGTGCCTTAAGTCCTGGTTCACCTTGTATCCTGGATCACTAGTATAGGATCAGAGTACTGCCCTTCTCGAATGGGAGACATTACAATGGGGATGTCTGGCAGTGTGGCAAGGCTGGCTAGGTCTTTGTGCCCAGGGCACCTGGCACTGCCTACAGCATGGAACTACTGGACAGACATTCTGATTTTGTGTCTCCTTTGTCGAAGTTACAAAGCAGAGTTTCCAGGGTTGGGGATGGTATTCCCACCTTCACCCATTGTCTCTGCTTGTTCTCAGAGGTATTTCTCCCTTCACGCACTCATGATGCGTCCTGTGGGTTAAGGCAGGGACACATCTCCTGTGAGGTAACTCAAGATTGTGGAGAAGCTAGTTGTCCACGTCGATCTCACTTTTGCCAGTATAAACTGTGAATTGGGGGAATATTTTTTATGTACTTTGTGCCAGGCAGAATAAGAAGATGGGCATTGCAAATAGGAAAACCCTATTCTCTTATCATATGCTCAAAGTTTTTTTTTTACTTTTCTCTGGCCCCAGCAACTGTCTTGTCTTCATATTTGAATTCTGGAACATTGCTGGTGATAATCTCAATGCTGTCATTTTTGGATTTCTGTGGTGAAAAGGAGTAATGCCGTCTTGCTTCTATACCATCATTATGGAACCAGAAGTCCTGAATTCTTTATTTACATGTTCCGTTCAAACCTGTCCACAGTAATCCTGATGGCCCTGACCACAGATCTGTGTTTGCCTTTCTTGCTAGTGTTTACCGTCATCTCCTAACCGATAATATATTGACTTATTATGATTATTATCTCTCTTTTCCCAGGGATCACTGGCTGATGTTTACATTATTGAATTCTGAGAGTCCACATCTATGATAAGCATTCAACATTTATTTGTTTAATACAAAATCAGTGGTCTGAGGCGAATTACTAGTCTCTGTCTGCTTCTAACCTGGTCTACTACATTCAGTAATCTTTATGACTCATGCCTAGACTCCTCTAAAATACTTTTTCTACCACAGTAAGGGAAAGCTTTCTAAATCACATTTCTGATGCTGTTATGTACTTTAATTAAAATACCTGTAACCATTTACTTTGAAAGTAGAATAACATTAAACCAGTAAGTTTACTTATGTGTTTTGCTATTACTTGGCCATTTTTTTTTCTTTTCTAACTTCATTTTTTTATTATAGCCTTTTTTCTTATTGTCATAGTCAAATCATACTGAACATTTTATTTTCCTAGAGAAAAGGTTATCTCTATATTTTGTTTCCGATACTTCTCATGGGAAGATTTTTTGTCCGGCTCTTTACTTGATTAATTCTTACTGTATTTCATATTAGCTTCTTTTTCTCCAAAAAAAAAAACACCTGTCTTGATGCAGTCCAGGTTAGCTGCTTAGCTACAGTTTACGTCTTTGAAAATTTTACAGTGAATTAATTTGTTTGTTCAATGAACTTATAATATCAAATTTTAGAGAGTATATGTTTATTTTTCAAAATATGAAGCCTCAAGAAATAACACATTCACTATCTAGCACATAGTTATTCACTCAACATGTATTTATTGACTCATTGATGTGAAATTGTGTTGGCTAAAGTGCTTGGCTCTTCAAAATGATTTCTTTTTCTTCTTTTTTAAAACAAATCTTTTGTTTCCAATAAACCATTACATTATGTTGTGATGATGAACCTTGTCCATGAACTACAGCTGTAGACATAAAACCCAGATTTGAAAAATTGCAAATTTCCCCAGGAATTTCTGTCAAAATTATCAAGACATGTGGTTCTGGGATTAAAGACTTAAATCTGAGATCTGAAACTACAAAACTACTAGAAGAAAACATTAGGGGAATGCTTCGGGATATTGGTCTGGGCAAAGGTTTATTGTGTAAGACATCCAAAATCTCAAGAAGTGTCTCCCACTTGTGGTTAAGTAGGGAGTTGTGAAAGGCAGAATTCAAGGCTAATCCCCAAAATTTACACCAGCTGCAGCACACTCCTTTTATAATCACTTCCTATATAAACTTGGATACTTTTCAACTATCTAACAATGCCTGGATTTCATATATTTATTTGATATTGTTTCTTATAGTAAATATTAACCTAATTTGGCATTGTTGTATTTTTTAAAGACTAAAGCGCACCATCTGATTGTAAAGTTGCAAAGCATGTGGTCTTAATTAGCGCGTTGGGGATGCCTAGAAAATTAAGTTCAATGAATTGTATAATATGTTAATTGACAAATAAGCAAAACAAATATTTGAGAAAATTGCAATTTTAGTTTGACACTCCCTCTATTAAATTGCAATTTCTCACTTGCTGATGCGCCATAAGACATGGCACAATATCTTCAAAGATAATTTTCCCATAATATTTTAAGCCACGTGATACAATTAATATACAGTATTCAAGCTATTAAAATATTTTTGAGAGATAAACATTTAGCTTTAAACTTTAAATAACCCACATAATTTAATATTGTTATCTTAACTATAATTTAGCATATACTTTTTCTTTGGTAATGAACATCATTATTATGGAATTGAAATTGAAATCCATTCTATTCCATTAGAATAAAATATATTAATTTAATATCTTAATTTTATGTTTCAGAAAATTTGAATTAGTCAAACAGTAGTTCATTATAGTGTAGATTTTAGTAGTGTATATGTTTCTCAAAGTCCATTAATATTGTTTTTATTACTTCAGCAAGATATTAGCATGTATAGCAACTTCAGTACAATATCAGAAAGAGGTTTACCTTCTGAACGATTAAATTTTCTCATTAAAATCAAAGGGATAAATTCAATTCCATGGGACAAAAATAAGCTAAAATAATGTGTGTAAAGGGCTTTACAGAGTTTCAATGATACACTGAACGCACGAGCATTCTCAGCTGTCTCACATCATGTTCTCTGTGTTTGACTTCCCTTCCTCCTTCCTCCCTTCTAGACTAAATTAGAAGGACAGGATAAACTGATGCAATGTGTCCAAACATATGGATTTGGGCCAGTCCTCTATGGAGTTCTACTTTGTATCAAAATATCACTAATTTTATACAAATCTTTAAAACAAAGATATTCTGCATGTCCTAATGCTAAATATTAAATCCATCATAGTTATGAAAGTAAATTTACAATAAAAATATCACTTCTGATTGATAATTGAGGAAACATAGACTATTAGGAAATCTTTTACAAAAGAGTGTATATATCCTCACTGACAATTTATCCAACCTAATTAGCCTAGGTATTAGAAGAAAATTGCATTTGTTTTTTATACATCAGTTGAGAGATGGTGATTAATAGTAAATTCCTTGAAGTCAACACCTTAGCTACAGTTAACATCTCTCTTGAGTTTAAATAAATGGAATACAGTAAATAATAGTTTTTTTTAAGCACATAGGTAAATTCAACCAGCATCTCAAAATATCTGGATGGAACATAGTCTTCTGGAATTAACTTTGTAATTGTTCTGTTACAAATCCCATCAGACTTCCAGTGGGGACTGTGTGGGGGCCTCAACTCCACATTTCCCTTCCATACTGCCCTAGCAGATGTTTTCCATGAGGGCCCCACCCCTGCAGCAAACTTCTGTCTGTACATCCAGGCATTTCCATACATCTTCTGAAATCTAGGCAGAGGTTCCCAAACCTCAATTCTTTACTTCTGTGCAACCGCAGGCTCAACACCACATGGAAGCTGCCAAGGCTTGGGGCTTGTACCCTCCGAAGCCACGGCCCAAGCTGTCTTTTTGCCCCTTTTAGCCATGGCTAGAGCGGCTGGGATGCAGAACACCAAGTCCTTAGGCTGCACAGAGTAGGGGGGCCCTGGGCCTGCCCACAAAACCACTTTTTCCTCCTAGACCTCTGGGCTTGTGATGGGAGGGGCTGCCACAAAGGTCTCTGACATGCCCGGGAGACCTCTTCCCTATTGTCTTGACAATTAACATTTGGGTCCTCATTACTCATGCAAATTTCTGCAGCAGGATTGAATTTCTCCTCAGAAAATGTGTCTTTCTTTTCTGTCACATCAAGCTGCAATTTTTTTGAACTTTTATGTTCTGTTTCCCTTTTAAAACTGAATGTTTTTAACAGTACCCAAGTCACCCCATGAATGCTTTGCTACTTTGAAATTTCTTCTGCCAGATGCTCTAAATCGTCTCCCTAATGCTCAAAGTTCCACAAATCTCTAGAGAAAGGGAAAAATGCCACCAGTCTCTTTGCTAAAATATAACAAGTGTCACCTTTGCTCCAGTTCCTAACAAGTTCCTCATTTCCATCTGAGACCACCTGAGTCTGGATTTCATTGTCCATATCATTATCAGCATTTTGGTTAAAGCCATTCAACAAGTCTCTAGGAAGTTTCAAACTTTCCCACATTTTCCTGTCTTCTTCTGAGCCCTCCAAACTGTTTCAGCCTCTGCCTGTTACCCAGTTCCAAACTCGCTTCCACATTTTCAGGTATCTTTTCAGCAGTGCCCCATGCTACTGGTATCAATTTACTGTATTAGTCTGTATTCATGCTGCTGATAAAGACATACCTGAAACTGGGTAATTTATAAGAAAAAGAGGTTTAATGGACTCACAGTTCCACGTGGCTGGCAAGGCCTCACACTCACAGTGGAAGGCAAAAGGCATATCTTACATGGCAGCAGACAAGAGAGAATGAGAACCAAGTGAAAGGTATTTCCCATTATAAAACCATCAGATCTCATGGGACTTAATCATTACCATGAGAACAGTATGGGGGAAACCGCCCCTATGATTCAATTATCTTACACCAAGTCCCTCCCACAACACGTGGGAATTATGGGAGCTACAACTGAAGTTGAGATTTGGATGGGGACACAGCCAAACCATATCAGCTATTGCCTTTGGGAAAAGAGATATTTACCAAAGAGAATAAATTGGTCATTGAATCCATTGATTCTAAGAAAGAAAGGTTATCTCTGTTCTCAGTCTCACTTTCTGTGAAAGAGGTTACAGATCCAGGATAGAAGCAGACATTTATAGTATGTTACTCTACTAAATAGTATAGGAAATAGAATTTTAAGTATTTGTGTATCTAAACATATCTAAGCACAGAAAAGTCATAGTAAAAAATGGCATAAAAGACTAAAAGTGGTACACCTATATAGGGCACCTATGATGAATGCAGCTTGCAAGACCGAAATTTCCTCAGTGAGTCAGTGAGTGAGCAGTGAGTAAACATGAAAGCCTAGGATATATGTATACGCTGCTGGAGACTTTATAAACACTCTACACTTAGGCTACACCACATTTATTTTTTTAATACTTTTTCCCAATGATAAATTAACCTTAACTTACTATAAATTTTTACTTTATAAACTTTTTATATACTATTAACTATTTGAGTCTTTTATAATAACACTTAAAACACATTGTATAGTTGTAGAAAAATATTTTCTTTATATTCTTTCTATAAGCTTTTTCCTATTTTTAAATTTTTAAATTTACTCTACAAACTTCTTTGTTAAGAGTAAGACACAAATACACATATTAGGCTAGGGTACCAGAGTCAGCATCATCAATATTACCATCTTCCACCTCCACATCTCGTCCCAGTGGAGGGTCTTCCGGGCAATAACATGCATGGATCAGTCATGTCCTACGATAACAATGCTTTCATTTGGAAGACCTTCTGAGGTACTTGCCAGAGGCTGTTTTACAGCTAACTTTGTTTTAATATGTAGAAGGAGTACACCCTAAAGTAGCAATGAAATATAGTATAGTTATGCAGCCATTAAAAAGGATGAGTCATGTCCTTTGCACGGACATGGATGAAGCTGGAAGCCATCATTCTCAGCAAACTAACACAAGAACAGAAAACCAAACACTGCATGTTCTCACTCATAAGTGGAAGTTGAACAATAGGAACACATGGACACAGGGAGGGGAACATCACACACCAGGGCCTGTTGAGGGGTGGGGGACTGGGGGAGGGATAGCATTAGGAGAAATACCTAATGTAGTTGATGGGTTGATGGGTGCAGCAAACCACCATGGCATATGTATACCTATGTAACAAACCTGTACTTTCTGCACATGTACCCCAGAACTTAATGTATAATTTAAAAAATCAATTCTATTCCTATATGCTAGGAATAAACAATCAGAAATTGAAAAAAATATATATATAGTATAGTAAATACATAAACTAGTAAGTTTATTATCATTACCAAACTTTATGTACTGTACTTAATTGTATTGCTGTATTTTCATATGACTGGAATCACAGTAGGTTTTCTTACACTAGCATCACCAGAAACACGTGAGTATTGTGTTGTAATATGACGATATGAAGGCTGTGACATCAGTAGGTGATAGCTCCATCATAATCTTATGAAACCACCATTCTATAAGTGGCCCATCATTCACTGAAACATTGTGATGTGATGCATGAATGTGCATGCAGTAGTTTGTCTTTTCATCCTGCTTGATTTTGGACTTGCATGGGCCCTGAAACCCCTTTGTTTTGGCCACTTTCTCCCATTTTGAATGGCTGTATTTACTCTATACCTGTACCCCCATTGTATCTAGGAAGTAACTAGATTGCTTTTGATTTTACAGGCTCATAGGTAGAAGGTACTTGCCTTTTCTTGGATAAGACTTTGGACTGTGGACTTTTGGGTTAATGCGGCAATGAGTTAAGACTTTGGGGGACTGTTTGGAAGGCATGATTTGTTTTGAAATGTGAGGACATGAGATTTGGAAGGATGAGGGGTGGAATGATATGGTTTGCTGTGTCCCCACCCAAATCTCAACTTGAATTGTATCTTCCAGAATTCCCACATGTTGTGTGAGGAACCCAGGGAGATGTAATTGGATCACAGAGGCTGGTCTTTCCCATGCTATTTTCATGATAATGAATGAATCTCATAAGATCTGATGCATTTATCAGGGGTTTCTGCTTTTGCTTCTTCCTCATTCTCTCTTGCCGCCACCATGTAAGAAGTACCTTTTTCCTTCCATCATGATTCTGAGGCCTCCTCAGACATGTGCAACTGTAAGTCCATTTAAACCTCTTTTTCTTCTTAGCCTTGTGTCTTTATCAGCAGTGTGAAAACAGACTAATACAATTACCATACTATAATAGTTAAAATTTAAGTTTTGCAAAATAAAGTGTATGTGAAAATACAGAGCAACTGGAATTCTTGAATGTTACTTATGAGAATGCAAATTGGTGAGCTTCTGTAGAAAACATTTTGTCAATTTCTTACAGTGTTAATCATATACTTTCCATAAGATCTACAGTTTTACTGCTGAGTAATTATTCAAGAATAATAAAAAAAAACATATGTTCACACGAAGATATTTGCTTGAATGGTTTTTTTGGCTTTATTCATGGTAGCTAAAAAAATGAAAAAATAAAATGAAACAATAAATTTTCATCTGTCTACTATCAGATATACAAATAAAGGCCATAAAATAGAATATTGTTCAACAATAAAATGAACCAAATACTTGTATATAAGCAATAACATGAATTAATCACCAGGGAATGGCAAATGAAAAAAACAAAAAAATTCACAAACTATAATAAATTCTATTAAAAGTAAAAATGTTGAGATTGCAAAACTTTATTGACAGAAAGCAAAAACAATGGTGCTGGTGGGAGAGGTGACTGGCTGGAAAAGTATACAAGGGGGAATATAGGCTATGGAAATATTCTATATAATGATTGACAAAACTCAGTGAATGATACCTTTAAAATTAACTTTTGTCTGATGCATGGTATTTACAAATAATCATAGGGTCAAATCATACATGCTAGAATCAATATAGTGGAGCAGCTAACATTAGTAAATAGCCCATCTACACATTTATTATGTGTAATCAATAGGTTCATACAAAAGCACTTTAATACTTCACTCATACCCAATTGCCTCTTTCCATCACTTAAAAATTATGGTTAGTAATGAATCCCAATCCAAAAAACTATTCCTCTTAATTCCCTAGACTAACCTCCATTAATCATTTAGGTGACAGAAGAAGAGAATTGTTTAAAAGTCATTTGCCAAACGATTACACCATAGATCAAATTATCAGCCCAGACTGGATACATTGGGTGTAGCTTTAGAAAAATTTTATGAACACTGAAATTACAACTGGCTCCCAAGTCTTCTCTCAATTATACTTCTCAAACCCCCCAACACAATATAATGCACATATAATGACATAATAAATGCACAACTGCTATAGATATTGATGGCAGCGGTGGCCCGTCTGGAGCAGCCAATGCAGGGAAACAAGCTGCAATCAAGGAGGCACGGCTGGGGCTGCACACTCCACAGAGCCAGCAGGGGCTGGAAAAAGGTGGGAGTCCCATGGCCTACCGAGTTGGCAGGGCAGGAGCCCCACACTCCCAGGTGCAGCTGCAGCCACTTAGCCATTGTGCTGGACCTGGGAATCCCTGCATTCTCAAGGCTCTGGAAAGCCTTCTGCCCCTCCGGCTCAGAAGTGCCTGCTCCCACTCCCTGACCTCTCTCCCCTCCCAGCGCCCTCTCCATTGCAGAGCAAAGTCATGGCCAAACCTGGGCACTTTTGTGACCCAGCTGGGTCTGTGGGTGCTTGGGGTGGTACTGACATGCTAGCCCCCTTGTGCCTCAGTCTCCTCTGGACTTTGGGTGCCAATAAGCATAGGAGAGAATCTGGGCGGTTCTGAGGGTAGCTTGTCATGGACCTGCAGGTGCCCCTTTGGTCCAAACAACCTGGGCACCGTGGACAGCATGTTGATGGTGTCAGGAGGCAGAGAGGTTCCTAGGCGGGAAAGGGCAGGTCCCCCTGAAGCATCACATTCAAGCCAGGGACCACTTGAAGTTTGGCAGCTGGGCTGCCAGTTCCTGTTAGAATCCATGACCCAGAGCAAGAACTTATGGTGTCTTTTCTAGGCCTGCCCATGGCGTCCCATGGACCAATCAATCAGCACGCACTTCCACCCTCTGAGCCCATAAAAACCTCAGGCTTAGCCAGACTCATACACTCTTGGGGACAACCTGCCTGTGCAAAAAAACTATCTACTTCAGGTCTCCTGAGAGCTCTTATGTCAGTCAATAAAACTCCTCTCCATCTCGTTACCCTCTAGTTATCCACACAACCTCATTCTTCCTGGATGCAGGACAAGAACTTGAGACCCACAGAACGACAGGAGTGAAAGGAGCTGTAACACATTCCTGGCTTGCTGAGCTGCAGATGGTGACATGCTGCCAGACTGTGAAAGTGAAGGGTGGGGAGCCTTCGGGGACCCAGACCTCGAGATCCCCCAAGCCAGAGCTGCTGTAACACTATAGCTCTTGCGCCCTCCACCGACACCAAGTGACCGTGTCACACAACGGGAAGCAGCGGTAGGGCCAGGCCAGCCCAGGAACCACAGGCTGGAGTGGGGAAGCAGGATTGAAAGAGCTGTAACAAAAACAGGCCAAAACATGCCCCACTGCTCGCCACACTGCTGACGATGAGAAGCAGAGAAGAGCTGTTGCCCTTCTCGTGATCCAGACCTTGGCTCCCCAAGCCTGGGCTGTGATATGCTGTAACACCTTCTTTGGGGCTCTGTAGTTCCTAGCATCTCTGAGCTTTTGGGCACCACAGTGTTCCCTGGTGCCCACACCAAGGGTGTGGAGCACCCTTGCTCCAGCCACAGCCTCTCACGGAGCTGGTGCCTGTGCTAGCTCTTGGAGCTGCCCATCCCACTGCAGCTGGTGCGCCTGGCTGTGCGCAGTGGCCAGACCCCATGTTCACTCATCCACACATCCCTCATTACTCCATGCCTGGCTTGCCCTTGACAGGTGTGGGATCCACGCCAGTAGCTCAAGCTGAGTTCAGTCTGTCAGGCTGAGTGGGCAGAATGACCCCAGCAGGTGTGAGTAATACCCCAGCAGGGGTGATGCTGGCCACAGAGGTTTCTGGCTGGCAAAGCGACACCCTGAGGATCCTGTGACAATGTTATACATATGTATAATCTGAGTGAGGTGATGATGATGAAGAGAAAAGTCAAACAACTCTCTCTTTATCCACACATCACTCTGTAGACAGAAACAATTCTCCAATGGGACAGTAAGGCTCTCACTTAGGAGAAAGCAAAGTTGTACAGTGGATCCAGGAAGAAATGAAAGACAATTGACACGCTGAGCAAGGACCCTATTTTCCCTACTTTAAGTCAAATCTTAATACAAAATCACACACTTAGAAACTGTTGATTCCCCATGAGAAACAGGAGAACATGTTAAGAAGAAAAAAGAATTATTAGTGATTTTGCAGGAGAGCACCTGGCACCTAGGGGTGCCTCTCCTTTTAACAGAGCTATTTCTGACTTAGGGTACAGAATCAGGTAATTCTGTAACTTGAATGTAGAGGTAGTTAATAGAATTAGCTCAATTGCTGTGCAAAATAATGTGGCAGGAATACTTTTACTGTGGCTCTGAGGCAGTCAATAGAAAAAAAATCACACATTTGATTGACTTGAGTGTTTTAAGAGTGGGGATATTTAATCCTTGGTATCAGTTAATGCTGTTGTCTACTCATTGCTGTTGTTAGCCTGCGTGGGAGAATATAAAAAGGAGTTTAAGTTCTACATTCAAGTAGGTATAAGTCAAAGAGATGGGAAGAGATGTTCATAATAAATGAGATACAAGTAATATTAAGTATAATGGTGAAGGCAGAATTCTCAGCCAGAGACACCCTTAAAGACACACACCTCCTTGAATCTGGAGAAATGATGAGGTGGTTGTGGTTTAAAAGGCTTAAGTAATGGGAGTATGCCCCTCTGGTGCCATTGAAGACCTGCTCCTGTGTACATAGGGTCACGCGGATAAGGAGACAGTATTTTTCAAGTACTATGAGTTGATTATATAAAACAGAGAGACAGTTTTTCATTAAACACTATTTTACTATTGTTTTTAGTGGCATAGAATGAATGAGTCTGCAAAACACTTACTGACACTGTTCTTACCATGAACAAAATCATTTACCTTTAATATTTAATAAAAAACTTGCTTGGCATAATTCCTGAATGTTAGCTTTATCCAGATGATTTAAGAAAGACTTTTTAACAATATAGTATGGTACAAAGATTGATGAGACACTTGCTTATAAACATTTCAGAGGAAAAATAAAAAATTACATGTGATCAAAAGAAACAACTACTTCATTACAGTTTATATTAAAGTATGCTATATTAGTCTATTGTATATTTTCTAATTATTCTGAAATTTATTTCTGCATGTACATTATAATTTCAATTACAGAATGTTATACTGTATTATCAAACCCCAAATAAATTTTAATTCATAGAACAGAAATGCATGTATAATCTAAGAAAATTTGATTTTATAATCATCCATTGCCATTGATATATACTATTTTTTAAGTTTTTTTTGCTCAATTTTTGCTTTTTTTATAAAATGAATTGTTCATACTTCTAAAAATTATATGATAAAAATTAAAGGGTTGTTCCAAAATGGCTAATTACTTATATTAATAATTAAATTAAATAATTAAAATATTTTGATTATTTTCTTATGTATATCCAAACATACTTTTTGCTAAATCATTCCTGGTGAGAAGTTTTATCAGCATGTGGCATTTGGATTGTTTATTGATAAATTTATTCACTTATGATTTTCACAGGTTTGTAGATCATCCAATATTTTTAACTAGGAGTGATGACTCACCCGGGTGTTGACTTTTGAAGCATCAACAATAATTGAGGGTACTATCACTATTGTTTATTCACAATAATCAAACCAATTATATAAGACAGCACAGAATATAGGAGAGATTCATATTTGGAACTAATAAATGAATTCAAGAATGGTTAATAATCAATTACAGATGACATTTGGTGGTTTTCATTGTAAGAAAGTTTACAGGATGTGACTCAGGAGACAAATAAATTTTAAATGAAAAGAAAGACTTTTTCAAGGACCATCAAAGAAGCAGTATCCAGAGCATTGTTAGGCAGTTTCAATCGTTTCTAGAAAAGGTCAGACGCTGACTTGTGCTGTTATTTAAAAAATACAAAATGTGCTTTATAGAGGATAATTAGTTGATAAAGAAATATATACTGTTAGTAGGGGATTTTATGTTAGTGATTAACATGACACAATAGTTTGAAATGTTATACGTTAGGGTTTATAATCAACTATGTTAATTTAATGAATTAGCCCGTAAGTCAATGCTTTATATGAAATATATAAATTATCGAATATTATATTTTCTATAATAAAAGGAGAAAAACATTACCTACCCTTTATGGAGTAATTGATTAGATCATTTATTACAATTTACTAGGTTTAAGGAAGCTGGTACGAAATTAGATATTTATGCAGATGAATATGATCTGCTTTATCTCAACTTATACTAAAAGAAACATCATAATCAAATGGCAATTAGATCTCTATGTTAAGATCTCACAGTGCCACATGATCTAGGAAGAATATTAGATAAATGATGAACTCCTTGATTTCAGTTCCTCCATTAACAAAATAAAGGGTTATGTCACTTCTAGATATAAAGTTTAACAGTTTAGTATTCCCTTGTTGAATAAGACAAAGGCTATATTTTCCAAATGAAAAGAAGTCATTTTAAGACACTTCTTTAATTTAACAAAGTATTATTTAAAACTACATGCCTATGTATATCACTTAGTTTGCCATATAATGATGTAAATCACATTTCAAGTTTATAGGCCATTAGTAGCCTGAGATCTAAAGTGTGTCAAGTTATTAGCCTATAAACATTTATAAAATTCTAATATTCTTTTCATTTCAAAATTTGATTTGTATTTTATGGGCTGAAAAATACAGTGTAAAAATAAAGTTAATTGAATTTTTTAAAGTCAATTATTTATGGTAAACAAAAAATCAAAATGTAACAAAATATCAAATTCAATCAAATCTTACTGCAAAATAATACTATATTTTAATTGACAAATATTGTCAATTAAAAATAAATTGAAAAGTTAAAAAAACTTTTAAAATAAAATTTAAATTTGTTTTAAAATAAATTTTAAAATAAAACTTTGAGTAAATAAAACTATAGGTAATTGGTAATCTTGAAATCCCCATGAGAAAAGTTTAAAACAGTATTCAGATTAGACCACGGCTGCCACTTAAATTTCCCATGCCATAATGAGTATTTTTCATAGTATAGATGTTGCATCTTGGGAAAATAAATTAGGCACTAGAAGTTTATCATATGTTTTCATGCAGAATATGGCTTAGAAACATCCAGCATTTTCGGCCAGGCATGGTGGCTTACGTTTGTAATCCCAGCACTTTGGAAGGTGGAGGTGGTCAGATCACTTGTGATCAGGAGTTTGAGACCAGCCTGACCAACATGCTGAAACCCTGTCTCTACTGAAAATGCAAAAAAAAAAAAAAAAAAAAAAAATTGCTGAGCTTGGTGGTGTGTCCCTATAGTCACAGCTACTCAGGAGGCTGAGTCAGGAGAATTGCTTGAAGCTGGGAGATGGAGGTTGCAGTGAGCTGAGATTGAGATCCTGCCATTGCACTCCAGCCTGGGGACAGAGCGAGACTCAGTGTGGGGTGGGGGGGAGTAAAAAAGAAGAAATATTCAACATTTTCAACGTCATTCTCAGTTGCATATATCAGTGATGTACTTTGTTTTATGCCCCATTTAATATTTGTTTGCTGTTAAACTTGCTAAAAATGTTTGCCTCAATGAAAGCTATACATTTTACCTTTGAGAACATTTTCCCTTATTTCAACCTTAAAGAACATACATTTAAGTACATCAGTCATTAATTTTTAAAAGGTGCAAAGAAAAAGAAAAAATGAATTTGATAGTTTTCCTCACCAAAATGAAAATGCTTCATCTTACATACTTTGTAGTATTTTGAAGAATGCTCAGAAGTTCATCTGATTATACATTATACAGAAGTGAGAGTGTAATTCAAAGATGTTCTAGACTAGGAAGATGAGAGTGATGAAGCATATATAACTCCTCCCAAGATATAATGAGTTGAGAATTAAAGTTTGCTAAGTGTTACTGAATCACTATAGAATAAATCCACAATAATGAATAAATCAACACAGATTAAAATGGACAATGACTTTTCTGCTGCAATGTGTCAATAAAAGATGCAAAGCTACTCAGCATGTTAGTTCAAAAACAGTCCTTCTAAAATCTCTTTAAAATGAATTAGTTTACACTCAACTAAAAAAAGACAGAGTTTTTTTCAGTTTTATTCTGAAATAATTTCTGTGGAAAGGAGAAAGTGAAACAGAATTCTATAAAGGAAATGGGTAAGGAGAAGAATGTCTATGAGAAAGCTTTTCTGCCAGGTTACTTTAGAAATATTTTGATACGACTTATATGTTATTTGTTTAACAATATGAAGAAAATATGTTCCTTATGTCTGCTAGAGCTAATTTACAATTAATTTACCAAAGTAAATTTTAACTGAACAAAGACTGTCATAGATTGTGATGGTTAACACTGAATGCCAACTTGTTTGGATTCAAGGATGCAAAGTATTGTTCCTGGGTGTGTCTGCGAGGACGTTGATAAAGGAGATTAACATTTGAGTTAGTGGAGTTGGAGAGGCAGACCCACCCTCCATCTGGGTGAGCACCATCTAATCAGCTGCCAGCGCGGCCAGAATAAAAGCAGCCAGAAGAACGTGGAAAGACTAGACTTGCTGAGTCCTATGGCCTCCATCTTTCTCCTGAACGACATGCTTCCTGCCCTTGAACATCAGACTCCAGCTTCTTCAGCTTTTGGACTCTTGGACCTACACCAGTGGTTTGCCAGGGGCTCTCAGGCCTTCGGCCACAGGCTGAAGGCTACACTAACAGCTTCCCCACTTTTGAGGTTTTGGGACTCGGGCTAGCTTCCTTGCTCCTCAGCTTGTAGACAGCCTATTGTGGGACCTAACCTTGAGATCGTGTGAGTCAATACTCCTTAATAAACTCACCTTTATACATACATCTACCATATTAGTCCTGTCCCTCTAGAGAACCATGACTAATACATAGATTATGTATGTTAGATTGCCAAAATTTTTACCTGTTATTTTTCTCATCTCTAAATTGAAGAACAGCAGTAACCACAACCCTACTAATGGTGTGTTCTCTATGAGAAAAAAACCTATTGAATTCATTTTTTTTTTTTTTTTTTTTTTGAGACACAGTCTTGCTCTGTCGCTCAGGCTGGAGTGTAGTGGTGCGATCTCGGCTCACTGCAAGCTCCGCCTCCCGGGTTCACGCCATTCTCCTGCCTCAGCCTCCCGAGTAGCTGGGACTAGAGGCGCCCGCCACCAAGCCCGGCTAAATTTTTGGATTTTTTTAGTAGAGACGGGGTTTCACCGTGTTAGCCAGGATGGGCTCGATCTCCTGACCTCGTGATCCGCCCACCTCGGCCTCCCAAAGTGCTGGGATTACAGGCATGAGCCACAGCGCCCGGCCTATTGAATGCATTTTAAAGCATATTGCAAACTTGAAAACAGTTGATGTTGTATTTGTTAATTAATTAATTATTATTTTGTTTATGTACATAGAAGAATTGGCAAATAAGTTTATTGTGAGAGTTACAACCTCAGATCTTTGTGTAAAGCCATGTCACATATCCTTCCATTGTACTACAGGGCTGTGTATTATGGACAATATTAAAAATATTTTTAAATTATAAATTTTAAAATACGTAACACTAAAAATATATATTCTCATGTGCTTTAAATTTCTAATTTGCCACCTCTGGGGACCATAATCTTCATTTCCCATTTCACCAGGGCCCAACATCTTCTGCTAACATTTTGCAGTAACTGAACTAAATCTAATTGCACACTTTAAAATGAAGACGAAAAAGAAAAATAGTCTGCTAAAACTAAATATACACAATGTCATTACAACACACTAAACTGCACACATAATGCCTGAATGTATATTTAATTACAGTGTATAATACAATGCATCAAGTAAAAAACAAATATGCATAGTAATACACAGGTACACAAACAATATAATATACATTCCACAGCATATTATTTTGGTTTCATTCTATTGTTAACCTTTATGAGATTAGCATGCTTTTAGATTCCATGTATAAGTGAGATCATGAAGTATTAATTGCCTCCTTAATGCAATATGCAACATGTCAGTCTCATAATCTGAAGGTCCTGAGTCTAAGGGGCTTTCAATGTGGGAGCCTGAGGCAACCTAGCCAGTGGTTGAGCTGGATTTGTGTTCCTTTATTGCCATAATTTCTGCTACCTTTTGCTTTGTGTGACGCCCCCAAAGCCGGAGGCTTTTTCTTCTGTTCCTGCCCCAGCTTTCAGCAGGCCCTGTATACAGCTCCGAGGGGACCTCTTTTCACACCTTGCCCCTCCATACTCAGTAGACTGCTGCCACAGTATTAGGTGCAAACCTCACAGCGGGGCAGGGGAGCTACTATCAGGTCTCATGATGTAGCCTGAATTTTAGGAAGGCCTGGTGTGCCCAAGCTTCTAGGATGGGGCTTTTACAGCATTTCTGCCTCTCCCTTCTAGGGGAAGCTTGACTGTGATGAAGAAGTCATTAACAGCTGCGTATCATGAGAGAAACAGATCTTACAGCTGGGCTCCAAGCAAGTTACCAAAACAACTAACAAGCAATACAATGGCAACAATAATAAAAGCCTCCAAAAAATAAGAGCCCAAGTCTCTTTACAGCGTATTACCTGGGATGTCCAGTTTTTAAATAAGAACTTTCTGGGCGGGAGAGAATCCAGGTGTATCTAAGATGGAGTAATAGGAGGTGGATGTACTCTCCCTTGTTGAACAACAAACCAATTTGGAAAAACACATTACATAATAATTTTCAGACCTTGGACATCAGTCAGAGCAAGGCAGAGTTTACTGAGTAAAGAGAAACTAAAAAATCAGCCCTATAATTGCCCTAGCATAGTAGTACTTGAGAGTTTCTGAGAGGGACAACCAAACAGAACCAGGAAAAAACAGATTTCAAGACAGAAAGCCAAATGAAATCTTTTTTAGAAATATTGGAGCTGAAAAAACTCATCACCAGTACACTTGTACTTAAAAAAAATTAAGAGGAGTCTTTTAGATAGAGTGAAAATGACACCAGATGGAAACACGAACATGCACAAAGAATGAAAACTACCTCACAGTCTTAATACGGGTACATGGAAAATAAATTAACATTAGTTATTTAAAGTCTTTAAAAGATAATTAAACAATGAGAGCCAAAAAATTAACTATAAATATTTTTTGTTGTGTTTGGCACCTACAATGAAGTAGCATGTAGGAGCACAATAGCACAGAGCTGAGAGAGAAAATGGCATCCGCAGCTGTAAGCTCTTTACACTGTAACTGACACAATGTTCTTTGAAGACTGAAATAAATTAAAAATTATACTACAGCCTAGAAACTGCAAGTTTAGTGTCCCTGTCTGTTAATGCTGTACAAAGAATTAACACCCTTTCCCCTCCTCATCCTTCTGCTGGCAATATGATCTGCACTAGAAAACTTTACTCTTACAGTCAATGAGTAAAAGGATGGGCTCACTTACCTTCATAGCTTTTCTTAAAAAGGACGCTTGCAATTTCAAGGAAGTCCTAATGGGAAGGCAAGGGTACAGGGCAAGAGGCAGTTTCACATTTGAGTCCACTAGTCTTTGGCAGAGTCCAATCAAGGCCAAATTCACCTAAGATGTCCTGTACCTTCCTACATATACCTTTCTTCAAGTACATATGTATCATATATATGTGATATATATATATATACACACACACATATATATGTGATATATATACACACACACATATATATGTGATATATATACACACACACATATATGTGATATATATACACACATATATGTGATATACACACATATATGTGATATATATATACACACACATATATATGTGATATTTATATATACCCTTGAAGGAAGAGCTTCACCCTGAAAAGGGAAGAGGAAAATGCTTGGAGGGGAGGGGTGGAGGGTCAGTGTTTGATCTCTGCTCTGGTGCTGGGCAGGGGCTTAGGAGTTGAGCCAAAGGCACCAGAGACACTTGGCAGAAATGGCTCTCTTCTCAGGGATCAGCTTCACCATGGGCAGTAAGAAATCTGTGAAGCCAGCTGCCTCTTCCTGAGAAACACTCATACTTCTCCAGTAGAACCTCAAAAAAACCCAAGGTTTTCAGCTTTGTGATGTGTTTCAGGTCACATTTTTGGTGAAAAATTCCTTGGAATGCTTCCCTGGCACAGTGAGCTTGTGAGTCACCTTCCCCAGAAGTTCTGTGATCAATGCAATGTGATCTTCATCTTGAGTGTGCTCTTTCCCTGAAAGGGGTTCAAGCAAGGAGTCACCTGTAGCCAGCTCAAAGGCCATACATGCTGAACTCCAAATGTCAGCAGGGTGTTATAGCCAGACCAGAAAACATAGAAACAAAAGGCCCAGTTTTCATAATTGACAGGACATTTTAATAAGGAGAGAGAACCTGTAACTTCATTTGGAAATGCTTCTCCAGCAAATAAGGGCTTTCTCCACTATCATTTAAGGAACCAGATGAATTAGAAGATGTAGAAAGCTGCACCTGTGGAACCTGATCTTCCACGTACACCACGTGCCGTTACTGAACTTAATAATAATATTGTCAAATTGCCATGATCTCACTAAAGGATTTCTATTTGCTGTCCTTTAAAGATAGACCCCTGAACACATTTTAATTGTTTTTTTTTGTTTTTTTTTTTTGTTTTTTTTTTGAGATGGCGTCTCACTCTGTCGCCCAGGCTGGAGTGCAGTGGTGTGATCTTGGCTCACTGCCGACTCCACCTCCTGGGTTCAAGCAATTCTCCTGCCTCAGCCTCCCAAGTAGCTGGGACTACAGATGTGCAAAGCCACACCCGGCTAATTTTTGTATTTTTAGTAGAGACGGGGTTTCACCATTTGGCCAGAATGGTCCTGATCTCCTGACCTCGTGATCCGCCCATGTCAGCCTCCCAAAGCGCTGGGATTATAGGTGTGAGCCACCGCGCCCAGCCCATTTTTATTCTTTCTACTGAGTGCATTATCTCCTTTCTTTGTAAATGTAGTACAATAAACAAATGACTTCATAACCTAAAAATTATATTTAATGCTATAAAATTTAAAGTACAAAACAACAAAAAAGGAGGAATTGCTAGTAAATCATCAAAAGTAAGAAAATCATCCATAAAAAATTATTTTAAAGAAAATAAAAATGAGGGGGAAACTGAAAAGATGAGCCAATTAAAAATAATTACTAGTATGGTGATGTTTTCATGTTCAGTATTAATTCCATCATGTGCAAATAATCTAAGCACTTCAATTATAAAATTATTCAGCCATGAGATCAAGGTCAACATCAAAACGTTATGTTGATATTATATGTGTTTAAACATTGTTTATCCATTCTGTAGTCAATGACCTTTTTTTTTCCAATTATGGGCTATTAAGTCTTCTATGAGCGTTCACATGTAGGTCTCTGTGAACATATATGTTCTTATTTTCCTTAGGTAAACAGTTAGAAGTAGGATTAATGGCTTGCATGGTGGCTTATCTTGGTCAACTTGTATTCTTAGCTTATGTGTAGTTTTCAGGGATGTGGAGTAACCAGAGCTCACACTTTACTTCTTGTACATTCATATATATTTTTTTTTTTTGGAAATCAGCTTTATAGTTCTTGTCAAAGTAAACACATACTTACTTCATGACCCAGAAGTTCTACTTCTAGGTATGAACCCCAGACAGATAAAAATATGCATGCATGCATTGCTTTTCCATAGTATTGTTACAAATTACCACAAACTTGGTGGCTTAACACGATTTATTTTTCCTTCATAGTTCTTGAGGCCAGAAGCCCAAAATCAGTCTCAGTGGGCCAAAATCAAGGTGTCAGCAGGGCTGCACTCCTTCCAGAGGCTCTAGTAAAGAATGCCAGATTCTTGCTTCTTCCACTACTGATGGCTGTCAGTGCTCTAACCTCCACCTCCATCACCTCCATGGCCACACTGCATCTTCTTCAGCCTGTGTATGCTGTCTCACACTGACTCTTTCTTTTTCTTATTTATTTATTTATTTATTTTGAGACAGTCTCGCTCTGTCACCCAGGCTGGAGTGCAATGGCATGATCTTGACTCACTGCAACCTCTGCCTCCTGAGTTCAAGTGATTATCCCGTCTCAGCCTTCCAAGTAGCTGGGATTACAGACGCATTCACCATGCCCTGCTAATTTTGTATTTTTAGTAGAGACAGGGTTTCACCATGTTGGCCAGGCTGGTCTTGAACTCCTGACCTCAGGTAATCCCTGGACCTCGGCCTCCCAAAGTGCTGGGATTACAGGCATGAGCCACCATGCCCAGCCCCCACTGTCTTTTTCTTATAAGGACACTTGTTTTGGCAATTTAGGGTCCATCCAGATAATCCAGGATAATTACTTCATCTCAAGATCGTCCATTTAATGACATTTGCAGATAATATTTATTTTTTGTCATGAAAGACAATTAGGTCCTAGATACATTATGAGGTTATTTTTCAGTGAGTACTGAAATACCATACTTGAAATACTATACTGGTCTGTCCTTGAATGCTCATTAAACTTTATTTTTAAAAGCCTCAAAATGAAAATAGCCCATATGTCAACCAGCCAGTGAATACATAAATTGTGGTCTATCCCTAAAACAGAATGCAACTTAGTATTGAACTTGTGACACACACATCTACATGGGTAAATTTCAAAAGCTTAATGCAGAATGAATGAAGCCAGACGCAGAAGAGTAAAGACAGCATGATTCCCTTAAATGAAACACTAGAATTGTGTTGGCCTTCATCTAAAAAGTCAATAACATTTCTGGGGTGACAGGAATCTTCCATATTTCGATCAGGGTATAGTTACGTGTTGCATACATTTCTGCAAACTCGTTATTCTGTACACTTACAATACTCTTTTCATTGCATATAGATTTTACCTAAGTTAAGACTTGAATTTTGACTAAATCACATTGATTTAAAATATTAAAACCTTATAAAATATTTTAAATATTCTTAAGTAATTTCAAAGTGGGGAAATTCTAAGTGTAAGACAATTAGGCACCAAAGATTAAAAACAAGATGGCATTGGCCGAATTAAAAATGTCCACTGATGGATGACTAAATAAAGGACATGTGGTATATACATAGAGCAGAATGTCATTCCACCTTACAAAAGAAGCAAATCCTGTTGTAAGTGACAACATGGATTAACCTGGAGGGCATTTTGCTGAGTAAGATAAGCCAGTCACAGAAGAACAAATACTGCGTGATTCTGTGTATATGATGTTGTATTAATCTGTTTTCACACTGCTATAAAAAATACCCAAGACTGGGTAATTTATAAAGGAAATACATTTAATTGACTCATGGTTCTGCATGGCTGAGGAGGCCTCAGGAAATTTACAATCATGGCGGAAGGGGAAGCAGACATCTTCTTCACATGGTGGCAGGAAAGAAGAGAGAGAGTGAAGGGGGAACTTGTCAGTTATAAACCATCAGATCTCACGAAAACTCACACACTATCATGAGAACAGCATGGGGGAAACCACTCCCAAGATCCAATCACTTCCCACCAGTTTCCTCCCTCAACACCCGGGGATTACAACTCAAGATGAGATTTTGGTGGGGACACAAAGCCAAACCACATCAGATGTATTTAAAATAGTAAAACTTGCCCAGGCGCAGTGGCTCCTTTAATCTCAGCACTTTGGGGAACCAAGGCGGGTGGATCACGAGGTCAGGAGATGGAGACCATCCTGGCAAACATGGTGAAAGCCTGTCTCTACTAAAAATACAAAAATTAGCTGGCTGTGGTGGCGGGCACCTATAGTCTCAGCTACTCAGGAGGCTGAGGCAGGAAAATCGCTTGAACCCTGGAGGTGGAGGTTGCAGCAAGCCGAGATAGCGCTACTGCACTCCAGCTTGGCGACAGAGCAAGACTCCATCTCAAAAAATAAAAAAACAAATAAAAAATTTTTTAAAAGTAAAACTCATAGTAACAGAGAGGAGAATGATGGTTTCTAGGTGCTGGTGGAGAGAGAAATGGAGGGCTATTGTTCAACAGGTATAAAGTTTCAGTTAGATGAATACATTAAAACATAAGAAAATGTGTAAGCATAGGAGTGTTTGCATATGTGCGTGATAATTATTTTATGTAAATGTTGGTGGCAAGCAGTGTAGCATCATCCAGCAGCCCAGTGTTTCTTAATCTATTTCATTTGCAAAGGTATATTTGAAATATAGGCATGCGTGAGACTTGAGGACTGAAAATATTTCAAGCTTCATCAGTGAATTAAGTAGCCATGTGAGGAAACTGGAATTAAGCAACACTACATTCCTCATTTTACATTATTTTCATCTATTCATCAAATTTATGTCAGTCTAATCCTGACAAGGTAGAACTAGACATTAGTCTCATCCAAAATAAAAAAGTTAGGATCTCATCCCAAATAAATCAACCAGAGATTGCTCAGCTTAGGAAAGTGCAACTTCCTGCTTGACTGGGCAGGAAAACCTTTTTGCAAAATATGCATCAAGTGAACAGTGTCATAGTTTAAGATCTTACAGTTTGTAAGTCAGCTAAACACTACCAGGATCTCAAAATAGTAATTTAATCTTGGAAATGGCTGATCTTTAATTATTCCTTCCAAATGCTCATGGATAGGCAAGGGTCTCAGTTGTCTCTTCGCTCCACATCTAGTAGAACATTTATGTTTCTGTAACTTTTGGGAATAACAAAAATAATAATGTTTATAAATTTATCTTGATGGTGGTGTTAGAAAGTCCAGTCCAGCTACCCTACCCAAAAAGAATAAACAATGGGAGAGAGGAAGTGGAAAGAACAGCAGGGCAAGACAGGACCCTTCCTTCCCCACCAATTCTGAAAGATACACCCGACTCTTTCCTACCGGGTCATAATTTTGCAGTAATACATCAGTGTCCACGACAAAGCTGGTGGGACTCTATATTTAGCTAGTCAAACTTAGGCTGTAAGCAATTATTTTTTCTTAGAAACAAAGGCCATGTAAAGATCAAGAAAGATAACAGATAATCTAATGTTCTTCATGGTAGTCTTCTCCATAAGCTATCAAACAGTAATACAATGGAATGTGGCTTAAAAATTGTCTATAGCTCAAGAGTTCCTCATATGTAACATGGACTGAGAAAACCTAGCAGCATTATTTTCAGTTAAATACTTGCAAGAGAATGTTGGTAGAGCTCCCCAAATCTGAGAGAGATATATAATTTGGAGTGGAGGTGTTCATTTTTTGGATAAGGGATCAATGGTATAAAATATTGTATCAAAGGACACTTTGCTTAAAGTGTTATTAGAAGATAACAATAAAGTATTTGTTGTCTATTTAATTTTAATTAATTAAACAAATACATCTCAGCAAGGTACTTTTATGAGGGCAGGGTTATAGAAGTGATATAGTTTGGGTGTGTCCCCACCCAAATCTCATCTTGACTTGTAGCTCCCATAATCCTCACATGTAGTGGGAGGGACCCAGAGTGAGGCACCTGAATCATGGGGCGGGTCTTTCTTGTGCTGTTCTCATGATAGTGAATAAGTCTCATGAGATCTGATGGTTTTATAAAAGGGAGTTACCCTGCACACACTCTCTTTCCTGTTGCCATGTAAGATGTGATTTTGTTCCTCATTCACCTTCTGCCATGATTGTGAGGCCTCCTCAGCCATGTGGAACTGTGAGTACATTAAACCTTTTTCCTTTATAAATTACCTAGTCTCATGTATGTCTTTATTAGAAGGGTGATAGACTAACACAAGAAGAGAAAAAAATAGACAACATTTTCTGGCCTCATTGAGCCTATATTCTACTGTGAAATGCATATAATATGCAGTGAATGAGTGAATATTTATAATATGTTAGTGGGAAAAGCTACACAAAAAAGTAAACCAGGAAACGGAATTAGCAAGTTGGGCAGTATTGAAATTTTGAAATGGGCTTATAGCACAATCTTTGCAGAGAAAGTGACTAGAAAAAAGAGTTGAGTGATGTCAGGGAGCATTCCAGGCAGAAGAAACATATACCAGACACTGAGTTCTAGAAAGTTCTTGGGTGTTTAGGCTGGGCACGATGGCTCATACCTGTAATCCCAGCACATTGGGAGGCTGAGGCAGGCAGATCACGAGGTCAGGTGACTGAGACCATCCTGGCTAACAGGGTGAAACCTCCTCTCTACTAAAAATAGAAAACAAATTAGCCGGGCATGGTGGCGGGTGCCTGTAGTCCCCACTACTCGGGAGGCTGAGGCAGGAGAGTGGCGTGAACCCGGGAGGCAGAGCTTGCAGTGAGCCGAGACTGCACCACTGCACTCCAGCCTGGGTGACAGAGCGAGATTCCATCTCAAAAAAAGAAAAAAAAAAAGAAAGAAAGTTCTTGGGCGTTTAATATACCTCAAAAGAGTAAGTAAGGATAAAATTACTTTGTCAGAACAAATTGAAAAAGGAAAAGGGTCATAGTAAACATAGACATGGGAGGTAATGTGGTCATGTTAATAACTTTGGCTTTTGTTATTTTCTGAGTACATTTGGGAGTATTTTGAATCAAGTAATAAAAATGACTTGGCATATGTTTTGAAATGATTACTGTGGCTTCTATTTTGAGGATATCCTGAAGCGAAACAGGTATTAAAAGCAGGAATACTCTTTGGAAAGGCTTTGCAATATTTCAGGCAAGAAGATCTCATGGTGACTTGAATCTGGGTTTAGGCAGTGATGATAGAGATGTGTTCATATCCTTGACATATTGAGAGGGTATAATATTATAAACTACATGTGGGATAGGAAGAAAGCAGAAGAGTTGAGGATGATACCATGGCTTATGACTGAGAAAAAGAAGGAAGAAGTGGTTATTGTGGAGTTCAGAGAAAATATTTAGACTGGAGATATATATTTAAACACAAACACACACACACAAACACACACACACACATACGAATAATCCAAAACATGAAATGTGAACTTGAATAATATCACCTGGGGACTGAATATAGACAGAAAATAGAAATTAACTGTCTGTGAACAGAATCCTGAAGTGCTCCAAAATAGATAGGTCCAATTGATAAGAAAGAATCATTTAAAGGAAAAATAAATATTTTTAAAAAACAAAAGTGGTAGGAAGGCAAATATGGCATTTCAGAAGCAAAATTTTAAAAAAGTGACTCAATGAGAAGGGAATAATTAACAACTATTGCTTATAAGTAAACTATGATGATGAATAAAAAATTAATGTTGGATTTGTGAAAGGATTGGTCAATGTTAATCATGACAATAGCATTTTTGCTATAGTGGAAGGAAAAAAATCATGAATGGAATGTGTTCAAGAAAAAAAATAGGCAGAGAAAAACATACACATTACTCTTAGAGAGAGTTTTTGTGTAACAACGACTAGAGAAATGGAGTTGTGGCTCAAAGGGAAGTGTTGCAGAAGCCGCTCATTTTAAAATAAAAGTCATAGCAGCATTTTGTATGCTAATGTGAATAATTCAGTAAGAGATAAAAATCGTTAAAGCAGAAGATCAGAGGTTTTTCTCGAAGAAGAGAGGATGAATCTATGCATAGAGATGTGGATCTTACCTGGACATGGCAAAAATTTATCCAAGAGTGAAGAAGGAATATGTGGGCTCAGCAGCAGGTGGTTAGTTGTTTTTCAAAGTTCCCTTTAAACTGCTTCAAATTCTTAACTAGCTTTTGTTGCCATTGCTTTTGGTGTTTTGGACATGAAGTCCTTGCCCACGCCTATGTCCTGAATGGTAATGCCTAGGTTTTCTTCTAGGGTTTTTATGGTTTTAGGTCTAACGTTTAAATCTTTAATCCATCTTGAATTGATTTTTGTATAAGGTGTAAGGAAGGGATCCAGTTTCAGCTTTCTACATATGGCTAGCCAGTTTTCCCAGCACCATTTATTAAATAGGGAATCCTTTCCCCATTGCTCGTTTTTCTCAGGTTTGTCAAAGATCAGATAGTTGTAGATATGCGGCATTATTTCTGAGGGCTCTGTTCTGTTCCATTGATCTATATCTCTGTTTTGGTACCAGTACCATGCTGCTTTGGTTACTGTAGCCTTGTAGTATAGTTTGAAGTCAGGTAGTGTGATGCCTCCAGCTTTGTTCTTTTGGCTTAGGATTGACTTGGCAATGCGGGCTCTTTTTTGGTTCCATATGAACTTTAAAGTAGTTTTTTCCAATTCTGTGAAGAAAGTCATTGGTAGCTTGATGGGGATGGCATTGAATCTGTAAATTACCTTGGGCAGTATGGCCATTTTCACGATATTGATTCTTCCTACCCATGAGCATGGAATGTTGTTCCATTTGTTTGTGTCCTCTTTTATTTCCTTGAGCAGTGGTTTGTAGTTCTCCTTGAAGAGGTCCTTCACATCCCTTGTAAGTTGGATTCCTAGGTATTTTATTCTCTTTGAAGCAATTGTGAATGGGAGTTCACCCATGATTTGGTTCTCTGTTTGTCTGTTGTTGGTGTATAAGAATGCTTGTGATTTTTGTACATTGATTTTGTATCCTGAGACTTTGCTGAAGTTGCTTATCAGCTTAAGGAGATTTTGGGCTGAGACGATGGGGTTTTCTAGATAAACAATCATGTCGTCTGCAAACAGGGACAATTTGACTTCCTCTTTTCCTAATTGAATACCCTTTATTTCCTTCTCCTGCCTGATTGCCCTGGCCAGAACTTCCAACACTATGTTGAATAGGAGCGGTGAGAGAGGGCATCCCTGTCTTGTGCCAGTTTTCAAAGGGAATGCTTCCAGTTTTTGCCCATTCAGTATGATATTGGCTGTGGGTTTGTCATAGATAGCTCTTATTATTTTGAAATACGTCCCATCAATACCTAATTTAAACTAAAGAGCTTCTGCACAGCAAAAGAAACTACCATCAGAGTGAACAGGCAACCTACAACATGGGAGAAAATTTTCGCAACCTACTCATCTGACAAAGGGCTAATATCCAGAATCTACAATGAACTCAAACAAATTTACAAGAAAAAAACAAACAACCCCATCAAAAAGTGGGCGAAGGACATGAACAGACACTTCTCAAAAGAAGACATTTATGCAGCCAAAAAACACATGAAGAAATGCTCATCATCACTGGCCATCAGAGAAATGCAAATCAAAACCACGATGAGATATCATCTCACACCAGTTAGAATGGCAATCATTAAAAAGTCAGGAAACAACAGGTGCTGGAGAGGATGTGGAGAAATAGGAACACTTTTACACTGTTGGTGGGACTGTAAACGAGTTCAACCATTGTGGAAGTCAGTGTGGCGATTCCTCAGGGATCTAGAACTAAAAATACCATTTGACCCAGCCATCCCATTACTGGGTATATACCCAAAGGACTATAAATCATGCTGCTATAAAGACACATGCACACGTATGTTTATTGCGGCACTATTCACAATAGCAAAGACTTGGAACCAACCCAAATGTCCAACAATGATAGACTGGATTAAGAAAATGTGGCACATATACACCATGGAATACTATGTAGCCATAAAAAATGATGAGTTCATATCCTTTGTAGGGACATGGATGAAATTGGAAACCATCATTCTCAGTAAACTATCGCAAGAACAAAAAACCAAACACCGCATATTCTCACTCATGGGTGGGAATTGAACAATGAGATCACATGGACACAGGAAGGGGAATATCACACTCTGGGGACTGTGGTGGGGTCGGGGGAGGGGGGAGGGATAGCATTGGGAGATATACCTAATGCTAGATGACACATTAGTGGGTGCAGCGCACCAGCATGGCACATGTATACATATGTAACTAACCTGCACAATGTGCACATGTACCCTAAAACTTAGAGTATAATAAAAAAAAAAAAAAAAAAAAAAAAACAAATTCTTAACTAGCAAACTTGATAAGCAACTGAAACCAAGGGAAGGGGAGGTTTGTAGAAATGCTAGAATCATTTAACAGTCATCTAGTAGAGTGAGAGAGAGGAAGCACTACAGAAGGATCGTCTGACTGCCAGAAACTTCGAGTGCCTCCTTGGAGTTGTTGATCATGAATTGACATGGAGAGCAGCCCCCGTGGTTTTGTATTTTTTCCCAAGTTCAGCTTCGAGACCATTGATAACGATAGGCAGAGAGTTACATTTAAAAATGGTGTGGCTTATCCAAGAGAGCACAGTAAAGGAATAAAGAAGCAAAACTAAGTTGTATGCAAGGGGGAAAAGTATCATGGATAGGAGTGAGTATCATGACACCCCATGGATTATAAGTTTGGGAATTTAGGATACAGTGGGAAGAAAGGGTGAAATTCGTTTTCTAATTAATTAATTTTTAATTGACAAAAATATTGTATAGATGTATCATATGCATGTTGTTTATACTATGGGTACATCGTGGAGTGGTTAAATTGAGCTAATTAACATATGCCTTACTCACATACTTATCATTTTTTTGTGATGAGAGCACTGAATATCTACTCTTTTGGCAAGTCTTACAAACACAATACACATTGTTAACTATAGTCATCATGCTGTACAATAGATTTTTAAAACTTATTCCTCTTATATAAATGAAATTTTGTATCCTTTGGCCCAGGGGTCCCAGGGGTCCCCAAATTTTTTGGTTTGGTCCCCAACCAGGAACTGGTTTTGTGCAAGACAATTTTTCCACAAACAGAGCTAGAGTTGGGAGGATGGTTTCAGGATGAAACTGTTCCACCTTAGATTATCAGGCTTTAATTAATCTCTCATGAGAAGCACACAACCTAGATCCCTCACATGCACAGTTCCCAATAGGGTTCGTGCTCCTTTGAGAATCTAATGTCGCACTGGTTTGGCAGGAGGCAGAGCTCAGGCAGTAATGCTCGCTTGCTTACCTGCCACTCACCTCCTGCTGTGTGGCTCGGTTCCTAACAGGCCATGGACTGATACTGGTCTGTGGTCCAGAGCTTGGGGACCCCTTCTTTAGCCAGCATGTCCCCAACTCTCTTCACCCTCAGTCCCTGGTAACCATCATTCTAGTCCCTGCTTCTTTCTGGGCTTGAATTGTTTCACTTAACATAATGTCTTCTTGATTCATCTATGCCATCCAAAATGACAAGATTTTCCTCTTTATTAAAGCTGGATAGTATTCCATTGTGTATATATACTGCATGTTCTTTATGTATTCATCCACTGATGGACACTCAGATCTATTCTATATATTGGCAATTGTGAATAGTGCTGCAATGAACACAGGGGAACAGATACCTGTTTAAGCAGGTATACCTGGTTTTATTTCCTTTAAAAATGTAAGTTAATTAACCTGCAAATATCCTAAATCACTATTTCTTTTTAGGGCACAGACATTTCACATTCAATAAAAATATACCAGCAAAGATCAGTCCATGATCTTCCTGATCTGACCAGGGGATACCCATCCTTTAGGCAGACCTCAAACAGAGTCGTTTTCATCCATAGCACACAGCTGTGATTGTGCCCACAACCTGCTGGTGGTATGTGGGGTGGTGAGAAGCTATTGCTACCTCTGTGCTACTCACAACATACAACCTAGTGGCTTATTGGAGAAGATTCCTGAAGGATTTTTTAGGTTTAGATGTTTTTGCTGCTTCTGCCTCTTGCTAAAACTGTGACCCTGAAATAGGGCAAGTCAATGTCTACTTATTTAAAAAACAAAAACAAAAAGAGGAGTTCTCCTACTGAAATAAGTTGATTTTCCTTACCTGAGAGTTGGTTCTGGCAAGTATTGACTGCCCCAGGGTCTGAATTAAAGTCTAGAGTCTCCCTGAATTTTACACAATTGCTAATACGTTCAAACGATAAAACTCAACTGCCTTCTGAATCACTACATAAAATGTGATAATGAAAAGGAATATTTATTTCTACAGTTTGATAACAGGTTTTAATGCAAAAAGCCATGAAACTAAACCTGACAGCAACTGGCATTTGAAATAATTTTACAGATTTAGATGGTTTTGGCCTTTTGATAATTTTTGTGACTTGCCATTTTTCTTAAAAAATTAAATTGTCAAAATGGTTACAAGTCTACAATAAGATCATGGATATTATCTTCTATGAACTTTGGATGGCATATTAAATAATGAAAGTTCTCTTTATGAATATCCAAAGATAAAAATATAAGCAGGGCATTTGATTATCCTCCTTGTCAGATGTAGTAGTGGGTCTTTTATGAAAATATAAATAATGATCTACAACTATTTCTAAGCAATTTTCTGATTTTCTAAGGTTAAAAGAAATGCTTTGAGTAGGACTCCTTGGAGAAATGGCAGAATAATGGACCAAAGCAAAATAAATACAAGATAATACTGGATTATTTGGTTACAACAAAAAGTAATTCGATGACCTCCTAAAAATGAAGAGGACATGCCAGAAGGACACAGGAGCTAGCCATATCTGGGTCAATTTGAGCAACATCATGAGTTGACACAATAATAAATTATAAAGTATTAAATATTTGAAATCTGTGAGTCTTAAGTTATAATAAGTAAATAAATAATATTAAATTAAATCTGACTTACGAGTACTGTTATTTACAGAACATAAACTTGAGTGCCAACAAGTAAATTCAGAGGGAAGGCTTGAAATAGAAAAATATTATTTTGTGACATCGCTATGAAGATTGGCTCATGCAAACCCATTAATGGATGCTAAATTTCAGGGAAAATATTGATGAGGATATGCACACAATCTTAAAATGTCTTTCCATGGATTGCTTATTAATTACATGAGAAAAAAGTCTACAGTGGACCAGAGAATCAGAATTAGCATCATCAGTGATAGACAGATGGCCATTCTATGCCTCCAGACGTGATTGTCTGAGGACACAACATAGCTTATGCAGCATAAAAGTGTGGAACGCAGAACGTAAATTTAACCATGAATGAATGTCATACAAATCCTTGATAAAAACATTTTATATTAAAAGTAAAAAAGGGAGAATGATTCTATTTTAAAGTACTATATTGTAAAAGATAAAGAAACATTGTGGTAATGTTCCAGGATTAAGAACACTGAAGCTATGTGGCAGTGAAATGTAATATTTAATCCTAGATCAGATTCAGACTTAGAGAAAAGTAAAATGCTACAAAGCATATAATATGTCCAATTAAAAATAATATGAAATTGGCCAACATGGTGAAACCCTGTGTCTACTAAAAATGCAAAAATTAGCCGGGCGTGCTGGTGCGCCCCTGTAATCACAGCTAGTCGGGAGGCTGAGGTGGGAGAATTGCTTGAATCCGGGAGGCAGAGGTTGCAGTGAGCCAAGATCACTCCAGCCTGGATGACAGAGCGAGACCCCATCTCAATATAATAGTAATAATAATAATTAATAATAATGCTATTGACGGTAGATTAAATATTATGTCAATATTATATATACCGAAATATTTTAATTATATAAAAAAATTTCTCTATTCTTAGGAAATACATACTGAAGTATTTAGGGGAAAATGTCCGGGGTGCAACTTACAAATGGTTCAGAAAAAATTTATGTTTATGTATTTGTATATAAACTTAAACATATATGCACATACACATGTGTGAAATAGAATTCAAACTATAAAACATAATAGTAAAATAATAATCAGTCTATCCGGGTGAAGTATATATGGCAGTTTTCTGTACTGTTTTTATATTTGTAACACATATTTTAAACTGTTATGTTTAAAATTTTTGCACATAAAATGTTAAAAAATATTGTTAAATGACTTGTACATGTGCTGTCAATAGGAGAATCATAATTATGCCAAAATATATGAGCCAATATTTCATTTGTAGTGATATATCTTTTCAAATCATCAAATTTGCTACCCAATAGATCAGCTCAGGAAAAAGAAGAGATCCAAAGTTTCAAAGCTGTTGAATGATATGACATAATATTTATCAAATAGGTCAAAGAACATGATATTCCACACTCAGCAGAATGTCTCCACTGACAAAAATTGACCGTTTTTGAATAGTATACATTTGATTTATAAAAGTATTTAATTTTGCATGTTGTATATACAATTAAATTATGTTTAATGTTATAGTTCAAAATAAATTTTATCTGAATTTTTCCAGCTCTGCTTTTCTATTTTAATTTTAAATGTGGACATGCATTATTTTAACTGACTATAGTTATTTCTCAATTATATTTATGACAAAGTGAACATATGCTATTTATCACGTTCTCTATTTGTAAGGATTGTTCAGAGACACAGAACCAATAAGATGTGTGTGTATACATACACGCATATATGTGGTATTATTTGTATGTATACAAAGATTGTGTGTGTGTGTGCGTGTGTGTTTGTGTGTGTGTGTGTGTGTGTGTGTGTGTGTGCGCATGTGTGTCATGGCAATTTTCTCAAGCAATTATGAAGGCCTAAAAGTCTCACCCTCTGCTATCTGCAAACTAGGGAACCAGCAAAACCAATGACATGATTTAGTCCTAGTTGGAAGGCCCAAGAACCAGGAGAGTGAACAGTGTAACTCTCAATTTGATTCTGAAGACTTAAGAATCAGATGCTACAAAGGCGGGAGAAGATGTGTGCCCCAGCTTAGAAGACAAAGAGAAAATTTATCCTTCCTCCACCTTTATATTCTGTTCAGGCCCTAAAGGGATTTGGGTGCCTTCCCAGCGGTGAGGATGGGTCTTCTTTACTCAGTCTACTGACTCGCATGCTCAGGAAATACCCTCCCTAAACACTCTCATGGTCACACCCAGAAATAATGTTTTACTAGCGTTCTGGGTATCCCTTAGCCCAGTCAAGATGACACATAAAATTAACCATCACACATTCCTGGAAAGAAAGACTCCCTGGTATACTCTTCACTCTCCTCTTGGTCTTGTTGTTGTTGTTGTTGTTGTTGTTGTTGTTGAACTCCAGTCCATTCAATGCTGACTGTATTGTGTTATGACCCTCTAGTTAGCTCTTTGAATTCCTGTTGTATGGAGAAGAGACTCACCGCTGGTCTTCAACATTTCTCTAAGATTGTATCAATCCATTATTGCATTGATCTGAGATAAAAACTATCTGAGACTGGGTAATCTACAAAGAAAAGAGACCTAATTGGCATGACCCTGCAGGCTGTACAGGAAGCATAGTAGCTTCTCTTTCTGGGAAGCCCTCACGAAGCTTCCGATCATGGCAGAAGGTAAAGGTTGAACGAGGTGCCACGCTTGGTGGGAGCAGGAGCAAGGTGTGGGGTGGGGGGGTGCTATACACTTTTTTTTTTTTCTTAGAGTCTCACTCTTTCACCCAGGCTGGAATGCAGTGGTGCTATCTTGGCTCATTGCAACCTCTGCCTCCCGGGTCGAAGCGATTCTCCTGCCGCAGACTCCTGAGCAGCTGGGACTACAGGCGTGCACCACCACACCTGGCTAATTTTTGTATTTTTAGTAGAGACGGGGTTTCAGGCTGTTTAGGCTGATCTTGAACCCCTGACCTTGTGATCTGCTCACCTCGGCCTCCCAAAGTGCTCGGATTACAGGCGTGAGCCACCGCACCAGGCCCACACTTTTAAACAACCAGATTTCTCAAGAAATCACTCACTATTGTGAGGACAGTACCAAGGGGATGGTACTAAATCATTCATGAGAGATTCACCTCCATGATCCAATCACGTCCCAGAAGGACCTATCTCCAGCATTAGGGATTACAATTTGACGAGATTTGGGTGGGGACACAGATCCAAACCAATCACGCATATCTAAGAATTTGAATATCAAATGAAAAGTCGACCTGACAATAATATGTCCCAAGAAACTTTCTCAGTTGTAGGCTGCTATGATCTTCTGTCCCATATAGTTTCAAACAGGGGCATATAGGTTTTGCTACAGTTCTGCTTCTACTCAAAGTTTTTCTATCATCAATAGTTTTATCCTCTTTTTTATTGTTATTTTTAAAAATCAGATTTAAGGCATTGCACTAATTGTGCTCCCAACACATTGAATTACATCTGTGCGAGGTCTTTCTGCTTAATTGATTCATTAATTGGAAATCGCTCCTTCCTTTTTAACATCCTTCCCTTCTGCCTGATACCTACTCCCCATAGGTGTTTGTTTTCATGCATTTGGCGTGTCTCACTGAAATAGCGCTGTTGGTAAGTAGTGTGATTTTTCTCAACAAAATGTGTGTGTGTGTGTTTAAATATATGTTTCTTAGGGTAAATCTGATGCTTCTAACCACTATATTACATTCCATTCAGGATATATGTCTGATTGGACTCAGTAACCCTAACAATAATGAACATCTGAATTGTCCTCATCACTCACAACCACCACGATAGATGTAGACATTGCGAGATCAGCCTTTTAAATGGACCACCGTGGAATTGTGACTATGAGAGTGATTTACTTGCCAATGAATATAGTCACAAGTTCTTGAATATAGCACATAATTGTTTTATTCTGTGTGTTTTGTTTGTTTGTTCTTTTTGAGATGGAGTCTTGCTCTGTTACCCATGCTGGAATGCAGTGGCACGATCTAGGCTCACTGCAACCTCTGCCTCCCGAGTAGCTGGGATTACAGGCGCCCGCCACCACACCTGGCTAATTTTTGTAGTTTTAGTAGAAACGAGGTTTGACCATGTGGTCCAGTCTGGTCTGGAACTCCTGACCTTAAGTGAACCACCCGCCTCAGCATCCCTGTTGGGATTACAGGCATGAGCCACCATGCCAGGCCTTATTTTGTGTTTTTAATTAATATAACAAGTCAATCAAATTGTTCAACAAATAACCATCTGATGCGGAAATAATTTGTAAAAAGTAGAAAGCCAAATAACAAAGATAAATTAAAAGTATTTAGAAAGAATTTTGCCAAAAGTTAGTTAATATTTTACTTGTCAAAAACAATGTTCAATGATGAGAAAACCCACAGAATTAGGTCAATCACAAAACAAAATTCTTAAATCAGCATTATGACTATAAAAATTATCTCAATTAGCAAATACTGAGGAAAAATCCCTTAGCTTCTTGGCTGTCTACTAAAAATCTTATAAAAATATCTATGTAATTATGGAATGGTTTGTGAGGGTTACAATTTTATTCTATATTTTATTAGCAAATTATATATATGCACAGATATACATGCACAAAATTACTTCTATTTAAGAAAGTAAATAAATGTTTTTGAATTTGCATGAAAACCAAATTTAGTTATACTTAATCATAAAAGTAAATAAATAAAAGTAATTTAAAAACATGGTACAAATATTCTTTTTTTAATGCCAGCATCTAATTTTTGCTATTTGGGACATCAGCTTTAAATGTTATTTAGTATTCAAACTTCTACCAAATAACATGTAGATATATATTTTAAAATTAACTATTTAATAATGTATATTTTACCCATATTAGATACCACTGTGAACATTTTAAAATTATACTTTTATTCACACATGATTATGCTGAGCTGACATATTGGAATAGCATGTTTGGTGATTTGAAAATATGTCTAGTTACAGCTGCAAGGAAAGAAAAAAAAACACTTTCTCAAACCTGTCAGAAACATTTTTTGGGAGATTTACAAAAAGTGAAAAGTTTCACATATTTCCCAGAAATGTTGGCAAGGGACACAAGACATTTCTTGAAAATAAAAATTTCCTTTTGTCCTGGAAGTATATATCCAAAAAAGAAAAACAATTAGGAGTAGGAAAACGAGTCTTTTTTTTTTGTCTTTAAATAAATGCCAAGTTTGACAAATATCATTTCTGTTGGTAACCTTACCTGAAAGAAGATACTTTTAGACTTATTCGAAACATGATTATAGAAAATACCAAAATAATATGTGCGTAACATTTAAATATAAGTTATGGAAAGTAACATGACGAGGAATTTTGAGCCCTTTACCAAGGTAAAGACCAGGACATTGCCATATGTTAGCTAACTATACAGCATCCTGTAGCCACAGAGTCCTTCACCCCGAAATAATCATAATTCTGAATTCATGTGTGTTATTCTCTTGTTTTTCCTAATAGTTTGATTCTACATGTGTTTCTTTTTGCAATATATCGACTGGTCTTTCCTGGTTTTCTAAGTTTTAACTTTATGCAAGCGTTATATGTTTTCTTCTATAATTTGTCTTTATCATGAATTCCTTATCAGTATATTTGAAAAATTAACCTGTACTGATTATTTTTTTCAATATTTAGTAGAATTGGTACTATATTGATTCATAAAGAATTGAACATCTTTTCAAAGCTGTATTTTTTTGTTTTTGAAATATTTATTTTCCTTTTTTTTGTTTTTTTTGTGAGGCCTTTTGTTTTAATTCCTGTTGATTTATAGGAGATGATTATTTCAATGCCTGAATAGGATAAAGTATGAAAGCAGGCTCAATTGAAACATGGATCTCATTCAACATAAACATTACCAATAATTCATGGGGTTCAAGAAGGACCAGGGTCAGCAAGGGAGACAGATATGATACAGCTTCCAAATCATGTTCATTTTTCTCATGCAATGATGTCTTTTTATTTTCTAGTGACAAGTGAAGGTCCGATACTGGTTGTGAAATGCTGTGTTCAGAGGAATATTGTTCAGTTTGGGGGGCTTCCTAGTTCTAGACTACATTAGTCAACAGATAGAAAATATCTTCGTGACTAATGTCTATTGTCTATAAAGCTATAAATTCTAGTTTTTTAAAGCAATAGGTAATCTGATCAGAACATGCAGGTTTCTTTTTACAAAATGGATTTTTAAAAACTTTTTCTCATGTGACATCATTCTATTAATAAGTGTCACTTTTGCATGTCTGCAATAATGTCTTTTCCAGACGCATCATTCTCCCAAAGTCCCATGAAAGAAAGAGTGTATCACCAGCTGGAAGTTCTCTCTTTCCTCCTTCTTCATAAATTGGGTTATAAATAGGGAGTTCACTTAGGAGAACAGAAGTCTTACCCTTAAGTAGTTGATGTTTTCAATCTTTTATTATTTCCTCTTTTGTATTTTGTGAGCCTGATTTAACTCCTATGTATTCTTGAAATCATGAATCCACCTGCAGTCAGCTTTTGCATATCCTCACAAAAGAGCAAGAGGGCGGGTGTCTGGAGTGTTCCTGGAAGCAGCATGAGGAGAAAGGAGAACATGAGGTGTATGTGAGATGTGAGGCCAGGTGCACAGGGACTGGGTGCAAGCTCTCTTGTCACCAGGTGTCCTAGCAGTCAGACCACTGTAGACCTGATGACGCGGCCTCCATCACGAAATCCATAATGGTGCCTGAATGCCATTCCTTCAGCAGAGAGAGAAGTCTCCTTTTTGGTGTCCACAAGACTATGATTTGCCTCTCCTTTGGAGGGTCTTCAGTAACAACAAAGAGTAAACCATTGAGCAACTAACCAAATGTGCTCTGTGTCAAATATCTTGTATTTTGTTCTTCAATTCAACTTGTATGCTTATCCCTATAGTTATAGCTGAACTTATAACTTAAATAGTTATAGCTGAAGTTATAGGTGAACTAGCTCCACTGTTGACATTACATAATAGAAATTAATGTGTTATTTTAAAGATTATTCTTGTGTTAGTCAAAATAATGCCCTTAAAATTTTTCATAAAGTATTTTGCTTGTTCAGTTAAGGGCCACTCATTACCATGTAGAAATGATCTATATTCTAATTTCTGCCAAATATTTTTGTCTCACCGAATCTATCCCCAACTGTGCTGGACAATAACACTTCTTTTATAATTAAATATTCTCCCAGAAACATCAGCTAAGGAGCATAAATATTTAATGACTTCATGACCTATATTTTATGTGTTACAAAAAGAGTATACAAGTCCGAAAGGTTATTTTTCCTTTACTGGAATCTCAACTGAAGTTCCAAAGTTATTTGTTTTTTTCCTGCAGCTTTGACTAGCCTACTTCTTTCTGTTAAAAATCTACCTTTTTTTTACATTTTCTTGTAAATCAGAACTAATACCTGTACCTCATAGATTAACTGTTAACCACGTTGCAATAAAGTGTCCATTTTTCTCATTTTCATCTAATCACTAGCATACCTCATTTGTATGCTTCAGGCAAAGTGATCCCCATCCAATTGGCACAGTGGCTGGGCCTGCATACCAGTGCAGCTCAAGTTCCGCGAGTGACAGCATGCCATCAGTGCCCTACAGTGAGATTGTACAGCTTTCAAAGGAGGCAAAACTAATTTCACCCACCCCATAATATTATCACTTTCTAATATCCCATCAAGATAGGAGATAGGTCATACAGTTGTAGTTATATTTGATTAAACACATAAATACTGGAGAGCCACTATGTGCAAAGCATATATCTTTTCTGTCTCTGCCCCTGCCTACTTTTGGTATTTGTGGCCCAAAGGGCACATTCAAATTATTACATCTAATATCTACAGCCCAGCCTCAGGGAAAAGAATGACGCCTGCCAATTCCTCCAGGTACTAAGAAGGATATATGTGATTATTAATTTAGGTAATTCTAATGAATTAAAATGTCAAGAAGTATAGAACCATCAAATTTTACTTCACAGAGAAAGTTGGACCACAGAAAAATAGAGTTGTAACAATAACTTATAATTGAAAAGAAAACAGTAAATTTGTTAGCTTATATCAGAAATGTTTCAAGTTCATTTTTGTTGTTTTTTTGGTACATTCTTCACTCTCTCTTTTTTTTTTAATGAGACTTAGTCCAGTTTACCAAAAACGGTCTTGAATATATTTTGTTCCTAAGATATTTTGATTTAAACAAAAATCAAATCAAAATAAATAAGTGTGTGTGTCTATTCAATTCTTTGGTTCCAAAATATTTTCTTCTGAGTTCCTAAAAAAGAAATCCCTTTGCAAAAAGGCAAGTCGGATGCATTTTGTCTTTTTAAGTGTACATGTGTTGGTACCATTTACCTATTTGTTGAGATGGTGGATGATAGATAAAATCTGTTTATTCTACAAGTTTTAAAGTTATTATTTAAGTACATATAATTATCAATAAATTATGTAACAAAATTTAACTAGATATTTTAGTTACTTTAAAGTACACTTTCCATTTTGTAATCTACAATGTACTACATCTAAATTATTTAGTGGTAATTCAGATAGAAATATATTTTAAGAAAAAAATGAACATTCTAATTATAAGTTACTAGAATAAAGAGTACTTATCTCTAGGAAATTAACCCCAAATAAGAAAGATGAGAAATTCCACTTTCAATAAAATTTTTTTGATATTAGTAACCTTAAATTATTCCATAGGAAAAACACTACAGTGCCAGGGAGGCTCAGTTAGAGGCATTAGAGTATCACTAACAGAAGACGGTAGCTGCATCTCTCAAATAAAGTGGCAAAATGCATTTATTTAAAAACTGCGTGTGGCGCGTGCCTGTAGTCCCAGCTACTCGGCAGGCTTAGGCAGGAGAATTGCTTGAACCCGGGTGGCAGAGGTTGCCGTGAGCCAAGATTGCGCCACTGCACTCCAGCCTGGCGATAGGGCAAGACTCTGTCTCAAAAATAAATAAATAAATAAATAAATAAATAAATAAATAAATAAATAAAACTGCGTGGTGTACCGTACCTTGAGCAAAACCAACAAACTCCGGAAAAATGGGTTGCAGAGAATATGTTTTTTGAAGTTAATTTTGATACTACTTGGTAATGTAGAACGGATTGAGAAAATGCATATTCTTTATACAGAAAAGAAGCTTTCTGAAAATAAGTGTCCTAGTGTTTGAATTCTGAGAATCTTTGTAGCAGATTTGCCTTCGCTGAGGTAGATACAGGTATAATAACACATACATACATACATACATACATACATACATACACAAAGACACAAAAACATATGCTCCATAAGGTACCATTAAATGATTCACTGGGACCCAGGAAGCATTTCTGTTAGATGAGGACATAATTATTCCTATATTGTCTTGAATATAGGCTTCATGTTTTTTTAAACAAAGAAAAATCCAGCTTGAATCTATCAAATTATAACTAGGTTCTGAGAAAAAGAAATGAAGATTTTACCTGGGAAAATGTCAGAAATTGCCATATTCAAAATATGCAATGTACTCAAAGGTCTTAGTGAAAGTAGCAACATGTTTGTATCAGAGATATAATATCTCTGCAAGAGCAGGCAGGGTCCAGAGGGATTATGAGGGATGGGTTAGGGGTAAAGGTGGTAATTGAAAGGAAAATAAATAGCAGTTACAAACTCCCTAATGGAAGCAGCACAAAGAAGAATCCAATATGCTAAAAGCACAGTGAACAAACAAATAAAACAAAAGAGAGTATAACTAACACATTTATTTAGGGGTGAAACAAAATGAAACACTTCTCAATCAAATCAAAAGAATGCAAAAATGAAGACAAATTATACAGACGATATAATGAATTATGATCACATATTTAAATGTAAAAAACATTTTGTAATTACATTAAATATAAGTGGCATATACACTTAAATAAAAAAATTAAATTATGCACAATACAACTTGGTATAACTCTTTGGAATTTAATTTTTCTTGACAAAAGCATATAAGAAACAGGTGAGTAAACAAAGTACTCACAAAATATTTATTTGTAAATTGTACTTTTAAAATTGGTAAATAAAATTGTATATATGTATCATGTGTGACATGATGTTTTGAAATATGTATACATTGTGGAATAGCTAAATTGAATTCAGTAACAGAAGCATTACCTTACATACTTATTTTTGGTGGGGAGTGGGGGGGGTGTAAACGTACCTAAAATCTACTCTCCTGGTGATTTTCCAGATGACTATACACTGTTATTAAGTGTAGCCACCATGTTGTATAATGGACCTCTTGTACTTATTCCTCCTGTGGAACTGCAAATTTGACTCTTTGACCAACAGCCTCCCAACCCCAATCCCCTTGCTAGCCCCTGGTAACTGCCATTCTACTCTCTACTTTCATAAGTTCAACTGTTTTAGCTTCCATATAAGTGAAGGCAAATAAATGGGCTTTAGAAGATAAACAGAAGGGAAAATTTGTAGACAACTCATAATCTAAAATTTTCCATAAAGAAAAAAAGAGGCGGCTTGGCCATTTTGATTCACAACAGACAAGGGCTATTTTAATGACTTTTTACTTGAAGGAAAATGAAAGAGATAAATAAAACTTGTTTAGAGGCAAGATTCTCATCAGCAAACAGAAATGTAGCAAAACAGCTAACAAAAGAAAATTAAAAATAAGATCTCTTTTAGGAATGGTGGGGGGAATAAAGAGCCTCTAATTATAATCCCTTCCCCACTTTTATAAACTATTGAAGCAAGATCCAAAAGGAAACGTTCACATGTATTCATCCTGCTTTATATCTGGGAACACAGACTAAAAATGTCTTAGATTTTGTCTAATGGATGCAAAAGATTCTCCAGTCTCATGTTCATTTTGGGTAAAAATATGTAAATATAAGGTAACTCCCTTTGAAATCAGATTTTCTCAGATCAGTAGAAAGGAAACATTCTGGAGCTCAGTTTTTCCAGGTTGTGGCATACAAACACTGGCTAAGTCTGCCCAATTTCTACACTTCCTCTAGGAAATCAAAAGCATTGGTTCATAAACTACAAAGCTGTTGTAGAATCCCAAAGGCTAAGCTCAAATACCTGAAGCTCAATTAGTCAAACATGGGCACAGCAGCACCTAGGAGCAGAGAAAAAAGTTTACTCAATTTGGCCAAAGCAAGAGGACAAGGGAGGCAAACTCTCAAATCCTTCCTTCCTTCGAAAATAACTGGGGATTCATGAGTAAGGTAGGAATGGGGGATCCCAATGATCTAGGCTGCCTATGCCCCTCAACTGATCAAACTTCTGGATGTAATTAATGAAGTTTGCAAGACCTCAGGATCATTGTTATTTGGAAGAAAAACAAGTTCATTCCCCATTGTGGGCAGCCCCTGGGGGTCAGGATATGAAGGCAATAATTATTAGTCAAATAGTGACCACCATCTACTGAATGACTAAGTACAAGCAATCCTGCATGGAGGAAGGAAAGGGAAAAAAAGGAAAATAAGTAAAACAAATAGGTTATGATTTTTATATTATAATATAGGCCTGGTTACAACTCTCACAAAAATAGAAAAAAAGATTTAAGATTAATTGGAAGAATGCAGAGAGATCCACCCTTAATCCATAAGCACAAATTAATGGCATGTAAAGAGATGCCATTTTACATATTAGGAAGATAATAAAATGGCTGGTGTGACACTTATGCAAACACATCACAAGGGAAAAGAAGGACAAAAGAAAAGATGGAAAAAAGGGAGGAAGCAAGTGATAGAGGCAGGAGACAGAGAAACTCTAGGCAGATAGGAATGGAACTCAGGCAAAACCCTACCTTCAAGGCAAAAAGCCTGAAACCCGCAGCCCAAAGTGAGAATGTGTATCCCTGTTTGCCTGCTCTTTCCCGGTTGGTTCTTTCTGAATAATGCCTTTTTACCAATCGAATGTCACCTTTTCTAAAACTACCTATGGCCCACCTGCCCCCATCCTGTGCCTATAAAGACCCCAGACTCAGCTGGTAGACAGAAGAAGTGACTGGATAATCAGGGAGAGGCAACCTGACTGGAGGAGAGAGGCAGAGAGGCAACTTGACCTCAGGGGAAAGTGACCTGCCCTTCCAGTACTCTTTTCATCCCCGTCTCCACTGAGAGCTGCTTTCATTGCTCAATAACATTGTCTGCTTTCACCATCCTTCAATTCATCTGCATGACCTCATTCTTCTTAGGCACCAGGCAAGAGTTTGGCCCTACCAAGTGCAGATACCCTAAAGGGCTGTCACACTGGCCCTTTGCTCTTGCTGGTGGAGGGCAGCCACGCGTGTGATAAGGAAAAGGGCCCACTGAGCTGATAACACATTGCAGTCCACAGACATTGGAGCTAAGAGAATATTGTTAACAGTCCCTCGGGGGCCTTGAGGTCACAAGCACCCCCACCTGTATGCTGTCATGGGGCCTACACAGTGTTTGCTCCTGCCAGCCCCAAAGCGGCCATCCAGTTCCTGCACTCATTTGCTCTGTACTTCCTCCCAAAAGGGGTTGAATGTGGCGGGCTGAGTAAACACAGTACCCCAGTTGCTAGTTCCACAAAGGGGTCAAGAAAAAATTCTGCATCACAAGGAAGGCAGGAGAGAAGGAAAGGCTGGCATGAGCAGCCCATATAAAACTAATTTTGAAAAAGACATGTTGTACAAAAAGTGAAGAGTGTATACAATTGTGTCTTATACAAAAAGGAACCTTAAAAATTCTGAATAATTTAATAAAATCTAAATTTAAAAATGAAATAAATGGTAGCATTTAATGATACAGAGATTGCAGAGCTGGGGGAACACAGTCAGGAAAATAGTATTACAAAAATAATGGGAAACAAAGAGGACTATATGAAATAGAATAACCACAGCTGAAAACCTCATTCATGACATAAAAGAATGACTTAATAGAACCACAGATGAATCCACATGAAAATAACAAAGCTCTTGGACCAACTAGAGACAAAATCCTAAAATAACAGCATAGGCAAACATCAACTAACATAAAAATAATTGGGGCCAGGCACGGTGGCTCACACCTGTAATCCCAGCTCTTTGGGAGGCCGAGGTGGGCAGATCACAAGGTCAGGAGATCAAGGCCATGCTGGCTAACACAGTGAAATCCCGTCTCTACTAAAAAATACAAAAAATTAGCAGGGCCTGGTAGCAGGCCCCTGTAGTCCCAGCTACTCGGGAGGCTGAGGCAGGAGAATGGCGTGAACCTGGGAGGCAGAGGTTGCAGTGAGCCGAGATCACGCCACTGCACTCCAGCCTGGGTGACAGAGCGAGACTCTGTCTCACAAAATAATAATAATAATAATTGGGAACGCTGAAGTAGAAAGCCTACTTAATGCAATGGAATACTTCTGTATGAACATAATAGTAACATGTTTTCTAGAAACACAATAAAACATTTGTATATATTGCAAGATCAGTGAAAAATACATAATAAAATAGAAAGGGAAAATCATTTATACAAGTTCTGGTTAACTTATTTGAAATGATGAATAGAAGGATTTGAGATAATCAAGTTTAAAAACTGGTACCCTGACAAGATTAGGGCTTGAGTACTGATGGCTGCATAGCATGCTATTCTCAAATTTAGCAAGAACACAATCTTCAAGACAATGAAGCAGCATTTACAGTGTGTTGCGAGGAATAACTAACTTTTGTTTTGTGAAAGTCATGCAAAGCTGTTGCATGGCAATCACCTATTTGTTTAGTTGTCAACACTGCTGTGTTGTTTATCAGCGTTTTCTGATGCACTGATGAAAGTATTCCAGTTATGCAAAATGAACTCTGAATAAAATATTTGCATTTTTAATAGGCCCCTAATAATCAGTTTATGAATGAAGGGACTGAAAAAATCAGACAATTAATTATTAAAGTTTAGCAATCAAAAGAGAAATATGAGACCAGAATCCCAGATTTCAGATTATTCATAAAAGTGGTTATCAATTACTGGGAAATAGACTAGGGTGTCCAGAGTTCACGCAACTTTAGAGAACACAGACATGTTGGAGAAAAATGGAATAAGAGAATCTTGGGAAAAAATAGAAAACTGCAGTAGGAAGTCAAAGAGCCAAGTGCAAAACCAAAGAGTAGTATTTTGGAAATTAGTAGAGGTGAGCCAATTCATTCCAAGTGCCACAGGCAGGTTGGGCAAGATATTGAAAGGATGTCAGGTGTGACCATCACCCTAGCTATTTTAATGTGGTGGTGAAAGTAGTAACTACATAGCAGGAGACAAGTCATTTATGAGAAGTGAGGAATTAGGGAAAACCATACAAAATATTAATTGTAGAAACCATTTCAAAAGTGAAAGTGAAAACTTGGTAGTTAGAGCAGTTGAATTTCTAGTTAGAAAGATTAAAGAGCATGCCATGGAAAATACGGAGGTAATAGATAGTGGGGGCCTGTATTCCTAGCACTTTGGGAGGCCAAGGCAGGAGGATTCCTTGAGGTTGGGAGTTTGAGACCAGCCTGGGCAACACAGTGAAACCTCATCTCAAAAATAAATAAATAAATATATATTTTATATATATATATAAATATTATATATAATAAATATATATATTAGGAAAAAAGAAATATTTGAGGGAACAAAAATTGATGTTTGTATTTACAAAAAACTGAGATGATAGTACAGAGAGTTTCCATATACCTGAAAGCCAGTCGCCCCTATTATTATTGCTCTATATTAGTATCGTACATTTGTCAGAATTAAGGAACCAACCAATATTGATATGCTATTATAGAAAAAAGCCCATACTTTATTCAGATTATTTTTTAGTTTTTACTAGATATCTTTTGTTTTTGTTGTTGTTGTATTCTATCTAGTATACCACATTGCTTTTGGTCATTTTGTCTTAAGCTTATTTCATTCTTGACAATTTTCACACTGCCCTTGCCTTTGATGACCATGACAGTTCTCAGGAGTTACAGATGAGGTATTTTGCGGAATACCACTACAGTGAGATTTGTCTTATGTGTTTGTCATGATTAGACTAGGATTATGGGTTCGTGAAAAAAAGACCAATAAGGAATAGTGACATTTTAGTCTAATTATATCAAGAATACGTGCTATGAACATGGCTGTGGATGATTGCTGTTCACCTTGATCATCCCCCTGAGCGAATACTTGTCACATTTCTCCACTCTAACATTATTCATAGCCCTCTTTCCACAACTGCGCTCTTTGGAAAGAGTAAATAGACACCACTCACACTTGGAAAGAGGGGAGTTACACTCCAGCTTCTTGTGAGTGACATAGCTACACATATTATCTGGAATTCTGCATGAGGTATTTGTCTCTTGTTCCATATTTATTTATTTTTCAGTCATTTATATATCAGCAATAAGTCACTGATGTTTATATTAGTACTTTGAGTTACAATACGGTATTTTGTTGCTTAAATTTTTCCAGCTTAGTCTATTGGTGGGAGTAGGCTCCTGTGGTCTCTGGCGGGCTCCATAGTTTTTTTTTTTTTTTTTTTTGGTAAAAAAAAAATGCCACTTTTTTGCTTTCTGAGATGACACAGATCTCAGCTTGTTGTGTATATTGTCTTCTCCAGTCATAGAATCAGCCATTTCTCCAAGGAGCCCTAGTTCCTTTTATTGAAGATATTAATAGTATTAAAAACCAAGATTGAGGCTCTAGCTATGCTTATTGGTACTGGGTGCCATTGTTTGTGGACCCTCTCAGTTGACAGAGCAAGGAAATATATGTTTGTGTACCAACTGGTATACACATGCATCGACAAACATTCTCCGTGTAACCACATGTATCTGTACTATGCACAATACAAGCTCGTACTAATGTCTTCAATTTTTTTTTTTTTTTTTTTTTTTTTTTTTTTTTGAGACGGAGTGTCGCTGTCGCCCAGGCTGGGGTGCAGTGGCGCGATCTCGGCTCACTGCAGGCTCCGCCCCCCCTGGTTTCACGCCATTCTCCTGCCTCAGCCTCCCGTGTAGCTGGGATTACAGGCGCCCGCCACCTCGCCCGGCTAATTTTTTGTATTTTTAGTAGACACGGGGTTTCACCGTGTTAGCCAGGATGGTCTCGATCTCCTGACCTCATGATCCGCCCACCTCGGCCTCCCAAAGTGCTGGGATTACAGGCGTGAGCCACCGCGCCCGGCCTTCAATTTTAATTCATTACTGTACCAATCATTCTAGCTTCTTCCCTTCCTGGTCTTTAACGTCCCACTTGAAGAGGAGGAATCTAGGCTTCCACCATCTGTCATCTATTTACTTAATTATTCAATTCCAAGATGCACAAAGTGGTTGGGGGTTTAGTTTCCTGTACATCTGTAGGAATCCACTTTACTCACTAGAGCACAGCGCTTATGAGCATCCCCTTTTGCCTTTTGACACAGATCATGAACATTTGAGAATAAGTCTGTGTGTTGTATATATGTGTTTACCACTTTTGGGTAAATACCTAAAAGTGGAATTTCTGGTTCATATGACACATGCATATTTAGCTTTATCGAAAGTAGTCGGATATTTCCCAAAGTGTGTTAGGGTTTTGCATTTTCATCTACAATGTACGAATGTTCCAACTGAATCGCATCCTCACCAGCACCTGGTAGTACTGCTGGTCCTTTTGACTGCAGGCATTCTACCAGGTGTGTAGTGGCATTCCAGTGTGGTTTTAATACGGATTTCCATAATGACAAATCATGGTGATTGATAATCGTAATATGTGCATCATTGCTATTTGTAGATTTTATTTGGAAGAGCGACTATACAAATGTTTTCCGTTTTTTAATTCTCCAATTTTATTCATTTTTTCACCTATTCAAGAAAACTGGCAAATTCAAGATCACAAAGATGTTCTCACGTAGTTTCCTCTGGAAATTTTTTTGCTTTAGCTTTAGATCTATGACCAATTTTTTGTTAATTTTTGTGGATAGTGTGTGATGATGGTCAGGGTTCAATTTTTCTGAAAATGAACATCCAACTTTTCCAAGACATGTCTTGAGAAAACAACTGATTTCCCATTGAATTCGCTTTGGTCCCTTTGTTGAAAATCCACTGAACAGATATGTGTGGAGCTACTTTGGAATCTCCATTCTTGTATTTTGTTTGTAAGTTTATCCTTATACCAATTTCAAATAGTCTGCATTTCTTCAGGTTTAAAGTTAATTTTGAATTCAGCTAGGTTAAGACAGCCAATGTAAAACTCTCACCAAGTTATTTTGGCTTTTTTGGTCCTTTGATTCTCATAAGTGAATTTTTAAATTCACTTATCAATTTCTGTAAAAATATTTGCTGGAATATTTATTATGGTTGCACTAAATTTACAGACAAATGGAAAATTAATATTATATTAAATCTTTCACATCATGAAACAGGCACATTTCTATGTTTACTAGATCTTCCTTAATTCCTCTCAATAATGTTTTTGGTACTCAGCATAGGAGAATTATATAATTCAGCATACAGGAATTGTTTGCTGAATATATTACATATTATATAGTGATGATGTAAGACTTACATAAGAAACATAATTTTTGTAACCTGAATACTGAATACATGTATTGTACACAGAAATATCTTGAAACCTCCAAGTATTTTGAATTTGTCTCTCACAGTCTAGTTTTAAAAATAATTTTAACCTCACATATTTTGAGACTGTTATTAGATGCATACATATATACGATTGTATGACTTATTGGTGAATTTATATTTTTATCATTATGAAACATATCTTGTATCTCTGCACATGCTTCATATATGAATTCCATTTAACATAATTTTAATATGTCATTACAGTTTTTAAAAATTTGTTTTTATGATATATATGTTTTCCACTATTTTAAATTTAAACTATCTGAAAGTGATACATTTTTATATGTAAAATAGTTCCTTCTACAGAGCAGAGGGATGTTATATTGTTTTACAATCTGATAATTGCCACCTTTTATTTGGTATGTGTCAACAATTTAAATTTAATATAATTATAAAAACATTTGACTTAAAGATGTGTCTTTTTTGGTCTGACATTTGTCCCATATGATTCTATTTCTTTTCTCTTCTATTTATTTATGTCTGAATTTGGAAATTTTTTTATTATTCTGTTTTAATATCCACTGATCACTTAACTATGTATTTTACAATGTGCATGTCTAACACAGTCTGCATTCAAGTTATACCTCTTCATTTGTGCTTTTATTGTAGTATATTTTACTTCTATGTATGCGATAAACTTCCAAAACCATTACAATACTTTTTAATATAAATAGTTAAAATTATTTATTATAGTTAGATTGGGTAAAATTCTTTTTAAGTAATTAAAATTTAAGAATAAGTATTTATTTATCATTCAAATCACTTTTATTGCCTTATGTAATCCAAATTCCTAACTGTTATTATTTCTCCTTTATATGTAAAAACATATAGCTTAGTATTTCTTATAGTATGAATATGCTAGCAATGATTTATGTAATTTTTAAAATTTGATGAGTTTTTTAACTTTAAATTATGTTTTCTCTTGGAATAAATTTTAGATTGAACATTGTTTCTTTGTTGTTGTTTCCTTTCTTTTATACTTTAAAGATGACATTTTATCAACATTTGACCTTAATGAAAAAAATTGCACCTGAGTCTGCTGGATTCTTTGGATTGAGCAGTTCTTTGGAAAAAAATAAAGAAAACAGAGGAAATTCTTGTGCAATCAACAAAATCCAAGCTGTGGAAGACTCTACATGTCAAATACCTCAGGTTCTTTATAAAAGCAATTTTAAGAAAAAGATAAAAATGAAAGGGAACTTATTGGTTAAAAGAGACTTACAAGTTATTTTAAATTGAATAGGAATAAAAGTGGTACACAACTGAGTGATAAAATATATTTAAAATGTTAGGAAAGAATGCTATGATAGTCTGCATAATAGTTACTGATTAATTATGAATAGGTTACACAAAATGGATTCAAATACATAAGGACATTTTATATTACATGGCAGAGCTTTATTTCTTAACCTAGTGGTACAAATATTTCGTGTGTTCTCATTTTATTTTATAATGATAATAATAATGATGATAATGCTGATGACAAGATATCTTTAATAGGCTATTATTTTATGTTATTTTTAAATTGTGAATATACAAGAAAATTTTGGAAGATAAAGCCAAATAATGCCAATGAAAATTTTTTTAAAAAGAAGATAATTGTATTATTATATATTTCAACCAATATTTACCTTAAGTCCAAAGTAAAGAAAAAACAGAATTTCTGTGTATATAGGTCTCTCCTAGAATAATTTAAAATAATCTAAAATTTTATTTAGATTTAGTCCTAATATACATTTACTTGAAAACGTTTTATACACCTATAGGACTATTATATTGGTACATATGATACATTGGATGGATAGATAGATAGATAGATAGATAGATAGATAGATAGATAGATAATTAGCTATCCCAGTTTGTTCGCAAAATTCAAAGTAGTTTTTAATTAAAAATATAAGCAAAACTACCATCTGCCAAATTAATGAATATGTTTCCCTTCATGTGCTTTGGTCTCTCCTCTTCATTAATATAATTAGTTTAATTAGGCATCTAATTTCTGTTATCAATGAGAGCCTCCAATTACCTATGCACCATTGAGCTTCTGTCCCTACTTGAACCTACACTAGCTAGCTATTCTGCCTATTTTATACAGCAATTTTTCTCTCTGGCTCTGTACACACCTTAAAACTTCACTTACCCACTGCAAATTCCTTCACAAATCTTTTAATGGCCAATTATTTAATATGAAAAACTGGTTACATTTATAATAATAACAGCTATGATTCATTGAATATGTAGTGTTAAGTTCTGTCAAACTGCTCTCTCTATATTATATGAATTATATAAATTAATACTTCCAAAACTACTGTGAGGTAGACATAATTTCCCCCAATGTAGAGCCAAAGCTAAATTCAGAGGATTGAAGTAACTGCCTAAGGGGCACAGAACCAGTAAGTTTCAGGCTATGTCACTCACTTGGAAGCTGATGTTCTTTCAACCATGCTGTGTTAATGGCTGATGCCCTAACATAGCACAAAGATATTAATATGCATCCCACCAGCAGGGATGTCCCTATTAACAGGGCTAGCCTGAAGCATTATTTAACTTCCAACAATATCATTATGTTGTGTTACATTAGAGACTTTCTTATCTTCACTTCAATTTAAAGATCAGTCATATTAAGGAGAGTAAAACTCAAGACACAAAAGGAAGAAGCCACCTATTTTCCTTTCTCAATTTTCTTAAGTTCCTCCTTAAGGACTCACAGAGAGAAGATGATGGTGGCACTTACTGTGTTACCCTAGCTCAGACCAAGACTGGGGTCCATTTACTTGGTGTAACTTGTTTATATAGTGTGTGTGTGTGTGTGTGTGTGTGTATCCAGGTCCATTCGTTCCATTGCAATCCCTCTTTATATTGTGTGTGTGTGTTTATCCAGTTTCATTCATACCATTGCAATCCCTCTTTATATTGTGTGTGTTTGTGTGTGTGTGTTTACCCAGGTTCATTCATACCATTGTAATCCCTCTTTACAGTGTGTGTGTGTGTGTGTGTGTGTGTGTGTGTGTGTGTGTGTGTGTTTACCCAGGTTCATTTATACCATTCCAATCCCTCTTTACAGTGTGTGTGTGTGTGTGTGTGTATGGGTGTGTGTTTATCCAGTTTCATTCATACCATTGCAATCCCTCTTTATATTGTGTGTGTGTGTGTGTGTGTGTGTGTGTGTGTGTGTTTACCCAGGTTCATTTATACCATTCCAATCCCTTTTTATAGTGTGTGCATGTGTGTGTGTGTGTTTATCCAGGTTCACTCACACCATTGCAATTCCTCTTTCACACCCTCTCCTCTTATTTGTTCCAAGGCCTACAATGAAACTTCTTCTCAATCTTAAAATTGAGCTCCTTTTAAGTTTCCTTCACTTCTAAATGAATCCTTCTGAAATGCCAGGACTTTTACTCTGCAGACTACATTCTCCTTTTGCAGGTGATTTCCTATGAGTTTCCCTGAATGCTGGACAAAGGAAGGATCCTGGAGGACTGGAGGAGAGAATGGGATCCTGTTTTCCAGTTTGCTTTCTCTTCCTATAGCTTCGCATAATGGCCCTTTCTGCTGCCCTCTGTTTCTTCTACCCTCAAACTGTCTCCTCTATGAATTTCTCAGAAAAAAATTGTACTGCTGATCAAAGAAGTTATTAGTTTTTCCCCTGAAAATGCACATTTCAGGCCATGAAATTACAAGTTCCCATGAGAATCCAATCCAGACTTGTAAGCACTGAGTCAACCTTGAGTGTTATGCTTCTTTCCATGTCTTCAGAAGAAAATGAGAATACGAGGTTGGGAAATTCATTACTGAAAGCCCCTAATGCATTCCTGAAATCTACTGTAAAATGTGTAGGCTCCTTAATAAGAAGCTGTACCACCAATTGCCACTTTTCACTGAGGTTTGTCATGCAGGGCATATGAACCTCAGAAATTTTAGATCAGGGATTATTTTCAAAGATGTTGGGACCAGTAGACTACTATGTATCCCACTCTCATAGTGCTGGTGAGCATAAGAGTATAAACGTGGTCTGTGAAATGTTTATCAAACTTTGGGATCTGGCGTTTTCCTGAGAATCTACCCAGACTATGACCTATAAACCACTTCTGCTCTCTGCTCTCATAGTATGCTCATGGGTAGAGGTTGACATCTAAAGCTTGTGACCTCTTCCTTAGGGGTCAACTAACTGTGTGTTATAATACTTCTGTATTCCCTTCTTTACCCACATATTCACCCTGCCACAACATGGCATGGTTCCCCAGCTTGGGGCAGGGGACTTTTACTTTATTATGTATAATCCCAAATGCTTACACGTGTCCTTTCTTTTGTTTATAGGTGATTATACTTTAGGGAGAAAAAATTAGCCTGGCCAGTGTTATATTCCCTCTCTGAGAAAATGAGCACACCAGAAACGAGCCAAAATATAAGGTAAAGTGTAACAGGGGATGTGGAAATGCCAGGAATTTTAAACATTAGTTTGTTTTACTTGATAAGAACTCCTTAGTAGCTTCCAGTTCTCAAAATAAAGACATTTTTAAGCATATATGACTAAGCATTGAATGACCTCATCTTTGCCTAGTTTGCTAGACTCCTCTTGTTCCTTGCCTCTCTGCTTGCTATACTGAGCTTCAGTGGTCTTACTGCAGTTCCCTGAACATGTCCTGCTCCTGCTAGGCACAGAATCCTTTCACTGACTCTTGCCTCTGCCTGGACGGCTCCGCTCACAGTTCAGCAGACACCCACTTTCACCTCCTGAAATAGCCAGTAATTCTCCAATGAACACATTTTTCTTTAGAAATGTGCTCCTATGAAGTACAGTCCCTAAACGGCATGTTTTTCCACATAAACTCTAAATTCATTTTTCAATGATACTTTTGTCAATATCATTGAATGAACAATGTTTGTCATCAGTGCTTGATGGGACACTCCAAGAGGCAAGGAACATATCTGCATTCGCTCACTATTTTATCTTCCACCTCCAGTTTGTTACTTAGGACTTATGTGCTGAATAAATACATGTTGCAGTAATGAGGGAATCAGTTCAAGGAAAAGAATCAAGGCTTCAGTGACACAAATGACTAACGCCACCTTGGAGATATACCTCCAAGCTTTTTCTGAAGGATGAAGAAAGTTGTTGTGAAAATGTTATGGTTGGCATTTAAGGGCATACAATGTTTTTAAAGACAGTAATATTTATAAACGTTACTTATTTTCCTACCACCACCCCCATTAATTTATGAATGTAGAAGCGAATTCTGTATGGTCACAGTTCTCTTGTACTAAGTATCCTTTATAATTTTATCAAATTCTTCAGTAACCTCTGGACTGTGAAAACCTTCCATGTTTCTCCATTTCTTAAGCAGCTTTTTTGAGACAGAGTTCACATATCAAATAATTCATCCATTTAAATTGTGTAATTCAATGCTTTTAGTGTATTCACAGATTTATACTACCATTACCACAATCAGTTTCAGAATATTGTCATTAACCGCAAAAGAAATTCCATATCCATTAGCCGTCTCTCTCCATTACCTCCACTCTCACTCCAACTCTAGGCTGACACTTGTCATTGACTCTTTAAGTTTGCCATTCTGGACATTTCATATAACTGGAATCACATAACACGTGATTTTTTAAGACTGGCTTTTTTTTTTTTTTTTTTTTTTTGCTTGGATAATGTATTCAAGGTGAATCCATGTCAAGATGTGTATTGGTGCTTCTAATTTTAAGATCGCGAAATACCATTCCATTGCACGAATTTACCACATTTTGTTAATATATTAATCAGTTAATGGACATTTGCATTTTTCCTACATTTCGACTAATCTGAATAACAATGTTAAAACCATATGTGAACAAGTTTTTGTGAACATGTTTTCATTTATCCTGAGTATATATCCAGAATGCAATTACTGTGTCAAGAGGTAACACTATGGTGAATGTTTTAAGAAACGACTAGATTGTTATCGAAAGTGGCTGTAAAATTTCATGGAACCTTAAGCAATATATGAAGGTTTTAATTTTTCCACATTTTTGCCAACATTTGTAACTGTCTCCCTCTAAAAACAAACAAACAAACAAAAACACTGTTTTTTTTTGGAGGTCTGATCTCTTTTCGATAGTCATCCAAATGGTTATGAAGAAGTGTCTCAATGTGGTTGCTATTAGCATTTCCCTTATGGTTAATCACATTAAGCGTCTTTTCATGTGTTTATTTGCTATTTTTACACTGAAGAAATGTGTGTACAAACTAATTGTCCACCTTTTAATTGGATGACAAGTCTTTTGATTTTTGAGTTGCAAGTATTTTTTACATATCCTGGATAAAAGTCCCTTATCAGATAGATGATGTGGTGAGCAGAATAATGCCCTCCCCCCACTAATGGTGCCCACATGGTAATTCTTAGAACCTTTGAATATGTTACTTTATATGGCAAAACAAACTTTGAAGATTTGATTCACTTAAGATTTGATTAACTTAAGAATATTGAGATGGAAAGGATAATCATATGGGTGCTTAAAAAGGAAAGGCGTGTGCAGGCGATTACAACAAATATGTGAGGACAGAAGGTTGAAATGAGGCAACTGCTGGCTGGAAGACAGCCACAAGCCAAGGAATGTGAGCAGCCTCTATTAAGTCAGAAAAGGTAAATAAATGGATATTCCAGAGATTCAGGTGGAATGCAACCTTCTGACCTCCAGAAATCCAATATATTTCATTTGTTGTTCTTTTATCCAATTAAGTTTCTGTTAATTTGCTACAGCAGCAACAGGGAGCCTATATCTAAGATTTGCCAATAATGTCTTTTATTCATTGTTTGCCTTTTCTCTTTCTTGATGCTGTCTTCAAAGAATAAATTTTTTAAAATTTTTGATGAAATCCAATTTATGTATTTTTTTATTGCTTGTAATTTTAGTGTTGTCTATTAAAACTTAGCTTTACCTAAGTTCATTACGATTTTATCCTGTGTTGTCCTTTAAGAGTTTTATGATTTTTTTTACTTGTAAATACGAGTCCATCATTTATTTTATGTTAATGTTTTTGGACACAGTGAGGTAGGGATCCACATTTATTATTTTGCATGTGGTTATCCCCACACTAGTTTTTGAAAAGATTGTTATTTTCCCATTGAATTTTCTTGGCACTCTTTTCAAAAACACAATTGAAGATGAATGCACAATTTTATTTCTGGAGTGTGTATTCTATTTCTTTGATACGCATGTCTCTCTTTATGGCAGTGACACACTCTCTTGATTACTGCAGCACTGTAATAAATTTTGGAATATGGGACTATTAGTCCTCTTACTTTGTTTTTCTTTTTCAAGATTGTTTTGGATATTTTGTATTCCTTTCATTTCCATGTAAATTTTAGAATCATTTGTCAATTTATACAAAGAAACTAGCTGTGATCATAATACAGATTATGTTAAATCTATAGATCAATTTGATGAATATTACCATCTTAAGATTGTAAATATTCTTACTTATGAACATGAGATATATTTCCCTTTATCCATGTCTTTTTATAATCATTTCACTAATATTTTGTGTTATTTGATGTACATGATTTGCAAATATTTTGTTAAATTTATTCTTACATATTTATTTTTTGCAATGTCATTGTAAATTGAAATGATTTTGTAATTTCCTTGATGGACTGATCATTGCTACTATATAGAAAATGGATTTTTGAATATTGATCTTGTATCCTGCAATCTTGCTGAACTTTTTAATTAGTTGTAGTAATTTTTAGTGGAATCTGTACTATTTTCTATATGCAAGAATATGTCATTTGCAAATAGAAATATTTTTATTTATCCATTTCCAATCTGGATACTTTTAAATATTTTTATTGCCTAGTTTTTCTACTTATATCCTCCAATATAATGTTGAAGGTAAGCAAAGATAACAGATGTTGTTATCTTTTTCCAGATCTTAGAAGGAAAGATTCAGACATTAACCTAGAAATATTACGTTAGTTGTGCATTTTTCATAGATATTCTTTATCAGGATGAGAAAGTTATCAAAGGCACTAAATCTAAAGAAGATGTGGAGAAAAATTTTAAGTTCTTTGCCTAAGTACCAAGGAAAGTGTGTCATTACCAAGATAAGGAGAATAGGGAATAAGGTGGTGGAATCTGGAATGAACTAGATTCCAGTTCACTTTCTGGTGTCACTATTTACTGAATTGAATTTTCTGTCATTTTATAATGACATGGAACTGGATTTAACAGGAAACAGTTTCTGTCTGTGTATGTCAAATTTTTGAGGCTTGTGAAACATTTCGATGGGAATACCTAGTATGCTCCTTTGATTTTAGATGTATAATTTAGGGAAATGAATTAATACATACAATCATTTGAAATTCCCAATATTTAATGAAGGTGACCCTCTTTAGATTAAACTTAACAAGAAAGTCATAATAATTAAGAAACGTTAAATCATTTTCTGAATAACAGAATAGAATCTAAAGTAATAGGACCTGTATTATATCTATTAAACTGAACTCAGAAATCAAAGTATACATTTATTCATCCAAGAATTTTCTTAGTAGAGATGCAAGCATTGTGTTCTTCTTGTCACATATGTCTCTGTGAAACTGGTACATAAAACATTAGTCACTGTAACATTCCCTTTGCTTAGATGTTACTGTGCAATGTTCCAATAATCCTTTGTTTCTGCATTCATTTTTCCTACATGAATATAATGTGATGATCAAGTAGTGTGAGACTTAGGATTAGCTTGACATTCCTCTTATAGTTTTTAAGACTACTGAATATGATAGAGGCTATACATCAATCTAACTCTAGTAGATTGACAAAATTTAGTTTTCAAATCCAAAATATGGCAAACCCTAAATTAGATGATGATTGAATTTGATGATGCTGTCAGTGTCTATTTGGTTTGATAACTGCGCAGGCTTCACGCTTTACTCCCCCTCTCTAGTAATAATAGCTGTATATATATATATGCTTATGTATGTGTGTATATATGTATATATATTGTAATAATAGTATATGTATATATATATCTATAGTATAATAACAGCTGTATATATATGCATACATATAAAATAGCCAAAATATACTTAAGCTTATGATCATACTTCAATATAAGCATATACAAGCATATATATGTATAAATATATATATACCTACTTATGCTTACGATCATACTTCATTGTAAACATACATATATATAAGAATATATATAAGCATATATATGCTTATAATGAAGTATGATTGTAAGCATAAGTATATTTTGGCTATTTTAAGTAAATTTGTCTCACCTAAAACATTCCACGTTTTATTGCACTGATTGCATATATGTACATCTCTTAGAATTTCTAACTGTTTTAATCCCTCGCCCCACCCTCTATTCTCTGGTTTCTTTAGTCTTACTCATGATAACAAAAGGGGCTCAAAAGCAATATTTTTCTGGTTGTTGCATATTGAATGAGAGACAGTCTCCTAAATGTGTCATACCTAAGATAGAGAAAGAAACACATTACTGTGCATTTCTAGTGAGCCCTTTCTTTATGTTAGCACTTAAACTATTGAATTGCAAATGAAATTCCAGGCAAGATGTGATACCTCCTTTTTCATTTAACAAGATATCTTTAATACTCATGAGATTCATAAGAAATTGGATGCTATCTGAACAGCAAGGATTTGTAATAATGGCCCAGGTATTATGAGGATTAGGAGAATCTGAATGAGCAATCCCTTAGCTCATAAAGAAAATGATAAAGGATAAAAGGTAGCATTAACTGTTCAGTGATGTGGGATGTTCACTGTGTGTACAGCTGCATCAAATTGAAAGTCACTTACTTGATTAGTTAGCTAAATATAACAGCTTTTATTTTGCACCTACCCAAACAATCTCCTAAGTCACTAAGGGCTTATGTATTATGATATAAAAGGAAAGTTTTAAATGTCATAACCTTTACCGAAAAATAATATTTAATATATTATTTTGTTATTTCTTCTTATTTATTTATTTATTTATTTATTTATTTATTTAGAGACAGAGTTTTCACTTTTGTCACCCAGGCTGGGGTGCAGTGGTGTGATCTTGGTTCACTGCAACCTCCGCCTCCTGGGTTCAAGCGATTCTTCAGTCTCAGTCTCCCTAGTAGCTGAGATTACAGGCCTGTGCCACCACGCCCGGCTAACTTTTTGTATTTTTAGTAGAGATGGGGTTTCATCATGTTGGCCAGGCTGGTCTTGAACCCTTGACCTCAAGTGATCTGCCCGCCTTGGCCTCCCAAAATGCTGGGATTACAGGCGTGAGCCATCGTGCCCAGTTATTTATTTTTTTAAATATATTAAAGACTCAGATGCAGGCTTACCTTGGAAAACTTGTTAATATTTGGTCAAACTTTCATTTGAGGGCATCTATTTGACAAATATTCACCACTGTCAGTGTAAAACAAGCAGTTTTGAATAGTCCATCTTAAAACTTCTTACTGGCTTAATCACTGTCCCCTTTAGGGAAATGCCTTAGCTTACTGAGTGGTAATCTAAGTTACCTATCATTCGTGTACGGTAGTGAAATAAAATATTAATTTTACATAAGTACCAATCGTTTTCTGAATTAACTTTTTTTTTTTGATTCCTGGCTCTGTTGAAGGATACCGATGAATTAAGCTAAAAATATTTTGGCCAAGAACTCACCCTGGCATTTGTAAAATTCAAATAACCTAAGATCTCTAGTGTTTTCTACACTATAGCATGAGTGCTATTTTGGGTCTTAAAATGGTAGATAGAAAGTATTGATGATGTAGCCCTCAGGAGATCCTTCCTGACCTTGCTTTTCAAAGTAACCTGGTTTACTCTGGGATAAAAATAATAACAAATTTTGGAGGCAACTCTTGTAAATGTTAGGGTTTTTAAAATAGGACATTTTCCCTATTTATGTAATTTTCTTGATTTAGCGCAATATCTGTTTCCATGAGACAGTGAAAAAAAAACCCTAATCTGTAATTACATTTGAATCCCAAATACCATGGATGTAAAAAGACATTCCTTTCACCATTATTATTATTATCTTACTAGACAGAAAACATAAGAGCTCCACTAGAGCCAAGGTGGCTGAAATACTTGGTGTTCTTCTCTCATAGCTGGATGTAGCTGTCCAACCTGTTTCAGCATATTTGTGTCACTTGTTTTTTATTCTTCTCATTCCCACTCCAGAATCATAGTATATTTAGAAAACACAAGAAAACAGTTTGGAGAGCATTATAGGCTTGTGATTAGATACGCTGTCTAGGAAGCTAGGTGGGTGGGCCCAGGCATTGTTTAGGAGCCCAGGAAGTTAGAGAGCCTGAGCGCTCACAGGCTGGCTTCTCAGCCCTCATGAGACTAAGAAGCTTGCACCACTGCGCTAAGAACCAGACCAGTAAACTGAGCCTACATTCCTCACAAGAAGGAACTTCAACTTACCTGAAGCAGCATCCATCGCTCCAATTGGCCTCAGGTAGACATCTCCATGGACCCCCAGCTGCTGTGTCCCAAGCAGGGCTGTGAGTTGTGCCCGACCACCTCCAGCATTACAGCAAGAGTTCCTGCCTGAACACAAGGTGTGGACAAGTGAACGGGTGTAACACTTCCAAGGGGGTGGAGGGTGGTGTGAGTGTCACTCCTGGCTCTTCATATCTACTACAAGAAATACGGGCATCAACAGAGGCTGAATCAGAGTGATATGGCTATCTTACCTACTGGGTGATGAATACCATCAATAATTTCTCATTCAAATTTTGCCATTGTTGTAAAAAAAAAAGATTCAAGAGTTTCTAATGCATGGCTATATTCACTTACTTTTCCATGATTCTATGTTAGTTTTGTTTTTCTAATGATTCATTAACCAGTACCGATATGGTTTTTAATGACAAGGTTTAGTTTAGAAACACTTTTCATTGGCTAAACATTGTTGTTTTGAATAATTTTATAATAAGAATAATAAAAATGTTTACTTCTGGTTAGTTTTCATTTCCCTGGAAATGTTTCACTGTAAGTCTTATGCCCTTTAGTTATGACCACTTTGAAAATTACAACCTAATTACTGACTTCTCTCCTAAATTGAAATTCAGCGTCTCAGTGCATACTTGTGCCTTCCTTAGAATGTTCTCTAGTTCCTTGACACCCAGGCTTTACCTACGTAGTCAATTCAGTCTCTTACCACTTTACATATCTTAAACTCCAATTAAAGGGAATAGAAATCACTAAGAGTTTTATAGCAGATTGTATCTCAGAGACGCTCCCAAGAATAAACATTATCCTATTTATTTCTCATTTAAAAAATTTGAAGACCCTTAATTATGACCAATATTCAGAAGAACATAAATATTAGATAAACCACTATAAACTACAAAATACATAAAATGATAAATAAAAATATATAAAATGATAAATATTAAATAACCTGGTATAAATTACAAAATACATAAAATTTACAGTCAAATACTAAAGTCTTATTAATGGACTCTGTTCATTATTCCAAAAGAAAATAATACTAGTGGCTCAATTGTCTTCTGTAGACATTGAAGGAAAATAAGGATTGTTATGGACTGAATTGTGTTTCCCCCAAAGTGGCTGTGTTTGGAGATTAGGCCATTAAGATGGTAATCCAGGTAAAATGAGATCATAGGAGTGGGGCCCTAGTCCAAAGCACTAGTGTCTTTAGAAGAAGAGGAAGCCACACCAGAGGATCATCCTCACAGAAAAAAGGCCATGCAAGGACACAGTGAGAAGGTATTCTCTGCAAGCCAAAGAAATAAGCCTCAAATAAAACCCAACCTGTTGACAGCTTGAACTTGGACTTCAGGCTCTAAAGCCATGAGAAAATAAGTTTCTATTTATTAAACCATCAAATCTATGGTATGTTATTATGACAATCCTAGCAAACTAATACAAGTGTGTCTTAGCCTGTTTTCTGCTGCTATAATAGAAAACTACAGACCAAGTAATTTACAGACAGAAGTGATTTGCTATTTCTCCCAGTTCTGGAAGGTGGAAAGTCCAGGAGTATGATGCTGGCACCTGGGGACGGTCATGGCCAGAGGGTGGAAGGTAAAAAAGAGCACACAACACAAAGAAAGCAAATGAAGGCCAATCTTATATTTTCACAGTGCTCCCTCTCCTGCCATAATGGCACTAATCCATTTATGGGGGCAGAGACCTCATGACGCTGTCACCTCCCAAAGGCCCCTCCTCACTACTGGTGCAATGGCAATAAGGTTTCCAACATGCAAACTTTGGGGGCCATATTCGAGCCACAACAAAAGACGTAAACATTTGAAACGAAAAATAAATGAACCAATAAGTATCAATGTGTAAGTGATAAGCTTGTAGCTCAAGAACGCCCTGGTGTGCACTACATTCTTGCATTCTCTAAAACAGATTCTGGAACTTCCTTTGTGAGAACAATTTGCCCTCTTGGAGAGATCTTATTTTTGCCCATAAATCTTCTCATTCTATTCACCCTTTACCTCACTGTAGCATTATCTTCCACCCCATCGCCTTATCTACACTCACCAAGGTAACTCATAGCGTCAACTATTAATTTTATGACATTATAACCTATAATAATTAAAATTAAACCTTTACAGTCAAATACTAAAGTCTTATTAATGGACTCTTCATTATTCCAAAAGAAAATATTAATTTTATGACATTATATGTATGTGTATGTATAAAATTTCACTATTTCTTTTCTTGTATTACATGATGTTGTTGTGGCATATGACATTATTTTCCAATGCTTTTCGATACAGTTTTGCCCAAGGCAAGTACCTCTGCTAAACAACGACTGCCTCTGCCTTCTAGTGATTGTCTGTGTCCCTGGCTCCTCATGACAGGTTCATTTCTACCTGCATGGGAAGTACGGGGCACCTCACTTAAATCTGTCACTACATAATCAACACTTCCTGGCGGTGCCCTGATACACATGGATCCTCCATCTGGAACAAAATTTTCCCTAGTCACTACAGGAGAACCTTGCTTTATTATACTCTGCTGTATTGTGTTTCACAGGTATTGTGGGGATTTTTTTACCAACTGAAGATTTGTGGCAACCCTGTTGTCAAGCAAATACATTGGTACCATTTTTCCAACAGCCTGTGTTCACTTCATGTCTCTGTCATATGTTGGCAATTCTCACAATATTTCAAACTTTTAAATTACTATTATATCTGTTATGGTATCTGTTATGGTGATCTGTAGTCAATAATCTTTGATGTTATTATTCTAATTGTTTAGGGACACCACAAACCACACCCATGTAACATAGCAAGCTTAATAGATAACTGTTCTGTGTTCTGACTACCCCACTGACAGGGTCTTCTCCTGTCTCTCTGCCTCTCCTCGAGCTTTCTTATTCCCTGAGACAGAAAAATATGAAATTTAGATCACTTGATAACCCTACATTGACCTCTAAGTGTTCAAGCAAAAGGAAGAGTCATTCATCTCTCACTTTAGTCAAAAGCTAGAAATGTTTAAGCTTAATGAGGAAGGCATGTTGAAAGTTGGGACACGCCAAAAGCTAAGCCTCTTGGACAAACAGTTAACCCAGTTGTGAATGCAAGAATAATTTCTATTTTTTTGAGACAAAGTCTCGCTCTTGTCACCCAGGCTGTAGTGTAATGGCGTGATCTCACTCGCTGCAACCTCCGCCTCCCAGGTTCAAGCGATTCTCCTGCCTCAGCCTCCTGAGTAGCTGGGATTACAGGCACACGCCACCATGCCTGGCTAATTTTTGTATTCTTAGTAGAGACGAAGTTTCACTGTGTTGGCCAGTCTGGTCTCGAACTCCTGACCTCAGGTGATCCACCTGCCTCAGCCTCCCAAAGTGCTGGGATTACAGGCATGAGCCACTGTGCCTGGCAAGAATAATTTCTGGAAGAAAATTAAAAGTGCTACTCAAATGAACACACAAATGTTAAGAAAGTGAAACTGCCTTACTGCTGCTATGCAGAAAGTTTTAGTGGTCTGGATAGAAGATCAAACCAAACACAACAGTCCCTTAAAACAAAGCCTAATTCAGAGCATGGTTCTAAAACTCTTCATATCTATGAATCCTGAGAGAGGTGAGGAAGCTGCAGAAGAAACGTTATGAAGCTAGCAGAGGTTTTTTAATGACGTTTAAGAGAATAAGCGATCTCCATAACATAAAAGTGCAAAGTGAAGCAGCAAATGCTGATACAGAAGCTGCAGCAAAGTGATTCAGAAGATCTAGCAAAGATAATTGATGAAGGTGACTACGCTACACAACAGCTTTTCAATGTAGATGAAATAATATCTCTTGAGAGAAGATGCCATCTAGGACATTCATAGCTAGAGAGGAGATGCCAGTCCTTGGCTTCAAAGCTTCAAAATCTATCCAACTCTCTTGTTAGGGGCAAATGAAGTTGGTCACTTTAAGCTGAAGTCAATACTCATTCACCATTCTGAAAATCCTAAGGCCTTTAAAAATATGCTAACTCTACTCTGCCTATGCTCTATAAATGGAACAAAAACCTGGATGACAGCACATCTGTTACAGCATGATTGACTATATATTACAAGCCCACTATTGAGACTTACTGCTCAGAAAAAGAAAAGATTCCTTTCAAAATATTATTGCTCATTGATAATGTACCAGAATACCCAAGATATTTGATGTAGATGTGCACTGGTGATTAACATTGTTTTAGTGCCTGGTAACACAACGTGCATTCTGCAAAAAATTGATCAAGGGTGCATTTTTGACTTCCAAATTTTTTATTTAAGAAATACATTTCATAAGGCTATAACTGCTGTACACAGTAATTCTTATGATGGGTCTGGGCAAAGTAAATTGGAAACCTTCTGGAAAAGATTCACCATTCTAGATGCCATCGAGAACATTCGCAATTCATGAAAGGATGTCAAAATGTCAACATTAACAGGAGTCTGCATGAAGTTGATTCCATCTCTCATGGATGTCTTTGAGGGCTTCAAGACTTCCATGGAGAAAGTCACTGCAGATATGGTGGAAATAGCAAGAGAACTAGAATTAGAGGTGGAGGCTGAGGATGCAACTGAACTGCTGTAATCTCATGACAAATCTTTGATGGATGAGAAGTCTCTTCTTAAGGATGAGCAAAAAAAGTGATTTCATGAGATGGAGTCTACTCTTGGTGAAGACATTGTAAACATTGTTAAAATGGCAATACAGGATTTAGAATATTATATAAACTTAGTCGATAAAGCAAAACAGGGTTTGAGAGGATCAAATCCAATTTTGAAAGTAGTTCTATGGTAGGTAAAATGTTATCAAACAGCAACGCATGCTACAGAGAAATATTTCGTGAAAGGAAGAAACAATCAACTTTATTGTTGTCTTATTTTAAGAAATTGCCAAAGTCACCCCAGTTTCAGCAAACCATCATCCTGATCAACCAGCAGTCATCAACACCAAGGTGAGAGCCTCCACCAGGAAAATGATTATGACTTGCTGAAGTCTCCCTTCATTATTCACATAATTTAGCAATGAAGTATTTATAATTGAGATGTGTAGACAGTTTTTTTGAACATACCGATTTTGCACACTTAATAGATTGCAGTGTAGCATAAACATAACTTTTGTATGCATTGGGACACCAGAAATGTATGACTAGCTTTATTGTGAAGTTGGCTTTGTTGCATTGGGTGGCAATGTCTCCCAGGTGTGCTTGCAGTTGCCCCGCATGCTTCAACTGCTTTTCTTCTATGCCATCATTGAGCACGTTTTCTTGGCTAATGAAAGCCAAGTGGAGATCTCAGGAGCTGAGCTGGCCCTTCAAAGGCTTTGTACCCCCACATTGAATGTGGGCTCTGCTTAAGGAGAGGGAATGAGGGCTTCTGTCCCAGACAAGTAGTCTCCCCAGATCACCACAGCACCCACTTCAGTCAGCAAGGGGTGAGCCCAAGAGTAGCCTCTCACATTTGGATGGGAGATGTCCATCCAGGGAAATAAGAAACAAGTAGAACATTTTGTTAAGTCTTGTGAATTTTTCTTGGAAATTTTCAAAAATTAAGAAGATTAAAAAAAAGTAAATGACTGAACTTCCAGAAGTTGAATGTAATCTAATTCAGAAGATTTCATAAGCATAGCAAAAGGAAGAGTGACATCTGAGGCCCTGAAAACCTAAAGAAACACAAAGGGTATCTTACTGAATTCAGTTATAATCGTGACCAATGATTTTAATACTTTACCTTCTTTCCAAAAACATCCAGGATTCTGAGGGAACTGAAGCCTTTTATTTTGTTTTATGTATTTATTCATTGTTATTTTGGAGGTGGAATTTCCAAAAGTAGGGCTACAAAAATGTTGTTTTAGCAAAATTTACAAAGTTACTGTACCATGTGGACACATTGTGAATTACACTGTACAAGAGGCCACTGCGTACATATAAGCTTCACGAGACTTTGTGGCAAATGCACTCTCCAAGTACAGGCAGATTCTATCAAGGTCATTCACAGTTAAATCTTATGCCGTATAAACCTTTTCAAGTGATAATATTTTCCCTTTTTAGTCGCTCCCCTTAATAGTTATAATGCTGTGCTTTCTAATTTTTATGGCATTTTTGCTGCTTCTTTCTGCCTCTTTAAATCATTTTTTTTTCCTTCATGGCTCAGTTAAATCTCAAGTGTTCTTTGAAACTTACATTTATCATTTAGTTTTCATTTGTTTCTCATGCCCATAACACTGATAGACTATTCTACAACATGTCTGACATTTTTTTTTCTCATTTGGTACAACATTACCTCCCATTTTCTTCTTCTAACTGGACAAAATGTAGAAAATATATATCTGGTTTATTTTCTCTTATTTCCCCCAATTTCCCAAAGCCTAGAATGTACACCCAATATATAACAGGCACTCAATGCATGTGCACTGGTGGAAAGCTTTTCAAAATCAGCTTCCCTGTAACTACTGGCTTGTTTGTTTGTTTGTTTTCATTAAATATCCTATGCCTCAGGCTGAGCATGGTGGCTCATGCCTATAATCGCAACCGTTTGAAAGGCTGAGGTGGGTGGATTGCCTGAGCTCAGGAGTTCAAGACCAGCCCAGGCAACATGGTGAAACTCTGTCTCTACAAAAAAATGCAAAAGTTAGCCGGGCATGGTGGCACATGCCTGTAATCCCAGCTTCTGGGGAGGCTGGGGCAAGAGGATTGCTTGAACCCAGGAGGTGGAGGTGCACTGAGCCAAGATTGTGCCACTGCACTCCAGCCTGGGCAACAGCGCGAGACTCCAGTCTCAGGAAAAACAAAAACAAAAACAAAAACAAAAAACAGTAGGCTTGGGGCCGTGGCTCACGCCTGTAATCCCAGCACTTTGGGAGGCCAAAGCAGGTGGATCATGAGGTCAGGAGATTGAGACCATCCTGGCCAACATGGTGAAACCCAGTCTCTACTAAAATACAAAAAATTAGCTGGGCATCGTGGCACATGCCTGTAATCCCAGCTTCTTGGGATGCTGGGACAGAAGGATCGCTTGATCCAGGAGGTGGAGGTTGCAGTGAGCTGAGATTGTGCCACTGCTCTCCAGCCTGGGCAACAGAGCAAGACTCCAGTCTCAAAGAAAAAAAAATAAAGAAAATCATACGTCTCAATATGGTGCCTATATAAATAATCTATATTAGCTACTTATTGCTACTTTTATATTTCAAATTTTAAGCCTACAATTTAATAGTATTCTTGTAGTTTACCTTCATTTCAACAGAAAAGAATGAAATTTATTATGAAAATTCTACCTTCAATGCACATAGCTATTGAATTGTGTCATGCCATTTTCCTGAACCAAAATAAAATTTCTTTTTTTCTTTCACCTTAGAGCCATCTAAGATTCTCTATTTTGCAACATACAGATCATGACGTACTTAAAATGCACCATTCTGGTCCAGGTCTGCTTCTGAATTGCTGAACATGAAGTCCCTACAACTTGTTGAAAGACAAATTTCTGTGGGTCTCTAACCATTTCTACAAGTCTTAGAACAGCCACCTACTGCCTTTGTTCCAAACGATCTTTTCAGGAACATCATGTAGGAAGCAGCCATGGAAGAGAGAGGTAATGTTTCCCATCAGGGTAAAGGGTAGGCTGGCCGCCTGTAGCCCGGGAAGTTAGAGACAGTGTTTACCTCTGGAGCTAAGGGCAGACATGCTTATTGCATATTATTATAGATTCAGGTTCCCTATGCTCAAGGTTTCTCTTCCAAAGCTCACCTTGCTTTGTGTGAGGGCATTCATTGAAACCATTCCACATTGCCCTCGTGGGATTTTGGTGCAAGAGAAACTGACACAAATATTCTGCTCAGGGTAACTTTTTTTGCCTTCAGTAATACATTCATTTTTCCCTAAACCAGAAACCTTACTTCTCCCAGCATCTGTGAAGCTGGCATGTTAACTTGTTAAGATTGTAGGTAGGGTAAAATCTCAGACCTTCACAGTTTTAATTTTTTTAAAAAATGGATACATATTAATTGTACAAATTTCTGGGTTACATGTATCTTGATGTATACACACAATGTGTAATGGTCACAGCAAGGCATTTAGGATGTCCATCACCTCAAACATTTATGATTTCTTTTCTAGCTATTTTGAAATACACAATGAATTGTCATTAATTGTGCTATGGAACATTGGAATTTATCTCTTCTTTCTAACTGTGTATTTGCACCCATTAACCAGTCTCTCTTCATTCCCCACCCTTATTCTTCCCAGATTCTGATAACTATTATCCTACTCTCCACCTCTATGAGATCAACATTTTTAGCCCAGACATAGAGTGAAAACATGTAATATTTGTTGTTCTGTGACTGGCTTCTTTCACTTAACATAATGACCATCGGTACCACCTATTTTGTTGCAAATGATAGGATTTAATTCTTTTTATGGATGAATAAGATTCCATTGTGTATACCTACCATATTTTCTTTATCCGTTTGTCTGTGATGGACCCTTAGGTTGATTCCATATCTTGCCTATCGTGAATAGTGCTGCAATTAACATAGAGGTGCAGGTATCCTTTTGACAGACTGACTTCCATTCTTTGCATAAATATCCAGTAATGGGATTGCTGGATTGTATGTAGTTCTATTTTTAGTTTTCTGAGAAACCTCACTGCTTTCCATAATGGATGTACTTTGTGTGAGGGCATTCATTGAAACCATTCTGCATTGCCCTTGTGGGATTTTGGTGCAAGAGAAACTGACACAAATACTCTGCTCAGGCTAACTTTTTTTGCCTTGAGTAATACACTCCTTTTTCACTAAACCAGAAACCTTACTTCTCCCAGCATCTGTGAATTTTTACATTTTCACCAATAGTGTATGAGTTCCCTTTTCTCTGCATCCTCAACAGTACTCGTTATTTTTTGTCTTTCGTCACAGCTCTTCCAAACATTTGATTACCTGAGAGAAAAATATTACTTGGACTTTTTGGAAGCTTTTACTTTTGCTTAGCCATACTGCTGCTTTACACTATGTATGATTCTACGATTCCATATATCATACCAACTTACACTTATGTTTTCTGTCTTTCTCTCCAGCCAGCTAGACTATTACTACTTTTACAAACACTTATGACTTATTTCCTGCATATAACCAATCTCTAGCAACATATGAACATCTGGAAGATATCCTTTAAATAATAAACTATTTGATCCATATATCCTGGGTTGAGCTTTTTAATTAATCTTGAGTGAGAACTTACATTGTCCCTGTCCAATCTTGAAACAAGCTCTTTGTGCAAATTATAATAAGGAATGTGTAGGTAGAGATTCATTACTACAGACTTTGCCAGAGTTCTGTTCCCTATCGTGGAACAGACACACTGTGCTCATGAGTAGCGTAACGTTGCGTTTTAATGGCAAATAACATTTCAATGTTCCCCCAGGAGACACAAAATTCTTCAATATTCAGTTTTCCTTCTAGACGGCAATATATAGCAGGCATCCTGCTAGCTGAAGAAGACACCAATCACACAAAAATGTAATAGAAAAAAATTAAACACAAGATTCACGGTTTGTACCTAATCATGAAATATCAATACTTGAAAGTCTTCCCTTCACCCACAGTCCTCTTGTCTTTCTTCTCTCCTCATTTACTACAGGAGAAACTAGGGGTCAAAAGAGCTTCAGTTTCCTCGCGAGGTCACAAAACTTGTAAAGTTATCTTATGAAGGAAGTTTAGAAATTGGTCTATTGGCTGACAGATTCACCATGCCACAACTTCTTCAGAGACAATTATAAGGAATTCCATGCATAGATTCTGTTGGCATAATTTATTCCTAGTTTTATTGCAACACTATGCAAAAAACAAGGTATAGTATAAAACAGCTGAAAATAAACTTTTTTTTTTTTTGGCTTTAGAGATTTAGTTTAAGTCCAACAATAGATAAAGCCAATACTTACCACTACCCTCAGGTTCCATAACTAAAAGTTATTTTAATAACTTTCATGTTGAAAATTTCTGTTCATTCATTTCAAATTCATGGAGATTGGACCAATTATCATTGCATTTTTAGATTATATTCACTCTTTCTATTTAGTTCAAACTCTTGGCTTTTATTTTAAATTCCAATTTTCAAGGTAATATAACAAGATATTAGAAATTCTAATGTTCTCTGAAATGTTTTCCAAGGCATGAAAATCAAATCTGGGAAAAAATGGTCCTTAATTTCTTTTCTAAATCTTTTCACTGCAGGTAATAAAACTACGAACTAGTTTGCTAGGTACTGGAAGCCTGAAAAGGTGGTTAATGGTAGTATAGAATCCAAATGAAGGTATGAAGGGGATAATAATTAACTATAGAACCACTTAGGAGAAAATCTTCCCAGCAGTAACAAAGTGTTATATAGAAACAGCAGCACATTTTGGGCCAAACTGCACTCATTAGCATATATTAAAAAGAAGTGTTCTCACCTGCATTCTTCTTAGTTTAATATCAGTTCAGTGTGCAAAACATGAAGTTTAAAAATAGCTAAATACAGAAAACTTATATTCTTCCCAAGATTTTCTGCATTTTTTAGTCTGAGCATCTCAGAGTCTAATGAATCTGGGGATAGAGAACAAGCAGGATTTATAAAACAGTAAGCCTAGCTACGAGGAAAACACTTAAAATAAAAACTCCACGAAATTCTAATTAGTTTATTAGTTTATCAGAAGTCTCTGGGTAATATGAAGGAATAAGGTTTCTCTGCTTTCCTCCCTCAGTACAGCAGTAAGTTGTTTCTGCATGGAACTGGGTCATTGTTTGCTTCAATGGACTATTTGCTAACCAGTGCTTGAGGGTGGGTCATTGAGCTGTAACGAGAATATATTCTTTTTTTGGAATCAACTTGACTTATCAGACATATTATCTTCTAAACAGAGACTTTGCATTAATTCCAAGAAAGACCTTCTAGCATTCAATCTTAAAGGAATCCAACTGGGAGCCATTTCTTTATGAAGAGATACAAACCAATAAAAGCAGCTTAAAAAAATACAAACACTTTAGTGACATTACTTTTTTCTCCTTTGGAATATTTTCTTCATCGATACATTGGATAGAGTTTTGAACAAGCTGCAAAACTTTATCCACATTTTTCCTAATCCACGATCAAATAAAAATATGCACTGCCCTTAGGGTTCAACTAATCTTAAAACAATCTAGACTTTGCAGAAAGACCATGTATTCGAGAATATAGAATTACTAAAAATAAAAATATGACACTCTTTTTACAAATCCCCTACACTCTGATAGTTAAAAATATGTAATAAATAGCACACAGATTCAACTCTCTAGAGCTGTCTAGCTAGTCAGGTTACTTAAATCAACCTTATCCATCAACAGAGAGATAATTTTTGGAGGTAACATTTCAGTCACACTCAGCAATATAGAGGGGGATGCCAAACTAAGAGAAGTTTTTTTTTTATTAAATGTTAATTTATTGTGTTTACTTTTTTCTCTTTGCTGAATACAAACAAATTTAATATATCTTCTTTTAAGTTTGATAAAATCAACCTTAATATCCTTAACCCTTCCTTGGCTAGCTAACGTAATTTCAGTCTCCTTTTTTGGCATGGTATTTTTCCATCCTGATCTCAAAGTCAGTCTCAGGTGGTCCTGCTCAAGTATGAAATGTGCTCTCACTAGACACTGTGCTGTATTGTTAGTTGATTTGTCTGCCTTTCTTAACCATTCAGGATCAATTAATTGACATTTTTTTGACTTTGTCTTCCTGGTTACTAGCACATTCTTGGCATATAGCACTCAATATTTTCTTAAATAAATAATTGAATTGATGTATTAATTGGGATTGAATTCTTATACATTATTATATTCAGATTATTGATTTTTCTGATTAGCTAATTTAACTCATATTCATAGAAAAAGGTAACAATTAGCCATTGATGACAAAAGTATAAATTTATACATAACAGTTTTCTTTCTCAGAATTTCTTAAATTCTATTTTAAAGAATTTACCAGTCATTAATAAATTCCATATTCATAATAGCTATGGAATGTTTTATTTTAAAACAATCCAAAATAATAAGCTTAATAGCTTTAAAATTTAATAGTTTAAACATTATTTTTGTAAAATAGGTAAGTTACTACAAAATAAAGGTTTGATTAGAGTGAAACATCAAAATAATAAACACATGGAACTTTAATAGATATAAATTATAAAATACAACTGTAGCACATTCAACCATAAAATAAAGTTTCACACAAAGGAACAAATATATCGGAGCATAAGAAGTATATAACACAACTTTGCTACTAGTGGTTCCACAGTACTTTGAAATTAATATAGAGCAAAGGGCTACATGAGCTGTATTAATTCTCTTCTAGCCAATTAGGCAATGACATATACATAATATATGGAGTCAAATTTAACTCTTTGGCAAATCTTATCTGTATTTAATATTATATATATTTTGTATATAATTTTTATTATATAAGTAATATGTATTTATATTTAATACAAATTATGTACCCCTATTTATACTTCTTGATGTATATAACTGTTGTATGTGTGTATTCAGATAAGTAATGGCAGACATGATTGACCACAAACATATCCTGTAGTTGTTGATACCTAGTCATTCTGTTAGTAAGAGCAAAGCTCTTTATGTAGAAAGAATGGACAGGGAGGGAAGGGTAGCAGGTGATATGAAAACATTATGTATCAATATAATTCAAAACTATACATTAATGAAATTTAATGATTACCATTAAGATAGAGTATATTTGAAGAAATTCTAATTTTTGAACTCTACAGCTATATTTACTTCACTAAGAGATGAGTGAAGTTCAATATGAAGAAATTAAACAGAAAAAGCTATTGTCAGTATCGGGAGCGAAATGAGCATAACTAAGGATATGGGAAATCCAATCTTTCATGTAGTAATTCATTGTTTTGAGTATAGACTGCCTGTAAGCAGTAGTAGAAAATAGGATTGGGCAATTGTAGACAGATGAGAATATTGTGTCATTAGACACTAGAAGTATCTCAAAAACAGTATTTACTGTCAAACAGTTAATAAAGAAATGATATAATCATTCTAGTAAAAGCACATATTTGAAAACTGGACTACAATTGTAGGTCAAAATTTCCAACAGCATGGACATGTTTTAGGTTTATTTCTTGTAATTGGGCCTAGAACCATCTCTTCCCTCCTGAGTATCATCCTCTTGGGAGCTCTAGTCTGAGCAAACCAACTCTAGGATATAAATTAGAATCTTTCTGGTACTCAATGGCTTCAAATTCAATTAATATATTTACAAGAGTGAGCTATGTCAGATGCATTAATTCGTAGGGAGAATGTTGATTGTTAGGAATTATCTTTTATTTTCTTTATCAGATAAAGCCTTTAATGCTTAAGTTCAGTAACATTTTAACTACTTTGTACTGGATCCCTGGTGAGTCTAAAAGCAGAAATTTTTACACACAATCATTATAAAACAAACATTACATTCAATAAGACAGCATATTTTAGATGGCTCCCACATCATAACGAATGAACAATAAGTAAGATCTACACTAATTATAGACAAGGACACATAATCTTATGAATTCTGAACTCCCTGACACTGAGGTAAACCTATTAACTACCACTTGGATTCTGCTGATGTGTTCATTTTTCTAAAGCCTATAGAGAGTTCTGAAGTAACATTCTGCATATTAATTCAGTAATTTGCTATGTAGATGCCTTCAATATCTATTCATCCACAATTGACAACACCAGTAACAAACTTATTGAAATTATTTACAATAATATGACTAAGGAGTGTTTCTGGGTATCTTCCATTTTAAATCAAGAAATTTCCTTTAACACAACAATTATTTAGGTTGGAATTCAGATACTGACAAACAATCCCATTGGCTATCATGACAATAAGTGCCTTTTTTAATGCAATCAGAGTAGTGGTTAGTCTGCTGGAACAATCCAATAAGCACAGTTTATCTACTCAGAACACTGATAAATATGCTCATGTTGTCATTTTACAAAACTACAACATTTCAGTCCAGTTGGCTCATTTAAGTCTAAAAGAAGTCATGTATTAACTCGATTCAAGAGGCTTGGTCATCACACTGAGACATGAGAAGTAGCTTACTTATGTCATAGAAAATGGTTCTGATATTGCAGGCACCTGGGTTGGCTAAAACAGAACTATTTTATATGAAGTATAGAATTATTCTACAGTTTCCACTGTTATAATCCAGCAAATATCCTTTAGGTACTCTGCCTGAGGAAATATGTTATTGAATACCTTCAAAGAAGCTGTGATACTTGAAGTTCATTTAAGGCCAAGTGAAAGGAAAATGAGACAGGACCTTAACTGATGCATTCTCCCTCAGTGGGGTGGTGTGGGTAGCATTTTCCTCTGCCTGGAATGCTCTTTGCAGATGCTTCAGTTGAGATTTGGTAAGGAAAATGAAAACCACCGTGAGTATTCCAAGTGGACACTGTTTGAAGGCAGATAATTGGAGACTTATTACACACTATTAGAATGCCTTTGAATGAAAACAAAGGACAATATTATAAATAGGAGCTCACTATTTTAGACACTTACTAAGTTGCTTTTGTGAAACTGTAGAATTTTAGTTAGTGCTGGGGATGGGGTGGTGGTGGTTTGATGGAACCTCCCTTAACATCTTGCAGCATCAAAGCCGGTGTGAGTGACTTGCTATGTGCAAGCTTGGTGGTGCTTCCAAATGAGTTCAGATAATGATAACTTCTCTGTTTCTTCCGTTTTCTAAATCTCATGTGAAACCCTCTCATTGGCAGAATCTTATCTGGACCTATGCTATAAATCAGATACTGAGAAAGATTCTTCCTAGATTCTCCTTGGCCATCCAAGGAGACTGTAAATAGGGGTGTCAGACAGGCTTGGGTAACCACAAAAAGCCCAGCGCAATTCATTCCTTTGTCAATTCAGCATCTGTATATGAACTTTTAACAAAATTTCAGCTACTGAACCATTAAAAACTGCATTTTGTTTCTGGCAAATATGATGTAAGTTTTCTTCAAAAAGCAAAGGTTGGCCAGGAGCAGGGGCTCATGCCTATATTCCCAGCACTTTGGGAGGCCGAGGCAAGCAGATCACCTCAGGTCAGGAGTTTAACACCAGCCTGGTCATCATGGAGAAACTCCATCTCTACTAAGAATACAAAAATTAACAGGGAGTGGTGAGGCACACCTGTAGTCCCAGCTACTCAAGAAGCTGAGGCACAAGAATTGCTTGAACCTGGGAGGCGGAGGTTGCAGTGAGCCCAGATATTGCCACTGCACAACAGCCTGGGCTATAGAGCAAGACTCCCTCTCAAAAAGCAAAGGTTGCACTCTCATAAGTCACTGTACCCTTCATTGAGTACTCTTCATTTTCTTCCATCTCATTTACAAGATGTCTTTCAGATATCCAGCAACTTAAAGATGGTGCTATACATTTAATCACCAGCAGTGCTTTATAGAAGAGTAGAGGAAGGCTATTAGAAACGCTGGTTAAAATACAAAGATTACGAAGTTTCTTAAATACCTTATCATCAATCTATCAATCCATCAATATGTGTATATGTAGATGTATATATGTGTGAGTTTAAAGAGAGAAATTGAATATACACATGTATTTCTATAGTTCTGCAGTTCTCATCTTTATAACTGTTCTTATGGCAATAGCTGGTCTGTATTACTTCCTTCCCTATGCAATGTTTCCTTTGGTTTCAGCAAGCTCCTCAGCTGACAGCACTTCATTTTCTGGCACATTGACTCCAAACTCCTGCTCCTGAATAGAAGAAGTCATCCGTGGTTCTATCTAAATTGGTTTGCTATTGTCTTTTAGTAATATTTACCAATGCTCATAGGAATCGAGTGAATACCTTGGCTTACAGATACTCTCAAAACACGAACATTATTTTTCCAGATAATCACAATCAGTCATCCCAGTTTGTACGGTCATCTCTCACATGTTTACTTCTGATAGCACAGTAATGTGGAGCCCAAAGTGGCCAGTTTAGCAGTCCTAGCCTCAGGTGCCATTCAACTATTTTGGATCCCCTGACAGAAGCATCTATCCTGTGATTACTATGACATCTAGACCCACAAATCCCAAAGATAAAAGAAAAATTTTGCAAATGAGAAGTGAGGGTTTACTATAATGAAAAGAGTTATGCCCTCTCTTCCATTGTTTGATTTCCAGAGCCAAGTGTTCTTATAGAAAAGATGGCACTATATATGAGTCACAAAGTGAAAACTTATACTTCACCTTAGCAGACAGCTCTGAGCAAGTTTCTATCAACATCAGGTGCTGCCACTGAGTTTTCAATAGGCCATCTCACCATTCTATTATGTCAGCTGCTTAGAGTGATGGCGTTCATACTAAAATCAGCTAATCTCGGCCGGGCGCGGTGACTCACGCCTGTAATCCCAGCACTTTGGGAGGCCAAGGCGGGTGGATCACGAGGTCAGCAGATCGAGACCATCCTGGCTAACACGGTGAAACCCCGTCTCTACTAAAAATACAAAAAATTAGCCGGGCGTGGTGGCAGGTGCCTGCAGTCCCAGCTACTCAGGAGGCTGAGGCAGGAGAATGGCGTGAACCCGGGAGGCGGAGCTTGCAGTGAGCCGAGATCGCGCCACTGCACTCCAGCCTGGGCGACACTCCGCCTCAAAAAAAAAAAAAAAAAAAAAAAAAAAAAAAAAAAATCAGCTAATCTCATAAGCCAGTTTCTTCTATATTTTTTTCTTGTAACTGAATTCAAGCTTTTTCCTCTTAGATAAAGAAACTGTAGGAAATAATTATCACATCAAAAAAATCAAGCAAAGCAAATGTGTTCACAATTGACTTCTCCATTTCAAATCAATTTTGAAAATTTTTATGACTTTGCTATACAAACATAGATTTTTTTCCTTCTTTCCAGTTGTATCACATCTTATATTTAACCTGCGTTATTTTCTTTGTACGCCTTATCACCATTTGATATATTTTATAACTATTTACTTTGTTTATGGTTTCTCTCTCACCCCAGTAGACTTATAAACTCCATGTAAGCACTACTGTTTTCTACTATTTTACTAACTGTTGAACAAATTAATGAACACATTAATCTGCCTTATTTCTACCCTTCTGCAACAGAAAAAGAATGTAGAATAGCAGCAATTTCTACAGAAAAGTCAGGAGGTTTTGGTACAGAGCAAGAGTATATAGAACATCAAATAAACACATGGGAGAAAACTAATACTTGGAAAATACAGTAACTCTTTGACTTGACCAATTAGATATTCAAAGTGAATATCTGAAGATTTATTTATCATTCATAACTTTACTAAGAGTCAAATTCAAATCTGCTCCTTTTTGAGCTGCATCACATAAACACTTACCCTGAACGCATTATGTCACCATTTCACAATTACACCTTCAGCTGGGTATGGTTTATCTACTTGCTGTTGTAAAAATTTACCACCCATCCTGGGTTAAAAATGTTGCTACTTCATTAAAAACAACCATTAAGCAAGGTCAAACATTAGAAGTAAAAAGTTGAAATGGTCTTACTATGTGACAGAAGGAGATGTATTGTTAAGAGATAGTTTTCAACAGAACGTGTCATGAAAGAAATCTAACACTTTGCACATTTGTTAATGTGAGAGGAAATATACTCCATATCATTTTGGCATTATGTAGACACTACCATTACCAGAGAATCACAATAATTTTTAATTATTTATAACTATTTAAGGCAAAAGGCAAAATATTGTATACATTTTCTTCAGCTTTTATATTTTTCTTTTTTTTATTATACTTTAAGTTTTAGGGTACATGTTCACAATGTGCAGGTTAGTTACATATGTATACATGTGCCATGTTGGTGTGCTGCACCGATTAACTTGTCATTTAACATTAGGTATATCTCCTAATGCTGTCCCTCCCCCCTCCCCCGACCCCACAACAGGCCCCAGTGTGTGATATTCCCCTTCCTGTGTCCATGTGTTCTCATTGTTCAGTTCCCACCTATGAGTGAGAACATGCAGTGTTTGGTTTTTTGTCCTTGTGATAGTTTGCTGAGAATGATGGTTTCCAGCTTCATCCATGTCCCTACAAAGGACATGAACTCATCATTTTTTATGGCTGCATAGTATTCTATGGTGTATATGTGCCACATTTTCTTAATCCAATCTATCATTGTTGGACATTTGGGTTGGTTCCAAGTCTTTGCTATTGTGAATAGTGCCGCAATAAACATACGTGTGCATGTGTCTTTATAGCAGCATGATTTATAATCCTTTGGGTATATACCCGGTAATGGGATGGCTGGGTCAAATGGTATTTCTAGTTCTAGATCCCTGAGGAATCACCACACTGACTTCCACAATGGTTGAACTAGTTTACAGTCCCACCAACAGTGTAAAAGTGTTCCTATTTCTCCACATCCTCTCCAGCACCTGTTGTGTTCTGACTTTTTAATGATTGCCATTCTAACTGGTGTGAGATGGTATCTCGTTGTGGTTTTGATTTGCATTTCTCTGATGGCCAGTGATGGTGAGCATTTTTTCATGTGTCTTTTGGCTGCATAAATGTCTTCTTTTGAGAAGTATCTGTTCCTATCTTTCGCCCACTTGTTGATAGGGTTGCTTTTTTCTTGTAAATTTGTTTGAGTTCATTGTCGATTCTGGATATTAGCCCTTTGTCAGATGAGTAGATTGCAAAAAATTTCTCCCATTCTGTAGGTTGCCTGTTCACTCTGATGGTAGTTTCTTTAGCTGTGCAGAAGCCCTTCAGTTTAATTAGATCCCATTTGTCAATTTTGGCTTTTGTTGCCATTGCTTTTGGTGTTTTAGACATGAAGTCTTTGCCCATGCCTATGTCCTGAATTGTATTGCCTAGGTTTTCTTCTAGGGTTTTTACGGTTTTAGGTCTAACATGTAAGTCTTTAATCCATCTTGAATTAATTTTTGTATAAGGTGTAAGGAAGAGATCCAGTTTCAGCTTTCTACATATGGCTAGCCAGTTTTCCCAGCACCATTTATTAAACAGGGAATCCTTTCCCCATTTCTTGTTTTTGTCAAGTTTGTCAAAGATCAGATAGTTGTAGATATGCAGCATTATTTATGAGGGCTCTGTTCTGTTCAATTGGTCTATATCTCTGTTTTGGTACCAGTATCATGCTGTTTTGGTTACTGTAGCCTGTCTCTATTTATGCTTATGTGTATGTATATATATTGACATATATATGCAAACATAGACACAAACACACACGCACACACAAAAGCATCATATCTCTCCCCATTTTAACATGAACACGTAATAACAGAATAATGCTGATATTAGATAGGAGGTTCTACCTTCTTAGAAGAAGTGCAAACACTTTCATTCTGGCACATGGGCATAGCCAACTCTGTCATGAAATTAGAGAGTTCAACCCTGCCAAAGTTCTGCTAAAATTGAAGCAGAAATAAAAATCAAGAGTAGCCACATATTTTGTAATAAAAATTAATCAAATCTAAAGCTTCTGCTTTGCATTACTGGAGATAAAATGATTAATATTGCACTCTTCATGATACTCAGAGAAGTCAAAATTTAATAGGTTCAAAATATATCCAAACACATAAGATACAGATTATGACACATATTGCACATAATTGGGTTTAGAGTTACTTGCAAAAAAATTATGAAATCTGAATAACACCAAAAGAGGAACAATGCAGTGTAAATCAGTAGCTACAGTTACTGATCTGAATAAAGAAGCTTGTATGTGTAATGTGAATGTTTTTCAATATATCCCTTCCTACACTCCTGCCTGCTCCAAGGAAAAATGAGAATTGGGTATTTCTTATAATGTTCCTAAAGTATCACACTTCAGCACATGTTATGAAAAGCTTTAGGATATGACACAAATGGGTCTCATTCATTGTTTTTCCATAAATAATTGTTCACACACTCAAGTCCTTCTTGTCACAGGCCTTTAACCTTCTTGATTTCCATTGTTTCACACAAGTTTCCAGGAAATCTAGGCCATTATATTTCAAAGGAGTGAGAACGAGTACAGCTTCTATATCCAATTAGAGAGAAAACAAAGATTTGATCAGTCCCACACTGTTGTTTCTTCTCTGCAGTGTGGATAATAATCCATTCAAAGTGATGCGGATCCAGGTGTATTCACAGACAGCGTTGGCTGCTCATGGGAATGTGATCCTATTTCAGCATAAGGGGCTCCAAATTTGCAGCTCTTCATGGTCAATACTTGCAGTTCTCCAATAAATGATATCTCAGCATACAGATAACCTTAATAAGAATAGAATAAGTGGCTGGACGCAGTGGCTCACACCTGTAATCCCAGGACTTTGGGAGGCTGAGGCGGGCGGATCACCTGAGGTCGGGAGTTAGAGACCAACATGGAGAAACCCCATCTCTACTAAAAATACAACATTATCCAGGCACGGTGGCACATGCCTGTAATTCCAGCTACTCAGGAGACTGAGGCAGGAGAATCACTTGAACCCAGGAGGTGGAGGTTGCAGTGAGTCGAGATCCTGCCATTACACTCCAGCCTGGGCAGCAAGAGCAAAACTCCATCTAACAACAAAAAAATAGAATAAGTGACTTTAGGCACCATTTCCCTGCCTTCTTATTTCTTATGTGTTTATATTTTATAATACAAGGTCTCACTATATTGCCCAGGCTGAGGTCTGGTAACCATCTACAGCCTCAAATGCCTAAGCTAAAGTTATTCTCCCAAGTCGCTGGGACTGCAGGCACCTAGCTATCATTTTCCTTCTTATTCAGGGGATATATACTTCGGGGTGATTGTAATTTTTTTCTTTGTTAACTACTAAGAAGTGATAGTTTTCCTTTCTAACTATGACTACTATTGTTTAATGATATTCTAATTTTTTTTCAGACATAGTGATTATGAGCACTCCATTTAGTGAAGTTTGTTTGAGAGATTCAAAGTTTGTTGAACCTCATACAAGTGAGGTGGTCACAACTGGAGGCTGCTGGAGAAGTGGGGTTGGAGACAGCACTTTTACATCTATCTGTAGTGACTGCAAGATGATTTTCTGTGACCATTCTTAATTAAATAAGAAATAGTAGCAGCAACAATGTAAATTAATATTTTTAAAATTAATTTTCCTGACTGACAATAGTTAGCTGAAATGTTTAATAAAAAATTGATTGAAAATTTGATTTAAAAGATTCTATTAACTTTTTTATTATTTACATAGCATGTATGATTGTGGTAAGATATATATAGAATACCATTTCCAATTTCAACAATTGTGTAATTCAATAGCATTGATTATATTCACAATGTTGTGAACCATTATCACTATCCAATCATTGTTTCCAAACATTTTCATTACCCCAATCGGAAACTTGGTACGCTTTCGGAATCTCTCTCCATTCCCTTTATTTGCAGCTCTCTAGTCGGCTTCCTGTCTCACTGAATTTTCCCATAAAAGGAATCAGACAATATTTGTCTTTTTGAGTCTGGTTTATTTCACTTAGTATAATGTTTTCAATGTTCATCTATGGTTTTTCAATGTTTAAGAACTTCATTGCTTTTTAGAGACAAATAAGAGTACATTGTAGGTATATTACTACATTTTGTTTATTCATTCATCAGCTGATGATCATGTAGGCTGTTTCCATCTTTTGATTATTAAGAATAATGTTAATGTGAACATTAGAATACATATATCTGTTTAAGCCCCTGTTTACAATTTTGGGGTACATAAATATAAAGGAATTGCTGGGCCATATAACAATTCTATGTTTAACTTGTTGGGGAATTGCCAAACTGTTTTTTACAGCAGCTTCACTATCTTGATTTTGCAGTTACATTAACTTTTGAAATGCCATTAAAGTGCATAAAATTGGTATAAAATCACTTCAAGTTTTAAATTTTTGGACATATATTTAAGATGTATAGCATAATGTTTTGCTATATAAATATATATAGTGCAATAATTACTACAGTGAAACAAATAAACATAACCATCATCTCACAGAGTTAACTTTTTGTGTGTGTGGTGCAAGTACCTAAACTCTACTTTGTTGGCAAATTTCCAGGGTATGATAGTAAGCATAGTCCCTATGCTGCTCATTAGGTCTCTAGAGTTCTCCATTCTACATAACGGTACGATTTGTACCATTTAATGAACATCTCCCCATTTCCTCCAACTTTCTACCCCTTGTGACTCTTGTTCAATTATGTTTCTATGTATTTGAGTTGTTTATTGTTTGTTTTTAATTATAGATATAAGTCAGATCACTTTTATTTCACTGTGCTTGGCTTATTAGTACAATGTCCTCTAGGTTCATCTATGCTGTCATAAGTGACAGATCTCCTTCGTTTTCAAGGCAGAACAATATTCCATTGTATACACAAATGCCACATTTTCTTTATGCATTCATTCATTGATGACCATTTAGATTGATTCCATATCTTGGCTATTCGGAATAACACATGGGGAATGCACATGGGGATGCAGATAGCTCTGCATGGTGCTAACTTCATTTCCTTTGGGCACATACCCAGAAAAGGGATTGCTGGGTCTGTGGTAGTTATATTTTTAATTTTCTGAGGAATCTCCGTATTGATTTACATAATGGCAGTAACAATTTTCATTCTCATTTTCCACATCCTTGCTAACACTTGTTACCATTTGTCTTTCTGATAATAGCATCACAATAGGTGTGAAGAGATATCTCATTGTGGTTTTTATTTCCATTTTCCTAATGATTAGTGATACTGACAAACTTTTTTATATTAATATATCTATTGATCATTTTTTATATCTTCTTTGAAAAAATGTCTATTTAGGTCCTCTGCCCATTTTTTCAAGTGTTTGTGTGTGGTATCAAGTTAGCTGAGTTTATTATACACTGTAGTTATTAACCCATTATCTGATACATGGTTTGCAAATATTCTTTTCCAATCCACAAATATAGTTACCTTTCATTTTCTTGGTTGTTTCCCTGGCCACAACAAAATACATATGGGAATGCACTATCCCTATCAAGTTGAGTTACATCTTAGTTTTAACGAAATGAGATAATTTGACAGAAATATAGGACTTGGTCATTTTCATGACAGCATAAAGGATAAAAAAATAACCAATGAACTTGCCTGAGTATAATTATAGACTTAGACAAAAAAGAGAAAGAAAAGATAAAGATAAACTGCAATATTTGTTTTAGAAAAAAAAATTTACTGTAAGGAATACTTTGTGAATGTTTACTAAGATGAACTTACATTTAGAACATAGGTGTTTCATTGCATGCCTGTATGTGTTTGGAAATTATGCACCAAAAAAGCAACTGTTCAACATTTTGGAGTGCTGGTTGCAAAGTACACAATAGAGTAGAAAAAGGAATTCAATAGAGAAAGGATCGTGAAGATTGGTTAAAAGATAGTAAAAAAGAGGCCAATGTCAGATAGAAAAGGTGTGCACAATATTTCTGGTGGAATAAACTGTATCCTAAAAGTAAACACCCACACATGCACGCACACACACATGCACACGCACATGATTAACTCATGGTCAATATCAAGTTACATTCAGAAAAATGTTTTATACAAGAAGCTGCATGGTTAATATGTCTTCACATGCCCCTAATTTTCAGAAGTAAAGGGAATATAAAAATTTAATTTGAGATTTTAAGGCAAAACTCAAGGCTAGGATGTAGTCACACCTCCAAGATAACTCTTGCATAGGAACAATAAAGATGTAGTAGATTGTTCCCTCAATAATTCAAAAGTTCAAATTTACAATCTCCCTGGGAAATCTCTATTTTAAGATCTTTGATATGTACACATATACATACGTATGTGCACACATATTGGGCATATGTATGTGTGTGTATATATATATATATATGTATATATATATATATATATGCATGCACATACTAGAGATGTTAGAAAAACAGGTTGATTCTTAGTCCTTTTCTTCCAGGGTAATGTTTCCAGTTTTAAATGACAAGAGAGATATAGATAAATTTCTCTCGTAACCACTTCAGTCATGTTGTGAGGGTTCTGTCTGAATCAGCTGTGCAGAAAACCATTTACTCCCCAAATGCATTCAAATAGATGGAATTCTCCTACTACTTGACTGAACATGTTTTTCAGAAGGCAGAACTGATTAGATATATCATGTATCCTGATGTTAGAAAAGGCATTGTACCCAGTGGACTATGTAAGCAATATATACATATACACATACATATATATTTATATATACATACATATATGTTTATATATATATATATGTATTTCACATAAAGTCTTGATCTAAGTAAGTGTCAAAATGCAAAAAAAAAAAAAAAAACTTTTCCACTAAAAGAAATGGGGGCTATAACAGGGATTTTTTTTCTTTCTTTTCTGTTCACGTCAATATTGAAAATGATGAAAAAAATGATGATTTTTCTCTGCTACAGGAGCTTTCCAGTTTTATGATTGGAACTGAGCCTCACACATTATGTACTTGGTTTAGCAATATCTCTGTATTGACTCTACATGCTAAATGTGTAATTTACAGAGCCTTGTCTTTCTGTTTGATTTCCATTTCACATCAGAAATTATGTTATTGCTAAACCATAAATGGGAGGCAAGCGTCCTTGACCTTCTGCTCTTATATTTTTAATGTTCGCTTGCTGTTGAGTTGGTGCTAATTTATGACTACAGTTGTCACTGGATTCAAAAATCAATGTTCACAACCATAATTTACCTCATAAGTTTGTTTTCATCTTATCAGCATAATATGACTCCATCAATATTCCAGAGGAGAATTTATGCTCTTTTCTTTAACCATCATTTCTTTCTTTTCAGAGTTTGTGATATATCTATCTATCTATCCACATATATATTTAATAAGTGTTTTGTATTTTTTATTAGCAATATACAAATAGTCCCAAATTCTGGTAATTTTCAATACAACATTACCTTGTATATAAACAGAGAAGTTCAACATACATAATTCTGGAAAGGTCTCCTAGCTCTTAAATATATGAATCATTTTTCCGAAATAACTTTTATTTCTCTCCCCACTCTGTTACTTCCTCTTGTCTAGAGTCTTATCAACTGTTCTTCTTCTTCTGTTCCTAATTTCTTATATATTTTTCCTACTTACAAGAACACGGACATATTTGTCAACCTAAGATAATCATTTATATTCTTTATATTATACTAATAATCTTCAAATAGCTTCACAGATTTCTATAGGATTAGTTTCAAAAACTACAATCTAGTTCTGTATTTCCTATTTCCCTATAATTTCTATTTAGTAACAAGCTAGTCTCTTCACTATAAACTGAAAGTGTCCCAATTAGTCTTAACTTTTCTTCCTGCATCATCCTACCCATGCTGTTCTTTCATGTAACTTCTCATTTTTCATCTGCAAAAAAATTATTCAGATTTCTAAAGTATGAGTCACATGCTGCATTATATTGGGAGTTATTCAGATATCTAAAAAATTACAGGCTCCTTTGTATCAAAATTATTTTTTCTAGCTCCAACTGTGTCTGGGTTTGTTTGTCTTTCCAATAATTAGCACACACATTTTGATAACTGAGTATCTAGTTAACGACTTTATGTTTGCATATCTTATCTTTTGAACTGAATTATGATTTCCTACATGGTAAATAGGCACCAAAACCAAGTAGACTTTAAAAGGATAAATGTACAACCTACATTTTTTATAATATAATGTTATTTCTTCCAATATGAGAATTGGGGTAGAAAATGTTGTTTACCCTTCAAATACGTTTACTGGCTCATGTGGGACATGCCTCCATGGGAATGTATGCAGACACGAAAAATAATACATTCATAACGTTCCCTCATGGATATTCTTGCAATCTCAACAGATATTTCTGAGCCTCTTATTACATCTTGGCACATAAAAGATTCACAAGCAGTGTGGAAATGCACTTGAAAATTTCCTAATATTAATGCTACCGTTCAGTATGGACTTTGATGATGTTATATTAAGAACTGTATCATATTAACTTAATACAATAATAACAAGGAACAGTACTAATACAACTTGATGAATGGAGACTAAACTTCCCATATTGCATTAATAGTACATTAAGGATGCTGTAAAACAATAATATGATGTGATGGATGAGGTCCATGTTATTATCCACACTTGTGTGTACAAAGAGAAAGTGCCTTTGTGTATTTCACACTAACTTGAATATATTGCATGCTGTCACTGTATCAGTCAAAACATATTTGCAATTGTTTGCTGATTTTTCTTTAAATAGACTAGTAATGCACTGCAAATGTTCAATGTACCTGATTTCTTTTTAGAATAGCATGGACATAACAAATGCCATTGAAGATGCCTTCCTGAGATAGATTTTAGAGAGCAACTTCAATTCTAGGATTGCTTTCTTCCACTGTTCAAATTTGCTTTCAAATCTGATAATTGAACTTGAGGAGCAGAAAGGTTTCTCTGCAATCCTGACGTCTCAGGGACTGTGACAAGAATTTCTAAGAGAAAACCTTATTAGTCAATTTTGCTGAGTCATAATGTAAAAAAAAACCAACATCATATAATAATTTATCTGTCCAACTCCAAATCAACAATCCCTTCTGAGTTTTATTCTGTTAAAGCTGACAATATCTTCTCAGGCAGTTAATTTCAAAAGCTTCATATTAACCTTTTATTTAGCCCTTTTGCACTACATGCATAACTAGTCCATTGCTATTTTCTGGATTGTAACCTTACAATAACTCACAATTGCTTCTTTCCTTCCAGTCTCATTCCAAATCATGGTTCCTGTCCAGTTCCCTAATTGCTTCCTTTTTATGACCTTGGTGTTATGTTTCTTACCTCCACTTCATGTCCAATCAATCACACATTCTTTGGCCATGCTGCTCCCTGAATGTATAAAATTGTATTACAATGGTCATATCTTATATGATGTAATACATGGTGGCATCGTTTTGTCACCAAGTCATATATAAACTTCAGCTCCCAAGACTTAATATTAACCAGATTATCTTTCAAGACTGTTTTTTCATAAGTGAGCAAAAGACCTGAATAAACATTTCTCAAAAGAAGACATACATGAAAAAATGATCATCATCACTAATTATCAAGAAAATGCAAATCAAAACCACAATGAGATGTCATCTCCTTCATTCAGAATACATATTATCAAAAAGACAAAACATAACAAATACTGGTGAGGATGTGGAGAAACAGGAAACCTTATTTCCTGTTGTAATGTTGTAAATTAGTATGGCCATTATGAGCAATAGTATGGAAATTCCTCAAAAAATTAAAAATAGTACTATAACATGATCCAGAAATCCCACTACTGGGTATATATCAAAAAAAAAAAAAGAAAGAAAGAAAATCTGTGTGTAAAAGAATATTTCACTCCCATGTTTATTGCAGTACTGGTCACAATAGCCAAGGTATGAAATCAGCTTGTGTTCCTCAATGGTTAAATGGATAAAGAAAGAAAATATGGTATATGTATGTAATAAAATACTATTCAGCCATGAAAAAGAATAAAATTCTGTAATTTGTGACAACAGACATGAGCCTAGGAAATGTATTAAGTGAAATAAGCCAGGCACAGAAAGACAAATACTGCATGATCTCAGTTATATGTGAGAGCTTAAATGTTGATCTCATGGAGGTCCTAGGATAAAAATAGTCACCAGAGTCAAGGAAGGGTGGTTGTGGTAGGTGGACAGTGGCTAGTTATACAGGTTCAAAGTTACAATTAAAGAGGAGAAATCTGTTCTAGTAACCTATTGCTTGTAGGTTGACTTGTTAACAATGTATTATATATTTTAAAATAGCCAGAAGGGACGAATTTGAATGCTCTCACCACCAATAAATGGTTAATGTTTGAGGTAAGGGACATACTAATTACCCTAATTTGATCATTACACAATGTAAACGTATTTCAGAACATCACACTGTGCCCCATAGATAAGTACTATTATTACGTGTCAATTAATAACAAAAGAAAGTATCTTAAAGTCTTTGTTTTTTAATCTCTTAGTGCATTATTTAGACATTTTCTAAAAACTGCTTTTATTTCTACCTGTGTTTTCATGGCATTTTCTATATTTGAGACTTTCTCCAACAATTTTCACCTGTAGACATTCCAGGTTCAAGCCTCAATCAAATAATTAATTTCTATTCTCCCTCTTAGATAGATTCACCTGTAGTTATATCTCTTTTGTCACTTAGATGGTTCCTTTTTGTATTCTGCCTGCATGTTTAGTTATTCTAGTGATGTCTACTGGCATTGTCACTTAGTAAATTTTAAGTTCTTTAAAAATGTAAATTGTACATATCAATAAACGGTTTGGATAAAAAACAATTATTTGAAATATTTGAGCATTATTAAGTAATTCCTACGGTATAAATACATGTTTTATTCATACCATAATATATAGTACCATACATAAAAGTTGACGGCTTTCATATAGCTAAATCCTACCATCTCACAAAGGAAGATTCCATAACCTCCTCCTTCAGAAACATTCCTAGACAACTGATTACACAAAAAGTCTTTAATGCATTGATTAGGAACACTTATTTTCTACAAACATTGGGCTAATAATTTGAACACAATGTCTTTAGTCTTCTAAAGACTTTTTCATGCCCTGTACCCACATTTAATCTATATGTTCTTTGTTTGTGTGAACTAGTGAATTTATGGAAAGAAGTCATTAAATATTTTTGGCTATTTTGGTTAATTCAATAAATAATAGATATAGAAGGTCAAAGATGTTTTCAATATCCTAAGATAAATAGGCCACTTGGTTTATATTGAATCTGTAGTTCAACTCTCTAAGAATTTATGATTCTCACAATATACTTAAATGTCTGAATCCACTAATAATTCTGTAAAGATACATATTACAGTAACTATGTAAAAGAAACTCAATCTTGCAAATAGCAAAATAAATGCAAAGTAAAACTAGAATAAGATATAATTTTTCAATACTCAATATTGACAGCATTCTGGGATAATCATGATTCTCATCTATTGTTGGTGAGTTTTTAAATTGGTATGACATATTTGAATTACATTTTGGTAATATCTATCACAATTTTAAATAAATGCCCCATGAGTCAGTAATACCACCACTGGGTATGTGCTGATACATTAGATGCACTGCAGATTCAAAGAAGGATGCTCACTGCAAAATTGCTTACATTTCTAGAAAATATGTACATATTTAAAATGAAATATCATATAGCTGTTAAAATATATACATATGTACAAATAGTACTTGAAAATATAATTTCTCTGATCACTTTAATGAATATAGGCACTTTAGTCTCTCATATAATATGTATGTGGTTAGCTCTAGGACATTAAACACAGATGATAACAATTTTTTAAAATTCATTGGTAGATTTGACAATCTCCCATTTTCTCTCTTCCCTGATAGAATTATAATTCCTTGTGTCATTGGCTTTTTGATAAATTAAATGCAAACTACAGTGACGTTTTCCATGTCCGAGCAGAAATAATCTCAGTCAATATCTGGTCCCACAATTTTTTCTCTCCCCTGCATCTTGAGACAGTTTCGTTTTGTAAGGGCTGCTCCTTCAACCAGAATTCCAGAATAACGAAGGCACGCAGCTTATCTTCAGTGAAGTCTTAGACAACATAGAATGTGAAAGATAGAAAAAACCTGTGTCTTTTTTTTTTTTGTCATTGATGTTTGTGAATTGGTTGATATTGCAGCATCACCTAACAAAAAAAGAGGGATGCAATATGAAATAAACAAATCCAAGGTATACACATGGAGTATAATTTGGTCTAAACTGAGAAGTCCTTTCTCAAACCCTGTGAAACTGTTCAATTCACAGAAAGTACTCTGGGCTTGATCCATTTATTTCTGGTAAAGAGATGAGCAGAACAATTTAACCATATCCTCCCTAAAAGTCAACCATTTGACATAAAATGACTTAGAATGAGCCTCAGAGCGATAGCTATAGGTATCCACAAACTCCACTCATTTTGCTTTAGCTAACTTCTCTAAAAAGATATTTTTAAATAAATTCTAATAATCTACTCGCTGATAAATTTGGTAATGATGTAATTTTGCTCTTTTCCTTAACCTACATGTTTCTTACAGAAGTAGTTTTATTGAAAATATTTCCATCACAAAGATTTACTCTTGCATAATTTCCCATTGAACTGTGCTTAGAATAAATTCACAGTGAATGCATTGTGAGATACCACCTTATAGATCTGCAGTTACTGTGAGAATTTTCCATTCACCTTACAGTTTCACAGCCCAGGAAGAATATTTATGTTTGCCTTCCATCAACAATTATATCATTTTGCCTATTCTTTAGCATTCCACCCTGGAAGTGATTTGTTAAATTATATTTCCATCAAATTGAAAACATAAAATAAATCTGCAAATATGTGTGTATTAACATAATGTATAACATGTATTTTGTTTTTACTTGACAAATAATTATACTTATGGGGTACAGTGTGGTGTTTGGATACATTTATATATTGTGGAATAACCAAATCAGGCTAATTATTTATTTATCACCTCAAAATTTATCACATATTTATCACCTCAAATTTATCATTTCTTTGTGTTGAAAACATTTAAAATTTTCTTTCAGTTGTGTTGGAATATACAACACATTGTCATTAACTGAAGTCACTATGCTGTGCAAGTGATCGCCAGAATGTATTCCTCCTGTTTAATTAAAAATTTTACCCTTTGTTCAATGCCATCCCTTTTCGCACCCACCCTCCCCACCAGCCCTTAGTAACCACCAATTTACTAACTACTGCAATGAGTTTAACTTTCTAAGATTCCACAGGTAAGTGATATCATGCAGTATTCGTCTCTCTGTTCCTGACTTATTTAACTTAGCACAACGTCCTCTAGTTTCTACTATTTTAATCAAAGTGCTATTTCTTTGCAGTCAAGATGCCTCAAGTCATATGGGAAATCACTAATTCTGTGATTTGATAGAATCTGACTTAAAATCTTGAAAAAGTATCAAGACCATCCGATCACCTCTTTGATTTCAGCAATTAACACAACCCTAATTCCCTCAAAATTAAATTCCTTCTCAACAGGTCTTCTCTATTTTTGAATGCGGTATTTAAAACAAAACTTTTTTTCTGAAAATTTTTCTCAGCAAATAGTTTGTTGCTAAAAAAAAATCTTTGTTCAAAATTTTTCTTGCAGCTTCAAAATTTTTGTGAATATTTGCAAGTTATTATTGAATATTATGAGTGAAAGGGAAAACAGAAGAGTGTATCATTCATCATACCCCCTTACCATCTTTCTGTTTAATTGCATTCTTTTTTTTTTTTTTTTTTTTTTTTGAGATGGAGTCTTGCTCTGTTGCCCAGGCTGGAGTGCAGTGGGGCGAGCTCGGCTCACTGCAAGCTCTGCCTCCCGGGTTCACACCATTCTCCTGCCTCAGCCTCTTGAGTAGCTGGGACTACAGGTGCCCACGACCACGCCCGGTTATTTTTTTGTGTATTTTTAGTAGAGACAGGGTTTCACCGTGTTAACCAGGACGGTCTTGATCTCCTGACCTCGTGATCCGCCCGTTTTGGCCTCCCAAAGTGCTGGGATTACAGGCTTGAGCCACTGCACCTGGCCTTAATTGCATTCTTATTTCCACTAGCCTCGCTTTTCTCTAACTTTAACAAGAACATTTTGTTCACATTCAAGTTTCAGAGATTACCAAGAATGCATTCTAAACTAGCACCATGTACTGCCTCAAATAAAATTCTGGCAAATGTATTTTTATACCATAGGCAGACTTTTTTGTACAACTAATCACTTTTGTTTTAGGTAAAATACAGAGGACATTTTATGCTTTCTTTGTTAATCCCACTTCCTTCAAAAGTGCTTGGGTGAAATTATTTTGTGAGATCTCCTTTAATAATGTTTCCTGGGTCCTCTAAGCTGGTGATAAGTCAAGATGACCCAGTGAGATGCAACCAAGGCCCACAGAGGCTTAAGTTTCCAATGGAGCTTGATTAAACAATGACCACTCCATTGTTAGCTAATCCATATGAAAATCGTAAGATTTAATGACTCCAGTTAATTCACATAATGCTGCATATATCTGGATCTTCTTTTGAAACAGTTCACATAATGCTGCATATATCTGGATCTTCTTTTGAAACACTGGCAAGCTACTAAAGATTGGAAGATTTAATCAGAGCTACAGCTTTGAACAGAATCTTAATTCGAATTTTCGTGGATGAGAACAAAATGGAATGAGTTAGTAGTAATCGTACCCTTTTTTCTGACTTGCTTTTTTAGTGTCTTCTAGGTTGCTCCAGCCTCTCGAAAATCATTGAACGTGGTCCAGATTTCCTATTGGCTGGAATTTGTGCCATGTTATTTCCAACATATCTGCAAAGGCCTAAAGAATATCACCTATTTTCTCCAAGTCTCAAAATATATTTCAAGATTCTCAATGCAGAGCTACACTCCTAAGTTCCCCAAAGCTTCATCACAGGTATATTTTCACTCTTTTGAGTAACTTACTGACCACTCTGAATTACAGGGATAGGAAGTGTAATGAAAAACATAGCTTTCTCCTGTCCCTGGACTCATCCGTATTATCCTCCAATGTAATTCTCATCACACTCTGGTCTATTATAATCTATCCTTCCACCTCAAGCATCTTCAAATGGTTTAAGAAGAGAAATCTCCATCTCCCTAAAACTAACTCTGGCAAGTATACTGTATTAGTCCATTCTCACACGGCTATAAAGAACTGCCCAAGACTGGGTAATTCCTAAAGTAAAGAGGTTAAGTTGACTCACAATTTGGCATGGCTGGGTAGGCCTTAGGATACTTGCAATCATGACAGAGGTGAAGGGGAAACAAGACAACTTCTTCCAAAGGCGGCAGGAGGGACAATGAATATAGGAGGAGTTACCAAACAATATGAAACTATAAGATCTCATGAGAACTAACTCACTATTGCGAGAACAGCATGGAGGAAACCACACCCATGATTCAATTACTTCCACTTGGTCTCTCCCTTGACACATGGGAATTATGGGGATTATGAGGATCACAATTCAAGATGAGATTTGGGTGGGGACACAGCCAAACTGTATCATGTACGTTTCTGTATTTTAATAGAATACACAATAAATTGTTACAACATTGGTGTAGCCTTAAATCATTTTGTTCTGCCTTTTCTTTTTACTTTTTATATTTCTTCTTTATATCAAATTACAAATTAGCTATTTTATCCAAATTGTCTTACCTTGTATTTTTCATTCTTTTTTTTTATATAAGAGATTTATTCACATAAAATTTACCTACCATACATCTCATTCACTTAAAATACACAATTCAGTACTTTTTAGTAAATTCACAGTCTTGTGCAACCATCACTTACAATTAGTTTGGGAAATTTTCATCTCCCCCCAAAGAAAGTCATGCCCATCAAGCAGTCACTCCCCATGTACCCTTTCTCCCTAGCCCCGGTAAGCCATGAATCTACCTTCTGTTTTTATGGATTTGTTTATTCTAGACATTTCATATACATGGAGTCATACAATATGTGGCCTTTTGTGTCTGTCTTGGCTGACTTAGCATAATGTTTTCAAGGTTCATTTATGTTGAAGCTTATACCAGTATTTCATTTTTATAGTAGAACGATATTCTACTCTATTGTTCGGTCACATGGTAATTTTACATTTCACTTTTTGAGAAACTACCGAGCTGTCGTCCACAGAAGTTGCACCATTCTACATTCTCACCTATTGTGTATGAGTGTTCTACTCCTCCACATCCTTGATAACATTTATTATTGGCTGTAATCTGTGTTTTCTATTATAGTCAACCTCATAGATGTAAAGTGGTATTTCACTGTAGTTTTGATTTGTCAATGGCTAATGATTTGACCAGCTTTTTATGTGTTTATTGGTCATTTGTATTTTTCATTGGAAGAACTGTCAATTCAGATCATTTGTCCATTTTTTAATTGGACAATTTGTCTTTTCATTTTGAGTTGTAAGGGTGCTTTATATATACTAGATACAAGTCCTTTATTATATATATAACTTGCAAGTTCTTTAATTTTTTTTTTTTTTTTTTTGAGACAGAGTCTTGCTCTGTCGCCCAGGCTGGAGTGCAGTGGTGCGATCTTGGCTCACTGCAAGCTCCACCTCCCGGGTTCACGCCACTCTCCTGACTCAGGCTCCCGAGTAGCTGGGACTACAGGCACCCGCCACCACGCCTGGCTAATTTTTTTGTATTTTTAGTAGAGACGGGGTTTTTAGCCAGGATGGTCTCCATCTCCTGACCTCGTGATCTGCCTGCCTCAGCCTCCCAAATTGCTGGGATTACAGGCATGAGCCACCATGCCCAGCAAAATTTTTTTTAATTGACTCAATAATGGTACATATTTAGGGTGTATGCAGTTGTATTTGAATGCATATTATGTGTAATAATCAAATCAAAGTAATTACCATATCCATCATCTGAAACATTTATACTTTTTTGTGTTGGGAACATTCGAAATCCTCTCAATGATATTTGAAAATATAGAGTAAGTTACCATTAGCTGTCGTCACCGTACAGTGCTATAGAATACAAGAAATTATTATTCCTATCTAGCTGTAATTTTGTGTTATTTAACTGACATCTCTTTATCCACATCTCCTCCTGTCTATACCAGCCTCTCTACACTGTTGGTGGGAATATAAATCAGTATATCCATTATGGAGAATAGAATGGAAGTTCCTTAAAAAATCTAAAGCTAGAACTACTCTATAATCCATAAATCCTATTTTATTTTTTCTACTACATGTAATTACTTTATTTCAACACCTTTAAGTCACCTGAGTCATATTATCACACTTAAGAAACAATGTGTCAATCCCAGATCTACCTCTATGCATGAAGGTATTAAGCATGCATGATGACTAAGGTGGTGATGGTTCAGCGATTGACGCACCGGCCCTAGGCCTGAGGTGCTAGCTACAGGTCAGGCAATTGGCAGTCACAGGGATGTCTGTATCACAGCTTCGCTGGTACCACCAGAAGTTGTGAAGTGGTGGTCCAGCCCTGCTAAATTGAAAGAGGAGACTGAAGATTCAAGAAAACCACCTGCACTGTGAATCATAGGGCTACCGTGGAGAGTTTTTCCCCAAGACCACAGATTACACTTTTGTTTTGGCTTCTGGCTCCTTCCCGTTGGATGCTGTACAACAGCCCCATGACATTCTTTCTCCTCCTCAAGTCTCTGTCTCCACTTCTCCTCCAGGACATCCTTCCTCTGTTCCTCCTTTAGCCTCTGCTCCTCCAACCTCTTCTGCTCTTCCAGGTGTTTCTTGTAGTGCTGCCTGTCCTGCTCTGCTCTTTCTACACTATTTATCTTGCAGTTAGCTGTTTCTCCCATTCCTCACGTTGCTCATGACCCAGAAAAGGAGATCAATGTATTGAAGAGATATCTGCACTCCCCCGTTTATTGCAGTACTATTCACAATAACCAAGATATGGAATCAACCTAAGCATCTATCAATAGATGAACGAATAGGCTTGGTATATATACACAATAGAATATTATTCAGCAATGAAAACTAACAAAATCCTGTTTTTCATTGTAACATGGATGAGCCTAGAGGATATTATGTTAAGTGATATAAGCCAGGCCCAGCAAGATAAATATTACATGTTTTTATTTGTAAGTAGAAGCTAAAAAAGTTGATCTCATAGAATATATAGAGTCTTTGTCAATGTTTAAGAGCAATGAACATTTTAGAAAAATATCTAAAAGCAATACATATGTTTCAAACAATAGTGGGGATGATAAAAATAAATTACCAATCAAAATGACATAGTTTAAAAAATTGAAAATTTAAGAATAGACTATTACAGTAAAAGATTATTTTTAAGAAAGTATGAATTGTTCAAATAAATTGTTTTAAATAATGTTACTATTGTGACAAAAAGCTATGCCAAAAATAATTACAAACTAAATGACTCCTTTGTGAAATATGACATTGTATTAATCCTTGGCTTGTAAATATAATGGTTGGATATTCTAGGCATCAGATTCACACAATGGAATAATTTCTAAATAAATTGCTAGAAGGAATAAATTATTTTAACGGGGTCTATAATTTTAAATTACATGTGTAAAAACCAATTTATTTTATATTGTAGCAAAAAATTTAAAAATGGAAAGAAAAAATCATTTTATATAAAACTACAAAAAATACCACAGAATAAATCTCACAGGAGGTATATTAGCTCTCTACACTAATAACTACAAATCTATTTTAGATAAATTAAGATATAAATATATTTAGAAATACGATGTGATGCTAATAAATGAAATACATTATATTGTAAAGATATAAATTCTTCCTAAATAGATCTATAGATAAAATATAATATCTTTTTTGTTTGTTTGTTTTAAGATGGAGTCTTGCTCTGCTGCCCAGGTTGGAGTGCAGTGGCACAATCTCAGCTCACTGTAACCTCAGCCTCCTGGGTTCAAGTGATTCTCCTGCCTCAGCCTCCCGAGTAGCTGGGACTATAGGCACCCACCACCATGCCCAGCTAATTTTTGTGTTTTTAGTAGAGATGGGGTTTCACCATGTTGGCCAGGCTGATCTCGAACTCCTGGCCTCAAGTGATCTGCCCACCTCAGCCTCCCAAAGTGCTGGGATTACAGGTGTGAGCCACTGTGCCCAATAAAATATAATTTCAATCAATATTCCTATTTTTTTTCCTGGAGTTTAACAAGCTAATTTAAGAATTTTTATGAAAATTGAAGGAAGTAGAAAATTCAACACAATCCTTATGAGAACAAACAGAGCTGGAGAATGTATATCACTAGATATCAAGAGTTTTTTTAAAGCTAGCAATAAGACAGCATAGTGTCCATGTAAGTGTAGAGATATAGGACATAGCACCTAGAGAACAGAAAAAGACACATACCTATATAACTCCCAAATGTACACAAAGACCTAAGTTGAAAAGGATTACAGATCTATATAAGAAAGGAAAAATAATAAAGCTTTTACAAGAAAATTTAAGTGCATATTGCAGAAAATACAAAACATAAAAGAATAACCATAAAATTTTGAGAAATTAAACTTAGTTTAAATAGGGATTTCTATGAAATAAATACATCATTAAAAGAGTAAAATTTCCAGGAGAAGATATTTGCAAGCCATACATACTCATACTTAGCTAATACAAAGCACGGCTACAAAACAATGCAGAAAGGGCAAACAAATATAATATGCAAACAAATAGAGCAGACATTTCAGCAATAAGGTTTTCTGAATGACCAATATGTATATAAAAGGATACTTGACATATTAGATCCACCCCCAGAATGGCTAAGATTTAAATAATTGACAAGACCTAGTGTTGTCAAAAATGTAGAGCAACTGGAAATTTCACAATTCCCTGGTTGGAATTGAATTGGTAAAACCGGTTGGAAAAACCTTTTCATTGTCTACTAAATCTAAACATTTGTACAGAAACTAACAACTACTGAATGTACATCATTCCTAAAATATATAAGTAATTTGTAATATATTAATATAATAAAATCTGCCAAGCAAGAAAAGAGCAAACCACTGAAACATGCAATAACTTGGATGAATCCCATATTTACAATGTTGAGTGAAAAAAAATGAGATATGAAGTACTATATACTGTATTATTACATATATATGAATTTCAAAATTAGGAAAAATAACATATGATGGTAGAAAATATAAAAGTGGTCATTTTGGGTAATCGTTATCCAGAATGAAGGCATGAGGGTGCCTGATGGGGTCCTAGAAATATAATGTCTTTGTCTGGATGTAAACATACATTAAAATCATGAAGATGTAGACTTAAGATTTGTGCACTATGTCATATGTAAGTTTTACTTGAAAGAAAAATAAATGTTAGCAAATGAATTTTTTAAAAGGTAAGGCAGAATTTAAGATAAAGTCAGTTCTGAAAAGTTTTGACTCAATATATTGGTCTTCTTATTTTATCAGTATTTCCTTGCATTGCTAAAACAAATTATAGAACATTTCTAATATTTCTGAAAAAAAGTGCAGTGCATGTAAATAAATATACACATATGTATGCACATAAATGCATACACTCATATGCATATATATTAATTCAGCAAATTTTGACTGAGTTTCCACTTCATTGTCAGCACTATGCTAGCATGGCATACTTAAAATCATATTAAAGACCAGATCCCAGTGTCCACTCAATAATGTAAGACAATTAGAGAAGATAGAAAGCAATTCCACTACCATCAGGATCTACAAGCTTCCTGGGGGACTTTGGGGCTGATCATCAGGCCTTTAGTAGGAAGAAAATATTCTCCTCCGTGGGATCGCTCTCAGACATCGCAAAACTCGCTGTAGGGTAAGAAAGAGCCAAAAGATCCATATTTATGAACAGCTATAAATACAACACCGGGGGGTATCCTTCAAACCTCACTGATTACCATGCAACATCACCCAATTATCCACGGCATCGTAAGATTGCCATACCAAGCAGCAGCTAATGTTAGGCTTGATATCTGCTGGAAGATCATGAGGGAGACAGCTAGGGATCAAGTGACAATATTATACATGATTTCAGTGCTAAATTTTATTTTTATTGTCATCCTGGGCTTCATCTCTTATATCCGTGTATCACTGAGAAATTATGCTTGGACACACAAACTAAACTTATTGTTTCTCTTCTCTTTTTAATTCATGCCTAAAACCAAGGACCCCAGGCAATTAGCTATGACATTTTCTGATGATTATCTCTGGAAAGTTATATAGAATAGTGTAAACAACTCACCCTTAACCTGCATTACTCAGTTTCCAATGTAAATTGGCTATAATAGATAATGAATGTTTTTAGCTATTTATGTTTGTAAATGTATTGTTAATCCACTTCAGTGAAATGGCATTTTTTCTAATCCTATGAATGAACACCTGAGAGGAATCTAGTGAAAATGTTCTCTTGGTGAAAATAAACTGTGGTTTCTTTGTAACACACACTGTTGCTGGCAATTCATGTATGCAGTGCTCATTTCCAGATCTGAAAATTAAAACAAAACAATGGTTTTGCTTTCTTCCAAAGCGTACTCCATGGATTCAAAAGATCTCGAGAAAGCTTAAATTTCTCTTTATTTTATTTCTCCGTAAGACAAAGGACAATGACTAAAACTTAAAAAAAAAGTTGTTTGCTTTCATTAAAACATAATGATATTCTAAGAACATTTTATTCTCTTTGTTTTTCTGATATAGTGCATTGCACAGAAGTCAAACAAGATTAAGAATACTTCAAAATGTTTTATGTGTCTGAAAACTTTCTTTCAAAATAGTTAGTTTCTACCTATGAAAGATTTGATATTCAGCAAGAAAAATGTAAGTTAATTGTGACTGGTTATTTTTGATTACTGGCTAGAATTGTTGGGAGTGCGTCACAAATCTTGACGTCCCCAGATAAAAATGCATTTATGTACACAGTTGTATAGATGTACACAATAATATTCTATCTTTTGTAGCCTTCCTTAAAGAATAAGGAATAAAAGGGAAAAAAAACAAGATTTCAAGAGAAAATATTTCATTCGCTATGTTATCAATGAGAAGACTGTAAGCCTAAGCAAATTAGTCCTGATTTCCATATAAGTGCTTTTTATAAAAGATTATAGATTTGTGTATCTATATATCTGTGTCTCTGTGTATTTAATAATACAATTAGCTTCACATTAAGCATAGTCCTTGGGAATATTAACCTTCATTTTATCTACTCATTTAATAAGCTGGGTCTATAAGTAGTATTTTTGATGAATAATAATCAATAGCATTCAGGAAAGAAAAATTAAATTGTATTTAACTTATTAGTGAAAGACACTAACAGTATCAAGAGTAGGATGCTGGAAATTCATCTACGTGGCATTATTGGCTGATCAAAGTAAACAGAAACGAGGGCAGTGAAAACATCATTTTCCCCAACAGGCAGTTGGTTAACGTTTTTATGGGGTCACAAAATAATTGAGCAAATTACAATCCTTACACCTCAACTGAGCTTACAGACACAATGAAAATGAACAGCACAATGTGGGGTTACCTGGGTATTTTGCTGGCTATTTTTTGTAGTTTTTAGTATGCCTTAACTTGAAAGTTTGGTTTCTCTCCAACATGGTAAGCAGGGGAAACAGCAGGAGGTAAGATTGGAACATAATTAACATCTAATTTTTCTCTGAGTACCTTCTATTTGGCATTCTTTGCCAAATAAATGAAAATAGCCCAGAGGAAATGAATGTATGATAAATAGAGACAAGGACTTCCCCCAGAGACTGCATGTCTTGGTCTTTCAAGATCATTAAACTGAGCATCCAAGTTATAAACAAATGCAGAGTACCTTGGCTAGGATACTGGATTTCCGTACAGAAATCTAGGGTTGAATAAACATTTTGGTTGGAGTTGTTAGCTGAGAATTGACTGAACACAAATGTAAAAGTCTAAGTGTTATGTTAAGAAACCATAAGTTGAATGACGACAACTCTTAACCGGAAAGGAATTCCCAGGCTGCTGCATTCCCATAGTCAAGAACAACTAAAACGCTGAGTAAGCTGGGTTGACTCCCAGAAAACATAGTCCTCCCAATATACAGCCCAGGTTTGAACCTTAAGGACAATGGACAAGAAAAATTCCCTTAAATGAAGAATTAAGAATTATGGATAACAAAGGAATTTGGAGATTTCGCCAGAAAGCAGAAGTTAAATAGATGTATTGGTCAAGAAAGCAAAGTGAAACCAAAAATACTCATACCTGTTCCATAGGAATCTTCATTCTTTTCTTCCATTAGGGATAGCTTCTAAACCCATGATACATGCTGTATGACAGGGGTTGAAATATTTAATATGTGGGCAAAACATGGCCTGTCTCCTCTGTTTGTAAATAAAGTTTTATTGGAACAGAATTGTACCCATTCATTCATTTATTGTGTATGGCTACTTTCATGCTTTCACTCGCAATAAGTGAGTGAATGGATATAGCAGTGTTCCATTAACTCTACAATGGCGGAGTTATTTTTGTAGTGGCAGACATGGCATTCTCCACAAGCCTGAAAATATTAACTACTGAGTCCTTTATAAAAAAAAAAAGCATGCTGAACTCTGCTATAGATCCATAAATTTTATATATTATTTTTCTTCTATTTTCTGAATGGAAGTTTCTGAATCATTATATCAGCAATTGCTGCAAAAACAATCCACATCAAATTTAGTGGCTTAATAATGATCTACTATTATTGTTCATTATTTTCCATTTCATTTGTTTTCTTCTATTACCAGAATTCACTCATGCATATACAGTCAAATGTGGGTTGGACAGCTGGATCTTTTTCTCTAAAAGATTAAGAATCAGCAATATTTATTCAAAGGACTAAACAGTAAATATCTTTGACTTTGTATGTCATGTATGGGTTCCTATTGCACATTCTTCTTTATTTTTTACCGACACTTTACAAATGTAAACTTAAATTGCCAACCCCTGTCCTAGGATGTACTCTTTCAAATATTTGGTGGGGGGCAGGGTGATCATCTGACTGTAGACAGTTCTGGCATGTTGACAGCTTGACAGCTAGGTCAACTGGATTCTCTTCTCTGTGATGTTTCCTCTTCCATAAGGTCATCTGGGCTTTTCAAGTCGCGGTTACAAGATAGATCAGAGATGTGCCTACTTTCTTGAGGCTCTGGGTTAGCATACAAAATGTCCAAAAGCCTGCAGTTTCCTTTTGGTCAAAGCAAGTTACATGGGCAGTACATTTTTGAGAGCTGAAGAAATAGACTCCAACTTTTGATAAAAGTAATTGCAAAAATTAGCTATAGAGAGAGTTTTTTTTTTTTTAAGTCGACTATTTTGGAACTTGTCAGAGTTTTCGTATTCTCTTTTCTCTGTGTTGGTTATCTAGTGGATACCTGTATCAAGATGTAATGAGAAAGACTTGAGCATAAACCAGAGTTCCTGAAATTGGACATAGATACACTAGAAAGATGAAGCTTTTCTCACATTCCAGATGAGTGAGTGCATTATCTACAGGTATAAGCTTTATTAATGAGAAAAAGGGAAGGAGTGGATGTTTAGCATGTACTGTAGTAGACTCTACACATTGAACCTGTTAATATTTGACACTCAAGTTTAAACCCCATCTCCTTCATTCCTTATCTTCAACACCAGCAGAGATTTCTTCAGCTATCCATCATTCTCTATGAAGCTGTACACTTACAGGAAAGCTGAACTTTACTCAATCCGTGGAAATTAGATACTGGCTGGTCTAAGCCTTTTAAGGTACTTGCACTGTTCCAGGTCATGATTTCTTAAGGTCAAGGCATACGGGACAATCCTGGTCAGTGAGACAGGTCTGCTGGTGTTTATGAAAGTGACTTTCCAACTGTTAAGATTAGGAAGGGAGACAGAAAGAGGGCAGTGGGTAATCTCTTATCTATTTGAATAGGATGCCTGAACCACTGTAACCATTTAGCCATCTTGTCAACTCAAGAAAATTTATACTGAGAACACTGCCAACAAAGGAGAGAAAAACATAGCTGAAAGACTAAAAATAATCTGAGTATTGTTATCATTGAGCTATGAAAATGAGTCAGTTCTGACCTCTACTATTCTGCCAGGATATAATAAGGCATTCTCTGATTCCTTAAGTAATTTTGTTGGCTTTCTAATACTTGCAGTCAAAAGCACTAACTCAAAGCAAAAATGCAGCAACAGCAACTCTTGGACTAGATGTAAAGAGACTCTAATATCTGAATACCGTACCTAAAACACGAGGAGGTGCATTAAAAGGGGTGGGATGTGGGATTACATCCCTTCCTGAGTTAACACTTGGGTAATGTGGATGAAGAGATACCAAGATGATACTAGAAATAATTCTAATTAATATTAACAATTCATACGTAAGTCTACGGCAGTCAATACTACACATACACACACACATATATGTTTCTGTTAAAGAGTTTTCATGGAAGGAAAAGGAAATAGCAAAGTCATGCATAAGTATGCTGCATGAAAGACCAGAGAGATGGACTTTCAAACAAAGTGCATCCTCCTTATCCTGACACACAAACTGCATGCAGGATTTCAGGAATAAGGAAGCTATTACAATTGAGACAAAATTTTGGTCAATGTCAGACGATTCAAAAATATAACTTGATAATGTATTCCAAAATGAGTAAGGGATCCTTAAATTGTCACTACGTAAGGTCAAGTTTAAAGTGAGGCTAAGATTCACGTGAAAATCAAGCATGCTGTTCTCGTAACACAGGAGAAATGCAAAATTTGGGCATCAAGAAGAGTCTTGAAGTGATTTCAGAAATAGATTACTTAATGGGAATAGCCCTTAAAAGCATGCTTGCTATGTGTACAGGTAAATGTACACATAGCATTTCCCAGGCTAAATAACCAACCTTTTAAAGACTAATACACAATGCAGGCATACCACCAATGTATCTGAAAGCCTTGTTGGTGTATTGTGACTCTGAAAACTATGAAAAGAGTGGCATTGAAAAAATCTCCATTATCTCAAACCCATCATATTACGTAGTTTTCAATATTTTTGGCAATTCGTATACTATGTAATTTTACTGGAATTTATATGTTGTCCAGTTTTCACACTAAACTGTAATTTGGATAAGAGTAGGAAGTCTATTTTCCATATAAGGAAAAGGAAGTATCAGGTTTCTAAAAAGGCTCATTACGAGTGTGTGTATTTCCCTATTATTTCCTAGGGAAGAAGGGAAATTACAACTTAATATAGCATTTATTCATTAAAAAATTAAATGATAGGAAAATAACAGAGTATTGAGTAATATTCCATCTGTTTTTTTTTTATTTTGGAAGAAACCAAATGTTACAAAAATATTTTATTATTTGCATTATACTTAACCCATAACATCCATTAAATTAATCTTCAAGATTACAAGTACATGACCTTTGAAAATTTACAACTCCCCGCCAGGCATGGTGGCTCAGCCAGTAATCCCAGAACTTTGGGAGGCAGAGACAGATGGATCACTTGTGATCAGGAGTTCCAGACCAGCTTGGCCAACGTGGTGAAACCCCGTCTCTACTAGAAGTATAAAAATTAGCCAGGTGTGGTGGTGGGCACCTGTAATCCTAGCTACTCAGGAGGCTGAGGTGGGAGGATCCCTTGAACTTCTGAGGCAGACGTTGCAGTGAGCCCAGATCCAGCATCTATACTCCAGCCTGGGTGACAGAGTGAGACTCCATTTCAAATAAAATAAAATAAAATTTATGATTCCCAATTATTGAATTATTTATTTTGACTAACCTCTCAGATAGCTAAAATCTTCAAGTAATATTTTGTTACTCTTGTTATCTCAGTACAGTACATCTGGACCCAGTGAATATTAGAACAATTAACCTATGTACACTTTCTTGTTTAAGATTTTGAAATTTACATTTCAGTATTTTCCCTTATTCCAATTCATAGATAACTTTTACAAAATTCTTATTATCTTTGTACTATAATTTTGTTTTCAAAAAGCCATGTGTATACTTTTCCCACTCATTTGCCTGGTATTCTGCAATTCTCTTCAGCTTGTATAACAAAGGAAATCAGTCTTTCCTTATATTTTTGTCAGTTGTTTTGTTTCCCCTACTGCGTATTGTTTTTCTTTAATAGGAATTATTAGTTGCATGGTCCTAGTACAGTCATGTGTGGTTGTGGAGGAAAAGTTAAATATTAAATCTGAACTCAATTGAACATGGACACAAACAATGATCACCAAGTCCCAGAACAGGTTGTGTGAGCCCCTTGAGGCGTTCATCCAGCTCTGTTTCAGAGAAATCTCTATTTCAATCTATTCCTATATGTTAGTTATTGAAAAACAATAGACAATCACAAAAACAAGTTGACCTATTTGTGTTCCTTGAGCCCAGTAGTGAAGGGCCCTCGTGACCGGGCCTCATGCACAACAACTTGTTACAGAAAGAGCCAGGATCCCAGACTGTGCTGAAGCTTCATGAGACCTCTCCTCGTCTGTGCACGAAAGAGGAGCCGGACACAGAGTGTCCAGCCGACTCTGGAGCCCAGGCTGTTGCTTCCCGGTCTGGTGGTGAGTCCTCCATTGTCTGGTAAGGAGGATGCACATATATATATATATATACACATACACACACACACACATATATTTCTCTTTTTTCTTATATATATTATATATATTTATATTTCTTATATATAATATATATTAATATTTCTTATATATAATATATATATTATATATATTTATATTTCTTATATATATAATATATATTACATATATTTATATTTCTTATATATAATATATATAATATATATTTATATTTCTTATTTATATTATATATATTTCTTATATATAATATATATATTTATATTTCTTACATATATATTTCTTATATATATTTATATTTCATATATATATATTCTTTTCTCTTACATATATATTTCTTTTTCTTCTTCCCTTCTCATTGCAATTTGCTTATTCTATCACTCTGCTGATTATATCAATTTTCTTATTATTATATCATTTGCTTATTATATCTGCATTGCCATTTACATGGGATAAAACTTGTTTACCCTTAAAGGTATTGTGTGTGTGTCTTTTCTTCTCCCCTCATGCGTTTCCCGCACAGAACAGTGGTGTTTAGCTGTATTAAGTAATATGAGTTCATGCTGATATCTTCAAATATAATCCTTTACTTTCTTCTTCTGCTTGTCTGTAACCTCCCACTATAAAAATAAATCTTGACTCCCACCTTCTGACATTCATTTACTTTATTTTTAAAATTTCAGCATGAATGTGCATGGTATCAGAATTAACACATATTCCTTCAGGAAACAACTTTACCTACTGGAGACGTTTCTATTTACAATTCCCTTTCCTTTCAGTCTTACGAACTCCATCGTTTTCCAAGTTATTTAGGTCAACAACTTCGCCCCCCACCTCTTACAAGGGGGGCATTTCATATACTGTAATAAAGTTTGATGGTTTTTACAGTTTGCATGTCATCCTGTGATTCTCCATCCTCTTAAATGTTTTTTCGTTTTGTTTTATTTTGTTTGTTTGTTTGTTTGGTGGTAGAGGACATTTATTCATGATGGTAACACATAATCTGCTGAAATTCATTTTGAACTTGCTTTTACAAATGTTTTTCTTTACATACCTTAAGATTCATTCTTTATAAGAATTTATGAAATCTTATCATTTGGGAAATAATAAAAATGAATATAATCTCTTGACTCCTCCTAATTATTGCTATATTAGAAATATACAATATAAATTGGTGCAAAATTGCGGTTTTGCCATTACTTTTAATTACTTTTAATGGCAAAATCACAATTACTTTTGCACCAACCTATAAAATCATACCTATTATTTGCCTCAATGTATCTATTATGAGATACAGTTATATATTTCATATAAATCAGTATACTTGAATATACTATAAAAATTAAGTTTAAAAAAGTTTTTTTTTTTTTTTTTTTTTTTTTTTTGAGATGGAGTCTCACTCTGTCTCTCAGACTGGAGTGCAGTGGCCTGATCTCGGCTCAGTAGCTGGGACTACAGGCGCCTACCACCACACCCGGCTAATTTTTTGTATTTGTAGTAGGACGGGGTTTCACCGTGTTAACCAGGATGGTCTCGATCTCCTGACCTCGTGATCTGCCCGCCTTGGCCTCCCAAAGTGCTGGGATTACAGGTGTGAGCCACTGCGCCCAGCCTAAGGAAGTTTTTTAAAGTAATATAAAATGTTTGCTCATGAGAAAGATGCTAAAAAAAATCCTTGGTTTACTTTTTGTTTTCTCTTGGGTATGAAAAATAAAAGCTCTCTTCTAAAAATTGAGTCAGGTACAGTGTATGATTTGCCATATTGTATGTGAATAAAGGATTCATAATTGATTTGGTATCAGCTAGGCACATCCTGGTGATTAGTAATGTCTCAAGAGAAAAAAATCATAGTGTAATAAAATTATTTTTTCTTTTAGTATAATGCAGATAAAATAATTAGCTAAGTATTATATTGATTAAGGTTAATCTGGTAAATTTGTAAATAAAAGTGATTATTTTGTACTGCCTTCTCTGTTCAAATAATGTATCAGATGCAAAATTGATCTTGGCATTCACATGCAGAGTTATTGGCATTATGTCATAGAGTAACACTGCCTTAAAAGATGAATCACAAACCATTTTACTGCCGTGTTTATTGATTATCCTTCAGATTATAAAGAGCTTGTAAGGTTAAAAAGCATTTAAAGATTTATTAGCAATATTGATCTACATTTTTGCAGTGTTGAAAGCAAACATAAATCCAGTTCCAGCAAAAGATACAGTAAACATTACTGTTCTAATACCAGAATTTAGCTATTTAAGGAATGTTTTCACAATGTATTAAGATGTATCGTTTGTTTACTTGTTAGATGTATAGATTAATTCTTATTTGATAATCAGAGTTCTCATGCCTTTGATGTTTAATTTATTGTCAATTTAGCTAAAAATACACATATCTCAATTGTACATCATAGAAAGCTTCTTTAGTTATAGGCATGTTTTTCTTAATTGAACTCAACTTCCCTAAAATATGGTATAGATCATCCTTTTTATTTTACATGAAACAAAAATCACCTTTATTATGTATTGTGTGCATGGATATACATGTTCATGTGTTGCATACTCATAGAAACACAAATGGCCACAATTTACAATTTTTAGTTAAATTGGTCCAGTGTGTTTTTCAGGCCATAAATGACAAAATAAAGATATAATTCATAGGAATATAAATAATCTTTAACAAAATGTATATAACATGCAATATTCCTAGATGATATATAGTATGCTATACTTGATTATGTACCAAAAGCATTTGATAAAGGATTTTTAAATTTTAGCTTATAATTTAGATACAGGGGGTACATGTATAGAATTGTAACATGGGCAAATTGGACCCAGGTAGTGAGCATAGTACTCTTCCTGGAGAACCTCTGCTAGAACAGTGTGTAAGGGAAATGTGGGGTCAGAGCCCTCACACAGCCCCCACTGGGGTACTGCCTAGTGGAGCTGTGAGATGAAGGCCACAGCCCTCCAGACCCCAGAATGCTAGATCCATTGACAGTTTGCACTGTGTGCCTGGAAAAGCCACAGACACACAATGCCAGCCTGTGAAGGCAGCTGGGAGGGGGAGTGTAACCTGCAAAGCCACAGGGGTGGAACTATCCAAGACCATGAGAGCCCACCACTTTGCATCAACACTGCTTGTATATGAGACACGGATTCAAAGAAGATTATTTAATAGCTTTAAGACTTAATGACTGCCCTGCTGGATTTTGGACTTTCAGGGGGCCTGTAGTCCCTTAGGTTTGGCCAATTTCTTTTATTTGGAATGGGAGCATTTATCCAGTGCCTGTATACCCATTGTATCTTGGAAGTAACTAATTTGCTTTTAATTTTGCAGGCCGATGTGGTTTGGCTGTGTGCCCACCAAAATCCCATCTTGAATTCCCATGTGTTGTGGGAGGGACCTGGTGGGAGGTAATTGAATCATGGGGGCAGGTCTTTCCCATGCTGTTCTTGTGATAGTGAATAAGTCTCATGAGAGCTGCTGGTATTATAAAGGGGAGTTTCCCTGCCCAATCTCTCTCTTTGCCTGCTGCCATCCATGTAAGACATGACTTGCTCCTCCTTGTCTTCTGCCATGACTGTGAGGCTTCCCCAGGCATGTGGAACTGTAAGTCCAATTAAACCTCTTTCTTTTGTAAATGGACCAGTCTCTGGGATGTCTATCTCAGCATGTGAAAACAGAATAATACACAGGCTCATAGGTAGAAGGGACTTGCCTTGTTTTAGATGAGACTTGTGACTTAGACCTTTGGGCTGGAATGAGTTAAGACTTTGGAGAACTGTTGGGAAGGCATAATTGTGTTTTGAAACATGAGGACATGAGATTTGGGAGGGGCTGGGGCAGAGTGATATGGTTTGGCTGTGTCCCTACCCCAAATCTCATCTTGAATTGTAATTCTCATAACCCCAGTGTGTCAAGGGAGGGATCCGGTGGGAGGTGATTGGATCATGGGAACAGTTTCCCTCATGCTGTTCTCATGATAGTGAGTGAGTTCTCACGAGTGCTGATGGTTTTATAAGGGGTCTTCCTCTTTTGCTCCTTGTTTCTCTCTCCTGCTGCCATGTGAAGAAGGTCCTTGCTTCCCCTTCGTCTTCCACTATGATTGTAAGTTTCCTGAGGCCTCCCAAGCCATGTAGAACTGTGAGTCAATTAAACCTCTTTTCTTTATAAATTACCCGGTCTCAGGTAGTATCTTTATAGCGATGTGAGAATGGACCAATACAGTACCCAACAGGTAGTTTTTCCACCCCCACCCCTCTTCCTAGCTCCATCCTTTAGTAGTTCGCAGTGTCTATTGTTTCCATATTTATGACCATATGTACTCAATGTTCACCTCCCACTTATAAGTGAGAACACGTGGTATTTGGTTTTCTGTTCCTTGCATTAATTTGCTTAGGATTATTTATAATAGCCACAAAGAAAATGAAATACCTAGGAATACTGGTAACAGAGGAGGTGAAAAATATCTACAAGGAAAACACTGCTGAAATAAATCAAAGATAACAGAAATAAATGGAAAAACATCACATGCTCATGGATTAGAAGAATTAATAATAAAATGGCCATTCTCCCCAAAGCAATTTACGTATTCAACATTATTTCTATCAAAACTACCAATGTCATTCTTCCATGAATTAGAAAAAACTAATATAAAATTCATGTGGAACAAAAAAGGAGCCTGAGTAGCCAATGAAATCATAAGCAAAAAGAACAAAGCTGGAGGCATCTCACTACTGGAATTCAAACTACACCATAAGGCTACAGTAACAAAAAGAGCATGGTACAAGTTCAAAAACAATGGAACAGAATAGAAAACTCAGAAATAAAGCTGCACACCTACAATGATCTGCCCTTTGACCAGGGCAACAAAACCAAGCAATGGGAAAATGACTCCCTATTCAATAAATGGTGCTGGGATAACTGTCTAGCCATTTGCAGAAGAATGAAGTTAGACCCTTATCTTTCACTATATACAAAAGTTAACTCAAAATGGATTAAAGATTAAATGTGAAACCTTAAGCTATATAAATTCTAGAAGAAAACCTCGAGATACCCTTCAAAACATCAATCTTGCAAAGTCATCTTTTAGAAAGTGCATAAACACACTCTTTCCACCTCTGTCTCTGTGGCTCTATCTTCTCTTTCCATCTATACCTGTATCTATCTATATGTTTCCAGTTCTCTCCATCTTATCTGAATCTCTGTACCTATATCATTATTTATTAAAATGCATTATTGGATATTTGTATCATATCACACGTGTACATATGCCGAGAACAGCTCAGCTGGGGAGACCCTAACCCAGGGGTGCTAGAGGAATTAAAAACACACACACAGAAATATAGAAGTGTGAAGTGGGAAATCAGGGGTCTCACAGCCTTTGGAGCTGAGAGCCAGAACAGAGATTTACCCACATATTTATTAACAGCAAACCAGTTATTAGCATTGTTTCTATAGATATTAAATTAACTAAAAGTATCCCTTATGGGAAACGAAGGGATGGGCCGAATTAAATGAATAGGTTGGGCTAGTTAACTGCAGTAGCAACACGCCCTTAAGGCATAAATCGTTCAAGCTATTGTTTGTGGCTTAATATTGCCTTTAAGCGGTTTTCCACCCTGGGCGGGCCAGGTGTTCCTTGCCCTCATTCCAGTAAACCCACAAACTTCCAGCTTGGGCGTTATGGCCATCATGAACATGTCACAGTGCTGCAGAGATGTTGTTTATGGCCAGTTTTGGGGCCAGTTTATGGCCAGATTTTCAGGGGCTTGCTCCCAAAATATATATATGCATGTAGGTACATGTCTGTGCATTTTAAAGAAATTTTCTGTTTAAAAACACATAATTTTACATGCTGCTAGAGTGGTATAGATTTTTAACATGGAATTTTAAATATATCTTTCTTATTTCCTAGCTTATATTTTCTACGTGATCTTTAAATGAGACCACAATTATTACTTTAAATTAGTAAGATGAGCAAAGAGATATGAAATAGTTGAAAAATTTTCCTATTTTTTTTGTTTAGGGATATAATTTTCAAAATATAATTTTTTCATAAACTGAAACATACATTAGTTTTCTGCAGGATGACTTTAAATGTCATCTTCTAATGCAAATATTTAAAATAAAATTTAACAAAGTGAATGCACTTTCCCAAACTCATAGGCTAATTTAAGAAGAAAATGATTAAGCAAACAAATACTTTGAGAACATTTGCACATTGTATACACTCGAGCGCAGGTGAGCACATCCTATAGGAAACATATGTCTCCATTATGTTCTAAACTTATTATGCAAAAGAAGCCTGTACGTATGTTTGTGGTTTTCATACTACTCAATTAATATCCTGCAATTTTAAACATTTGTCCATTTTTTCCACATACTCAATATAGTATTTTCCTCTTGGCCATGCATTATTTCTCATCTCTGTTTTAATATTATCTAATGATAATAAAAAAATTTTAAAAAGATCAAATATACACACATCTAGTGTATATATTTTTTAATTCCTAGAATTTAGTATATTAGACATGAGGTGTGATTATCTAATTTAAGTATGTCAGAAACCTGATTGGAATTTATCAAATGTACTCAATTCATGTATTTACCTATGCTAGAAATCTAAAGGCCATCTTATTTTTGAGACTACATTTTAAAAACAAATAATAATCATAAAATGAAAACCCCAAAAGGAATAAAATGTATGTAAGAGTCAATTTGAACAAGAATACATATTTGTATAAAATATGTGAAAACACCATTCTAAAATAATATGTTAACTTTAAATCTTAAATAACAGATTGATAAAATCAGATGTGGCTACTGGCAATATTTCTTTATCTCATATCCTTATTTTATATAGTCAATGGCACAACCTCATATGTAAGAGATACTTTGGAAGAATTACCTCCTTGAGGCAGCACTGTTAAGGGGCCTCACTGCAAAGAAGAATAAAGTGTAATGGGTTATTGTCCTGAGCTAGACACACACTGATACAAGTATTGGTTCCTATTAACAGCATGAGCCTAAGAAATCTAAGAATATTTGAGGCATAATTGTCATGCCTTTAAAATGTGAACATCAATGGTATCTATCACGACTACCAAAAGGGCTTAAATGGATTAAACAGGATTTTAAGTAAATGTTTATTAATGGGAATATACATAAACACAAATACACTTTATAGAATGTATTTATAATGCATAGAGAAAAACAGAGAGGGGTTATAGAAATATAGAGAATTTTATTTTATATAATATTAATACATTAGTTGTCTATCAAATATGTACATATAGCATATAGAACATGGAAAAATAGGCTACATAAAATTTAAAATGCATTTATAAACATATGCATATATAATACAAAATAAATACATGTACACACACAAATCTCAAGTTACTCATAATAACAAAATTTAGAGAATTTTGTGATGACTAAATAATTTCACAGATGAGTAAAATTGGTATTTTTTCTTACTATGACCATAAGTCTACATTATCCTGGTTTTAGTGAATAAAACAGTTTATATTAGTATGGGTTATATGTGAGGTGACTTTAGAAAGAAAGGCTACGAAAGATACAATAGTTGAAAGAACGCTAGGCGGTAGACTGTGATATACATCTGTGCAGTATGTCATAATTTGGTAATTCCTTTTTTAATTTCAAAGTCTTGTGATCTAAAATATGCAATTGTTTAATTTATACATATTAGGATTTTCATATCTACTATATACAGTATCAAAATTTTCCATTTCCTAAGATGTTCTGGATTTTTACTGTTTAAATATTTAATGTGGAATATATTGATTCCTCTTTTATATATTTTAAAGGTTTATCATTGTACAATTATCATCTTATATTTTGATTTTGTCACTTAGTACATTGTCATTCAATGTGTTTGTTAATATAGAGTTTTAACTATTTTAATGGTAACAAAATACATTCTGAAGTACCCTAATTCATTAAAACCCATTCATATCACTGGATTTTTAGAGCCATACAAGTTCCTTGTTTGGCTCTTATCAATAAAGTTTTAGTGAATATCTTTTGGCATGTAACATTTATTTCAGTTAATTTATAGCAGTAAGAGAAACCCCCAGCAGTTACATTCCTATGTAATATTTGTAGGCAACTTTATTATTTTTGACAATAATTCATTATTTTTCTATGCCAGTTAGTAAGGAGAAATAGAGTGCTTACAATAATCCTATTTCAATTTTCATTAAGATTTCAAATAACTGGGTTCTAACTTCTAGTTATCATGAGCCAGCTGTGACGATATAGATTTGTAGTACTGAGACATAGGAAGGACTAGACTAGAGAGGACCTCTAGTTCTGTACCTTCATTCAATCACCCAGCAATGCAAAATAATAAAGAATGATTAAAGATTTATTCCAGATGATCTATTAAACAATAGCAGAGCTGTGAGTAGAACTTGTTTTATGACTTCTAATATTCTTCTTTTTTCCTGTTAGGCACTTGAATCCTTTCCTTTGATTTATGTCACATACACAATAACACAAGATGTGTTAAAATTGACATAATTTTATCAATAAGAAAAAATCCCAACTTTTTAAATCAATGAAATCATCAGAATGATTTGGAAAATCTGACTCTAAAATTTAAAACATTGCAAATAACTTCGTATCATTTTCTTTTGTCAGTTCATGAAGTTGTGTATTTAATAACCTTCCTTCCCTGTTTCTCTAATGATCCAAACTTTAGAATGTACTCGAATAGGAGTAATTTTATAGGAATTAAATTATTTCATTTGTTCAAGTATGTGGATGGCATTTGCTTTTAACTTTAAATGCAGTGTCAACTTTTGTCTATGATAATATTATTAAAAGTGTTATGGGACCCTAGCAAAATTGAATAAACTGTAGCATCACTACATACCTTTGATATTGTGGTGCCTGTCCCATTCATTACTGACGAAAGTGTGTATAAATACACAAACACACACGCACATATATTCTAAGGGTAATTTTTTTTTACTACAATACATTATTTAAAGTAAATATTTGTAAAAAAATAAAGTGATTTTAGAAATTACACATTTTTAAATTTATTTTGCTATTATAAACATTTTAATTCTCTTACTTCTATAAACATCATGTTTTTATTTTTATGTTCAGAAAAATGTTAGAAAAGCATCACCCTCTTATTATTTTCCTAAAACATCCAGTGTCATTACTAAAAATTTAGTATAGTGTATTGATTAATGAAATTAATACTGTGGAAATAACATGAGAAAATATTTTCTAATCATTTTTTTTCCTAGCATGATTCAGGTCAAAGGGTGATTTTCTATTATCATTTCCACTGTCTGAATTCTCACTAGGAAACTACAAAAAAAGTCCACATTCATTATTAAATTGCTATTTTTCTTTTTTTCATAAAAAATAGTTCAATGTTATTTTCCCTTAATACACCAATACCCAAAGGTAGTGCCATTTGAAAGCCAGAATTTTTATTTGATCTCAAAGCTGTTTTAATTTTTGTGAGATTAGATATGCAGTTGAAAAACACACAATCACAAGTAAACAAACATTCAACACATAATTTTATATAGTAAACAGCAAGCTTAAATAATTTTTGCTTATGGAAAAAAGAAAAGTTTACATTACACAAATTATAAATAGTGTGAAAATGTGAAATACAAGTCTATTACTCCATAAAATATTTTAACACTGCATTTACGTGCAAGATTTGAAGGTGCTGCACCCACAACTCCTACCTGCCTTCCATTCACCATCAGTTCACCCAAATGCTGGCTCCAAGTAACTTAACACATCTGAGGTTTAGATATTTTTCTATCATCTGGAATTGAGATATTTGTATCTATTTTTGGATGTATTTTGCATTCTGTATGTGTGTGTATGTATGCATTCATATGCATGTAAACATACCTATGTATTATATATTATTATACATAACAAATATAATATATACATGTAATAATATATATTATATGTAACATATATATTATATATGTAACATATATATGTAACATATATATTATATGTTACATATATAATATATATTATATATGTAACATATAATATATAACATATATAATATATATTATTTAATGCAATAATACATAGTATATATTATTTAATTCATATAGAATTATATAACATATATAATAACATATATTATTTAATTTATATATATTAACATATATATTATTATGCATGTTATAACATATATATTATACATGTTATAACATATATATTATTATGCATGTTATAACATATATATTATTATACATGTTATAACATATATTATTATACATGTTATAACATATATATTATTATACATGTTATAACATATATATTATTATACATGTTATAACATATATATTATACATGTTATAACATATATATTATTATACATGTTATAACATATATATTATTATACATATATATTATATATGTATATTATATATACATATATGTTATAACATATATTATATGAATATATAATATATATATATTCATATATATTATAACATATATATTATTTAATTCAATAACTTATACTTTGCTCATACATAAACACTGGTTCCCCACTTTACCTTATTATTTATAATAGGATTCATCTGTGTAATCTTTGAAGTTTTCCTTTTTTTGTTTGTTTCTTTGTTTTTGGTGAAGAAAGGTAGGCCAAGTTGGTTCAGTATCACTTGTGAAGAAATAATTCATTCAGTTTCACAAAGCTGCCTCTCAGTGACTTACACTGTGCCTAGCACTAAATAGTTGTATCACATCATGTACACCATTTGCAGTTTTCTTCATATTATTCCCTGAACACCAATCCAGTACATATTGCTATAACATTATTGGAGACAGAATTTCATGACAATAAACTCTCTAATTTAATAGATTTATGTTTGTACCTTAGCTATTCCACTTATGAGGTGGAAACCTTGAACTTTTTTTTTAAGTTATCAAATCCCCATTTTTTTCATTCGTGAAGTGAGAATAATACCTACTTCACAGACATGTTTTAGTATAATAATTAATTGATGTCTATGAAATACATAACAGTGTCTTTAAATATTAACTAATACATGTGAGCTATTGATATGGATTGCTATTGTGTGCATATTCAATTGCTGAAATTGTTATGAATACAATATTAACATGTATCCTAACTTTAAAACATACAATATTAAACAGAAGGAAGGAATACATAAAATATATATAGATGTTGGAGTCCCTCATTTTTTTTTTTCTTTTTGAGACGGAGTCTCACTCTGTGGCCAGGCTGGAGTGCAGTGGAGCAATCTCGGCTCACTGCAACCTCCGTGGAGTCCCTCATTTTTATAGTAATATATGGAAGACATGTTTTAGATATAACTCTTGTTCTACATGTAACAAATTGTGCTAGATATGTAACAAGTAAAAAACAAAGTAGGTAGAATCATGACCAAAAACTATTGCTCTCCTATCTCTGGGCAAAAGACAAATGAAAAATATACATTGTTTGTCACATTAGCTCTTTTAGGGCATGTGTACTCATCAAGCTTTTTGTTTTGCTTCTGTTTGGAATATATAGTCCTCATATTATTTTTATTAAACAGGCCAGCCCCAGTGGTTTCAATAAAAAACAAACATCTCTATTAGGTAATTTATAGTTGTTCTTTCGTCATGTTCGGTAAGAAAAGCTGTATAAGGACAAAAACACAGTCATACGAATGCCAAGGGTAGTTGTTTCACACATTTGCAGTACCTTATCTACTTACTTATTTTAAGTACAACAGGGTCTCGCTCTGTTGCCAGTCTGGAGTGCAGTGACACGATCTCGGCTCACTGCAACCTCCGCCTCCTGGGTTCAAGGGATTCCCCTGCCTCAAAACTCCCAAGTAGCAAGTAGCTGGGACTACAGGTGCACGCCACCACGTCTGGCTATCTACTTATTGTTAAGGACTTTAAATAAAAAACTCCATATTTCTATTAAACATGGGAATATTCTAACCATGAATAAATGATGTTCATCATCTACATTCACATAACAAATATTTGACATATAGAAAAATGTAAAAAAATTCCAAATTATCTAAATTCAACCGCAAAAGGAACAAAGAAAATATTTCCAATTTTAATGTAAGTATATACCCAACAGAAAAATGAAATATTACTTAAGCACAATCATAACACATCAGCTGAAAGAATTATAAATGAAAAGAGACATCCAGCTAGTCAGAAACCAGTACGTAAAGAAAAGAAATACTAACATTTTAAGATCATTTCAAAGATACTATACTGTATAAGATCACTACTTTTTTAAACTCTGAAAATAGTCCCTCCAACTGACATTTTTTGTATCTTGTAAAAGGTCAGATAAATGTCATTTCATGTTTCAGAACTAAGTTCAGACTACTCGTATCAAAAGATGATTTCATTACTTCCCATGTATGCAGTGCTCACACTCCTTTGCTCCTTCTAAACATGCTTTACCCTTTAGGTCCTTCCTATCAAACAGACTTCCAACTCTTCTTCTCGACACAGATTTATTAAACTCTTCTTTTCTTAGCTTTTATAGCTCTTCGACTGTGATTTTCCTTAAGTAATTTTAATGTTTTCTTCTCTAATCCCTTCTCCCACACTTCTTTTCACTCTTTCTCTTTAAACATAGTTACATCTAAAAGATACAGCTGTATTTGGTATTCATCACTCTCTAGCAATTTCCTTATAGTAAATCCTACAGATTATCTCCTTTAGAACAAGTTAGGGAGATTTCGGCACTTGTAGATTGCCTAGGCTTCACCCAGATCTACCTGATCCAAAAGCCTGAAGCTGTAGCACAGATTCTAACATACAATCAGTGATTCTTATGTACCCCATAGATTGAAAATTACTGCTATATACACTCACCACCTTGGTAAAAACATTTAATTACGTAATATGTTGAATTGCCTCTATGAGCATATCTCTAAAATTTAATCCAGACTCTTGACCTTATTTCTAAACTCTTGTCCCATATTTTCAAGTGCCTGTGAGGTATCATTACATTTAACCTTGCCAATAATCCCTGATATGGTTTGGTTCTATGTCCCCCACCCAAATCTCGTGTTGAATTGTAGCCTTCAGTGTTTGAGGAGGGGACTGGCAGGAGGTGACTGGATCATAGGGGTTGACTTCCCCCTTGTTGTTCTCCTGATAGTGAGTTAGTTCTCAGGAGACCCCATTGTTTCAAAGTTTGTAGCACTTCTCCCTTTGCTCTCTCTCTCCTGCTCCACAATGTGAAAACATGCTTGCTTCCCCTTCACCTTCCACCGTGATTGTAAGTTCCCTGAGGCCTCCCCAGCCAACCTACCTGTACAGCCTGCCAAACCATGAGCCAATTAAATCTCTTTTTTAAAAATAAATCACACAGTCTCAGGTAGTTCCTTCTATCAATGCAAGAAGGGACTAATACAATTCTGTAATATTAAATATACTCAAATCAATTTCCTCATTAGATATTACCATAGAATGAACATTTATTTTATTTCTCATCAATATAGATATATTCTTAATGAATGTAGCTGTCATTATTTGATGACTAGACAGAGACCAGTGAGTTGAGTTTGCCACAATATTGTCATCGACAAGAATGAGATTTGAGTTTTATGATTATAGTGTGTTCCCATTTGCTTTCATCTAAATGAAAAATTCATTTACTTTTAATCTTCAAAATGTACAGACACTGGACTTCTCCAGATTTCTAATATTCCTTAATTAACTAGAGCTCCTAGAGTTTTTGAGTATCTAGGGTGTGCATTTGTGTGTATATGAGTGCATGTGAAATTTCCATTTGATGGATGAAATTGGACGCTTTCTATACTCATAAAATGGTAACTTTTTTTAAAACAATGTCTTATTTAAATTAATTTATTGGTCACTAAAAGAAAAAAATCTTTACATGTTGTTGTGTTTTGAATTTCCTGAATATCATACTCAAGCAACAAATATTGTATATTAAATTGCCACTTGCCTCAGGACGCAGTGTTAGATTCACACATTCCTGCATATTTTCTGTTAAATTTGCAGTGAGTCCAACATTTTTATAAACCCTAACTTCATGTAATGGTTTGATAGATAAAAGAGTTATTTAAATTACCATAACTGAGGATGAATGTACTTTGAACATCACTATCAAAATGTTATAAACAGATGTGACATTTATCTGCCCATTGTATAAAAGAGAAGAATTTAAATATAAGAAAATTTAGCATGCTAAAATAACATCCTAAAAATTGTGTGATAAAAAACAACCTTTCAACATTTTCATGATATATAAGACAAATTTTAATGTTCCATTGTAAGGTCATTACACTTGAAATGTATCAGAATTCAAAAGACAGTGCATATACTTCTCTTTTCCAGTGTATCATATTTTGATGAATACTTTACTTTAAAATTAATTAGGAGGGAGAAAATTGTGTCTCCTTTTACTGTCCTTCAAGTCATTCAGTAAGATCCTCCATAAAGCATGAAAATTGTGCACTATTTCCATGCACAAATTATGCACAGACAATAAAGTTATTGCTTGGTCTGCAGTAAGATTATGTAGAAAATGATGGATGCACTATAAAGGAATTTACCTTGTTTTTTTCATGCAATCATATGTCTCTCTAGTGTATATAAAATCATGTAAATGTCTTAAAGTCTTTGTTATCTAAAGGATTTCTGCACTGAAGTAAGGATTAAGTACAAAATATACATCTATTTCATTAAATTGTTGCCACATTCCATGGAAAAACAATAATATATCTGTAATTACAAAATGCCTATCTTACATGTTGGATTATCACATTTGGCCCAGTAACTTCATAAATATTAGTATACAGTATTTTAATTAATTCCATTTAAAGAAAGACAGCCAGTGATAATTCAGTATGCCTAAGAAGGAGATATATATATTCTATATTCATTTCTAATATACATAGAAAAAGAGATCTTGCTTAGGATCTGTTGATAAAATTAAAAGCTTAATAAAAGAGAATAAATAAGGGAAAATCCCATTCATGGAGTTCCTGAAAGGAATGAATAAATTACAATTTCCATTTGAAACCAAATTCTGTTTCATAAGATTCCAAGTAACTGTCTTCTGATGATTTGATTACTATATTCTTAATCTGATGGTTTCTTTTTAAAAAAGAATGAAATAAAAAGCATATATATTTGAGGTATACAATGTGATGTTTTGATACACATATATGGTTAAATGATTAATATAGTAAAACTAATTAGCCTATCCATTACCTTATATAGTTATCATTTATTTCTTTGGTGCAGTGAGAATACTTCAGGTCTACTCACATAGCTAATTTTAGGCATACAAAACAGCATTATTAACTATAGTTACCCTGCTGTACATTGGATCACTAGAATTTACATAGACAAAGTTTTGTCTCCTTTTATAAACATCTTTTTATTTCCCCCAAATCGTGGCACCTGGTAACTATAATTTGATTCTCTGCTTCTATGAATTTGCAGATTTAGTTTTATTTAGTTGTATTTTATTTTATTTTATTCTATTTGAGACAGAGTCGCACTCACACTGTCACCCAGGCTGGAGTGCAGTGGCAGAATCTCTGCTCACTGCAACCTCTTCTTCCTGGGTTCAAGTGATTCTCCTGCCTCAGCCTCCTGAGTAGCTGGTATTACAGACATGCACCACCACCCCTGGATAATTTTTGTACTTTTTGTGGACGTGGAGTTTCATCATATTGGCCAAGCTGGTCTTGAACCCCTGACCTCAAGTGATCTGCCTACCCTGGCCTCCCAAAGAGCTGGGATTACAGACATGAGCCACCATGCCTGGCCTGGAGTTTTTAGATTCCAAGTGTAAGTGAGATCATGCAGTATTTTCCTTTGTGTCTGGCTTATTTCACTTAACATATCATCCTTAAGGTTCATCCACATTGTCAAAAATGTCAGGATTTCCTTATATTTTAAGGCTTAGTAGTATTCCACCATGTATATGCATATAGTGACATATGTGTAATATCATATAAGTTATCTATCACTTTTTAATCCATTTATACATTAAATAACACAGGCTACTATAAATAATGCTTTAATGAACATAGAAGTACATATATCTATTGGAGACACTGATTTCATTTCTTGGGATATACACCTAGAAGTGGAATTGTTGGATCATATCGTAGTTCTATTTTTAATTTTTTCAGTAACCTCATTACATTTTTCCATAATGGCTGTACCAATTTACATTTCCATCAACAATGTACAAGGGTCTCCTTTGCTCCACATCTTGCCAACACTTGTTAACTCTTATCTTTTTCATAATAGCCATTCTAACAGGTGTGAGATGGTATGTGACTGTGGTTTTGATTTGAATTTCTCTGAAGATAGTGATGTTCAGGATGCTTTCATATACCTGTCGGTTATTTGTAAGTCTCCCTTTAAGAAATATCTATTCAAGTTTCTTAACCGATTTTTTTTTTTGAGACAATGTCTCACTCTGTCGCCAAGTTGGAGTACAGTGGCGTGATCTCAGCTCACTGCAACTTACGCCTCCTGGGTTCAAGCGATTCTCCTGCCTCAGCTTCCTGAGTAGCCAGGACTATAGGCACACGCCACCACGCCCAGCTAATTTTTGTATTTTTAGTAGGGATGAGGTTTCACTGTGTTGGCCAGGATGGTCTCGATCTCTTGACCTCGTGATCCGCTCGTCTTGGCCTCCCAAAGTGCTGGGATTACAGGCATGAGCCAGGGTGCCTGGCCCTTTTGACCAGTTTTTAATTAGATTATTTATTTATACTATTGAGTTGTCTTATATATTTGGAGATCAATTTCTTATTAGATGCATGATTTGCAAGTATGTTTTCTCCATGTTTAGATTGCCTTTTTATTTTGTTGATTGTTCCCTTTGCTGTGCAGAAGCTTTTTAGTCTGACGTAGTCCTACTTATTTTTGCCTTTTTGCCTGTGTGTTTGGTGTTATAACCAAAAGATTATTGCCAAGCTGAATGTCAAGGAGATTTTCATCTATCTTCTAGGAGTGTCAGATCTTATGTTCAATCTTTAATACATTTTGAGTTTTTCTGTGTATTGCTTAAGGGTCCAATTTTATTCTTTTATGTGAATATTGAGTTTCTCATGGTCACTTATTGGACAAACTACCCCTTCTCCATTGGATATTGTTGGTACCTTTGTCAAAATTTAGTTGACTGTATACGTGTGAATTTATTTCTAGTATTCTTTTCTATTTCATTTGTCTATGTGCCTGTGATTATGTCAGTGTCATACTGTTTTTATTACTATGTCTTTGTAATGTAATTTGAAATAAGGAAGTATTACATATTCAATTTAGTTCTACTTGCTCAAGATTATTTTGGCTATTCGGTGTCATTTAGGGTTCAATAAAAATTTTAAGATTCTTTTTTCTATTTCTATGAAAAATGCCATTGGAATTTTGAAAGACATAATATTGGATCTGTAAAAAACTTTGGGTAGTATGGATGTTTTAATACATTAATTTTTATAATCCATGAATGTGGGATTTTAAAAATTTATTTGTGTCATCTTTAATGTTTTCCGTCAATGTTTTATAGTTTCTGGTGGACAATCTTTCACTTCCTTCATTAAATTTCAATCTAAGTATTTATTCTTTTTGATGCTCTTGTAAATGAGATTGATTTCTTGGTTTCATTTTTGAATTTTTTTTTGTTTGTATTAAAAAACCATACAAACATTGACTTTGTATCCTACATCTTTACTTAGATCATTTATTAGCTCTAACAGTTTCTTTCTTAAGAGAGTTTTTATGGTTTTCTACATAAAGGATCAGGTAATCTGCAAACAGAGATAATTTTACTTTCTTTTCCTGTTTGAATCTTTTTTTTTCTTTTTCTTGTGTGATTGCTCTGGCTAGGACTGCCAGTACTATGCTGAATAAAGTGGCGAGAGTGGGCATCCTTGCCCTTTCCTGGATATTAGAGAAAAAGCTTTCAGTTTTTCCACTTTGATTGGGATGGTAGCTGCATGTTTTTCATATGTGGTCTTTTTGTGTTTAGGTAAGTTCCTTCTGTACCTAAGTGGCTAAGAGTTTTTATCATGAATGGGTGTTAAACTTTGTCAAATGTATTTTCTGATTCTATTGAGATGATCGTGTGGATTTCCCATTTTTTTTCTGTTGAGGCAGTAAATCACATTGACTGAATTGTTTATGTTGAACCAACCTTGCATCCTAGGAATAAATTCCACTGGGTCATTGTGTGTAATATTTTTGATGTGGTATTTGCTAGTATTTTATTAACAATGTTTGCATCTATATCTATACTTTTTTCTTGTGGTGTTTTGCCTAGCTTTGGTATTAAGGTGGTGCTAGCCTCATAAAATTGAGTTTAGAACTATTTCCTTTTTTTATTTTTCTGAAAGGGTTAAAGAAAGATTGGTATTCATTTGCTTTTGAGTTTTGATAGAATTTGCCTGTAGAGCCAACTGGTCCTGGGATTTTCTATGTTGGGAGGTTATGGATTACTGGCTCAATCTCCTGATTTTTATTTGTTTGTTCAGGCTATTTCTTGTCAATTTGGTTTTGATAAGTTCTATATCTCTAGAAATTTATACATTCTCTCAGGTTATTCATTTTTTTTTTACTATACAATTGTTGATAAAAATCCCTCTTGATCCTTTACATTTCTGAGGCGTTAGTTATAACGTCTCTTCTTTCATTTCTCAAATTTTGTCATTTGAGTCTCCTTTTTCTGTTAGTCTACTTCAGGATTTGTCAATTTTACACATTTTTCTTAAAAAAACCAACTGCTATACTTAAGGAAATATTTATTTATTTATTATATATGTATGAATAAACTAGGACTTTGGTGTAAGAAATTTTGGTAAGACTGGCAATGAAGAACTGAATTGGCATCCCAACATCAAACTCTAAACGTACCAAAGCACTATAAGTCAGATGGTTTTTCTCTTCAAAAAGTCGTCATATCCATCCAATAGGAGATTATGGCAGGCTGAATTATACCCTTCTCCCAAAAGTGTCCATGTCCTAAATCTCTGGAATATGTTGCTTTATATGAAAAAATAAGGTTTAAGTATGTAATTAATGATTTCAGATTGGGAGATTATCTTGAATCTATGGTGGGCCTAATGTATCCACAAGAGTGTTTTAAGAAGGAAGGAACAGTGATGATGAAATCAGGAGCCATGGTCAGAGAGAGAGAGAGAGAGAGAGAGAGAAAGGGAGAGGAAGAGAGATTTGAAGGTTTTTTATGTAGTTGGCTTGAAGATGGAGCAAGGAACCAAAAGCCTGGGAACGCAGGAGGTCTCTAGAACCTGGAAAAGAATTGGAGCCTTCAGAGTGAATGCAGACTGCAGACACATTGGGGTAAGCTTAGGGTTACCCACACCAAACTTCTAACCTCTAGAACTGTAAAATAATAAATCTATGTTGTTTTAAACCATTAAATTTATGATAATTTATTATAACAGCCAGAAGTAACTAATAGAGTTATAAACCTTTTTTTTTCTCTCAATAGGACACCATCTCCTGAAATATGAAATTTGGTATAAAATAGAATGGTTCAACTTCTTTATTAATTTAATTTACATCAAACATATATTCCCTGAAAACATGAAATGAGTTTTTTTCTCATCATTTCTGTTAATTGTTTTTTGCCACTGCTTATAAGATACTCGCTTCTATATGAAAATGTAGAGACTAACATTATCACTAGTACTTTCTTATTGGTTTAATTTTAATATATTCTTGATCTCTGATACATTATACATGCCCCTAAGATAGCCCCCATTTTTAAATATAGAGAAATAGTGTTTTATAGTCACAAGATAAATGTGTCCTCTGTCATAGTATATACTTTGAAATATAACTCAATTCCTATATCAAGTGAATTATTACTCTGGTAACATAGCATCTGGTAATTATGGCCTAATGAAAAAGCACTGGCTAAAGAATTTAGAAGACTCCGTTATTCATTTTGATTCTGAGTGATAATAACTACTTAATCTTTGAATATTCACTTGAGTTTTAAGCATCTCCATTTCCTCATCTGTAACATTACAAACCTAGACATGTTCTGTACGATACTTCACGACTTAAACGTTTATAATACGGAAAAGCAATCTGAAAATATCTTGAACGAGCTACCGCGCTCTTATCTTTTTTTTTTCTTTTTTTTTTCCTGAATAGAGTGCACTAGATTTATACAAGGGTGACTGTGAAACATTTAGCTATTGGCCTACTAACTCAGTGCAAATGAATAGCAAGAAAACTCTCATACCATTTTTTATAGACTTCATTCCTAACACTTTTTGTAACTTAATGACCATTGATGCTTTCTTTGCATAATGTTTCTATTATTATCTCTCCAATGTTAGCATTATATAACAATTATTTGGAATAACTGTCAAAAAACGAAGAAAAGCAAAACAAAACAAACTTTGTTTTGGATTTAATCCCCTACTGTGTTTCTCACATCAGTGCATGTGCTCTAAAATTCCTGCTCTCCAGAGCTGGAAGAGGTGTCCTGGGGATAAGATGAATTACCAACAGGCTCTAGTTAAGCAGTAGGTAATATATCTGTTTAGACGCACAGCACATATGAAGACAAATGTGAGGTTCAGACACAAAACCTCCAGTTTTGACATCAGTGTGTGATAATCTCCCAGTTTCCCAGATCCATAGTACGTGCTTAAAGCTTATGGTTAATCACTATGATCTTCAGCTTCCTCACTTAAATAAAAGTAATATTCCAATACTGACAATATAACAAATTGAGGCAATTTAAGTGGTGTCTATCATTTATATTTTCCCATCACCTCTCCTCTACCTCTTAAATAAAAATAAAATCACATTCCACCAATCCCACAGGACAGTATGTGGCCAAGGTAGGCCAAAAATAATACTTAGCCTTCTAGCTATGCCAGATGATCCAGGAGCAGGTATGCTCACACTAAGAAAACCAATCAGGAAGCATACCCACGCCTTCTGTGGTGGGACTAAGATCCCACTTTATAACTCATTGACAGGGATCAGAGGAGCCACTTCAAAGCGTTGGTTACATGTTCATTGATACAATGATAGGAGAGAATAAAGTCAGCACCGTGACTAAAGCAAAAATACATGACGAGAAATAAAAATTTACCCAAGCGTCTTGCCTAAAACAATACGTATGAGAGAATCCTTTGAAAATTGTAATGCATTATGCAACCTATAACACCATTTTGTGTTTTCTCAAGCCCTTGTTCTAAAGGATTTAGTTCTCTCTCTCTCTCTCTCTCTCTCCCTCTCCCTCTCTCTCCCTCTCTCTCTCTCTCAGCTCATTTATGATGTGCAAAGCCTAAGCTAAGTGTTGAATACTAGGCACATTTACTGAGCTTAATCCTATAGTGCATACTTACTATGCGGGATGGCAGACAATTAAAACAAGAAATGATGATGACATGAGATATATGGCAAATGAGGAAAAATGTCAAGGTGCTCCAAGGGCAATTATTGAGAGTAAGAAAAGGCTTCACTGAGAAAAATGAGTTTTATACTTATACTTGGGGGATGATTAGGGCAATTAGAAGTTAACTGGGTAACTGGGTAACGGGCGCAGTGGCTCACACCTGTAATCCCAGCACTTTGGGAACCCCGAGGCAGGTGGATCACCTGAGGTCAGGGGTGTGAGAAAAGCCTGGCCAACATGGTGAAACCCCATCTCTTCTAAAAATACAAAAACTAGCCAGGCGTGGTGGCACCTGCCTGTAGTCCAGGCTCCTGGGGAGGCTGAAGCAGGATAATCGCTTGAAACAGGAGGTAGAGGTTGCAGTGAGCAAAGATCGTGATTCAGTCTCAAAAAAAAAAAAAAAAAAAAAAGGTAACTATTAACTAACTTGGTGGAAGGAAAATGGTGAGAGTAATGAAAAGACTTTTCAGAGTTGGAGCCATTTATGTGAAACTATGAGTGAATGATCACTTGGTAGCCCTAGGAGCTAGATTTACTCACCTGCTTTGGAATGCAGATCAGGAAGGAATGGAGGTGGCTGAGTTGGGAGAAATAAGACCAGAATAGTCAACACATAGCCAAGAATGGCTACCCATGAAAATGATAAACTTGTTCTCTTCAGCTGCAATGCCCCACTTCCTCCTCAGCTTGTATTCCAGTGTTTCAGTCTCTTTCCCTATCGATACGGCCTGTCCCTGCTCCCCAGCACCCTCCTCGCCACCCCACCCCACCCCACCTTCGTGCTTCCTTCCTTCTCCCCATTCTTCCCATGGTGACATTTTAGAAGTAGAAACCAGATGGACTGACAGTAATGCCTATCATTTTGTAATTTCTTAGAAAATTTAAGGAAAATAAGTACTTACACATCAGAAACAGAAACTTTTGAGCCAAATTAAAATGAAACAACATCAAGAAATGATGTGCCCTGTTTCATAAAATTTTGTCATTAGGTTCAACACTTACTTTAACGATATGCATTGTATATCTCACATCCTTAATGTTCGCTTTAATATGTTTACATTATAAAAGTACTATAATGTTATATCAGAGAAATTAGGTAATAAAGGCAAAACAATGCTATGTGATCATATTAACCTAACAAAAACACATAATTTTCTTGTATATCCATTTATTCATTTCATATTTTTATTCAAAATTGATTTCTGCATTTAAATAGAAGAGTTTCAATTTATACATTGCATTTTATTTTAAAAGTCACAACTTATATGAATTTCTATTTTTAGGGGAATATGTACACATTTTCACTTCCTTATAGAGCTTTAAAATATAACAGTATTCTCAATACTGGTCAATGTTCAATCGAGTAATTGCTATCAAAAGTTATCAATGTTAGAATTTCTAAATATAATTTCTAAAATTGTGCATACTGGAAGAGATTTATTTATAAACATATATAAGTATATATCTTGAGAAGGTAGGGAATCAAATGATTTGACAAGACACTGATTCTTATTTTGAGGAAAAAATGTACTTTTGGAAAATGTATATGAGTCAGAGAGTAAACGATGCATTTTCTTTGTATGAATTATTCCTCCTAAGGAATACCTTTTACAACTCTATAACGAAAAGATTAATATTTCTCTATTTTCTCTTAAAAAAATAGAAAAACAGCTTGTAGAGAATATAGGAATTTTTTTCTTCCTTTCTTTCATGAATTATACCACTGCTAGTTTTCCATAAAACTTAGAATAATAAATTGCAATTTTGTAAAATCATACATTTGACTCCTTTCTCCTTCAAAGAACAACTTTAAAAACACCATTTGTTGCTCATTAGTAATATTCAGAAGTCACAGATGAAATGTGCACATATTCTCCAAAAAGATTTTGCCTTTTGTGATAAAATTTCTAAAATTGAATAGTTGTGTATTGAAATTCCACAGAGCATCATTTCCTTTGAGACAAAAGGAAACTGTGTTCACTTTAGCTGTCATTTTTTTCAAAGTCAATCCCAGTACTTTTTTATGTTAACATTTTAATAATGCATAACATTCTATACCATATTTTATCAGAAACAAATTTGTTCTATTGCCCCAAAAAATCACTTACATGAGATATTTGTTGTCATGCTTTGTCAATATACAGATGTAAATATATTTATCATTTACATATAAATGAATGTTCGAACACAGACACTTGGCTTTTGACATATACATAAATGTGTCTGTGAATGATTACAGAAGTGATCAGGGCCTCGGCATTTCCCTTGGAGGTAGCAAAGTGTCTCCTAGACTTTCAGCTGTTTTTCTCTGTGTTTCTGTGACTGTCATGAAAGCTGCTTTTTTTTCCCCCATGAGTACCACAGGCAGAAATGCCAGGAAGCTAACATACCCTGGGAGCTGTCCTCAAATGGTAACTCTAGGAAGCTGATGTATAAATACCCTAGGCTTCCTGCTCCTTGAATTAAATCATTCAGAGACATCTGTTTTAGACGAGTCTCAGAATTTCCTCACAACATTAAGTTCCAGATATCCCCAGTGGTGCTTGGCTTCATAACACTCCATTTAATGCATCTTCCCTGTGTCACTTCCCCACCTCATTACCACTCTTCCTGCCCTTCTGTATTAGGCCATTCTTGCATTGCCATAAGGAATACCTCAGACTGGGTAATTTATAAAGAAAAGAGTTGGCTGGGTGCAGTGGCTCACACCTGTAACACCTGTAATCGCAGCACTTTGGGAGGCCGAGACGGGCGGAACAGCAGAAGTCAAGAGTTCAAGATCAGCCTGGCCAACATGACACAACCATGTCTCTACTAAAAAAATACAAAAATAAGCCGAGTGTGGTGGTGTGCGTCTGTAGTCCCAGCTACTCGGGAGGCTGAGGCAAGAGAATCACTTGAACCAGGAGGTAAAGGTTGAAGTGAGCCGAGATCATGCCATTGCGCTCCGGCCTGGGCGACAGAGTGAGATTCTGCCTCAACCCACACGTGCCCTCCATCCCCCCCCAAAAAAAGAAAGAAAAGAGTTTAATTTGTTCCTGGTTCGGTAGGCTGTACAAGTATAGCACAACATCCGCTTGGCTTCTGGGGAAGCCTCAGGGAGCTTGTACTTATTGTGGAGTATGAAGCAGGAGCAGACATCTCACATTGCGGGAGCAGGAGCAAGAGAGAGGGTAGGGGGGTGCCACACACTTAAACAAACAGAACTTGCATGAACTTTCTATTGCAAGGACAACACCAAGCCATCAGGGATCTGTTTTCATGACCAAAACACCCCCCATCAGGCCCCGCTTCCAACACTGGGGATTATATTTCAACATGAGATTTGTGTGGGGACAAATATCCAAACCCTTGTCCCCCACATCTCATATCCTTGTCACATTTCAAAATACAATCGTGCCTTTTCAAACAGTCCCGCAAAGTCTCAACTCATTCCAGCATTAACTCAAATGTCTCATGTGAGCCAAGGCAAGTCCCTTCCACCTATGAGCCTACAAAAAAAGAAAAAAAAAAGCCAAGTTATTAATTTCCAATATACAATGGGAGCGTAGACCTTGGGTAAACATTCCCATTTGAAAAGTGAGAAATTAGCAAAAGAAAGGGGCTATCAGTCTCATGCAAGTTCAAAACCCAATGGGGCATCATTAAACCTCAAAGCTCCAAAATATTCTTATATTACCCCCTGTCCCACATCCAGGACACACTAGTTGAAGAGATTGGCTTCCAAAGCCTTGGGAAGCCTTGCCTCTGTGTCTTTGCCAGCTACACAGGTTGGAGCTGCTCTCACAGGTTGGAGCTGAATGCCTTAGGCTCTTCCTGGTGCAGGGTGCAGGCTGCCAGTGGATCTACCATTCTGGGGTCCGGAGGACAGTGTCCCTGTCCCCAAAACTTCACTAGGGAGTGTCCCAGTGGGGATTCAGTGTCAGGGCTCCAATCCCACATTCCCACATTTGCTCCCCATGCTGCCCTAATGCAAGTTTTCTGTGAGGCCTCCACCCCTGCAGCAGGCTTCTGCTTGGGTACCCAGACTTTCCCATACATCCACTGATATCTAGGTGGGGGCTGTCAAGCTTCCTTTACTCCTATACACTGCTCACCCACAGGCTTCACTCATACACTCTCCTCATCTGCAGGCTAACCACCATGTCAAAGCCATCAAGGCTTATGGCTTGTACCCTCTGAAGTGGCAGCCCAAGCTGTATTTGGGGTCCTCAGAGTTGAGTCTGGAGCTGGAATGGCCTGGAGATGAGGTGCGGCCTCACAGTAAAATAACATTACTGTGAGGTGACACAGGACAGTGGTGCCCTGGGCCCCTGAAACCATTCAGTACCCCTGTGCTTCTGGGTCTGTGATGAGAGAAGATGCCTAGAAGGTTTCTTAAATACCTTGAAGGCCTTTTCCCCATGATCTTGGCTATTAGCACTTGGGTCCCTTTTCATTATGTAAATCTTTCAAGCCAAGTGGTTGCTCCACAGCCTGCTTGGATTCTTCTGATAATGCTTTTTCTTTCTCTGCCATATGGTCAGCTTGCAGATTTTCAAACTTCTATGCTCTGCCTCCCCTTTAAATATAAGTTCAAATTTTAAGTCATTTACTTTGTTCCTGCACCTGAGTTTAGGATGTTAGAAACAGCCAGGGCATATCTTGAATGCTTTGCTGCTTATAAATATTTTCTGCCAAATACGTTAAGTCATTTATTCTGAAGTTCAAACTTCTACATATCTCTGGGGCATGGACACAATGCAGCCAAGCTCTTTGCTAAGGCACAACACATGTGACTTTGCTCCAGTCCCCAATAAGTTCCTCATTTCCATCTGAGAATTCATCAGCCTGGATTTTATTGTTATTACCACTATCAACATTTAGGTCACCACCATTTAACGAGTCTCTAAGAAGTTGCAAACATTCCATCATCTTTCTGTTTCCTTCTGAGTTCCTCAACCTCTACCAACCTCTGCCTATGACCCAGTTCCAAAGCTGCTTCCACATTGTCAGGTATCTTTACAGCAATGCTCCACTCCTTGGTACCAATTTCCTGTATTCTTTCACTTCTATAAAGAAATATCGGAGACTGAGTAATTTTTATTTAGAAAAAAGGCTTAGTTGGCTTACAGTTCTGCAAACTGAATAAGCATGACACCGGCATCTACTCAGCTTCCGGGAGGGACTCATGGAGCTTATACTCATGGTGGAAGGTGAAGCGGGGGCAGGCATGTCACATTGTAGGAACAGGGGAAAGAGAGAGTTAAGAGGGAGATGCCACAAACTTAAACAACCAGATCTCACATGAACTTTTTTACTATTGCAAGGACAGCACCAAGCCATGGGGGACTCAACCTCATGACCAAAACACCTCCAACCAGGCCCCATCTCCAACACTGGGGATTAAAACTCAACATGAAATTTGGGTGGGGACAAATATCTAAACTATATCACTCTCCCAGACAGCCTAATCAAAAGCTCAGTGTCGGCCGGGTGCGGTGGCTCAAGCCTGTAATCCCAGCACTTAGGGAGGCTGAGGCAGGCGGATCACGAGGTCAGGAGATCGAGACCATCCTGGCTAACACGGTGAAACCCCGTCTCTACTAAAAAATACCAAAAAATTAGCCGGGCATGGTGGCAGGTGCCTGTAGTCCCAGCTACTCGGGAGGCTGGGGCAGGAGAATGGCGTGAACCCGGGAGGCGGAGCTTGCCGTGAGCTAAGATCACGCCACTGCACCCCAGATTGGCGACAGAGCAAGACTCCATCTCAAAAAAAAAAAAAAAAAAAAAGCTCAGTGTCAGTTTTTGGAGGACACAAAATTAAGATCTCATGTGTATCTTTTTATCTTGCCTCATGAATAGTAGACACTGCATAAATATGGGCAAATAAGTGTATACATATTTTATATGGCATTTGCAAAAATATATGTTTATCTGAGAGGTCTTTATATAAGCTCCTCAATGTTTCCAATGTAATGGTATCTTAATCGTGTTCTCCTTTCTATACCTACGAGTTAGCATCTTCACGTGCCTGCAATCTATCCTCCTTTGCCCATGTACACATATGCACATGCACACCCACACATGTAATATACACTACTTGTTTTGTGTGTATATATGTGTGTGTGTGTATATACCTATATATATATGTTATATATATACACATACAGTAGTTCCTCCTAATCCACAGTTTGACAGTTTCAAGTACAATCTGCTGTTTCAGACATCAAGGGTTTGGAAGGTATCCTCCACAGATAGGGGGACTATTGTATACGTTCTATTTGTAATACATACAGGTATACATGTGTACCTGTATGTCTATATTTATATGTGTACACTTCTATATCTGTATTTATCTATATCTATATTTCAATATGTATAAGTAATCTATATTCATCATAACAATACAGGTAAGATATTGAAACTATATTTTATATTATTCCAGCCTAATGAAATAATCATGAATTTTTGTTATATGAATTTATGCTTGTTAAGTTATACCCAATTATTCACAAAGCTTTGGAAATAAACGTTGTAAAAACCAAAACTTCACAGCCATGTGGTTGGAAGGATATAGCAGCCAACACTTTGTGAAGTGATCCATAGTCTATAAATGACTCCATTTGTACATTAACCTCAATCATAAAGGAATAATATTTTTCTATGAATAGGGTTGTTGTAGCACAGATATTTTCCAATGGAATTGGAATAGTCTTTGGAGGAAATGGATATTTTAATTTTTTTTGATAAATTAATATGGTGAAAAAGAACTTAACATTTTGGTAAAGTATGTACTTAATTGAATGTCTTAACTGAAATGAATAAATTAATATACATAAATCATTTCATCTTTATTGTCTCAATTTTCAAATATAAGCTTTTTATTACTCAGAAAAAAATAATAATCTGGCACTGAAAGATGTTAATTGTTTATAAACACACACTTGTTTGCTGGTTCTCAGGAATATCTCAGGTTTGTATAGACTTACATGAGGCATTATTTAAATGGTGACTTTATTTGTTGTTACTTTAAATGTTAAAATTAATGCTCAAATAAGGTGCATAGAGTTTAGCATATTAGATAACTTACTGTTTAAGAAGCTTGTAATTTAAGATCTTAGAAAACGAGAAAGAATAAACACAACATTTTTTTTAAAATGACAGAAAATCATTGCATTTTATATGTTTTAATTTTTGTGTCTACTTATTTTTACAATGTACATTTTTTAGATGTGTGGTGTTTGACATTCTTATATTCAGTGTCTGTCACAGAGCATTTTAAATTCTTTTGCCAAAAACAAACACAAATGCATCGCCTTTAAAATGACACAGGTTTATGAGGACATATGACGAATGTGCAGAATAGACCTGTCAAGTGGACCTTTTGTTCCTTTCTTCAGCTCACCAATGTGAAACAGATTAAACCTGAGAAAAAACGCTTGCACCATTTTCCAAACGCAAAATTGGTTGAGTATTTGGAATGTGCAGGGATGCCTCGGGGATCATATATCTCTATCTATAGAATCACATTCTCCTACTTTAATATCATTTATTTCACACAAAATAATCTGTAAAATATTGAAAAACTGCTGGTTTGAAATGTTTCTTTGCCAGCTTTTTTAAGCCTTTGAAGTCCTTATATACGTAGTTTTCAAACTTTGCAAGTTTCATGAATTCAGGGATGCTGGGAAGAACATTTAATCTCTCAAAAAGCAGGAAATGAACATTCACAGAAAAGACTCAGTCACTTATTCTGAATCTTAAGGAAGTTGGCTATTTGGCATTTCCTGGGGATTTAAATGAGTAATTGCAATCTCATAATATTTTAGTATATTATAATCATCACTGTCCTTGTAAAATTCTTTATAATAATGGTCTATGGAAATTTTTTTATGTTCATTCAGAGTGTTGGTGATGATGGGTGAGCTAAACAAAGGCATTCTTTAAAAAAACTGAATAACAATGTTATTATATATATATCTGGGTAATATTTGCTAATATATGGCTTTTCAGTCAATGGGAGGAAATTGCATAATATTAGAGATCAGGAAGAGTGACAAGTGTGGACATTTAAGACCACTGCTACTCTCTGTTAAGGGTCCATTTTGGCAATGACTATGTCATTCTACTGAAAGCCAGCAGATGGTCCATGCCCTCTAGCATGGCTTGCCTTGAGTGCCATTAGCTGTCTGCTATTTTCCTTTCAGAACAAAGCATGTTCAGAGCTCTCTTAAGTCCTTAGCTTGCCCTTATTGTTCCCCTTCACCCTATCCTAAATTCATAAATAATCAATTTCTTAAGCTCTCTTCAATTACAACTTTGAGAAACCACTCACAGATTTTTTTTTTTTTCAAGAACATCACAATACACATTATGTTATGAGGTCTTAACTATGGTCCCTTAGGAAAGTACTCAAGCCTGAAAAATATTGAAAGCCTCTAGGGTAGGAATATTAACAGACTTATTTCCATAGGCAGGCAGGTAGGTAGGTAGGTAGGTAGATAGATAGATAGATAGATAGATAGATAGATAGATAGATAGATAGATAGATACCATACTCCTATGCCGACACAAGTCACTGTCTTAGTTTGGGTGTCTATTAGAAAGTACCTTAAATTGTATGGCTTATAAACAGAAGTTTATTTCATGTTTCTAGATGTGGGTAAGTCCAAGACCAAGGAGCCAGCAGATTCAGAGTCCAGGGAGGGCTGTTCCTGATTTGCAGATGGCGCCTTCTCTTTATGTCTTCACAAGGTATGAGGTCAGAGGAACTCTTCAGAGTCCCCTTTTTAATAATAGCACTAATTCCAGTCATGCGGGCTCCCCTCTCATGATCTAATCACCTCCCAAAGGCACCACCCACCTCCTAATACCTGGCACTACCTAGGGGGTTAGGGTTTCAACCCCCACTATAAATTTGGAGAAGGACACAAAACTTTCAGACCATAGTAGCTCAATTCCATTACCCCATGTGATTTTTGCCTTAATACTTAGCATTCTAAAATTGCCTGCCATATTTAACTGGTTTATTACAAATATCCTTTCTAGCTAGGCCATATGCCTATATAACAACAGTTTTTCCTCTTTAACACTTGTATTCCTAGGTTTTGACACATAGTATGTTCATGATAAAAATGTATGTTTTAATAGTCAAAGTTCTCTGATTCAATTAGATTCATGCAAATTACAATTTTATAGCAATGCCTATCTGCACCACATAACTATTAAAGCCTCTTAAAATATCTCATGTAAAACTATTTACAATACCATACTTTCAAGAATGTAAAAGGGACTTACATTTTCTGGCAGCACATGGGTTGTTGAATGCTTTTGCAGTATCTCAGGATTCCAATGTGTACGGAAGGGTCCAGCAATACCAATACTACAAATGAGAGATGCAAAAAATATTATTTAAAACTCTGCTTTCTTTTATTGTGTTACCCACACATCAACAAGAACTGCAAGCAGAAGCTGACTTAGAAAAAAACCATAAGAAAAAAAAATCTGAAATAGTAAGTAAAAAACACCAGAGGATACAGAACTATTGGAATGCTGCATACATTTTTTCACCTAAATATATTAATATCACAATTTCTAAAAAAAATCACAAATTATTTATTAGTCAGATTGATCTCTTAGCCTCATATTTAATTCCTCAGGTCAGGTTCAACTATTAGCAGAAGAAAACAATCTGCTATTTCCATAAATAAAATATTGATACTAAAGCAGCATCAGGAGTGTTGATGAACATATAATAAAATGTGTGTCCAAGCACAGATCCTGTCATTGTGCTTCACTTTAATGCACTTTACGGATATGATGTTTTTCACAAATTGAAGGCTGCCAGTAGACCTACAGCAAGCAAGTCTATCAGCACCATTTTTCCAACGGCATGTGCTCAGTTTGTGTGTCTGTGTTTCGCCATATTTCAAACATTTTCATTATTGATATACTTGTTATGATGATCAGTGATCAGTGATCTTTGATGTTACTATTGCATTTATTTTGAGCTGCCACAAACCACGCCCATGTAAGATGGCAAAATCTATTAATAGATATGTATGTTCTAACTACTGCATGGAATGGCTGCTCTCCCATCTCTCCCTCTCCTCAGGTATTGCTATTCCCTAAGAAACAACAATGTTGAATTTAGGCCAATTAATAATTTGCAATGGCCTCCTAAGTAGTCAAGTGAAAAGATGAGGAGAACATCTCATTGTAAATCAAAATCTAGAAATGGATGATGAGGGATTAATTAATGGGTACAATATATGATATTTGGGTAATACCCTAAAAACCCTGATTTCACTACTACTCAATCTACGCATCTAACAAAATTATGCTTGAACATCATAAATTTATATACATTTATTATTTTAGTTCAGCTTAGTTTATTTCTGGGATACATGTGCAGGACGTGCAGGTTTGTTACATAGCTAAACGTGTGCCATGGTAGTTTGCTGAAGCTATCAACCCATCACCTAAGTATTAAGTCCAGCATGCATTACCTATTTTTCCTGATACTCTTTTTCTCCCTACTCCACCCCCAACGACAGGCCTCAGTATGTGTTGCTCCTCTCCCTGTGTCCACGTGTTCTCATTGTTCAGCTCCCACTTATGAGTGAGAACATGTGGTGTTTGGTTTTCTGTTCCTGTGTCAGTTTGCTGAGGATGGCTTCCAGTTCCATCCATGTCCCTGCGAAGGACATGATCTCATTCCTTTTTATGGCTGCATAGTATTCCATGGTGTATATGTACCAAATTTTCTTTATCCAGTCTATCATTGATGGGCATTTGGGTTAATTCTATGTCTTTGCTATTTTATACATATTTCTTAAAGCCAGAAATGATTAGGCTTAGTGAGTAAGGAATGTTAGAAGCTGAGATAGGCTGAAAACTAGGCCCCTTGGGCCAAATAGCCAAATTGTGAATGTAAAGGAAAAATTCTTGAATAATATTACTAATACTACTCCAGTGAACACACAAGGATAGGAAAGCAAAACAACCATATTGGTGATACAGAGAAAGTTTTAGTGGTATGAATAGAAGATCAAACTAGCCACAACATTCCATTAAGCCAATGCCTAATTCAAAGCAAGGTCCTAACCCTCTACAATTCTGTGAAAGCTGAGAGAAGTGAGGAAGCTGCAGAAAAGTGTGAAGCTAGCAGCGGTTGCTTCATGAGGTTTAAGGATAGAAGCCATCACCACACATAGAAGTTCAAGGTGAAGCAGCAAGTGCTGATGTGAAAGCTACAGCAAGTTATCCAGAAGATCTAGCTAAAAGCACTGATGAAGGTGTCTACACTAAGCAACAGATTTTCAATGTAGACAAAATAGCCATGTATTGGAAGAAGATGCCATCTATTGAAGATGACTTCCATAGCTAGAGAGGAGAAGTCAAAAGACATCCTGACTCTCTTGTTAGGGGATAATGCAACTGGTGACTTTATGTTGAATCCAACGTTTATTTACCATTCTAAAAATTTAGGGTCCTTAAGAATTATGTTAAATCTACTCATCCTGTGCTCTATAAATAGAAGAACACAGCCTGGATGACAGCACATAAGTTTACAGCATGGTAGACTGAATATTTTAAGCTAACTGTACAGACCTACTGTTCAGAATAAAAAAAGCCCAACAGATTTGTTTCAAAACATTATTGCTCATTTACAATGCACCTGGTCACCCAAGAGTTCTGATGGAAATGGGCATTGAGGATTAATGTTTTCATGCCTGGTAATATAACATCCATTCTGCAACAAATGTATCAGGGGCATACTTTTGACTTCTAAGTCTTTTTATTTTAAAAAATACATTTCATAAGTCTATAGTTACCATAGTTAGTGATTCCTCTGATGGATCTGGGCAAGGTTAATTAGTAGCCTTCTGGAAAGGATTCACCACTGTTGATGCCATCAAGGACATTCATGACTTATGGTAGATGGTCAAAATGTCAACTTTAATAGGCATTTGGAAGAAATTGATTCCAATTCTCATGGATGACTTTGAGGGACTCAAGACTTCAGTGGAGGAAGTAACTGAAGATGTGGTGGAAATAGCAAAAGAACTAGAATTAGGAGTGTGATTAAATTTCTGAAATCTGATAATTAAATTTGGATGAATGATGAGTTATTTCTATGGATGAGGAAAAAAAAAGAAGATTCTAGAAGCGGACTCTACTCCTGGTGAAGAAGCTGTGAACATTGTTCAAATGACAAAAAGGGATTTAAAATATTACATAAACTTGGTTGATAAAGCAGCAGTCAAGTTTGAGAGGATTGACTTCAGTTTTGAAAAAAGTTCTATGGTGGGTAAAATGCTATCAAAGAGCATAGAAATCTTTCCTGAAAGAAAGAATCAATCTGAGGGGCAAACTTCATTGTCTTATTTTAAGAATTTGCCACACCTACCCCAAACTTCATCAATCTGACCCTGATTAGTCAGCAACCATCAATAGAGACCTTCCACCAGCAGAAAGATTATGACTTGCTGGGGGCTCAAATGATCGTTAGCATTTTGTAGCAATAAAGTATTTTTAAATTAAGGTATGAACTTTGGTTTTAAACATAATTCTCTTGCACATTTTATATATAATAATGTACAGTATAGTGCAAATATAACTTTTAGATGCAATGAGAAATTTTAAAAAATTGAGTTTCACTTTTTTGTAATACTTCACTGTGGATTTCTGGAACTAAATACACAATATCTCTGAGGTATGCATGTATGTACTTATGTGTATGTGTGTGTATATCTATATATTATATAGATATTAATTTAACAGTTAATAAAACTAAAAACTGATGTTAAACATTCAAATCCAGAATTGTTGAAAGCAGAGGCATAATTTCTTCATTTAACATTCATCCAACTTTTTCCTGATACACCAGATTTAAAATAAAACCAGATGGGGCATAAGAAAAGATATTTTCTAAAGCATATCTTATTCATAGCTTTTTAATAAAACTTGAGATTTTGGACTTGGATGTCTTGGCCATCAGCTACCTAACAAAATGTTATTGTTGCTCAGCTTTAAGAAACGTTATCATTATTTTTCCATTTGACACGGTAAGACATGAATACAGGTCAGTGCCTATAACAGAAGATGATAAATTATACATTTGAGTTTCATTGCCAATGCTAATAGTGACCATTGCTAAACTAAAATATTTAAATATCATCGATTTCATTTAACAGCAATTACTGTGGCTGTGGCATTGCTAATATGCCCTGAAATCTGAGATGTAAGATAAGAGTTTAATACCAACTAAGTAATAAATATTCTCCACTAAATTCTTACTGAAAACTTAAATAATAAATTATATTATAATTTTCCCAAGTGTAGATATTTTACAGCATTTTTAATAAAATGACAAGTACTAATTAGAATTTCAAGAATGTGAAAAATAAGTTTCTGATTTTTCAGGCCCTGATTAAATACTCATATTGTGTTATAGAATTCTTCTAACTTACATAGACTCGAACAGATAACATACAGTACAATTTTTATTGAGAACACAGACTAATGAATTTCCTCAAAATTCATTGCTGAAAAATTTAACTAGAAATTTCAAATCCACCCGAAAACGATACTATCAAGCTTTTTTATGGGAGATTGTGAAGATTATTAAAATGATTGATTGTCATAATAATTTAGTTTATTTGTTAGTATACATTATAAGTTCAATACAACTATCAATCATTCAAACAGTTTATTTGCATTGTGTAGAGGCAGTTTAATTTTTCTGCTTCTGCTAATCTTAGTGGGAAAATATAAACGTCTATTATGAGAATTCAAAACCCAATTCAGCCAAATAACTAAAACTCATGGTACCCAAATGGGTAATGTCTCATGCGTTTGTTTTTTAGAGACAGCTTTCAATAGGGGCTTGAAAGATTTTTAAATCTATAATTTGGTACATGCTCATAATAATGTCTTTAAGTCATTTCATTTTGTCAATGTTTTAAATAGTCATTATGTAAAGAAAAATGTCAAGTAGTATTGAATCAGAAAGTGTTGAACCTGGCCAACTCAGATGACAATCTAGAGGGGTTGACTTCAAGTTAGTTTATTCTCCTTTTACTCAATGTTTTCAATGCTACGTAAAGCCTCAAATATTTTTATTAGAAACCAAAACTTTTCATTTAAACAATTTGGTCACCACCACCATCCGTTAGAGACACACACACACACACACACACACACATACACACACACACACAACTATACAGGTTGAGTATCCTTTATCCAAAATGCTTTGGAATAGAAATGTTTTGTATTTCAGATTTTTTTTAATGTTGAAGTATTCGCATACAGGTAATAAGATATCTTGGAGATGGGACCAATGTCTAAACATGAAATTTGTTTGTTTCATATATACCTTACAAACATAGACTGAAGGTAATTTTATACAATATTTTAAATAATCTTGTGCATGAAACAAAATATGTGCATATTAAATTATCAGAAAGCAAAGGCAAGCCCCCCATGTGGACAATCTGTGGCCATCTAGCATTTCCACCATTGTTGACACTGAATTCATATATCACTAATAAGCAATTCTCTTCTATTTGTTTACACATAAGCACTTAATGGTAAAAAGTGTGACCTACAGTGAGAAAACTATATGTTAAGGGTAACTCAGCAACACAGCGCAACACCTGGATCAGCTGCTAGACAACAGCAGCAATGAACAATGATAAACTTTCAGTCTCCACCTATGATGTTATGTTTTGATTAAAGGCTTACCGTACAGTGTGTGTGTGTGTGTGTGTGTGTGTCTGTGTGTGTGTGTGTGTGTGTGTAAACATCATCAGCAGTTGAGGGACCAGAAAGTGGGTCCTGTAGGGATGAGGAGGCATTCTGCTGGATGGCTTCTTAGAATATTTCCTTCAGAGTCATCTGCCTGATTGACAATATATTTTTCCTCAGAAATCTCTCTTTGATTTTATTAATGGACATGATTTCTTGTTTGATTATAAATATACACTTCACTAGTCCTTCAATTAGCCCATCACACACTTTCACCATGTAATCCATTGGAACATTTTCTGAAGTGTTAACAACGTCATCTTTACTGTACCTATAATAAGAATCAACCTTCGTTCAGAAAAATTTAGGCTATTTCACTATCAGTCAATAAATGAACAACCAGAACCTCATTATTGATGTTAAAAGCTTCTTCAATATCCACATCTTTCAGATTGCTGACATACTATGAAGGTATAATTTTTGCATAAGTAAGGTGGTAAGACCATTTTTTATTCTCAATGACACCACCTTGTTCATCATCATCATCACTTAACATAATCACAGTCCAGTAGTTGAATCAGGTATGCACACCTGTGTCTTTACTCACTCTGTTCCCAGCATTGGCAACAGCATGTAAGGCATCCTGCATGCTAAACTGCCTTTGAAAACCTTCCACGCCTATGCCTCTGCTCAATGCTACTAACATGCTATTCAAGGAAGTATTTTCATATTTACACTTCATTGATCTAAGGATGCACCGGTCACGTGATTAATTGATAAAGTCACATTTAGGAGAAAGCACATAGCATAAACAGTATTTTTATGAGAATTTCAGCTGGAGGATGAGCAGAAAAGTTATCAAGGAATAACAAAATCTCACAGTCATCATTCAGTCCAATTTTCCTGCAGTAAGCATGAGCTGCTGGTAGAAAATGTTTGTGAAATTAGACCAAATGTTGTCCCCAGTAATCCATGCATTTTTTGAGAACACAACAGTGGCCTAGTAGGAAATTCCCTCCTTGCAAACAGTGAGGACATAAGCTTTTGCCTATCACAGCAAGTTTATACTTCTGCATGCCTGCTGCATTAGCAATTGCCAACACAAATTTCTCTCCTTGGCATCCTTAATTCCTATAGGGGCTGTTTCCTCAGCTGTAGTCAGTGTCTTTCTGAGATAATAATACCCAAACGGTGACATTTTGCCAGCATAATAGATTTGTCCTTGCATCATATTCCATCATCGATGACCTTGGCAAGGTCATCAATGAATTTCTCTGCTGCCCCATAATCTGCAGGTGCTTTATCTCCACAAATATTTGAAAATGTAATGTCAATGTCAATGTCTTTTCTTAAATTTCTGCAACCAGCAGAAATATTCCCAGTTTTCCTCAATTTTCAGTTCATCATGATGGTGATAGATCCTTGCCTGTCTCATGAGCAGCATGCAATTAAGTGGCCAGGGTCACTGTGATGCTGATGGATCAATTCTTTCAATACATGAGCGAGATCTTCATTTCCAGATTTATGCAGTGTTTTTGTATTTTTCATTAACTTCCATTCATCCGTTTCAGCACAGAACTTCAACAGTTTATTTTGTTTCTTCAGGCCATGTATAATGGTATTTCTAACAGCACATTCTTCGGTAAAATATTTCACACTTACACTGCTTCCCAGTTTCTTCAGCATCTTGACTTTCTGTACTATAAAAAAAACATAAATGCTTCCTTTTTTCTTATCACTGTTACCCAAGGGATATCTACAGGCCTTTTTGACATTTTCCAAAATATCTTCGAACTGCAGAACGGAGAAGGTACAAAAAAAAAAAAATGCTGAGTAATGCAGGTAGGTCTTGGTCGCATGTGGGGCATTGCAGGGATCCTGTCCTTGGCCATCCAGCCTGCACACGTGCCATTTTACTACCCTTTGTGGAAGTGTTTGTGTAGGGGAATCTGGATATGCACAGAAAAGACATATTACAGCTGAAAAAGTTTGGGAGGCTCTTTTGTTTTTGTTTTTTGCCCGTGAGGATGCTGAATAAATTGTAGTGCACCTTTCTTTTGATGGAGACTATCACAAGAAGTCAGTTGTAAAATTTTCAACTTACGGCATCATGTCAGTGCTCAAAAGGGTTCAGATTTTGGAACATTTAGAATTTCAGATTTTTGGATGAAGGATGCCCAATCTGTATAACATCTTTTACTATTAGATTGTTACATCACTCACTTTCTCTTGTCTTTGAATTTGTATTTCCAGTTAGTATCTTCTACAAATACATAATACATATTTTGATAAATAATTATAAAACATAAACAAAATTTTTTGAAACATCTCAAAAACACAGATGGATTTTTTCTCATTTTCTTCATTACTAAGTAAATGAGACAGCTCTTAGCATCAATTCTATTTCTAATATTTTATATTGTTTTGAGAGTTTAGAAAACTTATTTAAAAAATAATCATATAAAAATTGAAGGACTATTCTAAAGCAATATAACTTTATTATAAAAATTATTTCTAGTATATGCCAAAAATTGTCTAGTGATATCTTATTGCTAATGGATCTGTTAGTTGGTTCTTCAATGTTATTGAAAGCAAAGTATTTTAAATCATCTTATTTGCAATATAATTTCTTAGTTTTTATTAATGTATCTTTTTTCACTTTCTGAGAAGTATATGCAAAAGGTTTTATAAAGAACTATAAAATTATCATTAACTTTACCTTTATTCTTTTACTTAGAAGCACTCATTTAACTTAATGTACACAGAACTTACTGAGAAAATAGAAATATTGCTAATTTATCTTTATTGGTTGGTAAAAAGTTTATATCTTATCATGAGCTTTAGATACATCACAGCTTTAAATACATTAGAACTTCATTAGAACTTTGAAGGTCTATCTCATTCTGTCTATGATTTAGTGGAGGCATTAAAGAGATTAGTATTTTTGGTTATCATTTTGGATGATTCCCCAGAGCTTTTACACCCTTGGTCAATGCACCATGATATGAGTCAGAATGGATGACACATCTGTCTAATTTAAAGGGAAAGAAACCCATCACTCCACGGTAGGGGCTAACACTCTTCAGAAGATTGCAGGTGTGAGAGGGCAGTAGCAGAATGGACAAAGGTGGGGATGCACACACAAGCAAGTTAAATGCATCTCTGGATATAAAGGCAGGGCCGCAGCGATGTCCTGCTATCAACACCGGTAACCCTCAGTATATGAATCCCTTGGTTAATATTTCATCCTCATTTTATGTATCTGCCATATTTGACTCAGTTGAATATTCCAGTGTGAAACACAGTTTTTAAAAATAATTTCCAGGGCATATTCTTTGCTTTGTATAATGATTTTCAAATTTATATCCCCAACTCTGACTTTCCTCTAAATTCTAGATGTCTGCAGGATATGTATGATGCTTTTCAAATTTATATCACTAACTCTGACATTCCTCTAAATTCTAGATGTCTACAGGATTTCTGTCCTTGTATTTTTAATACATGTTTCAAATTTAACATACTGAAAATACAAATTTGATTAATTATTTCCACTCTTCTGCTATTAATCTTACTTATTGCATATACGGCAAATTTGTTCTTCCATGTACTCTGGGAAAATGTTTTGGAATTACTCCAATACTCTCTTTTTATTTCACCCAGTAATAGATCCAGCAAAAAAATCCTGGTGTCTCAATTGCCACATGGTATTGAGAACACCAGAACTGCTCAAAACTTATACCATGATAACCTTGGTTCACATCACTAATATGCATTAGTTGGCCTGTTGCAATAGCTTCTTAATGGGTCTTTATGCTTCTAACTTTGCCTTTCTTCCATATTCAACAGAAGAATTCTATATTCTATATTCAACAGAAGAATCAGAGATTTTTCTAAATATAAGATCCTGTCATTTTTCTACTAAAAATATTCCAAAGGATTCTCATGCCTCTCTGAGTTAAAGATATTTACAATGGCTTAAACCGTTCTTGATGTTCTTTCCCCACCTTTGTAACCATTTGATTTTATCTCCCATCTGCCTCCTCCACTCTAGCTATACCAGCCTGCTTGATATGCCTAGAATATGGTAAATATTTTCTTTCCTACTTCACTTTGCACTAGCTTTTATTCTGTCTGGAATGTTTTTCCATCCAGACAGATACGTAGCTTTCTACCGTGTTTCATTTATGTTCCTGTTCAAAAGTCACATGCCTAAATAGACTTCCTCAGGGTATTTTCTATAAAATAACAAAGGCCTACACACATCAGCATTGTCTTTACTTACTGCCTTCATCATGCTCCAGCTTATCTATTACTTGTGTAGCATGTCTTTACATTTATATTGTTTGCTGCCTGTTTTCCTCCACTAGAATGTAAATATCATGAAGGAAGTAAGCTATTGTTCTCTGCCGTATTACCAGGACCTAGAATAATATCTAGCATTTAGCAATTGCCAAGTATTTTATAAAAATAAGTTGAATGAATACTATGATGTTTTAATTCTCCTCATAGCTCCCTAGCCATTAATTCCCTCCCCTCAACCTCTTATTTTTGGCTTACTTTCTTATTTATGTATGTCTCAATTGTTGATTTTCTGCTGAGTTCTAATTTCTCCTTTTTAATTCATTCTCTGTACTCTCTTGGTTAGATCACTTAATTTTCTACGGCTTCGTCTACGTCACGTACATGTCAGCTCCAATTTGTTTCCTAAAGGTTTAAGACTTATTTATGCAGCTGGTTACTGAATACTTCCATTAGAAAAGCTTAAACATATCTCCAACTAAAAACACCAAAAACGAGATCTTTATATACTCCCACATTTAGTTTATCCACCTGATACCTCTGTGTTAGTAAATGGCAAACACCATCTAAACAGTTATCCCATTAAGAACCTTGGTCTGACCGTTATCCTATTCATCTCTCTCTTCTACATTCATTAAAAACACATGCAGGGGCCAGGTGCTGTGGCTCAAACCTGTAATCCCAGCACTCTGGGAGGCCGAGGCAGGTGGATCACCTGAGGTCAGGAGTTCAAGACCAGCCTGGCCAACATGATGAAACCCTGTCTCTACTAAAAATAGAAAAAATTAGCCAGGCATGGTGGTGAGCGTCTGTAATCCCAGCTACTCTGGAGGCTGAGGTAAGAGAATCACTTGAACCCAGGAGGTGGAGGTTGCAGTGAGCCGAGGTCACTCCACTGCACTCCAGCCAGGGAGACAAGAGTGAAACTGTCTCAAAAAATAAATAAATAAATAAATAAATACATTCAGAAGGTCCTGGCCAGAGCAATCAAGCAAGAGAAAGATACAAAAAGGCATCCAAATAGGAAAAGAAATCAAGCAATCTCTCTTCATTGATGATATGATTCTATACCTAGAAAACACTAAAGACTATCAAAAGGCTCCTGGAACTGATAAACAACTTCAGTAAAGTTTGAGGATATAAAATCAATATGCAAAAATTAAGTAGCATTTCTATAGACCAATAACATTTAAGCTGAGAGCCAAATCAAGAATGTAATTCTATTTACAGTAACAACAAAAAAATACTTAGCAATGTATTTAACCAAGATTGTGAAAGAGCTCTACGAGAAATACAAGCAAGAAAACACTGCTGAAAGAAATCATAGATGATATAAAGACATGGAAAAACATTCTATGCTCATGGATTGGAGGAATCAATATTGTTAAAATGGCCATACTGTCCAAAGCAATCTACAGACTCAACACTATTCCTATCAAACTACCAACATCATTTTTCACAGACTTAAAATAAATTATTCTAAAATTAGGTAGGACCAAAAAAAGATCCTGAATAGCCAAATCAGTACTAAGCAAAAGGGCAAAGCTAGAGACATTACATTACCTGACTTCAAACTATAGTATAAGGCTACAGTAACAAAACAACATGGTACTGGTACAAAAACAGACACATAGACAGGTGGAATAGAATAGAGAATTCACAAATAAAGTCACACAGGAACAGCCACTTTATCTTCGGCAAAGCTGACAAAATTAAATAATGGGGAATGAACTCTCTATTCAATAAATGATGCTGGAATATCTAGCTAACCATATGCAGAAGAATGAAACTAAACCCTTAACTTTTACCATATACAAAAATTAACTCAAGATGGATTAATGATTCAAATGTAAGACCTCAAAATGTCAGAATTATCGAAGAATACATAGCAAACACCATTCTAGACATCAATCATGGAAAATAATGTATTATTAAGTCCTCAAAAGCACTTACAACAAAAACAAAAATTGAAAAATGAAACCTAATTAAACTTAAGTGCTTCTGCACAGCAAAAGAAACTGTCAACAAACAGACAACCAAGAGAATGGGAGAAAATATTTGCAAACTATGCATTCCAACAAAGGTCTAATATCTATAAAGAACTTAAAGAATTCAGCAAGCCAAAAACAAATAATCCCAATAAAAATGGGCAAAATACACGAGGAGACACTTCTCAAAAGAAGATATACTCGTGCTGTGAATTAACACAGAACAGATGAACCAAATACTGCACGTCCTCACTTGTAAGTGGAAGCCGAACATTGAGAACCCATGGACCTAATGATGGAAACAATAAACACTGGGGACTACCAGAGGGGTAGAAAGGGAAGGGGTCAAGGGTTGAAAAACTAATTATTGGGTACTATGCTCACAACATGGGTGACAGGGCCACTGATATTCCAAACCTCAGCATCATGCAATACATTAATGGAACAAACCTGCACATATACTCCTCAAATCTCATATAAATTGGAATTATTTTTAGAAGTATGAATGTCACCAGTTCAAAAATACATTCATTGATTAGTTATGAACTCAGCACCCTTCTAGGGTCATGGGATGGATACGGAGCAAAGACAGATCAGCCCCTGTTTTCAATAGTTTTCACTGCAGAGAGTTAGACCGTTCACATTAATAAAATAATCACATTAATTATAAAATCACCACCATTCTTTTAAGTTTCTCATATTCATTCTCCTCTCTCCATCCCCATTAAAACTACCTAATATCATATTTTTTCCTAATCCTGGTCTTAGCCTAGCAGATTCCTTTGTCCCTTAGCCCTGACAATTTTTTAATCTGTCCCTCACATGCCACTATGGTACCTGCCTGAAATATACAATAATCAAAAGCTAGCAATGGTTAAACTCTTCAGTGGTTTCCTGTTATTCTGAAAAAATATCCCAAGTTTTGTGACATGAGATACTAAGGCCTTCACAACTACCTTTCCACTAGCTCTGGTCCTGACTGGCTGTTAATTTACCATGCCGATTATACTTCTAAGTCCTTAACATGTCAAGGCCTTGAGGATTGACCTTGTCCCTTCTACCTGAAATTCTTAATCCTTCCTTATGGCTAATTTAGTGTTAGAAACTCTCTCCATGTTTGCATAGCACACTATACCTAACCATGTATTCTAATAATTTTTCCACTTCTCATCTCATGCTGTAATTTGTATGAGTGCAGAGATGTGTCACTTGTATTAATATTCTATCACCAGTTTATAGCTCAGTGCTTACTCTGGAGTGCTCCATGACTTCATTTCAGACATGAAATAGTGAATGCATTAATCAATGTAATCATTCATGTTAATTTTACAGTAGAGAAGTTATTAGCTATTTCTAGTTTTCATATCCATTTGAAATTTTTCTTCTCAAAATTATTTGTCATTTTGGATAACTTTTCAAGTACATAATAATACCATTTTACAACAGAGAGGAAAACTACTCCAAACAATTCCCTTTGTGCATACCCTGAAGTATTTGGAGCTCTAAACCATTTGAGCCATTTTAGCTCCAGCTCTCTAAGAATAGAATTTACACTGCTAACACTAAATATTTTATCCCTGGAAGAAACAGAAAATGGAAAGTACAAAATGTATGTTTCCCCTGACTGTAAACAAAAAATAATTTTCAGGAAACCTTTTGACATCTTTATTCAGTATTTTTCCCTAGATATTTGTCAAGGTTCAACAGTTTACAGTCTCTTTGTACTTGTCAGACTGAGTTATCTAACAATAAATCCACGTGTTTATGGCTTTAAGTAAAGGACTAATTTAATGCACAAAATACTCTTTTTAAAAATTTTTCTAGTTTACTGCATAAAATATCACTAGATGTCAAAAGAATTAAAACATCCAGATTTCACAAAATACATCTTATTTAGGAGTAGGAGTTGCTATTATTCACAGTAATTTTAACAGCAATTCCATTTAACATATTCAAAGACTTACTTATAAATTCTAAAAGTAAGCAGAGAAACTGTTTATTTTTATTTTTTCCAGATTGTGAAGCCTGTAGCTTGGAAGATACAGGACATAGGTGAAAGTGTTTGTACCATTCATTTAAAGGCATAAATGTCCAATGGGTAAGTTAATTCTTAAACTGGTTTTAGGCACATGGTTAAAAAAATTTAAGTCACAAAAGTAAAACAAAAGTTATAGTGTTTATTTTACACATCATCAATGAACTGTTATATGTATTTATTTTTATGGATATATTTGCTGGAATATAGTTTGACAGTTATTTTCTTTCATCCTTTTAAAACATCAATTATTGTCTTCTGGCTTCTACTGCTCCTCTAAAAATTCAGGTGTCACTGTTATTGTTTTTATTGTTTAAAAAGACATAAATATGCTTTTTAATATTAGATTGCTTTTTAAGTAGTTTTTTTTGTGTTTTTTTCAGCATGGTGTGAAGTGCTTTCATGTAGCTTTATTTGTATGTATACTGCTTAGATTTGCAGATATTTTGCATATGCGATTTGTTGCCTATATCTATTTTATGAATTCTCAGGCACTGATTCTGCAGATATTACTATTTTCTTCTATTAATTCTCTCCATTTCTACTTGAATTTCTTGCTTTTTATCTTTTTTTATCATCTTTTTTGAATACTTATTTTAGAGATTTTGTCTTGACCTTGTCTTCCACCTTATTAGTCTCATTCCTGTTGAAGATAATAGCGTTGTATTTTAAGACCTCTGTCTGATAACAGAGCCAATACCAAAATCTCCATGGGTCCTTTTCTAATGTCAGGTGTTTTTGTAGTTTGTTTTTTGTTTTTTCTCATAGTTTTCCCTCATTTGGTCGTGTATATTTCCCTACCTTGTAATTTTTTAAGGGATACCAAGTATTTGATAGTTGTCATTTTTAATGAATAGCAGGTATTTGAAACTTTGTGGAGGGTTGTAAATGAGCTTACTTTCCTCCAGAAAGCTCTACTGCTTTCTCTGCTCTCATGGTTTCTTCAGGATTCTGGTATCTAAAGTCCTGGTTAACTAAATAGTTCTTTAATGTACTAAAATAACATTTTATTTGATACTTTTAATGCACTTATATCCTTATTTTCTACTTTTTAACATGTTTGCAGAGGGATATTAATCTTCTAGAAGCAAATATATCGTAGCCAAAAGCAGATGATTTAAAATTTTGCCCCTGTTAGGTTGGTAAATAGGTAATGTGAAAACATATAACAAAGCTTTATTTCACTCTTGATGATTTTATGCAAATTGGTAAGAACATTTTCTAGACTATTTTAATAATATATTTAAAATTCAGAATTATGAATTATTTATAACTACCATTTTTATTTTTAGAAATTTATACTTCAAAAATACTTGTGCAATGGTACAAAGATATATGCAAAGTGTTTTTAAAATATAAATGTAGCTATTGACATAAATAGTGATTGATGGGAGACTTTATATTTATACAATATACTATTAAAAGTACATAGAATGTTTAATTTATAACAGTAAGTATGAAATTTGATCACTGGATTATTTTCACAGTATCCAACTTACATAACACATAAAACCACAACAAACACTTGATTGGGTAGGATATATGTAGTTTATTATGATAATTATGAAAGACCTAAAGTAGAGCTCTTTCATATAGGCTACATAATTTAGAAGTTAAAATTACGTAATTCAGACACAAAAGCATGAATTTGGTTTGCTGTAGGTGTTTTCAGCACCGTTAATGACAAATTAAAATGCAAGTTAAACTTAATTTAGTTGTTTTCCTCTACCAAATAACTCCCTTGTATTACAACTTTCAATGGCTCTTTGAACTCTTTACATAATTACACAGTAGTAATTTAGTCTCTTTAGAGGAAATCACTTTCAAAAGATTAGATTAAATAACATTCATGGATAAGATGCATGGAAAGAAGGAATAATTACGTTATAATCAATGGATAAGGTTGATTCCTTGACAGTAGATTGTAATCTTTTTCTACTTATCTGGATCATTCTATTCCTTTATTTCACTTTTTTCTCTCAATTAACTGAAAAGAAAGGTGAAGAAATAATATAGATATGGGAATTGATGTAGAAATAGGAAACATATTTTAGATAGCAAGTGAGGGAAGCGTTTCATAGAGGTATGTCCCTAGCTTTAGGAATTCATCTTTCTGAAGGTTTCACTTGATGATAAATAATATAGCTGTAAGTCTTGAATTTGATTGAAATAAAAATCTATGTGTATTTTGTGTTATAAAAATCTAAAGCATAAAGTCATCATTGAAGTTTAATTTTCCATCTTTGTTAAACCTTGCTGCTAATAAGTATGCTGAAAAGAGGCTCAGAATTTTCTACCCACTACAGATTGCCAGTAATTGATCAAGCAAATCTATCAATTCTAAAGTTGAATTAATTTTTAAAATCAGGGTTTAAAATGAATTTCTTACTCATATATTTTATTTTCAGTTATTCTCTTCTTTTGTGTTATTAACTGTAAAATATTACCACACTTTTTTAGGTCATAAAGGTCAAAGCTAATAGACAAAAAAAGCTTCCAGCATGGATGATGAGCAAATTAGATGCCTCTCTGCTCAGCATGAGGTTTTTTCAGCTGCAAAAGTAAAATGAATCAACCATGGAATTACCCCAATGCACTAATAGCTACCGCTGTAGTGGTAGATCGTTATATATCTGGGCAATTAAATTTTAAATGTAAGTAACGTTATAAAATAGGTCAATATTAAATTTTAAATATAAAAATAAAATATAATTAAAATGAATTTAATAAGGTTGCTTAACTTGTAATTCACAGTTTACATAATTATATCATGGATGGGAAGATATTTATGTATGATATTCTTTTTTGGGGAGGTAAATATTCTTAAAAGCATTAGAAGCATATGCATCACTTAAATAATTCTCACAAAGCAGTTCCTTGCCTGCCTTCTTATTAAAAAATGTATCTCTAGTAGCACACCATTTTAAAGGTATAGGTTGAATTAAGGTAGTTTTCACTGTGAATAAGTCAATAGTGACTTAAAATTGAGGCATTTGGGGATTTCATTTTAGTATAGATAAATTTACTTTTTTTCTCATACTTTTTCTTGTTTTCACTCACCCTAAAATCTTCATTTTTATTTCAATCAAAATGACATAGAAAAAATATGCTATGAAATCTTTGCCTATGCCTATGTCCCACATGATATTGCCTAGGTTATCTTCCAGGGTTTTTATACTTTTTGGTTTTACATTTAAGTACTAAATCCACCTTGAGTTAATTTTTGTATCTGGTGTAAGGAAGGAGTCCAGTTTTAACTTTCTGCATATGACTAGCCAGTTATCCCAGCACCATTTATTGAATACGAAATCTTTTCCCTATTGCTTGTTTTTGTCAAGTTTGTCAAAGATCAGAGAGTTGTGGGTGTTCAGTCTTATTTCTGGGTTCTCTATTCTTTTCCATTGTTCTATGTGTCTGTTATTGTTCCAGTACCATGCTTTTGGTTACTGTAGCCCTGTAGTGTAGTTTGAAGTCAGGTAGCATGATGCCTTCAGCTTTGTTCTTTTTGCGTAGGATTGCCTTGGCTATTCGGCCTCTTTTTTGGTTCCATATGAATTTTAATTTTTTTTTCTAGTTCTGTGAAGAATGTAAATGGTAGTTTAATGGTAATAGCATTGAATCTATAAATTGCTTTAGGCATTATGGCCTTTTTCACAATATTGATTCTTCCTATGCATGAACATGTAATGTTTCTCCATATGTTTGTGTCGTCTCTGATTTCTTTGAGAAGTGGCTTGTAGTTCTGCCTGTAGAGATTTTTCACCTGCCTAGTTAGCTGCATTCCTAGATATTTTATTCTTTTTGTGGCAGCTGTGAATGGGAGTTCATTCCTGATTTGGTTCTTTGCTTGACCGTTGTTGGTATACAGACATGCTAGTGATTTTTGCACATTGATTTTGTATCATGAGACTTTGCTGAAGTTGTTTATGAGCCTAAGAAGCTCTGGGCTAAGATTAGGGGGTTTTCTAGATATAGGATCATGTCATCTGCAAACACGGATAGTTTGACTTCCTCTTTTCAGATTTGAATGCACTTTATTTCTTTCTCTTGCCTGATTACCCGGGCCAGAATTTTAATACTATGTTGAACAGGAGTCGTGACAGAGGGCACCCTTGTCTTGTACTGGTTTTCAAGGGGAATGCTTCCAGCTTTTGCCCATAATGTTGGCTGTGGGTTTGTCATAGGTTGCTCTTATTATTTTGATGTATATTCCTTCAAAGCCTAGTTTGAGAGTTTTTAACATGAAGGTTTGTTGAATTATATTGACAGACTTTTCTGCATCTGTGGTTTTTATCTTTAGTTCTGTTTATATGATGAATCACATTTATTGGTTTGTGTATGTTGAGTCAAACTTGCATTCTGGGCATGAAGCCTACTTGATCATGGTGGATAAGCTTTTTGATGTGCTGATGGCAGTTTGCCAGTGTTTTCTTGAAAATTTTTGCCTCAATGTTTACAGGAGATATTGGCCTGAAATTTCCTTTTTTTGTTGTTGTATCTCTGCCAGGTTTTGGTATCAGGATGAGGCTGGCCTCATAGAATGAGTTAGGGAGGAGTCCCTCCTCCTCCTCAATTTTTTGGAATAGTTTCATTAGGAATGGTACCAGCTCTTCTTTGTACATCTGGTAGAATTCAGCTGTAAATCTGACTGGTAATGGGCTTTTTTGGTTGGTAAGCTATTTATTGATGCCTTGGTATCAGAACTCATTATTGATCTGTTCAGGGATTTGATTTCTTCCTGGTTCAGTCTTGGGAGGGTGTATATGTCCAGGAATTTATGCATTTCTTCTAGATTTTCTAGTTTATGTGCATAGAGGTGTTCATAATATTCTTTGATGGTTATTTGTATTTCTGTGGTGTCAATGGTAATATCCCTCTTATCATTACTGGTTGTGTTTATTTGAATCTTCTCTCTTTTCTTCTTTATTAGTCTAGCTAGTGATCTATGCATTTTATTAATTTTCTCAAAATACCAGCTCCTGGATTCACTGGTCTTTTGAATAGTTTTTCGTGTCTCTGTCTCCTTCAGTTAAGCTCTGATTTTGGTTATTGTCTGCTGCTAGCTTCAGGGTTTGTTTGCTATGAGTTCTTTAGTTCTTTTAGTTGTGAGTTACGTTGTTAACTTGAGATCTTTCTAACTTTCTGGTGCGGGCATATAGTGTTATAAATTTCCCTGTTAACACTGCCTTAGCTGCTTCCCAGAGATTCTGGTACATTGTATCTTTGTTCTCATTCATTTCAAAAAACTTGATTTCTACCTTAATTTCATTATTTACTCAAAAGTCATTCAGGAACAGGTTATTCACGTTCCATGTAATTGTATGGTTTTGAACAAATTTCTTAGTATTGATTGCCATTTTGATTGCACTGTGGTCCAAAAGACTGTTATTATTTCAATTCTTTTGCATTTGCTGAGCAGAGTTTTACTTCCAATTATGTGATTGATTTTAGAGTAAGTGCCACAAAATTAAGATATATAATTACAAATTGTAGTTTGGTATCTATAACACACCTATATATTTCCAATTGAGGTCTTTTGTTTGCTGGTTTTCAAATCATTCAGAAATTTTACATAGAAAATTTTTTACATACATTGGATTTAAATAATAATTAGTTTTCACATTCAAAGAATTGGTTAGAAGGGATCATACATGTATGGGCACATAATTTGACAATCCACTCATTGGACTATGAGCAAAACGTTAAGTTCCTTTAAAAATGAAAAAAAGTTAGAAAAACAAAACAATTCACTATCCCCTACAACAAGGAATGACAGTCTTATACTTAATTTTTTAATGAAAATGGATAAATTGTTTAACATCTTGGCTGGTTAATGATAAAAGAATGTCAAAGGAGTAAAGGAGCCACCTGGAGGCTCTCCCAATGGACAAAGCTGGAAAATTTTGAGAAAAATAAATAAAGTAATTTGATGACAAAGCCATGAGTCCATACCTACATAAATCAATAATGAAATAAATAAACAATTTGGAGAAAATAGACAAATCTTTTGTAAAGAATAATTCCAAATAATTTATCTAGATACACTACCCTTAGGTATATGGAAAACAAATTTTCACTCCTTAAGTGTGGGCTATGCCTGGTGACATCCTTCCTAAGAGTACAGTATGGAAAGAGAGAAAACGGGGTGATTTTATGGTGGAGAAACCCGACAAATACTATCTCACTCAGGTGATCAAATTTAATATCCACAGTCCAAAGTCATGTTGATAGGATATATGCACTCTTGGTATAATGTGAAGATAATGGCACTTTACTTCTGGTCTTCTTCCCCAAATCCCATAACCCCAGGCTAACTGTGAGACCAAGTCAGCAAATTCTAATTGAGACACGTTCTACAAAACACCTGACCACTACTCCTGAAACAGTCAAGGTCTTCAGAAATAAAGAAGGTTTAAAAAAATTATTACAGTCAAGATACACGGCAACTAAATGTGATGTGGTATACCGTATGGGATACAGAAACTGAAAAAGGACATTAGGTAAAATCCAAGGAAACCTGAATCAAGTACGGATGTTAGTTAATAATGATATTCAATTGTGGTTCATTAAGTATGATAAATGTATTACAACAATGAAAGATACTAACCACAAGGATAACTTCCCAATCCATAATAAATGCCCAATAATTATGGTATATGAAAACTATCTTTACTATGTTCATAGCTTTTCTTTAAATCTCTACGTGGTGAATTTTTCCAGAAAGTTTTTCTTGTCTATTAGTTCATTTACTCCGCACAAGAATTCTATAGTGTAGACATTTTTCATTTACCTTTGGGTAGAAAACTAAACTTATAATTTTTTTGCATCTTGCTTAACATCACTCAAATATTGTATGGTAGAAATAGGAATTGAATTTATGATGGCAAATTCTTTTCTGCAGCAACCCAAACCATGAAATACCACTAGCACTGAGACACTTGATATTAGGCAATATCTTTGCATAATTAAATCAAGTTTCTAAGTGATATGTACAGCATTATACATTGTAATGAGCCTTAAACTATGTGTTGATGGGTATCTAAAGATGAAAATGCGGTCAAGTATTTGGGTTCTGGGAGCAAATTGCCTAGACTCAAATCCCACGGTAACATTTTGTAGCTGGATGACCTGGCCAAATTTGTCTGTGGCTTGTTTATTCTGTTCTATACAACAAGAACAATGCTATGGCAATATTTAAAAGGTTTGTTGAGAGAATTAAAATTAGTATATGTAAAGTGTTCACAACAATTCCAAGCCACAAAAAGTGTCCAAAAATTTTTATCTATTACTTCTAAAAATGTCTTAATTAAAACACCAAAGACAACCATCACATTAATTTGGGCACATTTAAGATTATCAACTGGGAATTGTTGTTAAAAGGCAATATAGATGTCATGACAAATAAATAAGGTGACTAAAAAACACAATTACAAAACGAAAGAGTCCGAAATGTAGTGTGGTGCTATAAGCCAGATTTTGCCTCATAAACAAACACAGCTTTTTGTATGTCATGGGGAGCAACAAAGAATCATTTGATTCATTGTTGAAGTCAACATCCTTATTGAAGTTTCAGAATGATTCTGTAGAGTAAGATTGTGATTGCAATCCTCATCCTCTCAAAATAATTTAATGTGCTTTGATATTGCCTTACATTAAAATTTATTATCTGTTATTTTCAATACATGAAATTTTAGAAAATTTTAAGACTCTCAGAGATAGTTTGCATATACTTAATTAAATTCTACTGGTATGTTCACAGTTTGTTACAGCTACTCAATGTGCAATTAAGTAGACATTTTGGGCAAAAAACTGTTATGCATTTCGTGGATTAACCTTTCACACCCTGTCCAACAAGAGGAGCCAAGCCTCCTGACTCCAACAGCGTTTGCAGACCTACCATGGAGTGCATATTCATGTTCTGGTGCTTTTATTTCTGTGAAATAGACTCCCAAAGTGGGATTTATGAAGCAAAGGTAATATGAATTTATAATTTGGTAACAGCGTGCCAGGGTACTTTAGAAAACATGATAGTTATTCTCACTTTCACTACAATATGCAAGCGACATCATTTTTTCTTTTTAATGATATTTTTCTATTTCCTCTGCTCCCAATCCACAACCCAAATATCAGCTAAAAATGATAATTTACTTCTATTTGAATCTGCACGCTATGGGTTACTGATAAGGTTAGTACGTTTTCTTAGTTTATGGACCATTAGAATTGTCTGATTTCTGATTGCCAATTAATATTCTGTACTTCCTTTTTCCTTATTTTATTAAATTTTCCTTCCTTCTTTTCTTTCTTCCTTCTTTCCATCTTTCCTTTTTTTCCTCCTTCTTTCTGCCTTATTCTTATCTGCATGATAAAGTTTCCATATATACTGTAAATTGTAAACCCTTTGTCTACCAATTTTTCTTTCAATATTTTCACAGTCTGAATTTAACATTCAATTTTAAACATGTATCTAAATATATATTTAACATTTATATCCATAAATTTATTCATATTGTTCTTACAAATTATGGGATAATTATGAATTATTCCTTTCATGCTTAAAAATATTCTCTGCAGTTGGAAGTGTTTTATTTTTATCATGTTATACCTAGAATTAACTTTGATAAATGCTCTGAAATTAGAATTTATTTACTCTTGGCAGCCAAATTTATCTGCAATATTTACTAGATGCAATATTATTTAATCACTTATAAATAATGACATCTTATATGAAATTATATAATAATCAGGTAAGTTTCTGTATTTTATCTTGTTTTTTCAGCGAAATTCAGTGACTTAAAATATAATTAATATCTACTAGATAAAAGCTTCCTTATTGTAATATATTTATACATTTATTTGGGTAAGACTATAATTCTGATAGTAAGTGTCTTAGGTTCTCTGCGCCTCCACGGGTATAAAAATCTCCCTCATAGGGATATTTTGAGGATTAAATGAAATAATACATAACAGTGTTTGAAACACTATCAAGCAAAAGGTAAATACCAATGAAATAATATGTAATTGAATATTTGGCTTACCTTCTTTATGTGTGATTATTGGTGAATTTCGTATTGATTTTTACCACTCCATGCTTAAACTCTTGTGTATTTAGGAAAGAAGACTACATTTTATTTCTATATTTAATCAAAATTTCTGCTTTTATTCATTTTATAATGTTTATTTTTTTCCAAAGTACATATTTTAAACCATATTTCACTTGAGTACTGATTTCATCACCTTGTAGAGTTTTTCCACATAATTTAGACACGTTTTCTTTATGTCCAAAAATATGGCTAACATTTTATTTTGCAATCCTCCCCGAAGTTTTAGTTAAATTCTAAACACTTTCTTGCAAGGTACAGTAGTTTTACTGTCAATGCAAAACACTACACGCATCTCTTCCAATAACAGCTAGCAGAAGAAACATACACACGCGCAATGCTTCCATTTCCAAATATCTCTATCAAGGGCTATTTGCGATTAGCAAAATGTTACATGTCACAGAGTAGATGGGGAACAGAGAGTGTTCTAAATCTTCCTCCTCTAATGCTTAGAGCACTGTTCTGTTTTATATATGAAGCTTTCCTTTACTGAATTTGAGACACAAAATGTAATGCTGCGTTGTTGGGAATACTACTCATATAGAGTGAGGAAAACTAATTAAACTAGTAGAACACTTAGCTATTAAGGGTTTGATATGTGTTCAGAGATACTGTGAAACACAGCTTATGGGAATATTGATACAATTTTATCTTCTTCCTTTTAGGTTAAGAGAGGCTGATTTTATAAGTTTTGTGTGTGTGTGTGTGTGTGTGTGTGTGTGTGTGTCAGTGTGTCTGTGTGTCATTGTGACTGTGGTTATTTTACAGAAGAGAGCATTTCACACATTCATTGTGTTAATTGCAGGGATATAAAAAGGTGACAGTGTTAAAGTCTGCAACAATTAAGTTGACTGGATAAGCTCCAAGTGAAGAGGAATAAGAATAAAATAGCAATTTTAAACAATTGAGAAAGTCACTGTAATTGTGAACTTGCCAATGAAAAGAAACACATGTCTCTGTGAATGGATTTAAAGAGCATGTTTTGTCTTCATCGCAATTAAAGTATATTAATTATATGTAACATCTGTGAATGTCTCAGGACTAAGGCGTTTCTCAGAAATGTTGCTCTAAAATGTCAGGTAATGGATAGAAAAAGCTGCGGAGCATTAGTTTGTGTCATTTCATTTTTAAAAAACTATATATCAAATAATTAAAGGATCCATGAGCCAAAAAAAGAAAAATCTCCTGGGAAGAACTGTCTCAAAATTACCCCCTTAATTATCAATATTTGGGAGATACAATGGAGAGACTTGGAGAAAAGTCTCATTCTAGATTTTTGCCTGGCAAGTCTCATACTCTTTGTGCAGAGGAGAATGTGAAGGAGCTTCTGTCGCAGCATGGAATTTGTCAGGGCAACTCTATTACTCTGGCCTAGATTTTTATTATCTTCATTCCTTGGTGGGCTCCAGATTGAACATAAATCATGAAAGGGGCTCAATGAGTTGGTGAGAGATCAGATTTTTTCAGCAGTATTTATTGCCATTCCAGTACTGTGGAAATTGTATGTGTGTAACAGCAGATTGAATAGTTCTGCAGGGGTTAGAAGACACTGGTAAGCGATATATAATAAATTTCATGGGCACTTCCTGCTATTGATCTGAGACTCAGCTTTGAGGCTCATTTAATTTCTTTCATAACATTTTTGCCTTAGTGAACTTGATAATTCTTTTCAGGAAAATGCAAAGTAAATAAAAATTATGTTGTCACAGAAATCATAACTTTCAGAATTTTAGATAGGTGAATGCTTCGGGATTTTATAGGTCATTTTTGGACTGTCAGTAAGGCATTTATGCCTCAATTCAAAGCATTTCAGAACTTTATTTTACTTAGAAATGTTGTTTATCTTTTGCCATTATCTGTTGTACTGTTTGGGTTCCTACTGAATATCACATATTGTAATTAATATGATGTATCTTTGACAGGGCCATCTTGTGATACATGCACTGTCACAGGAAAAGTTTCCAGGAAAAGTCAAGCCAGGGCTTCACAGAAGATCAAAAGAAAGAGACAAGGAGAAGCTAAGTGTATTAGTCAGGATTCTCTAAGGGACAGAACTAATAGAATATATATACACACACAAACACACACACACACACATATATATACATATAAATAAAAGGGAGTTTATTAAGGAGTATTAACTCACACAATCACAAGGTCCCACAACAGGCCGGGCCATCTGTAAGCTGAGGAACAAGGAAGCCAGTCTGAATCCCAAAGATGACAAACTTGGAGTTCAATGTTCAAGGGCAGGAAGCATCCAGCACAGGAGATAGATGTAGGCTGGGAGGCTAAGCCAGTCAAGACTTTTCACGTTTTTCTGCCTGTTTCATATCCTAGCTGCAATGGCAGCTGATTAGATGGTGCCCACCCAGATTAAGGGTGGGTCTGCCTTTCCCAGCACACTGACTCAAATGTTTATCTCCTTTGGCAACACCCTCACAGACACACTCAGGATTAATATTTTGCTTCCTTCCATCCAATCAAGTTGACACTCAGTATTAACCATCACACTAAGCTTGTTATTTTATAGAAATGCTTGAAAACCAGAGATAAATGCAGCTACAAATGAACGATGACTCTGCGTTTTCCTTGTATATATAAAGATCAACAATAACACTTAGGTCATGAAACCCACCTACTTTACAGATCATTATGGAAATAATACACTGCTTCAGCAATGGAGAAACAATCATCCATATTTATGCAAGAACTAAATTCAAGTTTGAAAGCTTGCTTTGAGCTTGAAGATATAAAACATGATTCTGTGACAGTAAACAATGTATAACAAATCTTACAGAAATTTATGTGATTACTAAAAAAAAATCAATTCATCAATTCAATAAACTGAGTACCGTATTACTTTTCTATTGCTTCTTTACCAAATAAATACAAGCTTTGCAGTTTAAAACAACAGAAATTTAATTTTTTATAGTTCTGAGGGTCAGTAACCTAAAACTGATCTTATGAAATAAAGTTAAATCTTGGGGATATGGGTGTGGACAGGGCTGGTTTCTTCTGGGGCTCTGATGGTAAAATTTGCTTCCTTGCCTTTTCTCCTTCTAGGGAGCCTGCATTCCCTGCCTCCTAGTGGCTTCCTCCCATCACTCGAACCTCTGTTTCCAGCCTCAGGATTCCTAATGTGACTCTGACGTTTCATCTCCTGTTTATGAGGACGCTTCTGATTGCTGTGAGTCCACTTGATAACCCAAGAAAAACATGCATCGCAAGGTCCTTAAATTAATCACGGCTGCAAAATGCCAATTATCATAAAAGGTCACATTGACAGTTCCCAGGGATCAAGATGTGAACATACTGGGGACGAGGGCCATTATTTTGTATATCACAGACGTCTCCCATGTGGATAGTCCTCTACTAGTTACTACATTGATTTAGACAGATGTCTTCTATCGCCAAAGGACTTACAATGCATATAGAGGGACAGACTTACAGTAGTGTGAGAAGTGCAGAGACATATGGGAGTGCTAGGTAGTCCTTGAGCACAAGGAATCATAGCTACCATGGTGTTCTGGTGACATGAGGAGCTACAAGGGAACGCACAAGGTAAGACTAGTGAAAGGACAGGGAGTAGAAGATGAGCCTTGAGAAAATGGTCAAGTTGGTGAAAACAGGAAAGGAGTTTCCCATAAAGAAATATGGGGAAGAAAGAAGAGTTTCCCAGGCAGAAATATGCGGGTGGTGATGAGGGTGGGGGGGACATGAGGGAGCTCATTGAGGTCAGGAGAAGTTAGCGTTTACACAAGAAAATGAAGATCCATGAGCCCCATGGAACAAGGACCAGATAATACAAAACTCTTCATATGAGTCTGAGAGAGTGGGTCTCAGCTCATCAATATCACCTAGGAACTTTTAACATCTCTGATGTCTAGATCCTTTATCAGGTCTGCTTGACAAAAAGTGGGTCCTGGTTATAGGCAGTGATGATATTAATAACATTTTATTTTAATGCACGTTCAGGCTGAAAAGCATACTGGATTTTTAAACACTTAAATTTTATGTGGAGCATACTAGAAAACTAACAAATAATTTTAAATCATCCAGGTCTGACATGACATAGTTATATTTCTACTTTCAGAAGATACATACGGTGACACTATGGAAGTTAACTTGAAGATTAAAACCCTGAAAAATAGAAAGAATCTTCTATGGTATATCACAGAGATTACAAGGGCCTGAATTAGAGTGGTGACATTTTCATCCCTTGATAATGGATTAAAAACAATTGAATGAAGCTTTGGGGTGAACTTACAGGACTTTATGGCAAACTTCATATGGGAGACTTACATGAAGGGAGGAAGAAATGCGTATGTGTACAAAATCATGTGGATAGATGTGCATTTGTGGGTATCTGTGAATACAAATACACAATTTTCAGACAGAAGTAGTATAAGAAAAGGAAATCAAACAAAGTCAAACATTTTAAGTGTAGCTCTTGGTGCACTTTAAAAAATTATTAAATTGAAGCTGTAGTTTATTCTCATCATTGTCATCCTATATTAGTGATTTTCTTTAGCTTTTGAAATTAAATTCATAATATTACAATTCTGAATTCCTATGTATGTATATGTTAAGAATCCTTTAATGGGACTGACTTTCATATGTGTGTGGCTGCATTCTGAAATAGTTGTCTAGTTGATACATAAAGCAGTGAGTGCTATTTGTAAGATATATTTATATTTAAAGTCTTCATACAGTTATTAACTAGCTCCAATATTACTGAAATGATTTCTCCAAATATCCTATATTTAATTATCATGCTGGCAAATTTATTATAACTTTGGTTTGAAAAAATATATTATGATACATATCCACTGACTAATGCCACCTATCTGCTTTCCTGAATTCAAAGTTTATGATTATTTCCATAAATGTATTTATCAGTATAATCAAAAATAAAAATAACATAAATAAAATTTCTGTGAGCTTTACACATCTAATGTGCAATGATTATAAATCTGGTCTTATACACATGGTAAAAAACATTTAAGTCACAAAAGTATACTTCAGGTTTAAGTATAAATCTGAAATTAAATTCTCAGATTTAAGTATAATTTTTAAAAGCTTTGGTAATTGTGTCCCTACTGTTAAATTTATTGTATAGTTTTCACTATATCATCTGACCTTTTAATGTTTCTAGAAACTTGTGTGAGGTCTCATACTTCATGGCTAATAAAGTATTTATTTTTCTATTCTTGATCAGTTTTGTTGGATTTTATCAATTTTGTGAAATCTAACACATGACTTTCCTAATTTTTTGTATTGTTTTTGTGTTTTCTATTTAATTTCTTTTTCTCTTATCCTTACGATTCTCTTCCTGCTATGTTTTCCTAGTTTAATTTGGTGGGTTTTCTTGTTGTTGTTGTTGCTTCTTGGAATACAAATAATAACAGTGCTGTATGCCTGTAATCCCAGACAGGAGAGGATGAAGTGGGAAAATTGCTTCAGCCTAGGAGTTTGAGAACCACCTAGGTGGCAGAGACAGACCCTGTCCTGAAAAAAAAAAAAAAAAAGGAAATAGATAAAAATAATAAAATAATAAAAAGGACATTATTCTTGAGCTTTTTCTCTAATTATTTTCCCTGAGATAACTTGAAAGCTTTAAAAATACATCTGAGCAATGCTTAGTCAAGTTTTACAAGTTTTTATATGCTAGACCATCATTTTCATTTAGTTGAAAATACGTGCTGTATTTTAAAATATTTTGTTTGGATCCATTGCTTATTTAAAAGTCTAGTGCTTAATTTTTACACAAGTTTGCCTCTTCTAGTTATTTTTATTTTTTGTGTGTTCTACTCACTGGTATTTACATTAAATATTTAAGTTTAGAATATGTGTATGTGTTCTGGAAAAGGTGGTACATAGTTCCTGTTTTTCCTGTTATTAATATCTTACATTAGTATGATACATTTGTCATAATATTGAACTAATGTTGATGCATTATTAATTTTATCATTGATGGGTTTTTACTATTACCATTCTTAATTGGGGACAGCAGTGTCAGAGGAGTTTGTTTAAGATTTCAAACAGAGGCAAGAATTGCTGTGTCTACTGATCCAAATGTTATTACTGGGGTGGGAAACCCTCTCTTGTTAAGCATGAATTTTCAAGATACAACATTAACAAAAGTCCCTGTTAGATTCAAATTTTCTTATTTTTAAATTATCATCTCTTCTTGTGTCCACAATCCTCTCCATGGTGCCATGTTATATTTAATAGTCATATATCCTTAACTTCCTCTTGGCTATGACAGTTTCTCAGATTCCTGTTGTCTCTGATGACCTTGACGCTTAGTATTGATGAGGAATTTTGTATAAAGTACCTGAAATGGAACTGGTCTAATGTTTATTTCGTGACTAGACTGATAATGTTTTTAGGAAGAAGACCATAGAAATAAAGTGCCATTTTCATTTCATCAGGTCAAGAGTACATCTATGCTCTTATCCTGACTTGTCACTGTTGATGCTAAACTTAATCACCTGGTTGAGTTAATATCTGTCAGGTTTCTCCAGTATAAAGTTATTCTATGTTTTTTCCCTTTTCATACTTTACTCTTTGGAAGCAATCAAATTTTGTATGTTAATCATGTATCTTACGACCTTGTTACGCACGCTCATTAAATCCAAGAGTTTTTGAGATCTTTTGTTTGTTAATTATGTTTTTTGCATTTGCTGAGATTTTCTGCCTAGGCAATCATGTCACCTGTGAGTAAAGACAATTTCATGATATCTTTGCCAGTCTTTACATATTTATTTCTTTTCCTCATCTTACTGCACTAGGTTGGAGTCTTCTCGGTGTAATATTGAATAGGAATAGCAGGAGAGGCCATTCTTGCCTTGCTCTAGTTATAAGGGGAAAATATGCAGTTTCCTTCCATTAACTATAATGTCAGCTATACGTTTTCGGTATATGTTCTTTATAATATTGAGGAATTCCCTTCTATGTCATTTGTTGAGAGGTTTTATCATGAATGGCTATTGAATACAAATAAATCTTTTTCTGTACCAATTAACACACTCACATGACTGTTTTTTAGTTTGTTAATGTGGTCGATTACATTAGTTGACTTTTGAATACCTAAATGTTTAGCCTTGAATATCTGGAGTAAATCCTAGTAAATTGTGGTGTGCAATTATTTTTATGCATTTTAAGATTTGATTGCTAATACATTTGCTATGTTTTTTAGAGATATTGGTCTGTAATTTTTATTTTCTGTAATGTCTTTATGTGATTCTGGAATTAGGGTGATTTTGGCTGCATAGAATGAAGTAAGAAGTGTTTCTTTAATTTCTATTTTTTGAAAGCAAGAATGATCTTGAAGAATAAGTATTATATTTTCCTTAAGTGTTTGGTAAGAGTTCACCAGTGAAATGTCCTAGGCCTGGTAATTTCTTTCTTTTTTTTCTTCTTTCTTTCTTTCTTTGTTACTCATTAATGCCTCAATTTACTTAATAAGTAAAGATCTATTTTAGCTAGAAACCTGCTGATCTGGGGTCTTGGTGTCCAAAACAATTTGGGTGGTGCTTCAAACAGGAAAAACAATAATGACTCAATTGAATTGTAAAATGAGATTCTGTTCTGGACATTCTGGGTTCCTTGTGCCACTGAATGAACAGGCAGGGGAAAAAAAAAAAGAGTTAATCTATTGGCCAGAAAAAAAATTATCTTGATTACCATGAGGAAATTGAGTTGCTGCTACATAATGGTAGTAAAAGGTACTGTATTTGGAACCCAGGCAATTATTTGTGGTCTCTTATTAAGTTCCATGTCCAAGGGTAAAGATTAAGGCAAAACTATAACAACACCTAAGATGACCACAACAAAAGCAAGATAATTGAAGACACAGCCTCTTGAGTATATAAATAACTAAATACTTCAGCTTTTTCACTGAAGTATGTATAGCTATGCATATATCAGACTAATATGTTTAAAGATAAAAATATTCCTGGAATATATCTATTTCAAAATGCAAAAGGATTTTATATACCAGGATGGTATAATGATTTTAAACTTTCAATCATCATACTCCAAAGCCAGACAGCATACAAAACAAAAGAAATGTTTACAAAGCTCAACTCCTTTATTGTAGAGGAGGCAAAAGTGTGTAGGTTTAGATTTAAGAGATTTATAAGTGGCAAAACACAGCCCTTTGGCTCCTCAGTTTCTCCATGCATCCTCCACACACATTCGAACTTCTATATTTCAGTGAAACAGCTATAAGCTTCCACTGAAAGATACAAGTATTTTTCTTTTAAGAGAAGTTCTTGCCCTTACCCTAACCGAGGAGATGCAGAATGCCATCAGACATTATCCATTGTTAATTATATTAATTACTCTGCAAGCTCAGTCACAGGGTATTCTTCTACCTAAAGACTAAATGGTAAAATTAATGTTTCATAACTTGATGTCAAATATTTATAGAAAAAAAGAGATAATATAAATATAAATAACTGAAGTATGTAATAAATATAAATAATAACCAGAGAGGAAATCAAATCTAGACAGTTCTCATTTCTGAAGTTGGTCACAGGTTGTAATGGATATCAAGGGCTTCCTTCTTTTACTGTTTATTCCGTATTTCACCTTCCCTGAGCCAGAACTTTCACTGTTCAGGTTTGCTTTGTCAGTTTGTTTGTTTTTTTATCTATTAGCATAATTCAAAGCTCCTGAGTAGCTGGAGGCGCGCGCCACCATGCTAGGTTAATTTTTGTATTTTTAGTAGAGATGAGGGTTCACTATGTTGGCCAGGCTGGTCTCGAACTCCTGACCTCATGATCCGCCTGCCTCGGCCCCACGAAGTGTTGGGATTACAGGCATGAGCCACTGCGCCTGGCAATGTTCTGTGTTTCTTAAGCTGTCTATCTGTATTAACAAAATAATTTTAATATACCTTATTTTCATCTTTTAACAATTCACTAGTTGTTCTTTTCCTACATCTGATGGCTATTCTAGAAACTACAGCATTCATACATGACTTTTATGCAATTGACTTAATTTGTGCAGTAATAATACAAATGATTATTTTTATCACTTTCCTGATATATTTAGAGCCTTAGAAAATTTAACTTATTTTGTCCTTTTCTATATTTTATGCTATAATTGTAATCAATTTTGTTCCATGTATATTTTAAACTGCATAACACATTACCTTTATCGTATGTGCAGTCAATATTAATTGATAATTGCAATTTGCTCTTCAATTTTTTCCCCTCTTTGATTTAAATATTTCACTCTGGGATCATTTATTCTGCCTGAATAATTTTTTTCAGTTTTCATTTTATTGAAGGTATGCTGGAGACAAATTCCTTCAAACTTTGTCTGAAAGCATCTTTGTATGTGCATATATAAAGTGTGTATTGCCCAGTTACAAAATTATTGGTTTGCAGTTATTTTTCAGTGCTCTAATCATGCATTTTTTCCCTAGATTTTATCATTTCTTTTGAGTTGTTGGTCATCTATTTAAAGGTATTGTATCATTTTCCCCTAATTTCTTTCATAATTTTATATTTTTGTATCCTTTTCCTGAGTTATACTATGATACATCCAACTATGACAATCTTTGTTAATCAGAATTGTTTTTCTGAGACTTTGAATCAGTCAGTTGAATTTTTCAAAACAGTTCTCTAAAGTTCTCAGCCATTATTGCTATAATTATATTTTCTGCCCTATACTTTCTCTTTTCTTACTATTGTAATGCAATTATATATATTTTTAGTCACTGCGAGGACCTATTTTTCATTCATTGTCCATCTGTGTGACTCAGTTTGGGTATTTTCTACTGACAGTCCTTTGAGTTTTCTATTCTTCTGTTCTGGTGAGTGCCATTTGCTGTTAACTTCATCCGGATTTCAAATTAATTTTTTCCCTTTATGTATTGAGAGTGATTTTTGATACTTCTATTCAAATTTAATTTTCTGGTACAATTTTGATTCTTTAATCTATTTTGTCCATGGTGTATTATATTTTTAAAATACTAACCCTTGTTATTTTAAAAACTTGTTCATCAACTCCAACATCTTGATCTTCTCTGGGTCCTCTCCTAGTCCTTTTTAATTTTTTAAAAGCTTTCTGATTATAGTCTATGTCTAGTAAATTTTCATTGTGCACTAACCATTGAATATAAAAGAAGTAGAGTCCCCTCAAATGCTAATATCTTCTACCTGAAATTGTTTCTTTAACTGCCTATTAAGACAACAGATTGAGAGAACAATCACCTGAATCCAGTGTTGGATTTCAACCATTGCCATTAGGTTCAAACCTTAAGTAAGCCTTAGTGATTCTCTGTTTTACCCCTGTTCTTCAAGCACTGTTTTAGTGGGCATTTGATTTAAAGCTCACAAGATTCCTTTGTTTTCAGTCGTAAAAGCCTGCAAAGAAATTGCCTCTTGCCTTGAAAACTTTCTACAGTCTACCCAGTCTCTTATTGCAAGTATTCAAAATCTGCAAAATTGTGATGGGAAGACTTGAAGGATGCTACAGTGTAGGTCCTCTTTTAATTTTCTTCTGTGAATACTAAAATACTTCAAGACATCATCATCTAACTTTTGAAAAAAGAAAAAATAGCCTACCTCTTCAACTTCCCACAAAGACCTAAAACACAGAGGTTATGAAGGAATATTTAGTTGTTATTAGAAGTCCCTCAATTTTCACATCTGTCATACGTCTCAGTGAAACTCCCAAAAACTGCTGGTTTCTCTGTTTCTTGGCAGCTTACGATAGCTCTGACATTTTGCTTGAGCCCAAATTTTACTCTTCTTGAAGGGGAAAATAAAATTTTAAAAAAACTGTTGGTTATACAATCATCAGCTCATTAAGACATAGCTCTGCCCATCTAAAATTTTACATTATTTTGTTGCTTTAAAGTTCTTTGATGATTTTGCTAATGTATTTAGTTATGTACGTTAAATATGTTCTACTTGTTCTAGTGATAGCATTGACTTGTAATGACCACTTCTTTCTTCCAAAAAGCCATAGAAAGAAAAGTATTAATATTTATGTTTTTAGGGAAGGAGTGAAAGAGTTATAAGTAGTGATAACTCAATATATGAGGCCAGTATTAAACGACATAACTATGTTTTCTTTATAATGCATTTTAATGTAAATCACAACTCGCTCTTATTTTTCTTCCCAATAATTGGTATGCCACTGTCACAGTCTTACTCCCTCTCATATAGACAGTAAAATAATTTTAATTCATTTTGAATTTTCATCAAAATCCTAGGTTAACTATTTTTCCTTATGCTGAGTTTTTCTACTTAAGAAAAAAAGAAACTTTTTGTTTTAGTACCTTATATTTTTTCTTGAATTAATGGTTACTTTTTAAGTATATCTAGGTCTTTTAAATTTACTTAGGCATTTTCCTGACTTTTTTCCATAGCATATAAGAACTGTTCCATAATGAATTTCTAATTAACATATTATAAAACTATTGATATTTATTTACAAAGAGACATTTACATTATATGTTTCTAATACTTCTTTGTGCATTCTCATAAATTTTCCAGATTTAACTTAATCATTTGTAAATAATGTCAATATTCTTTTATACTTCCCAATATTTTCTTTTGTTTTTATTTCTAAACTAGTTCTAACTAGCTATGTGAAAAAATCGATAATAACATTAAATGATAGAGTGATTATGCTCATATGTGTCTTGTACTTGATATAAATGGAAATTGTTCATTGTTGTTCATGACTTTTTTATTCTGTATAAATAAATTATTAATCCTTTTCTATTTTTCATATAAAAAATAGTAATTTTGCATGGTAATCAAAGGTTGCAAACATGGTAAATCAAAGACAAAAGGCTCCATGGTTCCTCATAGGTTCAATAATCATTCTTAGTAAATGATCCATTCTCCTCTTTTCTTGCATAAATTGGAACTGGTAATTTTTTTCAGTGCTTATTTGTTTTTGCTTATTTTATTTATTTTTGCTGAAATTAAATAATTTATTCTTTATAGTCTAGTCACTATACTTTTCTTAGAGTAACTGTTATGTTTCCAAGATTACAAAAGAAAACATAGAAGCCTCTGTTTTCTTCCAGTATTTCTACATATTGTCATTTTTTAACATTTAAATTGGTAGTCATACCTAAAACTATGCTTATTGTAGAATTGTTCATAGTAAAAGCAAAAGAGATAATGAGTTAATATCCGTTAATATTTCAATATCAAAACCACCTATTACATCAGCTTTATCTGCATTTGCATTTATTTTAATGAAAATGTAAGAATTGCAAGGTTTTTCAAGGAAGCAACACTTATGTCTCCCATAGTACACATAACTATATTGAGCAAGGTCAGTGTCTTCTGTTGTCTTGGATGAGCACTCTTGGCTGAACTCTTGCAGTAGACAATGTAATGAGATAGGGTCTCACTCTGGTGCTCAGGCTGGAGGGTAGTGGTGCAATCATGGTTCACTGCAGCCGCCACTTCCCTGGCTCAGGTGATCCTCCCACCTCAGCCTACCAAGTAGCTAGAAATACAAGAGTGCACTGCCATACCTGGCTAATTTTTTGATTTTTGTAGAGATGGGGTCTCACTATGGTGCCCAGGCTGGCCTCAAACTCTTGAGCTCAAGCAATTCTCCCTCTTCAACCTTCCCAATGTGATAAGTTTCCAGGCGTGAGACACTGCGCCTGGCCCTCATTTATTCATATTACTTATGTTTTTGTATGTATAGTTGAACAAAATGTTTACTTTTTAAATTTTTCCAATATGCTTGTTTCCTATTTTCCTATTATCCTTGTCATTTCAAAATTTTCAAATTTTATATGTTCTCCAACAGTTGAAAGGAAAGTATATTATCTGTTTTGGAGGTGGAATACATTATTATTTTAATATCTGTGCCCTGAAACAAGATTGTTAAGCCCTTGTGTTCATATAGTATATCTGATATTTCTTCTTGTAGTTTCTATGTATTTTAATTCATAGTTTTATGTTATTTCTTAGTGAAAAGTGCTGGATCTTTGTTGTAGATTTCACCACTCATTATAAAGTGGTTGAATTATCTTTGTCTCAAGGAAACTTGATATCCTGCTTCCTATTTGTCCATTTGCTTGGTATATGTATCCTAATTTTTTTAACTTCCAAACTATGTAGTAGATTTATGAAAGATCCATCTCTTATATAAAAGTTGGATTTTTCCTTATTACCTAATCATTTATTTACTTTTTTTCCTTTTTATGGTTGATTTTATCAAATATTTGCATTGATACATCATCTTCATGTTTCAGCTATTAATTTTAGTGCACAATTTTATGTTTGCTGTTAGTTTTTCAATGTATTTTGTATTACAAAAATTGATAGCTCTGCAGATGACATTTGCTTTTCTATTGGTTAGATTTTAATATTAGACAATATCCTTTAACTTTCACTACTTGTATTACAAGCTTTTAATTGCATTATTAATTCACTAATGTAAAAAATTAGTACATTTACACTGTTTTGTTTGTTTTATTGCTTTTTCTTTCATTTGTTTGTGTGTGTGTGTGTGTGTGTGTGCCAATGCTTTAGTATAGGTACTTAAATAATTTTCCATTATTTCCAACAGAAATAAATTTGTATTGACTGCTCCCTTATTCTGAACAATGTTCTATTTTTTGGTCTCTGAATCTTTAGCAAAACTCTTGCACAAACTTGCTGCCTATTTATTAGTATGTGAATTAAAATAAGAATTTACATGCATTAGGTCTGTATTCTGTTGGGATACTTGGATAGTATTGATTCATTTCCTATTGTGGAAACATCTGGAATTCAGTTTCTTTAATATAAAGGAATGAATTCAATGGCATCTAAATTTTTTTCTATTCCTAACCTACTAGGATTGCTTACTTATTCATAGATAGCAACATGCATGACTATATGAACAACTACATATTCCCACAGGAAGCACTGAACAAATGTGTGATGAGGTGATTTTCCCTCCTTTTAACTGTACTGAGACATATGTGATAAATGAATTTTTAAAATGTGTCAGAGAAAATAATTGAAGGGAAATATTAAATTGCAATTGATAACTCTACAATTTTAATTAAAATAAATGAAATGATAAGAATATTTAAAAAGTACAGTTTTATATAAAAAAATACCAAATAGAATTTGCTCAGTAATGAGGAAAGGTAACCATTTAAATTTCTCTTGTTTTTTTTCCCAGTGCCATCTAATTACTCTAATTGACTAAAAGTTATTAGTTTTTTCTTTTTGATTTATTTAAGACATGTTCTTTTTATTGCTGAGTGATTTTTAATATAACTACTAAATACTAATGCTTCCTTCTCTACCCAATAACATTCCCAAGTTAATTCAAAAATTATGACTGAGGTTTTATTGGATTTCTGCTAAATTATTTTTCTTTTCATAATTGAGTTATTTTGTCTGTCATCTTATGAATTTCTCCTGAGTATATAAAGTTACATCCTCATCCTACATTTAGATATTTTTAACAGATTACTGATGGCTATACTGAGAATAATGATAGATTTTGGCTAGGACCAAGCAAGAACAACTACTAGCAAATTAACTACATTCATGTTTTGATTTCTTTTAAAAGATTATATAGGCTGGGCATGGTGGCCCAGCACTCCAGCACTCCCAGCACTTTGGGAGGCCGAAGTGGGTGGATCACCTGAGGTCAGGAGTTCGAGATGAGCCTGACCAACATGGTGAAACCCTGTCTATACTAAATACAAAAAAAAAAAAAAATTAGCTGGGAGTGGTGGCGTGCACCTGTAATCCCAGCTACTTGGGAGGCTGAGGCAGGCAAACCACTTGAACCCAGGAGGTGTAGGTTGCAGTGAGCCAAGATTGTGCCATTGCACTCCAGCCTGGGCAACATGATCAAAACTCTGTCTCAAAAAAAAAAAATTATATGAACTGTTGACTTAAGATAATATTCTCTCAGAATAATTATTTTATTAAAATATTTCTATGTATTTATTCTGAGTATCATAAAAATAAATATACTGGCACAATTCAAGAAGTCACGCAATTGATAAGCACTGTGAGAATTATATGAGAATTTGAATGTCATTTTATTTTTGTTATGACTGTTTGTTGTGTTCTTCATTGGTACCTCACTTCTATCACCTAATCTGTATTAATAAGATAATTGAAAAATCAGAGAATTTTTCAGTGAAGCTAATTTTTGTGATAGTTTTATTTAGTAATTTGTACTTCACAATAAGCAGTGAATTATTGATCTGTTTGAGGAGACACACATACATACATACAAAAATAAATTACAGCATCAACAATGATACAAATCATAATTGCTATGACATCTAAAAAGATGACATCCATGAGATTGTTGCTGAAACTACAGATGCCAGGGAAGGATTTCTTAAAGAACATCATGACTGAGCACAACCTTGGGTGATGGGTATCACATAGATAACGGGCAAGACAAATGAAGATCAATGGGACCAACCAAGACACAAGTGGAATATTTCACAACATACTTTGACACAATAATTAAAGCACCAGGAAGAATAGGCAAAGGGATTAATGGAAATACAAAAGGAAATGTCACATAGGTCTTATATGCTGAACTAAGACATTTGAAATTCAATTTACGTTTAATAACAACTATTTATATTATTGGGTAATGGGGGATATATGTTCTATGGTATTCTTAGAATGTGAATTCTGTCAATATGGTGTAGGGGAAATGAAAAGCAAGGGGACAACTTAACAGGTTAATCAAATGTCAAAATGTCACTTAAACTCCACAAAGGAAGAAAAAAAATGTTTCATGTTCATTTTCCCAGGACCAATAAAACTTTCTCTTGCTAAGTAAATATATGTAAATTGAATACATTGTGTGTCAAAAACAAAGATGTTTGAAAATTTGTCACTAATTCCATAATAGAGAAATTATTCATATATAGATGAATATGAATATTTGCCTTATGGGGTACTATACAAAATAGTCATGAATAGATAATATAATTTAGTAATCTTTTATTATTATTATTATCATTTCCACACAAGTAAAGAAATGGCTTTCTGACATGTTAATTTGGAAGGCAGAATAGTGTAGCTTAGTTAAAATGTCCAGGAAAAAAGAACTGAAAATAGAATAAAATAACGTGGCAGTTTCTATCTTAAACCACAACACTCATTGCCAAAACACAACCAGTCACAAAACACCACTAGAATGAAAAAATGCATGTATATCTTTTACATTTATAATTGAAAAATGTATATTATTTCACATTTAACATATGCATATTAAACCCATCTATATAGCCTAGCACAATGATTATGTTTATAAATTATATTTTACTACTAATAGAAAATGTTTCAAGAAAAATTATAAAGATATTTTGAGATACTCATTAAAATAAACCAGCCGGGCGTGGTGGCTCACGCCTGTAATCTCAGCACTTTGGGAGGCCGAGGCGGGCGCATCATGAGGTCAGGAGATCGAGACCATCCTGGCTAACATGGTGAAACCACGTCTCTACTAAAAATACAAAAAAAAAAATTAGCCGGGGTGGTGGCGGGCACCTGTAGTCCCAGCTACTCTGGAAGCTGAGGCAAGAGAATGGCGTGAATCCAGGAGGCGGAGCTTGCAGTGAGCTGAGATCTTGCCACTGTACTCCAGCCTGGGTGACAAGAGCAAGGCTCCGTCTCCAAAAAAAAAAAAAAAAATACAAATTATGCACTTTAACATAAACTATTAACTGACTCCAAGGTTAAGCTCTTACAGAAAATATTCTATTATTTGATTTTAAAATTATAGAGAGATCATAGTTATTATTTGTTGACTCTTTTCTGGGCATGTTCATGTACACCAGAAATCACCACACATGTGAGATATAGATATCACTTTCTATATTTCCAAAGAGAAGGATACTAAGACTCAAGGAGAATAATAAATTTCCCACGGCCACATACCTTAACAAGGGACAAGGCCATGTTGGATCTAGGACTAAATATCTCCAAAGCTCATTGTCCGAATTAATATTTTCACAATGATTTTTCTGATTATAAGCAGTGGATTCTGCTTGAAAACCAGAAATTGCAAAATGAATGTACTCACTAACTTAGAAACATAGATAAACATGATTATATGTAAAGGATTTTCCAATGCAAATTCAATAATGACATTTCTACAATCGTGAAGGATAAGCTATTAATCCTCATTGTTCCAAACTTTATTCTTTACAGATAATTCTGTTAAAAATATTAATCAATTATAAAATATAATATCAATATATAGATGATGAATAAATTCTAATGTATCTCTTTGTACCCTGATGCCTTCTTTTAGATCTCAGATTTTTTTTTACATTCATAGTCTCCAATAACTCACAACTTAATTGAAAGTTATTGTTTTCTATTATTTATATTGGCATGTTTTCCTAAGTACAGGAAATCACAAAGGTAATTTCCAGAGAAATTTAAAATTAGTCCCAGATTTCAAAATTATTAGCTCTATGGGAGAAACCAGGGAACTGTCCACTTAGAAATTATAAAGGTCAAGTACCAATCACATTTTATTTTACCTGGAAATTGATTTATTTAAATATTGCTCTAGTTAAAGAATATGCAACATATTTATTAAATATTAATATTTGTTTAGTTGTGCCCATTCTAATAGACCCTATTGAATATGAAGCTAAATAAGTTGGACATAATTCCTGCTTTCAAGGAGATCACAATCTAGTGAATATGGAATGTCAAAATATTAGGGTGCTCAAAATATAATAGTAAGTCTACATTTTTAAGTTAATTTCCTTGTCTCAACTGCATAAAGTGAAATCCAGTTCTTCTGCCCACAGAGACTATGTTAGCACTAGGTCAAGATGATAGAAAAATACTCTGAAAGCAATAAAAAGCCTTCCAAGTCCTGGATTTATAAAAATCAACTCCAAAAACAGATGAAAAACAGACAGTTCTAGACAATTGTAACCTTGGGTCATATGTGAGCTCCATTTGCAGACACATGAGCAACAGTTCACTTTTTACCCTACACTATCCTTGTTGAACAGCTCAGTAGAGGTCATCGCTTTCTAACTCATATAAAACAAAAAAGAAGTTGAGCTCTTTTTTATTTTTACAAAACCCAGACAAATAAAGAAAAGGAAAAGATACTTTTAAAAAAAGATACTTTGTTTCTAACTTTTAAAACTATTTTCTTAATTAAAAAGCCTCAAATTTATTTTCCTATTTCCTCAATACACATTTCAAATTACGTACATATCATCTTCCCATCTTATAGAATTCTTATGACAAAGAAGAAACTGAAACTGTTATTGAAACTAAAGGTTCAATGATGAGTGTCTACCAGAGTATGCATCCTCTAATGCTTAATGAAGAAAAAACTTTTATTATTTTTGTCAAATCAATTAAACTAATTTCTTTTGTCAAAAGCAGATGCACACCTCTACTGACACACATGTTCCCATCAATCTAAATAGAGAATTATGGCCTTAATTTTATTCAGATTTCTCAATTTCAATTTTTGTTAGGCCTTATGGTGAATTTGGAAACTACCTAAAATGATGAATTTTGATAACGCAGTAAAAAAATCACAATTTTTTTTACAATAGGGATTTTATCACACGAATTTTATCACGTGTCTCAACTCCAAGAAGTTTGTACCCTCTTAGCCACAGACATTCAATTTAAAACATATTCAATGTTCCACTGAACTATAAATGTAGCAGTTCTCAAATCATTATTTCATCTGAAAATAAACACAAACACATGCTATGTTGTCAAAGAAATAATTCATTCTCTCTCTATCTCTAAAATCCTGTTTGGTGGATAAGGACAGAGTAAAGAGAGTTTTGGTTTTAAATTCTACTCTGAGGCTGAATTGTCTGGCTAGGGTGGAAAGAACAGAAACAGTGAATATGGCGACTGCCCACCTAGAAATTTACTCAATCTTAGAAGGATCAATATTTTATGAAATTTAAGGAAACAAATTCATGACTGACTTTCATATCCGGACTGCATAAGAAAGAGATCAGAGAAGAGGTTGATTCACCTAATTGTGCATGAAATATATACGTGTGACGGTTGAGGTCATTTACTTTTGATTCTATCATTGTTTTCTGTGATTCCCAGTTTGCTTGATTGTTCATTTATACAATTTGAATCTTTTAATACATGTAAGGTCTTTCATGCATCAAGAAACTTTCAAGGTAGAGTAATATGTAATAATACTTTTCTCCTCACTCACTTAACTAACAGGATTTTAAGTTTTACAAAGTGTAGTAGGCAGAATCATGCCCCCTCTTTGTCTGCCCCCAAAATGTCCATGTCCTAACCTGAGGAAACTGAATAAGTTACATTGCACTATGTGACTAAATGTAAGAATTTTGACATGAGAAGATTAGCCTGAATTACACACATGGGGAGAATATAATCACATGAGTCATTGAAAAAACCCGTCCCATCCCAGGTCTGGTGAAGAGGAATTGTTGCCATAAAATAATGAGTCAGAGAAACTCAACATTACTGCTTTCAAATGGAGCAAGGAAGCCATGAGCCAAGGGATGTTGGAGGCTTCTAGAGGCCAAAGAAAGAAACGAAACAGATTCTTCCCTGGAGATTCCAGAAGGCAATACATAGCCCTAGGGACATCTTGACTTTACCCCACTCTGACACATGTCAGGCTTCTAGCCTATGGAACAGTAAGGTAGAAATTTGTATTTTTAAGCCACTATATGCGGGAATTTGTTATAAAAGCAACAGAAAACTCACACACAGAGATTTCATTAATAAATCCAATGAGAAAGATGATTTATTACCTAGAGACAAGAAGATAAGACTCAAGTCTCCTCTCTTGGTCTTATGCTGACACTTGTTTGCACTTGCACTACTTGGAATGGCTGAAGATGCAAGAGTTGTAATTTCCTGGGTTTTCTCCAACTGTGGTCTGCAGTTCTGCAAGGACTTTCCCTGGAATATCTTACCTCCTCCATTTCCTCTCAATCCAAATAAATAAATAAATAAGCAAATATACAAACCACACCAACAAGACCACAGGAGTAATTGATGGAATATCCAATTTTACGTGTGTGTGTGTGTGTGTGTGTGTGTGTGTAACGGGTGCTACTACTTTTATTTTTTTCATTTTTATTTTCTCTATTTTCCTTTATTTCTCTCCCTCCAGTCATCTGGATTATTGCTTGGTGGACTTTGGTTGAACCAGATCTACAAGTGTCTCTCTTTCCATACTTCCTACTGCCTTCATTGATGTTGTGTAAAGGGCCACTCTCATGGAAGCCAGGTATTATTCTCTTTACTGTTCTCACCTCACTATTCAACTGTATCAGTCCACTCTCTCACTGCTAATAAAGACATTCCTGAGACTGGGTAATTTATAAAGGAAAAAGGTTTAATTGAGTCACAGTTCAGCATGGTTGGGGAGGCCTCAGGAAACTTATGATCATAGTGGAAGGGGAAGCAAACATGTCCTTCTTCACATGGCAGCAGGAAGGAGAAGAATGAGCAAAAGGGGGAGAAGCGCCTAATAAAACCATCACTCGCTATCACGAGGACAGCATGGAGGGATCACCCCCATGATGTAATCACCTCCTATGAGATCCCTCCGCCAACACGTGGGGATTACAATTCAAGATGAGGTTTGGGTGGGGACACAGAGCCAGACAATATCATCAATTTACCTCTTCCTTCCTTCCACTAACTAACTCCAGCCTTCTCTCCATTTTCAACGAATCCTTCCTACTCTAACAGCTGGGAAACTGCTCATAGTTCTTCCTTTCCCAGTCGTGGATATTCTGGCATTTTCTTCTTACCTGGTTGCTGGTCAGGACCTCACTGAGGAGACTCTCCCCAGCAGCCTGCTGAAGCCCTGCTGTGCATGCTCTCTGTATTCCTCACCTTCTTAAGCAGTCAAGGAAATTCATCTGCAGATTCCCTTTGAAAACTAATTCCTTTACCTGTGTTTTAATTCATTTAAATAATTTGAACTTTCAGAGAGGGTGAAATCCCTTTCCCTCGTATAATTAAACCTGACATAAATTCTCAGCCTCCCAAAACATATGTAGAACACACAAGGTTGCACAGGAAGAAATCTCAGTGCCACGAGCATTTCCAGCACGTGAGTGTCATTGTTTAAGAAAATAACTACATTGAAGCCTCAGTCCCTGTGGTTTATTACAGGAGCTAGGTCATATTTTCAAAAGCACATTTCAAAAAAGACTGAAATTAATTCAGAATTGCTATTGCTCTTGATTCTAGTCCATAGAAGGACATGCAGTAGCATACAAATTATTCGTCTCATTAATAAATGTATCCCACGTTCTCTCCACTCAAATTTGTTATTCCACAGTATCTTTAGTCTCTCACTTGCCAAAACATTATAGAAAACTCTACTTCCTTATTCTAGTTTTTCAGCCTGCTATTTACCCAGTTTTCCATTTTGAGTTATTTTAATGGACTTAGCCTCTTTCACCAAGTACTTCCCCTTCTGTCTCCTCTAGGCACCTGTTCCTCCTGTCCCATTCTTGGTATCCATGTCACTAAATAATCCAGGACCTGGCTCAGCAAGACTAGAATCCCTTAGGCATGTAGAGGAGAATGTGTTAGGTGGAGGGAGATGGGGAGAAAGACCTACAAACAGAACATCATTTAGGCCCAAGTTGTACTGGAGATTCTGTGTTTGACAACAGAGCTCATTCATTTAAAAAGACTGGCTAGTTCTGAGTTTTGTTTCTTTACTTTGGGGAGTGTCAGCAATTTTGAAGCTGACTCACTCTGCTTTACTCACAAACAATTTCAACTCCCTGACACTCCCCATCTTCTTATTCTAGTTACCACTACTGCTATCTCTACTATTGCTACTACTGGTATGTTACTACTACTATTACTACTTCTACAACATTGTTATCACTTGCTATTTCCACCCATCTTTCTGAATTTCCTTGTAAGCCACCTTCTCAAATCTCTGTCCATTGTCAAAATACTCACTGAAACCTCACAACAAAGACAATTTTTCTGCCTCAAAGGAAATATTCATCTGGATATTAGGCTGCCTCTAGGTTTTAGGTGTCAACTTGGCCTTTCTCTGGAAGAAAACTTCTCTTTTCTTGCAGTAGAAATGGGAATAGCTTTGGCTGACACAGGTATGACTAGAATTTGAACAAACAAATCTTCAGAAGCCGAATTTGGGGCTTTGGTTTTACATACCTTCCTGCAATACTTCAGTGAAACCGTTTCAGCTTCTGCCCCTTAACCATGGTTCTCCAGAGCTCTCATGCACTGATGTCAGATATTTTAAATTTTTGTGAGTTTTTTGCTTTGGTTTTATATATAAGCTGTCATAGAAATTGTCAGAGCAATTAGAAATGCGATAGTCACAAATTGTGACTCATATAAATGTAGTCTGGCAAGGCCTGTAGACCCAAGTAACACCTATATGTTTTCATTATGTTTTTCATCATAAAGAATTAAACTTACAAAGAGTGCAATGAAATCAAAGGTGACATAGTTCAGTAAAAAACAGCAGCTATGTTTAAATCTCCATGAAACAGGGAAACATTAAAACACCCAGCAGTCACAAGAATATGAATACTCCTCTTATTATATTGGGGCAGAAATTATTAAAGACACATTGTCTTTGGTTATGTTGAAGATTCTCTTAATTCTGGTATTATTAATAAATTAAGAAGTATAAACAAGACACTTAATTGGCTATAAAAAAGAAACAGTTTATTAGCTTGGATATTTTTAATTCTTATTCTTGACTTCTATGAAAAATATATATTGTTTATTGATAGAAATTTAAAACAGACCTACCCTATAGTTATCTAAATATTATTTGAGTAAAATACTCGGTCTAAAGTAATATTTGTGTAACTGGATACTCTTGAAGAGTTTTAATAAGAAGAAAAGACAGTCACAGAAGCAAAGAATAATGGCTACCATCTTTGAGGTTATACCATTCTCATGGGGACTCATAGGGTTTCAGATCCATTCATCAACTGTGAGTTGAGGAAGACAGTTACAACTTCAGTTGAAGCATCTTTCTTCAGTGTCACTGGGGTGCTATCAATCAAAAAAGAACCTTTTGAAAGAAAGTGTACAATCAACCTTGACTTAAGAGGGTTTAAGAAATGCAGACATAGTAAAGAATATTTAAAATTATTTATATCTTTTTTGTTTCATTCCTCATATGTTAAAAGTGAAAAGAAGCCATATTATGGAACACTTATAAAGCTATTAAAAATAATGTACTAAGTCTCTATGTTTGGTATGGAAAATTAACCTGTTATACTGTTGCCTTTTTAAACCAATTCACATAACTGTATGTGTATTATGAGTCTATTACTGTAAAATGTGGGCATGCATGTGTGTGTGTGTGTGTGTGTGTTGTGTGTGTGTTAAAAATGTTCGAAAAGGCACATTTGTGTGTCTTAATAAGGTTTATGCCTAGAGACTTCAGTTTTGTCATTTTAGTTTTTATTTTTCTAATTTTTATAAGTACAAGTTTTTTTGTAAAAAATAAAATAATGCAAGAAAAAATCTATATGGCAAGTTTATACTTATATCAAAATAAAAAAATTATTTTGTCATTTTATTTCTCTCAAAATGTAGTCAAGAGGAATACTTTATATATATATATATATATATATATATATATATACACATACAGTTTCTATGTTACTTCTCTCAAAATGCAGTCAAGAGGAATACTATATATATATATATATATATATATATATATATATATATATATACACACATATACACACACACAGTTTCTATGCATTGCATCATGTTTAGACTCCCTTGGAAAACAGTGTTCATGAAGTGGCAGGGAAATTCTCCAAGTAGTAATGACTTTGTCTGGGTGAGAAACTGGCAAGAGTTGGAGATGGGAAAGAAAAGTACTCTTTCCAAATGAGTTATTCCAATGTCTTCCAATGTCATCACAAACGACATTGGAAGGGAATTTCAGTTCATTAAATGTTTCTGAATATATTATAAATGCATTAGAACAGACACAGAAATAATTTATCAGATTGATGCAAAAGTAATTGCAGTCTTTGCCATTACTTTTAATGGCAATTACTTTTCAAGGCAAAAAAAAACGTAATTACTTTTGCACCAACCGAATAGTATAAAATATACCAAAAATATTGAGAAATATTTAGTTTAATGCACAGTTAGTGCCCATGTGATGATGATGATCCAATTCTACTTTAAGATAGGACAGGTTTCAGAGCAAAGTGTGTACTTTAAGATAGGACTCTACTTTAAGATAGGACAGGTTTCAGAGCAAAGTCTGTACACATGTATGGTTAGAATCAGCTGTAGAGTAAATAAATAAGGTGTTGATTGAAATAGAAGTTTCCCCAACAATGGCAATTGAATTCTGAAAGGGCTGCAGAAAATGACGTGTAGATGATCCTCTTTCATTCAAGATAATGCAGCAGTATTTAGCACCTTGGTTGCATTTTATTTCTCACTCGCTTTTTAAAGTGACATTCCCGAGAGCGTGACGTATGCTGTTGTGCCACTTGCTCTTTCTCCGGATGGTGACAGTACCTACAGGGCAGCGTGTTCATCTCTTCATTTTTGGCCTTGTCAGTATTTCTACTTGTATATTTACTTTCAGAAATTAGTACCCATTATCATGGAGTACTGAAGGGGACGACACAGAAGGAAAAGGGGGCAGTCATGAATCCTGATGGGAAGATAACGCATTGCTCCTCACGCTCCTTTCCATTCTGCTCCCTCCCACTGTGGCTTCTCTTCACACCTTGATACCTCTTCAGTACTTCTTGCCAGAATCCTACCATGGCGACGAACTTATCTAAAAGTCTTAGAATCATACATTTAAAATTACCTTTAAAATGTCAAATTCCCTGCATTGCCATTAGCATTATGTTTCCTTAAAAATGAAGAGGTGTTACCCTGTAGAACTGTCATAGAGGGAGATAGCCACTGCCAAAACAAAGAAACCTGAAAGCAGAGATGGATTGGAGAAGAAATCCATGTCTGTGGCTCTTCCTGCTCCTTGATATCTTGCTGGTGCTTTCCATGGCCTGAGCCCAGCTAGACGTCACAAGGGTGCAAGGTGACTCAGTGCTAAGGGTCAGGCCTTTGTGGAGAGGAAGCAGGGATGGATGGAAGAAGCTGGAGAACTTGTTCATGGTTAGAGACCCAGCAAGGGCAAATCCAGGGCTAGAAGACAAACCTTACTAAATTAGTTTAGTCCTGTGACTAGGCATAATATAATTACTTTTCTGTGAAGAACTTGAGTTATTGAAAAGGTATAAACTCTGATGGAATAAAAGGAATAAGTCTTTACAGGTCCTACTCGAATTTCAGGGACAGAACTAGCTCCTCCTGTCTACTAAAACTTTGTATCCTTTAACCAATATCTCCATTTCCCCTCGCCTGCCCCAGCTTCTGGAAATTGCCATTCTATTTCTCTGACTTGAAATTCTTAGTTTCCACATATAAGTGAAATCATGCAGTATTTGTCAAAATGTACCTGGCTAATTTAATTTAACATGAAAGTTCTTCAGGTTTATCCAAGTTGTCACAAATGACAGAATTTCCTTCTTTTTAAAGGCTGAGTAGTATTCCATTGTTTATATATTTGACATTTTCTTTATTCATTCATCTGTTGATGGACAATTAGGTTGATTTCATGTATTAGCTGTGGTGAATAATGTAGCAATGAACATAGGATCTATTCTACAGCATGGTAACTCTAGAAATAGAATGGTGTTGCATACTTGAAAATTGATAACAAAACAGATTTTAAATTTTCTCACCTCAAAAAGATTGACAAGCATATGAGGTGATGAATATGTTAATTAGTTTAATTACTAAACAATGTATGCATATATAAAAACATCACATTGCACTCCATAAATATATACAATAAAAAGAAGAAATTCAAGGGAAAATGGAAAGGTTTGTTTTACATGTATATTTGTAAACAGCAGCGTACTAGAGGTGGTTGAAATGGTCTGACAAGGACTAGCGGTTAAATCTTCAGGAATTTTGTGAGCTAGTTATTACACAGAGCTCCTATTAAAAATTAAAATTTATAAAAACACTATGTTAAAATAATGTAATATACTTAAAACATTGCTTCACACAACCATTGTATTACTTCCTTTTTTTTTTTTTTTTTTTGAGACAGAGTCTCGCACCATCGCCCAGGCTGGTGTGCAGTGGGGCGATCTCAGCTCCCTGCAAGCTCTGCCCCCTGGGTTCACGCCATTCTCCTGCCTCAGCCTCCCAAGTAGCTGGGACTACAGGTGCCCGCCACCACGCCCAGCTAATTTATTGTATTTTTAGTAGAGACGGGGTTTCACCATGTTAGCCAGGATGGTCTCGATCTCCTGACCTCGTGATCCACCCACCTCGGCCTCCCGAAGTGCTGGGATTACAGGCATGAGCCACCACGCCCAGCCCATTGTATTATATTTTACCATATTCTGTGCTTTTGAGTTTATGCCTATAGCATCTGTAGAGTGAAAATATTATACAAGTGTATTGTTTCTCAACTCTTTCCTCAGTGCCGTCATGTTAATTGCTTGAAATTAGCTGTGGTAAAAATATTTACACCACAGGAATTGGTAAGTGATACAAATTAGGATTTGATTTACTTTTCTATTTATTGTTTAAATTTAAAGTGATGGATAAAATGTTAGCAATGAGGGATAGCCTTAAAAATATGTAGTGTCAGTAATGGTAATTATGCAGAGCACACGAAAATGAGAAAATACTTTTCCAGTATTTGAAATTATTAATGCCTTCAGCCGAGAATTTGTGCACATCATGAGTGAACAAGTAAAGCTCCGACAAATCCAGAGCTAAAGCTGAAAACTCTTTCAGTTTTATGAATAAAGTTTGCATTAGAGGAAGGAATAGTTCAAAAGCAGACTCTATATGGGATTTAGTAACAATTAATTTATTGAGAGAACAGTTCATTAAGTAGGATGCAACTTTTTGTCAAATCATGGCTGGACTGCAAGCGTTGTTTTGCTAAGAATGCAAGGATTTGCCAAAAAACAAAAAAAATCAACAAAGGTACTCTCTGAGACTCCACTGAATATATAAACATTTGCAATAAAAATGTTTTATCATTTTGGTAAATTGTTTGCTACGCTTTCTTTATATCAGTAAAATGTATAAAAACTTAATATGTAAAAGTGTATTTTTTTCAGAGAGATGGTTATTAAGCATTTCCCATCAGGCTGAGTATTTTTTTCATTATTTTATCCTCATACTCTAATCTATTTTCATTTCTTCAACTATAGGCAGTGAAACAAACATATAATTTATTGTCCAAACTAGGATGATGTTTTGAGAAGGATAGTTGCAAAATCAAAAATAGGCTAAAAGATCACCTTACTCAAAATTAATCTAGTATGTTTAACATTTAATGCATATATTTTTGTTTATACTTGTTCTTGCCAAAATGTTGCATATAGACTTTTTGTGTGGTTATTTTTATATTGTTCTATCTCCTTTGTTGCACCTAAGTTCTGACTTTGTCTTAATCATAATCATCAATTTTTGCCATATATTTGTGATTTTTAAATTTTCCTTAAGATGCTATTTATCCCATGTAGCTAATAAAGTTTTTTTTTATTTTTTATTAAGGTTATAATTTTATCTTTTACAGTTTTGTCTTAAACATACCTAGAATTCATCCACTAGCTGGTATTAGGTAGAGAATCATTTCCATCCTTCCCCCATTGACCACTGCATTTTCCCTATTGATTAAGGGTAATAAATATATTGTACATTAAATTTCCAAATATTTATATGCTCCTCCCTCAGTTTTACTCAGTCCTTTTCATCTATTTGTCTTTACTCATGCCAATACTACTCATTTTTATTACTATGGATTTGTAAAGTATCTTACCTTCTAGCAGAACAAATTTTTCCCTTTTCCTCTTATTTGTCACAAGTATCATTAGGAGCATAAGACATCTGGAGGCAGTGTGCCAAACGGCAAGAGGCAACACAATAAGAGAGCTGGAGGCAGGGATTTTAGACAACATTACCTGCTTTCCTAAATGATTGATCAAGTCTCAAAAGAATGTCACTATTTTTATGACTTTTATATTATTCCTCATAAGGTCCAGAAAGTAATTGACAATATAATTTGGCAGTATATAGAGGTAAAATAAAATTTTTCCTTTTTAAAAAATTCAAGTCATTGATTAGCACATAAAATGTGGATTTTTATACATACCACACATGTGTGTACCTGTGTGTTTGTGTGTGTATATACGCATATATGGTTAACAACTCATCTATATTTAATCACCTAAATTATATTTTGAAAGGATTTTCTACACTCTTCAATTGTATTATATTATTCGCATTCCTTCTTCATTTCTTGTCTAAAATATCTCAGAATCTTTTGTTGCTTGAATCCCTGAAATCTAAGATCCAGGCTTCTCTTTCTTCTCATTAGACAATATCTTTCCAAGCCATTTCATCTACACCCCTAATTCAGTTACCAAGTACTGCTTGATGGCTCACAACTTTATAACTTTAAATGTCTTCCTCTGGGATCCAGGCTCAGTGACCCAAATATGTAGATTTTCTAAAGGCAACTCATAGTTATACATCCTCCTTCCATATTTCCTGTTTTTGTGAAACATTATCTCTGGTCCTGGAGCTGGGAAATCCAGAGGCAAAAGGTAACTAGGGCACTGTCAGTTTTCATGTAAAATTCAGCACTAAGTCCTAACAATCTTATATCTTTGTGTTTCACCTTGACAGCAAAACTGTAGGACAAGACATCATTATCTCACTGGAACTATGAAAATCTCCTCCTCACCATCCTAACTTCGGTCAGCTTTGCTTCCCTCCTTTAAATCCAGTGTCTACATTGCAGCCAGAATAGTCTTTGGAAAATACAAATATGACCAGATCACTCCTCTACTTCGCATTATTTTCAGAATACAACTCAAAGTTCTTATAAGGCCCTGCCTTATCTGGCCCCTGCATTCCTCTCTAGCTCAGTTAATATCACTGCAACCTTGGTTTTGCTAATTTCATGACTCAATATCCCCTTCCCATTCCTTGAATACAACATGCTTCTTCTACCTTCAGGACTTTTCCAAATACAGTTCGTTTTGCCTTGAACAGCATCCCCCATGAGCCCAGTTAATTTCTGTGCATATTTTAGATCTCAGCTCAAAAACCATTTTGTCGGGGAAATATTCCTGAACCTAAGGACCAAGTCATATCCCTCTGCCATAGGCTGTCACATCTTTATTTCTAAGTCACAGCATTTGCTGAAGTATGTACTTATGTTTATTGAAAAGTTGAATAAAATCCCCCTATTCCAGAGACTATAAATTCCATGTCTAAAGACACTGTTTTCATCACTTTGACGTTTTTATTGCCTGACAATTAAAATTTGATAAATATTTATAAAATTAAGAATAACAATGTTTTGGCCGGGAGCGGTGGCTCAAGCCTATAATCCCAGCACGTTGGGAGGCCGAGGCGGGCGGATCACGAGGTCAGGAGATAGAGACCATCCTGGCTAACACGGTGAAACCCCGTCTCTACTAAAAATACAAAAACCTAGCCGGGACTGGTTGTGGACGCCTGTAGTCCCAGCTACTTGGGAGGCTGAGGCAGGAGAATGGCGTGAACCCAGGAGGTGGAGCTTGCAGTGATCCGAGATCGTGCCACTGCACTGCAGCCTGGGCGACAGAGAGAGACTCCAAAAAAAATAAATAAATAAAATAATAATAATAATAATAATAATGTTTTTTGAGGTAGGTTAAAAAAAACAATTAGTTTCATGACTAGGTACAGATAGCCCTCTAAGAAATTAGAGCTAATTAGAAAAAGAATTTGATTGTGGCCTTTTTGTTGCTTGTTTGGAGGCACAAGGCTCTATGAAAGAAGAAACAAAGCAGTTACCTTCGTATTTTCTGATACACACTCTTTGGTTTATTTATATATTGTATCAGCTTGGTTTGAATATGAAAACACATTTCCTGTAATTATTACAATAAAAGTAGTTTGTATAAAAAGTAGTGTCTTCATGAAAGTTAAAGAATCTAGGAGAGTGAAGATCTAGAAAATATAATTGAGACCGGGCATGGTGGCTCACGCCTGTAATCCCAGCACTTTTGGAGGTTGAAGTGGGAGGATCACCTGAGGTCAGGAATTTGAGACCAGCTTTGCCAACATGGTGAAACCCCGTCTCTACTAAAATACAAAAATTAGCCGGGCGTGGTGGTGAGCGCCTGTAGTCCCAGCTACTCTGGAGGCTGAGGTGGGAGAATTGCTTGAACCCAGGAGGCAGAGGCTGCAGTGAGACGAGATTGCACCTCTGCACTCCAGCCGAGGGAGACTCCATATCAAAGGGGGGAAAAAAAGAAAATATAATTAATATAATTGAAGGGTTGAAAAACAAGTTTGATTTTATCTTGTGGCGCTTAAGTTGGGGAAGAAAGTCTCTAATTGTGTAGATGTTTGCCATTGTCATAACTGCAAAGTCAGAGCTTATAAATAGACCTGAAATCCAACCGCATCATACGTCTATGTTTGAAAAAATAACAGTTCCGTTCATTTCTATCTTCCAAACCTCACATGAGTAACTCTCACTGGCAAACTTTAATTCTAAAACATACAGAGAATGGGGCTCAAGGAAAGAATGGGTGAGAGACATAATGTTGAGTTAGGCTGACGTTTCATACGAGTGAATTAACCAGAAATTCTGGAGTCAACGTATTAGTGTGAGCAGCTGAAAGGCCCTAACAGTTTGCTCAGCCAGTTGACTTGAACTTGGACAAAATTGGTATGGACATTGAGACACCAGAATTTCCTCGATTTTCTGTAGAAGAAAGTATCTCAAACCTTAGGGTTACAGATATACTAAGGAGGAGAGAACAGGTACACTAAGAGAGGAGGACAGGTATACTAAGGAGAGAAGATCAGGTATACTAAGGAGAGAAGAACAGGTATACTAAGGAGAGGAGGACAGGTATACTAATGAGAAAAGGCCAGGTATAATAATGAGACAAGGACAGGTATACTAAGTAGAGGACAGGTATACTAATCAGAAGAGGACAGGTGTACTAACTCTTTCCTCCTGTAGGGTCCGGCGCACCCACACTTCACCAAGGCTTTGAGAAGGATGTTGGCGGGGCTGCTCTAGCATCTCACATTGCTGGTTCTGCAGTGGCCAGAAAAGAGAGCAGAAGAGGCCACCATCAAAGTGGTCTTTACTGAATTCTACATGGATGAGGAGTCTTCCAAGTGACAGATAGCAAAGGGTGGCCCTTATCCTCGAGAGACAAAGAGGCAGTTTCTGTAGTTCCAGCAGGGCCAGAGCAGTTATCAGAATGGGTTGGTTTGACCTGCATAGATTTTTTGAGACTATGTGGCCATGCCATTCCTGTAAGTGAAATTAATGAGCATCATACTAAAGTGTTATATGATCATCGGAATAGTAGAAAAGGAAAAAAAAGTCAAGCACAAATCAAGAAAAAAGAACAAAAATGATGATTCTGGAAAACAGAAATATTCTTTGAATTAACACAATAGAGTCAGGATCTGTCACCTAATTTTCTGACAAGGGATAGTTCAAAATTCCAGAACACCTTGAATAAAGTGGAGTCAGGTCCCCTTAACAAAGGACGCTGTAAATACTAAATCTTATAACAGCAGAGTCTACAATACATGATGTGCACACACACAGACACACACATACTCACAATAGAACTAGTGAAGACTGACAACCAATCAGAATAATATCATCAATGAGGGATTAGAAATTCCTTTGCAGAACATGTCAAATGCCACCATATTCCTTAATATGTATTTTGACTTTTCTTTTTAAATAGAATGATTTTTATCTAAATTTTATCACTATGACTTCCAGCATTGTACAGGTGTTGATAAAGGCACAGGACTTCATTTGCAACTTTTCTGGAGATAAATTCACTCCCACCAATCACTCTATTTCTCCAAGGATAGTTTTGTTATGAAGATAATTATTTACATGAATTTTCTTTTAATTTAGCACTATGAATGATTCAAAAATTATGATGATGCCACACAGCTGAGACATATAAATTAAAATAATATTTTAGATAATACACGTCAGGTTTCCCTTCCAGGACTGCAGCATCAAAAGTTCTGCAGACTTAATCCCCAGCAAAACTGGCAAATATGATGAAAAAGTGTATATTTTTAAAATGACAAATTTCCATAAAATTAATAAAACCAAAGTTACACTTCTAGGGTATGTATATGAAATTTTTAAGTAATTTGATTGTATTGCTATATTCCATAGATAACTTTATCATGTGAAATGTGATTAAATTTGTTTTTAAATTGATTTCTAATATTGAGTGTTATTATTATTTTGGTGATCCTTTTATATATTCTTTTTTTATCTGTTTTTCTGAAAAACATGGATTTGAAATTTTTTCCTAATGCTCACCTGTTGCCATCTATCCCACCAATACTAACTGGGTCACAAGTGAATTTTGCAAAAATCATTTGGGTCATTTATCATGGTTTTGCCGCAGCCATCTGAGCTGAACTACCACCTTTAGTTTTGCAAACTAAAACTATACGTCCGTGACACATGTTCTGTAAGGGAAATATTTAACAAGCAGAAGGATCCGTGTTAGGTTTATTTTAATAAGCAAACAGGACCCTATTTGCTTATTAGAATAAACCCAACATATGAGTTCAAAAGGTTTGCAGGATACAAAAGAACCATAAGAAAATCAATTATGTTTCTATATACTGGCCATGAACATGCAGAAAATGGAATTAAAATGCATTACCATTTACAATTGGCAAACAAGGAACACTTAGAAATAAATGTGACAATACATTGTTGTATCATTCCTGATGTTAGGGGAAAGCACTCAGTCGCTCATCATGAATTATAATATTAACTGTAGACTTTTTTTTGGCAGGCATTAGTTATCAAGCTAAGAAATACTCCCGTTTTCTTGTTTGGTTTTTTGTTTGTTTTGTTTTGTTTGTTTGTTTGTTTGTTTATTGAGACCAGGTCTTGTTCTGTCGCCCAGGCTGGAGTGCAGTGGTGCAATCTCGGCTCTCTGCAACCTCTGACTCCTGGATTCAAGTGATTCTCCTGTCTCAGCCTCCTGAGTAGCTGGGATTACAGGCATGCACCACCACGCCCAGCTAATTTTTATATTTTTAGTAGAGACGGGGTTTTGCCATGTTGGCCAGGCTGGTCTCAAACTTGTGACCTCAGGTGATCCACCTGCCTCGGCCTCACAAAGTGCTGGGATTACAGGCGTGGGCCACTACACCCGGGCTGTTTTCTGTCCTTTAATGTGTGGTCAGTCAGTTGTGGCCAGGGAAGGGACACAAGAGAGGCATGGAACACACCCACAAAAAAAGCTTGTTATACTTTTAGGTCCTAGAGAGACACAGAGGCAGTTACATAGTAGGGAGCATTAAGTGGAAACAGCGCCACAGAGAAGACAAGGAACAGAGAGAAAGAATGAGGACTGGAGGTCAAGTGCCTTTATTGGGATCAGCGTGCCTGGTCAGAGTAGTCATAGTCTGTGGAGAGGATTAAGCAACCAACAAGAAACATGAAGTTTTAAAATTCACAATGCAACTCCCTATTCCTATTTTTCTGAGAGTCTTTTCATAAACGTGAGTTTGAATTTTTTAAATGCGTTTTTTTGCATCAATTGATCTGATCATGCAATTTTCCTTCTTTTTGGCCTTTTCAGATGATGGAACACATTGATTTATTGTCAAATATTCAACCAGCCTTAAATTCTTACAATAAATTCCGAAATAGTCCTTGTGTATCGTCATATTTAAATGTTTCTGAAATCTATTTGTTAATATTCCATTAAGACTGTTTACATATATATTCATGAAAGTCAGTAGCCTGCAGTTTTACTTATTTGCACCATTCACACAATGGTGCATACACACAATTGCACAGTGCACATGTCTCTCCCTTGCCTGCTATTGTTTTCCCTCTCTCCTGGATCCTGAAGGTCTCGTTTCTACATGAAGTGCTCCCTTTTCTAGCTCTCCTCCCCAGCCCAATGCAAATACACATCACTTTGTGTTCTCTTCCCATCTCCTGCTCCTGATTCACGGTTTCATCTGACACACAGAGAGCTTTGCCTCTGAGAAGTCTCTGACTGAATTGCTGGTGTTTCAAGAGGAATTGGTATTTCTGATGTCATGGCATCTTCCAAACTGTATTTATGGTATTAATTTTGAGGACTAGCCAGTTTATTGTGGTTTTATTAGTCACATATGCATATGAAAATATTCCAACTGTACAAAATTGTGTACAAACAAAAACAAGGACCTCTTCTTCCCTATGTGGCTGGGTTTCTTTACAAAGTTAAACACTGCTATACCGATAAACATAAAGCAATTTGTGTACATATAGAACATGGAGCATATTCAGTATTTGACTTTAATTACAATTAATATTTACTTCTCCATATTCATTCAAAGCTTATAAACTCTAAGAGCTGAGTAATTGTATTTTCTCTTCTTAAGTTAAGCTTTTTCATGGCCCCTGCCCATTGGCAGGCACTGAGTATATATATGTTAAATATGTCGACACATATTTTAGACATGTAATTGTTAGAAAATTACTAAAAAATGTGGAACATATATAAAACTATCTGTAGTAGAGACAATTATGTAAATGTGTTTGCAAATGTCATTCAATATGTTAAGAAGTAAACAAAATAAAGTTTAATAAAGCTAACCATTTTTAAAGTAAATTGTCATTTTTCGTTCATATATCACTTTGGCTTTTGCAACTAGGAAGCATAGCATGGCCCACTTGTCCCAGTCATTATTAAATAATATTTAGAAAATACTGTGACTGATTGTTACTACTGCCCTAACAACAATATTCCATTAGAGATCTATAAACAATAACACAGAGAAAAAAAGTCCCATTTATTCTTCCAACATAACTATGTCTAAATACCCCAAAACTGCCAACTCTCTTGTTTTATTTAAAGCACAAAAGAAATACAGACACACAGGTAAAGGATGAACTATAACTTTCCATGACAGAAAATAGTCAAGAATTTCAGAAACTGCAGGGATTAAAAGATGTGAATAAATATTTATAAATGTGAACTAAAAAAACTGTAGTCAACAGAATTCTCAAGAAGAATTTTCTGCTCAATGTTTCTTCTTTGTGTAGTCAGACTGTTCCTTGAAGCTTAGATCTAAGAATGAAAATTACTTTCACTTCAGCATACTTCCTAGTTTTCTCATACTTTCTGGAAATAGACATTAAAATATTGCCAAATCGAATTGTTAGTTTTTTCCTTATAGTTGACATCCTCTTTCTTTCAATCCAAAGTCTAATCTGTTCATATTTCCAAGTATAACTATACATAATAAATCAAATATTAAAATATAAACTGGCCTTCATTTGATTAATAATAGCCATGTGTCTTTTTAATACAGGTGACAATATCCTTAACATTACCTAATTTAAATTATATTGTATGAGTTTTAAGTAACTCATGCAATATTCTGTATCATCCACACATTTTTATCCTACCAAATGCTATTTAGTATTAAACATCATCAATTAAAGTCATGAGTTTGTTTTTCTCCAAATTCAGCATAATCCTTGTCACATTCTAGGCCTCCAAAATATCCATTAAGGAAGAAATCACTAAAGCAATAAAATGTTACTTTTAGAAAACATAGGTAATTAATTTCAGGTATATTTTTTCTCTTACATAACATAAAAATAGATATGCTCTGCACAGACTTTTGGACTGTGACTAAGATGATCAGAATGACTACGAAACAATTCACTTAATTTAAGGTCGGTAAATGGCGTACCTCATGAATATTAGTTATTTGGAAGTCTGTAAGAAAAATTCTCCCAATATCATTCAACCAGTACTTAACAAAACTATGATTTATTTCACAAGGATTCTAATACTGTAGTTAAAAAAAGGATATAAAATGAAGTTTAGACAACACCTTACTTTTAAACACGACGGAGCCACTGAGAAAAAATAATAGACACAGCTAATAATCAATTTGTAGACATGGAGAAAAGCTTAAGCAACTTCAACGGATGCAAAGAGAAATTATCAAGGATTAAACTACTAGAAAGAATAATATAAATGAAGGTATTTCATAACACCTTATGTACCAAATCAAGAAATAAAGCTCTCGTTGATATAAAAGAAGGTTTTGTTCTGAGTTAAAATCCAAACTGAATCTTCAGATGAGTTCAACCCAGTAATCTCTGATATTTGGTACAAAATAAATAATGATAAGATATATATTGGTGAAAACACTGACCATCAAAGAAAGAAAGAAAATAAATGATTAATTAATTAGAAAAAAATAGTCCTCTAAAATGGGTAAAAGATCCCCTCTGGTCTCAGGATCCCCCACAGATATTTTAATGTTGCAGATCTTGTAATCCAATAATGCCTATAAATCCATGAAGTATACATAAGTAACAATAGGACAGAAAAAGGACAGAAAATGCGAACCAAGAATATTGCATATAAGTAGTGTTCAACTACACATGTAACTGTCACATCCACTACTACGAATAACTCCAGGAATCCTTTTTGAATAAAACCATTTTAGGATGAATTCGAATCAAAGAGAAATGGAGAAGATATTGTAGGCATCATAATCATTATTGATGGGCTTCGAACAGTTTTAAATGTAGAATTACAAAAAAATGATGAGAAATACGATCAGAGAGAAAATTTTAAATTTTACATGCACAAAAGTAATGATGAAGCAAAAAAAGTGCTAGAAGTATGTGGATGTTGAAACAGAATTTAGCAGAGTTCTGGAAGCAAATTGTTTACTAATTGCTACATTCACTTCAGAAGGGCATCCAAAATATTGTCAGTATATCTAGAATCAAGTTTTGAACACATTACATAAAACTATAAAGAAAACAAGACAAAGGGAAAAAAGGCAGCCTAAGTTTTTTTTCTTTCTTTTTAAGTTCAGGGGTATAAATGCACGTGTGTTACATTGATTAACTTGTGTCATGCAGGTTTGCTGTACAGGTTATTTAATCACCAGGTATTAAGTCTAGTTCCCATTAGTTATTTTTCCTGATCCTCTCCCTCCTCCCACCCTCCACCATCCCAAAGGCACCAGGGTGTGTTGTTCCCCTCTATGTGTCCATGTGTTCTCATCATTTAGCTCCCACTTATAGGTGAGAATATGCGGTATTTGATTTTCTGATCCTGTGTGAGTTTGCTATGAATAATGGCCTCCAGGTTTTTTCCACGTTTTATGTAGGAATTGGAGTGGAGAGCCTATGAAAACAATGTAATCAGTTACTACGAGAAATAAATGAGTTTATAAAAATGTAAGAATCTGTTTGAAAGTAGGTCTGAATGGAAAAAGGAGACTGTGGAAATTCCCAGGCACACTACATTGAACGATGTAACTCATCCCTTGTAAAAAGTGATTCTCAAATTAAGACACACTTGGTGGGCAAAAGCCAAACCCAGATCATGTCAGTCATTCCGTTTATTAATAAATTTATTAGTTTCAGATGACATGTACTTTTTAGACATAAAACCAGGAACAAGGCCCCAAAGAAACAAAACAATCTCAAAAAAGACTGACTATTCTAAAAGTAAGATGTCTCTTGGCCCCCAGCTTTCTATGGTCAGGCATCAGTCTGAGAAAGTCAAAGGGCACATTCTCCTGTGCCCTGTTCAGGTGTGCTATGGAACATATTGGAATTATTGAGAGTACAGCAAAGAACTAAGTCTTGTCCCATTATTCCAGGGGAATTTCAGAGTTGCTCTAGATCAGTGACTTCCAAGTGCCTCCTGCTTTTCATCTGTTCATGTCAGGGATTGTTTCACTTATCCCATTCGTGTTTTACCATAGCATGTTGGATGAAAGGGAGAGGTTCTGCTCCTAAATCAAGCCTAGCAAGGAAAGACAATAAATAGAGCTTTGTGTTGTGTGTGTGTGTGTGTGTATATATATATACACATATATAATATATATTATATATACATGTATATATGTATATATACACATATATAATATATATTATATATACATGTATATATGTATATATACTTGTATGTATATATGTATGTATACATGTATATATGTATACATGTATACATATATACATGTATATATGTGTGTGTGTGTATACATATATATGAGTTTAAATGTTATAAATTGAACTGTCAGGATACATTCTTTTTGCCAAAATTTATATACATATATAACTATAATTTTTTTGTGGTGACCTAGAAAATGACACATGGGGCTTTAAACCTAGATGACGGCTTGATAGGTGCAGCAAACCATCATGGCATATGTCTACCTTTGTAAAAACCTGCACTTTCTGCACACGTATCCCAAAACTTAAAGTAAAATTAAGAAAAAATAAAAGGAGTCCAATGATAGCAGAAGACAAACAAAAAGAAAATGAAGATAAAATTCAGCATTATTAATCTCCTACAAAGCACTTCACCCCATGGGCTAATGCATGAGAATTCCCCTTTGCCCTTGGTTTGTCACCCCCGCCCTTTGTTTTTTCCAACTCAAGATCTATCCTGCCCCAGGAGGGTCCTTGAGTACACACATGTGGATGTGCCAAATAACAATCTGTTCTTTTCTTCTTCCCCCACACAGTTGCCTCTTGACCACTGGTTGGGCTTTGGGAGAGACAGGCAGGCAGGATGGTAGAACCTGACTAGGATGGTACTGGGAGGGTTGTGCAGGCCCTGGACGCATGTTCAAGGCATTTGGATAGGGAATGCGATGACCCAGTAACAGAAGTGCGGAGTAGAAGGGAGAACATAGGTTTCAGGCCACAACGTCCCCTTGTACACACGGCCTTCTTATCCTTTATAGAAATGTCTAGCCAGAGGAAGTTCAGAGTTCGTTCCTCAGAAGTGCAGGGTCCAGAATAGTGACCCATTTTCAACATGTGTAAGGTAATCTCTGGTAAGGAAAGTAGTCTTCTCCATTCTAGATTTAAAAATGAAAGCTGCATCATCACGTAATTTGGATTGTAAGATTCTGAATTCAAGCCCTTAGGTCAGGTTTACACAAATTTTTAGGTGAGTCTTGGGGAGTGAATTTAATTTATATTGTGAGTAGATGAATGCAAATATTTGTGACAATGAAGACAAGCTGTAGCCAATTGGAGTATTACTGCTGGTTATTGGCTTTTCTCTGTAATAGTATGATACATCATTCTGCTCCCCTTGTCATGTGATTAGTCTGATCACCTTGTAGCAGGAGCACATTACCATGCCTCTTCCATATGGGGCTAGGTGATGCAATATTCTTTGTCATATCCCAACCACAGGACAGCTCCTTCAGTCGGTGGTTTGCAATAAGAAAACATTTTGAGCCAATTGGGCCAAGAGCCACGAGTCACGCAGAGCTACAGCTTCCTTGTGGCCTCTAATAACATGAGCCAGAAATAAAGATTTGGTTTTGACAGCCAATTTAGGTACTGGGGTTGCTATTAGTCACTGCTCTGTAACACATGTATAACAAAAGGAAAACATTTTTGAAAAATACAGTGAAGTTTAAGTGAAATGAAACTGAACGGCTACTGTCAATATAAATTCATGATCTTTGAATATTTCATTGAAATGGCCTAAAAATAAACATTACCTTAGTAATAATGATAATTTCAAGAGCTCAAATGATAGCTTCTAATAACAACTGTGTGCAATAGGAACCTGAGCCTGAAGAAATGCTTGAATTCTGATCTGAGTCAGGGAAAGAACCAGAAGAGCCCAGGACAAGGTGGTACCAAAAAAGAAGGCACCTTTTGATAATTAACTGGATTCTGCCAACTTGAAGGATTTGCCACTGGATAAAGTTATAACTATATGAAAAATCAAGAATAATCATTCTAATGTGTTGTAAGCATTGAGTCAATTAAAATTCATAAATTCATAGTGATATTCAAATACAAAAAATCCTCACTATAATATTTGAGGAAGATATTAAAACAAGTCCTTCCTTTAAAAATGCATAATTAAAGAGGAGTTTACACATTAATCCTGTGTAAGCAAATAGACTCACCTAATGAGAAAAAGATTCATATGACTGAAAAATGCCAGCTGAAATTGTAAAATAAATAATAGCATTAGAAAGGTAAATCATAAACACTAATGCAGATGGTTGATTCAAGAATGTTACTAATTGGTGTTAAAACAGTCATGTGACTGTTTCCTAGGGAACTTGTACAGTGTGATGCTTCATATGAATTAATACATAGCTTACTGTTCGATAAAAAGAAAATGGAAATTATTACTTTAGAAAGGGGGAATGAAAGCCTGACCCAGGAGTCAATTCTTTCATCATTAATAGTGGGTAAAGCAGGCATGGTGTATCTTCCGACAAAGAAGAGAACAAAACATTATGCCATATTCTAGCCAGAATGATTCCATTCAGTCCATTACACCAGTTATATCTTCTAGAATCAAAGATATAAAGGAAAGGAACACAATTAACATCAAAAACAGCAAGCAAACAATGAAATGTGAAGGCAGAACATCCAGGATGGACAAGTGTCCTGTGTCTTCAAAAGTTATTCCCCGAAACAACAACAACAAAAAAGAAACTCTGATGAATTAAGAAACTTACAAGAGAAAAAAAATGAGGAAATGTAAGTCTGGACCAGGTAAACTATCTGATAAGCATATTTTGTAGTCAATTAGAAAAACTTGAACAAAGTCTGGGAATTGAATAAAATATTTTCTAAAACAAAGCTGGGGGTCATATTGCCTGAAAAGAAAAACATGTTAATAAAGAAGATGAATGGTAAAGTCTCATTTGGTTTTAACAAGGGTAGATGCTAGCTATCAGAAATAAAATGATTTTATTGCTTGAAATTTTTCATTTGTTTTATTCTTTTTCTCTGAAATAATACAAATAAACTAGAAAAAATTAAATAGTTGTTCAGAGTAAAATGTTTTGTCCATGAAAGTACAAAGGTTAGAACGGTAATTTGTGCTGTTAGTTGAATGTTCTTCCTGCTATACCTTTACACCAGCTTATCTTTGGTTTAAACCCCCAAAGAAAGAATTATCATATTATGTCAACTAACATGCAGAGTGTGTTTTATTTAAGTCACAATATAAAGGGTGAAACAGTCATGCTTACCACTAAAAGAAAACAATCTGCTGGCATCGAAGTTGAGAAATATCAATTGGGATTTGCTAAAGTATTTGTTTTTGTTTTAATTTTTTTGAAACAGAGTTTTCCTCTTGTTTCCCAGGCTGGAGTGCAATGACGCGATCTCGGCTGACTACAACCTCTGCCTCCTGGGTTCAAGCAGTTTTCCTGTCTCAGCCTCTTGAGTAGCTGGGTTTACAGGCGCCCACCACACCCAGCTAATTTTTTGTATTTTTTGTAGAAACGGGGTTTTACCATGTTGCCCAGGCTGGTCTTGAACTCCTGACCTCAGGTAATCCACTGGCCTTGGCCTCCCACATTGCTGAGATTACAGGCATGAGCCATCGCTAAAGTAACCTCTCTTATCGTTTTACTCTGTTTTCTAGAATGTTTATATTACAAAATCACTGTTTTGTATCCACAGGAGGAATATATTTCAAAATAAAGCTTTCATCCTCAAGAGCTGTAGTTTATTTTCCAAATAGCCTCAGGAAAATTAGAGTACGGCTATAACGAACTTAAGAAGAGAATACTGGGATCCAGGGCAAGATGGCTGAATAGGAACAGCTCTAGTCTGCATATCCCAGCGAGACCAATACAGAAGGCAGGTGATTTCTGCATTTCCAGTTGAGGTACCCCTTTCGTCTCATTGGGAATGGTTAGACAGTGGGTGCAGCCACAGAGGGCGAGCCGAAGCAGGGAGGGGCATCGCCTCACCCTGCAAGCACAAAGGGGTTGGAGAACTCCCTCCCCTAGCCAAGGGAAGCCATGAGGGACTGTGCCATGAGGGACGGTGCCATCCTGACCAGATACTATGCTTTCCCATGGTCTTCACAACCCACAGAACAGGAGACTCCCTCAAGTGCCTACGCCACCAGAGCCCGGGATATCAAGCACAAAACTGGGTGGCTGTTTGGGCAGACACTAAGCTGGCTGCCAGAGTTTTTCTTTGTACTACAGTGGTGCCTGAAACACCAGCAAGACAGAACCATTCACTCCCCTGGAAAACGGGCTGAAGCCAGGGAGCCAAATGGTCTTGCTCAGAGGATCCCACTTCAACGGAGCCCAGCAAGCTAAGATCCACTGTCTTGAAATTCTTGCTGCCAGCACAGCAGTCTGAAGTCGACCTGGGATGCTGGAGCTCATTGGCGGAAGGGCGTCCGCCTTTACTGAGGCTTGAGTAGGCGATTTTCCCCTCACAGTGTAAACAAAACCACCAGGAAGTTCAAACTGGGTGTGGAACCCACCGCAGCACGGCAAAGTCGCTGTAGCCAGACTGCCTCTCTAGATTTCTCCTCTCTCGACAGGGCATCTCTGAAAGAAAGGGAGCAGCCCCAGTCAGGGGCTTATAGGTAAAACTCTCATCTCCCTGGGACAGAGCACCTGGGGGAAGGGGCGGCTGTGGGCGCAGCTTCAGCAGACTTAAATGTTCCTGCCTGCCAGCTCTGAAGAGAGCGGTAGATCTCCCAGCACAGTGCTCAAGCTCTGCTAAGGGACAGACTGCCAACTCAAGTGTGTCCCTGACCCCCGTGCCTCCTGATGGGAAGACACCTCCCCATCATTATGTCCATTAATGTGGACATTAATTCCTCCCACCTCCTGTTTATATTATTACTGACTATTCAAATGAGTAGTTCTCATCTGAAGAAGGTTTTATCCCCAGAGAACTATGGGCAATATCTGGAGACATTTGCGGTTATCACAGTTGATGATGGTGCTGCCACTACTATCTGTTACATAGAGGCCAGGGATGCTGACAACACGAGACAGCACCAACAGCAATGCAATATTCAGCCCCAAATGTCAACAGAATCATGATAGAGAAATCCTCATTTAGATGATACTGCAACGGCATAAATTCAAGTGCTGGAATAAGTATGATTTGTTAAGCAGTTGACGAAAGTCACCTATCATTTAATAGAGTGTTCCAGGGTCATCAAAATAAAACTATTTGCTAAATGGACAAAATAGAATCCTATTTTGCAATGACATTATCACAAGAAAATTCTTTCAAACCACAGTTCTAGTAAATGATAATGAGGCAAAAATGGAAATGCCTGTATTTGTCACCCTACCTTAAAATGGCATTTGTTCAGCAATCAGGATTATAATAGACAATGGTAAATGGTTCCTTAAAAGCAGCTATAAACACAGCTTGCCTGTCAGTCAGATGCTAATGGTTATGCTTGTAAAATGCATACATTGAGAATGTTTAATTTGTTGTTGGTGCAAAAGATCTTGTAAGATTAAAAAATGTGTGAAGACATTCACTTGATTTTGTAAACATAAGGCAATTCCAGATGTAGGCAAATGGAAACAATGTTTGCTTCTATGACACTGGATGCGTTTTACTCAAAATTTGCTTTCAATATTGTATTGGGTATATTTTGTAAACTTTAATGATTTCTTTAAATGCTGAAAATGCATTATTGTTGAAAAAATCCTCTATCACTAGCTGAACTTGGAACTGCAATTTTATATTATGCTCACCGTATGCTACGTCTTACTTAATGTTGTGAGTTTTCAGCAGACTCACCAGTACATTTGCCTCATATTGTCTCATATACTTCTGCGAGGAGACACTTAATTCTAGCAATGATATTTCAATGCAGTATGGACAGCAAGGAAGAAAAGTAACTTATGTGTATATATATATTTTATAATATAGAATAAGCTTAAAACTTAAGTATATTTGAAATTTCAATAATCCAGTTACCTTGCATTTGAGGAAGCAGTTGCTTTAAAATAGTTTTGCTGACTGGTATGTACCTATTCTGTTTCCAATTCATTTGAAATAAATCCATTGAGTGCAAATAAAAATCATCACAGTTTTCAAATATCTATTAAATGACAAACTCATTGCTCAGAAAAATGTTAGAATTGTCTAGTTCCCATTTTTGTTGATGTAAGACCCACTCACAAACAAAATGCTATTTAACGAAATGGTGCTTAAACTACTTTCATTGCTATTTCCTCTGTTGCATTATGTGCAAAATTTAATGTAGTCTGGTCGTCATCTGTAAAAGCACAATGAAGTAAGTGCGGTATTCTGAAAGGTGCATCAACAGTTCAGCTGTAGCTGAAGGCCTTTGAGTTTTGAGGATGCTGTACCAAATTTCATTGCCTACACTAACAGACACTAATTCTATAAGAGCACATCCTGCTTTCAATTATCCCAAAGAAGATTTTTGAATAATTTTGTTTAGCCAAAAAATGAGAAAAAAAACTAGAGAGAATAGTTACAATAGGAAAAATTGCAAACACACATAATTCCCTCAAGCTGCATATATATCCTGTATCTTATTATAATAGCTGAATTTGCTTGGATTTGGTGTTTTCTAAGTGAACTTACACAAAGTTGCATTTGTTTAGAATAATTTTAGTATATTTTTAGTATAATTCAGGGGTACTAGAGAAATTCTAGTGACACCCATGCCAACTGCTTGCTAATATGTAACATTTTTGCCAAAAAAGCTCAGTCCATTACTGTTGAGTAAAATTTGCAAAGCCCTGGGAGGAAAAATGTAACATTTCACCAATCACTTAGAAACATCTTTTCTAACGTTGGCCGTAATCACACATTATATATTTTCGGTTTAATTGTAAAACTACCCCTTCCATACACTATAATCTCATGAGATGAACTGTTATATAACTTTAGTTCATTACAAATCCCCATTGTTTAATGAGGGGTCTACACTTGGTAGGAACTTGAAAAATAATGGTTGAAAAATGTGTAATCCTCCTTATTCCCAATGGATAAAAAGGTGGAAGATAAAATCTAAAACTACATTTTAGCAAACACAGGACTTTGAGAAAGTCTCTATTTCTGAATCGTTGACATATAAATAAATGATGAATTACAAAAGTAACACTAGAAGTATAAAAATGTGTGAAAACCATGGTGTTACTGTTAAACATCAGATGTTACATTTACTACTATTATTTCATTATTAACATGTAAAATAGCATATGTGTTCATAGCATTGATAAGATGTACATTATAAAATATATATAAAATATGTATAATAATAATATGTATATATAAAATAATACATTATAGAAGTGTAAATGCATAGCAATCTAAAAATTTTCAGATTTGGTGTCTTTCTGTTTTAATAACTGAGAGGAGAATAATTGGTCTGAGGCATTTGGAGTACTGGCATTTATTTTTAATTTTTATGTGATCTGCACCTACCTAGAAATAAATCTTTAATCAATCTTAAAACATGACTTTTGAAACCAAATCCACAAAATCTCAACCAAGCCGGCTTTACAAGTAACTTGAAACCTATCAACCATCTCTGACTCAGAGTGAGAAGTACACATTACAGGTAGATAATTTTACTAAAATGTAAACATTTTATTAAAGGTATGCACAACAACAAATGGAATTGAGAGGAGAGATAATTAACCATTCAATAGTCTGTGAAAATTTCTTTTTTTGTTATTTATTCTAAAAAAAATGGGATAGATGTGCAGAATGTGCAGGTTTGTTACATAGGTGTAAGTGTGCCATGGTGGTTTGCGGCACCTATTTCTCTGTCCTCTAAGTTCCCTCCCCTCAATCTCCACCCCCAACAGGCCCTGGTGTGTGTTGATCCCCTCTCTGTTTCCATGTGTTCTCAATGTTCAACTCCCATTTATGAGTGAGAACATGCAGTGTTTGGTTTTCTGTTCCTGCTTCAGTTTGCTGAGGATAATGACTTCCAGTTCCATCCATGTACCTACAAGGGACATGATCTCATTCCTTTTTATGGCTACATAGTATTCCATTGTGTAGATGTACCACATTTTCTTTATTCAGTCTATCATTTATTGACATTTGGTTTGGTTCCATGTCTTTGCTATTGTAAACAGTGCTCCAGCAAACACACATGTGCATGTGTCTTTATAACAGAATGATTTATATACCTTTGGGTATATACCCAGTAATGAGATTGCTGGGTCAAATGGTATTTCTGGTTCTAGATCCTTGATGTATTACCATAATGTCTTCCACAGTGGTTGAAATAATTTACATTCCCACCCAACAGTGTAAAAGCGTTTCTATTTCTCTGTATCCTCACCAGCATCTATTGCTTCCTGACTTTTAAAAATCACCATTCTGACTGGTGTGAGATGGTATCTCATTGGGGTTTTGATTTGCATTTCTCTGATGATCAGTGATAATGAGTTCTTTTTCATGTTTTTTGGCCACGTAAATGTCTTCTGAGAAGTGTCTGTTCATATCCTTGCCCATTTTTTGATGGGGTTATTTTTTTCTTTGTAAGTTCTTTGTAAATTCTGGATATCAGACCTTTGTCAGATGGATAGATTCCAAAAATTTTCTCCCATTCTGTAGGATGCCTATTCTCTCTAATGGTAATATATTTTGCTGTGCAGAAGCTCTTTAGTTTAATTAGATCCCATTTTGGCTTTTGTTGCAATTGCTTTTGGAGTTTTTTTCATGAAGTCTTTGCCCATGCCTATGTCCTGAATGGTATTGCCTAGGTTTTCTTTGGGGGTTCTTATGGTTTTGAGTTTTACGTTTAAGTCTTTAATCCATCTTGAGATAAGTTTTGGATAAGGTTTAAGGAAGGGGTCCAGTTTCAGTCTTCCGCATATGGCTAGCCAGTTTTCCCAGCACCATTTACTGAATAGGAGATCCTTTCCCCATTGCTTGTTTTTGTCAGGTTTGTCGAATATCAGATGGCTGTAGATGCGTGGTGTTATTTCTGAGATATGTGTTGGTACCAGTATCATGGCATCTGGTTACTGTAGCCTTGTAGTATAGTTTGAAGTCAGGTAGCGTGATGCCGCCAGCATTGGTCTTTTTGCTTAGGATTGTCTGGACTATACGGGGACTTCTTTGATTCCATATAAAATTCAAAATAGTTTTTCCTAACTCTTTGAAAAATATCAAGGGTAGTTTGATGGGAATAGCATTAAATCTATAAATTACTTTGGGCACTATGGCCATTTTCACGATATTGATTCTTCCTATCCATGAGGATGGAATGTTTTTCTATTCGTTGGTGTCCTGTCTTATTTCCTTGAGCAGTGGTTTGTAATTCTCTTTGAAGAGGTCATTCACATCCATCATTAGCTGTATTCTTAGGTATTTTATTCTGTTTGCGGCAACTGTGAATGGGAATTCATTCATGATTTGGCTGTCTGTCTATTGTTGGTGTAAAGGAATGCTTGTGATTAGTGCACATTGATTTTGTATCCTGCTGAAGCTGCATATCAGTTCAAGAAGTTTTTTGGCTGAGATCACAGGGTTTTCTTTTCTTTCTTGTTGCCCAGGCTGGAGTGCAGTGGCGTGATCTCTGCTAACTGCAAACTCCGCCTCTCGGGTTCACGCCATTCTCCTGCCTCAGCCTCCCGAGTAGCTGGGACTACAGGCACCCGCCACCACGCCTGGCTAATTTTTTGTATTTTTTAGTAGAGACGAGGTTTCACCACGTTAGCCAGGATGGTCTTGATCTCCTGACCTCATGATCTGCCCACCTCGGCCTCCCAAAGTGCCTGGATTACAGGCGTGAGCCACCACGCCGGGGTTTTCTAAATATAAAATCATGTCATCTGCAAACAGAGACAACTTGGATTTCTCTCTCCCTACTTGAATATCCTTTATTTCTTTCTCTTGCCTGATTGCCCTGGCCAGAACTTCCAATACTATATTGAATAGGAGTGGTGAGAGAGGGCATCCTTTTCTTGTGCCAGTTTTCAAAGGGAATGCTTTCAGCTTTTGCCCATTCAATATGATATTAGCTGTGGGTTTTTCATAAATAACTCATTATTTTGAGATATGTTCCATCAATACCTAGTTTGTTGAGAGTTTTTAACATGAAGGGATGTTGAATATTATCAAAGGCCTTTTCTGCATCTGTTGAGACAATCATGTGGTTTTTGTCATTGGTTCTGTCTATGTAATGGATTACATAATTTATTGATTTGAGTACCATGAACCAGCCTTGCATCCCAGGGATGAAGCCGACTTGATCGTGATGGATAAGTTTTCTGATGTGCTGCTGGATTCAGGTTGCCACTATTTTATTGAGGATTTTATTATTATTATTATACTTTAAGTTCTAGGGTACATGTGCACAACATGCAGGTTTCTTATATATGTATACATGTGCCATGTTGGTGTGCTGCACCCATTAACTCGTCATTTACATTAGGTATATCTCCTAATGCTATCCCTCCCCCCTCCCCCCTATCCCACAACAGGCCACGGTGTGTGATGTTCCCCTTCCTGTGTCCAAGTGTTCTAACTGTTCAATTCCCACCTATGAGTGAGAACATGCGGTTTGTTTTTTTTTTTGTCCTTGCAATAGTTTGCTGAGAATGATGGTTTCATGGGTTCATGAGTGGGCCCTTCCGATCTATGGGTGGCACCATTCTATGAAAAAAGCACAGTTTCCCTGAATGGGTAGCATGCTCATTCACCGCCTCCCTTGGGTTGGGGGGTGTGTGTGTGTGTGTGTGTGTGTGTGTGTGTGTGTGTGTGTGTGTTGAGGGGGGTTCCCCTGTGTGTCACGCCAGCCTTCTATTTTGACTAGAGAACCTGGATACCTTGGTTGCCAGTGAAGGATTCACCTGCTTATTATGTTTTTTTTTTCAATGGGAGACTCCAAACCCAGCTGCCTCTAGTCGGCCATCTTGGCCCCGCCCCGTCTGTGTGAGTTTCTATGTCAAAGAATTGGTATCTCAAGTGAAGAATGAATGGTAAGTTAAGGAAGCGCCAGATCCATCTGGTCATTCATAAACATGTTGAGATCAATGTGAATGACATATATTTACATATTGGCAATAACATATATATGTGTATATATATATATATGCCATTTTATTTCATATTTAAAATTATACATTCAAATGTGGTTTTTTAATGTTCAGTTCTATAAATTTTACACGTATAGATTATTACGACTGCCACCATCACGATATAGAACAATCCCATCCCATCAGTAAATGCTCCTTTGATTTCTTTTATAGTCACTTTTTTCTAGCCCCTGAAAAAAACTGAGCTGTCCTTCATTTCTATAGTTTATCTTTTAATCACTGCCAAGAAACTCCATTTGCCTCTTCGAGCATTATCTCTGAATATATATGCCAACTCTCCTTCAGGGCAGCTATGTTTCAATGGAGCTTGCATTATTCCTTCTCCCATACTACAAAGGTTTTATCATAGTTGTTCAGCTACAGTCATGAAAGTGATAACTGTCACTTATTCCTTCATAGATTTTCCCTACAACATATTTCTAAGCAAGTAGCCTTACTTTTCTTTTGATTTCAAATACACTATCTGCTAATGTAAAATGTTATTTTAAAGTTTGAATTATTAACAAAAAATATGGATTTAAAGAAAATGATGTAACTGGCAAAAAAAAAAAAACAACACACATAGTGTTATGTGTCCAAGAAAACCCTTCTGAAAAGCATCAGATTTCATTTGAGACATGAAGAATAAGTAGATACTACTAAGCAATTATTGGGATGGAAACATTAAATGCAGAGGATAGCCTGAAGACCAGTAGGTGAAAAAAATATTTGAGTTAATAAAAGTGATAATGGTGAGGGAATTAAAAATGGTGAATTCGTAAAGCTGAGGCTGATGTTTAAAAGAACAGAATATACAGAGTCTGTTAGGCCACAATCACGATGTTGAATTTTATCATAAAAGCAATGAGTACTCTTTGAAATTATTTTTATGCAGAGAAGTTAGATGGTAATATTGGCTTCATAATAATGGTGATGCATCTATTAGTAGAAATGCTAAAAGTAGAATTAACCTGTCCCTTATGTGATACAGTCACACCAGGACCTGTGGACGTTCATATGACAAAAAATAATAAAAAATAATAAAAGGTACATTAATATATTTAAAAATCACCATAACTGAATTGTCAGAAAATTAACAGAAACAAGAAGGAATGTGTGCAGATTGATCTATTGAAAGGATATTCAGAACTAAATACAGTGTCTCCTCTAAGATGGTAGCAGTGGAGTCAGAGAGAAGCTTGTATCTATGAAATAATTGGTGGCACTCATTTGCCTGCAAAGCAACTTGCCATGGGAGATGTCGAAAATGTTTCCAAGATTCTGGATACTGCAGCTAACTAGATTGTTTTCCTTTTGCTTGTAAACATTCATGAAATTAAGATTAAGTTTGGAGAAAATATCTGGATGTATTGAGTTTAAAGTGTCTATGACATATCCAAGTGGAAATAAAAATATAGTTCTAAAATAAAAAGGATCGATCTGAGCTTGAGGTGTATATTAGACAGACAGCTGTGCATTGCATAGAGAGAATGCATGAAATGTGTTTCCTGTGTCTCACTTGCTACTTTTCAGTAAGTATTTAAATTTTAATTATGTGGTATTTTATTTCATTTTGTATTGTTTTTGTGTTTGGCCGGCTAAAGAGATTGGATCAATTGCTTGAAGAATGCTATTCGAAATGACAGAAAACTTTTAACGTGAAGGAAAAAGATGGCAGAGCAAGGAGACAGATCCCAACATTGACATTCAGTTACTCTCAAAGGGGATTGCCATTATAGAATACATGAGAAACATTTACTCTTGAAAACAAAGCTAAAACTTTATAAAAAAGATTACAGAGTTCAATGCATATATTGTAGAATTGGGCTTTTAGCAACCAATATTATAAGTCTTAGATATAAGTAAATATATTCACTGACAACATGAATAGAAACATCATAGAAATTTGGCACTTTGCAAAGTGTTTTATCCAAGGCTATATTTACTGCAAAGAGCTGAAATATTATTGAAAGACCTGTAAACAAGCTAAAAGTTGCAGAAATGGTCACCTTTAAGTTTTTATGATCATTATATAAAGTGTGTAACTAAAATAAGTAAAGAAAGTTTAATAATTTTCTTTTGTAAACATGAGATGAGACATAACTAATAAAATTGAAATCTTCCAATGAAGATAATGTATAACTTTGTAGATTTAGTTATAAGGAGTCACAGCTGGTCCTAATGGTGATTATTGCAACACAGACGTCTTAGCCACAAAACTATCTGGTTCCGACATGTTAGGATTTAATAGAAATATAAGAACATTGAGACTAGTTTTAGTACTGAAAGAGCAAAATTATGACAGACTTGCAATAATCCCAAAACATTTTTAAGGGCAAAATTCTGTTTTTTGTTTGTTTGTTTTTGTTTTTGTGACAGCAGTTCACATTTTATGACATTTGAAAATTGGTGATTTTCATATAGAATATGTAGTACTATGCTTTGTGGAAAGGCATAGATAGCATTTAAAACATAAAACTGTATTATAGCCTAGAGTGTTACATGTTTATGTTGAAGATAAACCCAGGATTCCTCAATTTATTCTCTTTCCTCACTGTTGAAATGTTGGTTCAGATGTTAGCTGACAAATTTACTTGATGATTGAAGTCCGAGGGAGACAGAACTTTTGTCTGATTGCTTCTACAGAGCAATGAAGTAAAAATATTTGGTCAGTATCTAGTTCAAAAATTATTACATTTATATTATATTGTATTACATTTTTAAAGTAGAAAAAGAATGTATTTATAATTTATTTTGTTTCATGCAACTCCATACAAAATTATTAAAACACATATCTGAAAAAGTAGAGTCACAGCTGGTCATAAGAATCATTGTCGTAATATAGATGTCTTAGTCACAAAACTATCTGATTCCAAATTGTTAAGATTTAATAGAGATATGGACATTAAGAAAAATTTTTGTACTGAGATAGCATGATTACAATGGACCTGCAATAATCAACAACCAAAAATGGAGTCAAAGCTGGTCATAATGATCATTATGTGTTTTAATAATTTGTAAAGAGTTTTGTAAAAGTTTTGACAAAAATTCGTATAAAAAACAAATATTGTAGATAATATATTTTTATTAAGTATTGTGTATTCTACAAGTAGATTTGTGCAATGACCATACACAGGGAGTTTGTTGGTATAATGAAGTCCAGTCACAGCAAGCAATTCTCATAGATAGAGTATTCCAGACAACTGAACCGAAGCATTTTCCTAAATCATCAGTTTTCAGCATCTATTTGCCCCTATGTATGACAGTCATCATTAGCACAGTTCTTACCTCTTGAAATGATCATAGACACAAATTGGTATTTGTTAGTACTTGCAATTTCCACCCTTCAGTTTTTCAACTTTTTTTTTTCTGTTTTGATTTGTCAAAAAACCAACATGTATTCAAAGTCTTTCATTTACTGGAAACCATCAGTTTTTATTTTGAAATCCCTATTGCTTGTGAGGGAAGAGAGAGACCCTCTCATATTGTTTTATATTGTTCTATACTCAGTACCTGTTTTAAGAAGAAACAACAAGGAAGTAAAACCAAAGACAGGCAGCCCGGCGCCAGGCCCGAAACTAGGCCTGGGCCTGCCTGGCCTAAACCTAGTAGTTAAAAATCAACTCGTAACTTAGACACGGATGTTATTCGTAGATTCCAGACGTTGTATAAAAAACATTGTGAAACTCCCTGCCCTGTTCTGTTTCTCTCTGATCACCCGTGCATGCAGCCCCTGTCACGTACTGCCTGCTTGCTCAAATCAATCACCACCCTTTCATGTGAAATCTTTAGTGTTGTGAGCCCTTAAAAGGGACAGAAATCGTGCATTCGGGGAGCTCGGATTTTAAGGCAGTAGCTTGTCGATGCTCCCAGCTGAATAAAGCCCTTCCTTCTACAACTCTGAGAGTTGTCTGAGAGGTTTTGTCTGTGGCTCATCCTGCTCCATTTCTTGGTTCCCTAACCGGGAAGCGAGATGACTGATGGTCGGCCAAGGCAGCCTCTTAGGCGGCTTAAGCCTGCCCTGTGGAGCATCCCTGCAGGGGACTCTGGCCAGCCTGAGTGACGCAATCCAAAGAGCGCTCCAGGGTAGGTCACATGCTCTTCCTAGAATATTCTTCCTTTATTTCTCCTCTCTACCCACCATTTTCTACCTAACATAAAAAAAGTCTTAAATATTTCTCATTTTACAAAACTTGCTTACCCTGCACTCAGCATAGCTGTGATTGTGTGCATATCATTCTGAACAGGGGTTATTGGCTTATCAGTTGTCTCTGCCCTCAGAATTTGTGCTCTTTGAGACCACAAACTATTTACTTGTACCTTCTAGAAAAGAGTGTTTGACATACAGAAACTACTGAGTGAGCCATTTATATAAAGTAATGAATACATAAATTATTAAAATAGTAAATTACTATTATTAGCACACATTAGGCAAAAAGTTAAGGAAGTACAACATTTAGTTTAAAATACATGGATGCAGATAAAATAATTAACAAAATATTTTTGTAACTATCAAATTGCTTGGAAATGTTATTTTTCTAATTCTCAATTTTATTTTGCTTATCTATGTATATGTGTTTAAAGTTGTGTATTAACTGGGGGGACTATGAAACTCTTTGAAATTCTGAAGCATCACCATCTCCCCCGGATATTCACAGTGGAAAATTTTCATCAAATTTCAACAGTTCAGAGATCCTCTAAAATTGAACCAAACTTCCGTGGACTAACTTTTTAAACCGCTCGTCAAAGAATTAATTACCAACATATGAATTTTAATTTAAGGCAGTATGCAAATGATGCTAAATTAATTAGTTTGATGATATCTTACCAAAGCTTAATAATTGAACACCATTATATAATTAAATGTCCACTATAAATATCACTTAAAATTCCACTTTATATACAACTCCTGTTAGAAAAGTAACAGCATAACCATTTGATATTTATTTTCAAAATCTACAAAATTTAATTCATCTCCCTAATAACGCAATTGATTCCTTTACTTTAACTATCATTTAAGGGACTGAGAAATACAGAAAACATTTAAATCTCACTCCAGTACAGAAGAAATACATCTTTTCAGTCATATCTAGGTAACAGCCAACAATTTTAAAATATTAAAGCTGTACTCACTATTGTCCATTTCTATTGTCCTGACTTCAACTTTGAAAAGTTCCATGTTGCCAGATAAATGCTCAAATTAATCCTGGTAGAAGTAATTCACCTAAGATTCAGCTCCCTAAATCTCAAAAGAGATAATCCCCACTTTTCTCTGTACTTAGGAACACAGCCATTAGGTGAGCAAGATGATTAAACAGGAAATTACAGCAGAAAATAATAAATGCTAAGGGAAAGTGTGCAGAAAAGAGTGGCTGCATGTTATTACAAGAAAATGACAAATAGGCCGGTCATGGTGGCTAACACCTGTAATCCCAGCACTTTGGGAGACTGAGGCGGGCAGATCATGAGGTCAGCAGTTCGAGAACAGCCTGACCAACATGGTGAAACCCCGTCTCTACTAAAAATACAAAAATTAGCCACGCATGGTGGCATGTGCCTGTAATCCCAGCTACTCAGGAGGCTGAGGCAGGAGAATTGCTTGAATCTGGCAAGCAGAGGTTGCAGTGAGCCTAGATTATATCACTGCACTCCAGCCTGGGTGACAGAGCAAGACTCCGTCTCAAAAAAAGAAAAAAGAAAACGGCAAAGAACATGCAGTGGAGATTTTTTTTTCTCAGAAAGTGGTGATAGATAATCCTATGGGAGCTAAAATTTTAATATATGCATTAGACACTGTTGTTAACAATCTACTTTTTCAATTTAATTACTAATGAAGAGTAATCGCTAAATATTTGGGCTCTGTTTGAAAATTTCCACTTCTGTTTCATCATAGATGCTTTAGTAGTTGTCTGAATGTTTAGTCTTTCTCCAGGCAAGAGCATCGTTTTATGGAAGACAACCATTTCTTTTCTCATTAAGATCATGTTAATGAACACACACACACACACACACATACACACACACATGCACACAAACATGCACACAAACAATGAATAAGGGAAAAAACAGTGATAAATTATCAGATAAATTTACATAGCTTTAGTTAGAAAAAATATATTATTCATTTAATTTATATAATATTTTATTTCAGACTATTTTGACACAGATACATAATAAATAATACAAATTACTATGTCACATTTTCCTTAATACAGAATTATGTGTTCTAATCAGGAAATTTGTTTCAACGTATGCTAATACTTTCAGATACTTATACATTTTTATCTTGTTTAAAGATTATTGGGCATTTCATTATTTCTCCCCTCTTCTGGTAGCTGGCCAGTTTCTATCTAGGCAGAATCAGTTGTCAGTTTGGAAAACAACAAACAACAAATGCCTGTCTTGTGTGATATACTTTCTACACATTGCAGTTTCTCCACCACGATTTTTATTCAACCAGTCTTTGAGCTGTATGAGGACAATAGTGACTGTTTTGATTACCAGTCTATCTCGGCACCAGAAACAGTGCCTAGCATATAGTTGTTGCCCAATAAATTATCATTCATTCTTACCAAAATATTTACTGAATACCTACTACATTTCAGCCACTGTTTTTAGTGCTAGTGCTGGAATACATGGAGCTGAGGAGACGTAGGCAGTAAACAAACTAGATCATTTCAGGAGAGGGTAAGAGCCATCCTATAAGTAAAATGGGAAAAGACATGGTTAGTATGTTTTGAAACGTGGTGGTAGCTTCTGCCAATGGGCTTGAGTTGGCCTTTCTCAGATGACCGCTCTGCTGAAACCTAATGACAAGTATGGACCCATCCTACAAAGACTGATTAACAAAGAACAAGAGGTCAGTGAATGACATAGGACAGAGATGCACCTTGAGCGTTCGCAAAACAGTAAGATCATCAATATGTCTGAATAAAGTGAGCTGAGAATGTGAGAGCAGAGATGAGGCAGGAGCAGTTGCTATGAGCAGAGCTTATAAATAATATTGGTCTTCCGTGTCCAGTCCTCAGTATCTATGGGTTCCACATCTTCGAATTCAAACAACCACGGAGAAAAAATATTTTTTAAAAATACAATTAAAAAAATACAATAAAGAAGTAAAAATATTAAAAATACAGTATAACAACTGTTTATAGAACATTTACTTTGTATTTAGGTATTAATATTATAAGTAATCTGGAGAGATTTAAAGTATATGGGGGTGTGTGCATAGATTATATGCAAATACAGTAGTATACCATTTTATGTAACGGACTTGAGCATTTGTGGATTGTGGTAGTCTTGTGAGTTCCGGAACCAGTCCCCTGAGGATACTGAGGGACAACTGTACATCCATGGATTCCTCAATAGAGACACCTCTGGAGAGCGCTGTGAGACCCCCACCCTTAGGAAGAATTGGGATCTCTGACTACATGCAGCTCCCATCCCTTCTCCCTGACCCAGGCAACAACTAACCCTGGCCCTGGGCTTCTAGCAAAGCAAGAACCGATTTATTTTCATCTCTTTTGTATAATGGTCTTCCAATACATTTATGTTTGTAAAAGTAGGTCCATTGACTAAGATAAATGACAAATAAATAAACGAAAAATAATAAGCAGAGAGAAACACTAGTAGCCTGAAAAGGTAAATTATTGTCCACCCATATGAATATACTTTTAAAATGGCTAAGATTTCTTAAGTGTCATTGTTCTTTACTGCACTTTGCACATTATTTAATTATTGAAAGCACCTATAATGTACACAGTTATCTCAATTTTATTAATTTATAAATTATATTAAATTGTATATTTAGTAAATTCTGACACAGGTAAGTTAAATTGCCTATGGTGTCTTTGATAATAAGTGATAGAGTTACTCCTCTATACTAGTCTTCCCCACACCTAACCTTGGGCTCAAGTACAGGAAATCTGTGTAACTGCTACCACACCTAGGCAACCTAACATCCTAACTGGTTTGAGGATAACGTCCCTGGCAGTAGCCAAGCTATAGAAACAATCTAAGTGTTCTTCTTGGGACAAGTGGCTAACAAAACTGGGGTATATATTATTGAGTTCTAAAAAAGAATGAGATCTTGCCATTTGCACAACATGGATGAGCCTGGAGGACATTGTGCTAAATGAAATAAGCCAGGCACAGAAATAAAAACATTGCATGACTTCATTTATATGTCAAATCTAAAATTTAAAAATCAAGTATATAGAGATAGAGAACAAAACAGTACTTAACAGGTACGGGGATGTGGGGAAATGGGGAGATATAAGTCCTAGGTTAAAAAATAGCGGATCCCTAGGAGGGACAGGTCTAAAGGGCTAGCACACAGCAGGAGGACTACAGGAAATACAATTGTACTGTATGTGGAATTCACACTAAATGAGTAGATTTTACCTGCTCTTGACACAAAGACAAACAAAATAGGTTACTATGTGAGATGACACATATGTTAATTTGCTTCATTATGGTAACCTTCCTACTATCAGTATCTCATAACATCGTGTTACATACCTTAAACATACAAAATTAAAATTTATTTTAAAAATTATGGAAAGAAAATAGTTAACAGCTGGCCTTGAAAATTACCTCCTACCTCAAGGATAACTGTAGAAAGTTTGACCTTTGAGTAATACATTGTGTAATATTGTCTGATAGGATTTTACTAACTAGCAGATGAAGAAGTTACCATGGGTTGGTGTTGTTATGTACTAAATCCCACTCTAGGCATGATATTAGGAGGTTCTACCTCTTTGCCTGGCTCGTTTAATGGATACAAATCTGTACATTATGGATGGCAGTGGGAGCAGACCAACACAGTGCAGGTCTTAAGGCGGCACATGAAGAAAATTTAAAAAGAATTGCGTAAATTTCTAAAAGTGAGTCTGCTTTTTAGTTTACCATGAGATGGCAATTCTAAAGGAGTTCACTGATAAAATGGGAATCCCTGTGAGGCTCACCCACTCTCCCTTTAGCATGCTCCTAGGAGTCAGGCCATGTAGATAAGCTTGGGCTGCACGACCAGCAAAATATGCCAAGTGATGGGCCCCAGACTCAGCACTAGGCTGGTTCTTGATGAACACTCATCCTCCCATAGCCAGAACACATTTCAGTGTGCAAAAGGGGCCACACTTTTGCATCTGAAGCTGGAAGCTGCATCTTAAGTATCAAAGGCCTCTGAGAGTTTTACGCTGTTAAAATCTCTCCCTGCTCCTTCCTCAAATCCTCTGCTAACACTAATAAGTGTTGTACTTGGTAAGAATTTGGAGCCCTGTACATCTGTGATGAGAATTTGATCCCATTTGATCCCAAGATGCCACAATAAGCATTAAATTATCTAATTAAAGTCCTTTTTCAACATTAGCCTATTATTTTCAAAAATTATAAAATACAGCAAAGAAGAAAAGAGTGATGAGTATATTAGATACAGGAGCTTTTGAGGTGTCCAAAGAAGGTGAGGAAGTAAGAAAACAATAAGACAAGGAAAATATATTTATATAGCATATCAAAATCACATGATAGTAGGCTTTAGGAGCAATGTCAGTTGGTACAAAGCAGAAGAGCCAAGTGTTTACCACAGTGCTGTATAAGTAACACGATGCATAAAATAATAAAAAATTAATCAATTACAATAATTTAGATCCAAGGTGATGAGATGAGTGGGTATAAGAAGGAAGAAGAGATAAATATAGGAAGAGGAACAAGTTTAAAGAAATAACCAATATAATTTATTGTTGATTAGATATGTAAAATACCTAGAACTGCTTCAAAAGCGGCACTGAGGCCCTGGGCATGGATTATGTGAGAACGCATTAGTCAATGACAGAGATAGAATGTTTGAATGGAAACCAGGTTAGGGACTGTGGTTGGGGAGGAAGAAAAAAATGAGACATTTAATTTATGGTGACGCTCACTGGAGAAAATGGAATGACAAATGATACAGACTTATTTAAAATAAAGTAACAGTCAACAAGTAAGCCAGAAATAAAACTCAAGACCCTAACACCAAGCATAACGATATCATTATCTAAGAGACATCCTACACACAGGAAATCTTTAAGATAAACATTATATTTTATTTTACAGTTAATGGAGTTAGACGAAGTCTATCTTTCTGAGTGTCAAATCAGTGCACTTTTGTAATCAGGAAATAGATAATATATTACTGGGTTTCTATGAACACACCTAGTAGCCTCATCTGCTATTTAACATCAAGTTTCTTCATCCAAAAATACCCACTTTTTATTTTTGGTAAGCTCTTAAAAGCTTTGTTAAAAACATGCAAGGGCTTCTGTGTGGCTCTGGAAGCCTCACGACCTCATGTGCAGTATTAATATTCTAAAGAGGACAGCTTCTGCAAATATTAAATTACACAGGAGTTTCAGTGCAGGCCTGCAGCCTCAACTCGTGGGCATGGAGATCAAACGGGCAATTCTGACCTGTGGCTTCTATCAATTTCCAGTGAAAAAAAATCAGTTTTTCATCATTTACTAAAACCTGAATTCCAGGTTCAGGTTCTGGCAAAAAAAAAAAAAAAAGCATGAGGCACTTTAGAAGTGTTTTGTTTTGCTTTGTTTTAATGCTTGTTGTCCTCATGATTTGTCTGAACATATACGTATTAAGATGGAGTCTTGCTCTGTCATCCAGGCTGGAGTGCAGTGATACAATCTTGGCTCACTGCGACCTTTGCCTCCTGGGTTCCAGCGATTCTCCTGCCTCAGCCTCCTGAGTAGCTAGGATTACAGGCACGCACCACCACACCCAGCAGATTTTTGTATTTTTAGTAGAGATGGGTTTCACCATGTTGGCCAGGCTGATCTCAAACTCCTGACCTCAGGGGATCCACCTGCCTTGGCCTCCCAAAATGCTAGGATTACAGGCGTGAGCCACCACGCTTGGCCTGAACCACCACGCTTGGTCTGAACTTATAATTTAGACGTTATACAGCACAGGCTATTCTTTATCTGTAAATTTCCATTGAGAGAAAGGAAGCTACAAATGTCAGAGTTCTCCCACGCCCTTTTTCATATTACAGCTCTAAGAATATATCATATGATTGTTTTAAATATAGTGAAAACTGACAGAACTTAAGAAAATAAAATTTAAGAAAAATCTAATTTAAGAAAATAATGTAAAGGCAAAATGTAAGAAAATAAAAGACATAGTTTACTAAGTTTTCCCTCTAGAGCAAGATAACAAGATCTTATGTTAACAGGTCTTTTTATGACCTATTATCAAGAAGCAGGGTCAGCTTCTTCAAAGGATCACAATCCATCCCCACTGTGAACTAGCAGCAGAGCCCTGCATGTAACTCAGAGGAGAGGAAAGTAAAACATTACTGATATCCAAGCAAGGCAGTCAATCTTCTGAGGTAAGCCATATTCTGATGTAAATGGGAGAATAATAATTTATAAGCATTGATTATTTAACCCAAGAATTCAGTCTTAGAGTATAGTTGGCTGGAATAGAAATTATCCAAGTAACTAAGTTCTGACTAAAGTGGATCCAGGCCTGAAATTAATGAAGAAGGCATCAATGATTCATCTTGACACAACTTTTAATCTCATTCAGAGTAAGCTCAATTTAATGCCAAAATTCTCACAACAGGCCCCCAAAAGCTCACTGGCCCTGACATATCGAGTGCCTCTACTTGAGTGTTGAATGGATAGAGAATTAAAAAGTTATTGCTCTACTGAACACTTACAGCTATATACTCTTAGTAATCTCCCGTTCCATTCCCCAATCAGATCACCACATGCATTTAGTAACTTGCAGCAATTTTTAGATTAATTTTTGAAGCCATTCTTACAGATGCACTTGGTATATTTAATGAAGAGCTTTTCTATAAGATCATAATTTTATCATGACATGAATCCAGTGTTCTTGTTAGATTTGTAAACCCACCTTTGTATCACTTTAATTGATTCTTTCATTTATTCCCACGATGTTGCTAGGTAGAGTGTAAACCACATAGTGAGAGTGAAAAATTCTTTGGCTACTTGATATTCTGAAGCAAATATTGACCCTGCATCCATTGAGAACTAAATATAGATTACATTCAAAGATATTTCTAGTGTGTTAAGACATAGAAAAAGATTTTTAAAAACGTAATATGCAACAGAAAAAATGGTTACTCTATCCATTCACTTTTGCAGATATGTTTTCAAGGTCCGTTTGTCACTTTAAAGCAATACTAATTTGAACAATAATTTAGATCTTTGAAAGACTGGTTACAACTACATCAGACAGATTTATAAGGTATTAAATGATGAGGATGTAAAAAATATGCATGGTTAAGAACTGCTAGTACAATATAGAATAGTAGGTATAATAACCACCTTGTCTTATTCCTAAATTTAATAGTGATACTTCCAGAATTCACTATGAGACATGTTTGGTACAGCTGTTGAGAGGTAAGTTGAATACTATGTAGATATTTCAAGTGTTTAATATGATGAAACTTAATATATGCATAAACCCATGTTACTACCATCCCAATTAAGATATAGAACATTTCAATCATTCCAGAAACTTTACATCTAGTCCTTCTAATCAATTCCTTAAACAGGAAACAACTTATTATTACTTTATTTTATTACTATAGATTAAGTAATATGTCTTATTTTATTGCAATAGATCATTTTTGCTATTCAAAAATTTAATTATAAGTGAATCATGCACTATGACTTTATAATATCAATGTCTTATGTTCAACATGATATTTTTGAGATTCATCTACATGGCAGATGCCAATTTGCTCTTTATATCCAACTAGGTCCCATGCACACCCTAAGCCAATAAACATTTCAAACAAAAAATCATGAATCAAATCATGGATTCTTCAAGCTAAGGAAAATGAAATTGCTTTGCTGAGTGCAATGCATGAAATGTAATTGCTTTGACCCTTTAAGATACAACAGTGAAGCTGAGGATAGTTCTTGAAAATATATTGCAGGTACCTGATGGAGAGAGCTGCAAGATGACCACCTTGCAAGGTTCAACGCGCTGTGTGGGGGTTGCAACTGTAATCAGAACATGACATGGTTCTGCACAAGTGAACCCATAGTCTACTAGTGAAATAGACTAACTAATATGTTAAGAAGCATAATGAGATATTCTATAATTGATATCTAGAAAAAGTTATATGGCACCCAAAAAAGAGATAACTATTTACCTGAGTGTTTTCAGGGTTAGCCTTTGAATGAAGGAATGAGTTGAAACAATAATGGAAAGATAGTAGGTATAAACTAAGCTATATTGCTAATTAAGTTAAATATAGATAAACTGAATGCATGAATTGTCAGCAATTACAAGACTGGATAAAACAGTAATCTCCCAGCAACAAGCAAGAGAGTCCTATAGAAGACCTGACAACAATGATGAATGAGGACAGAGACAGAAAACACTGTGATCCTTGATGTTATCATTGAATCACTTGAATCCTGCTTTGACATTGACTTCCAAGTATGTGATACAATTAACTGCCTTAATGGTTTAAGGCACTTGGAAGGGCTTTTGGTGCTCTTGCAATTGAAACCATTACAACATAACACACATAGAAAGAGTATCCGTTAAAAATTTTTTGAAAGAAAAGAAGAATGAAGGAAGGAAGAAAGGAAGGAAGGAGAGAAGGAAGAAAAGAAAGAAAGGAAGGAAGAAAAGAAGTCTCAAGAACTCAGATGTCTTGATTTATACTAGTTGAAAAATGGCCAAACAACTTATCTGCACCATGAATTACGTATATATATATATATATATATATATATATATATATATATATATATATATGTAATTATCTATATATATGATTTTTGTACTTCTTAAACTCAGTTTAAAATTATATATATAATTATATATATATATATATAATTTTAAACTGAATTCAAGAAGTACAAAAGTACAAAATCCCTTTCATTGTACATTTTTTAAATAGATGTACCTTTAAAGTAGAGTGATATTTTCAGAGTAATCAATATAATCTTGGGTTTAGAGACTTCATGTTGGGTGAATATATTCTTATCTGATAAGAAAGATGAAATAATAACACATTCTTTGAATGTTTCCAGATGATAACATTTGTAATATGAGGCCAAATAATTTGGTTTGTTATCGTCTTACACAGGTTATTCAAAGCAGCAGGATTAGAGGAAGCAGAGAACTAACTAGTTTTTAATTTGAATACATCATCGAAGCACCCCAATTAGCCACCTGCATTCCTGCAGTATTTTTTCAGCATGTAATCAAAAGAATATTATTTACTTTGATGATTAATAAAAATGGTCTGCCAAGTGTTTGCTCTTTAATGGGAAAATAATGGGCAACATTAAGGAAAAGAAACAGTATCCATATGCATGATCTTTGAGACATTTCCATTCATTCAGAAGCTGACTCTGTCACTGTAAATGGCAAACAATCAGGAAATGAAAATAAAATTCTTCTACAAATTATCTTTCATCTGAGAATATTGTTGGACCCTACAGATAACTTTATTAATATGTTTATAGATCTGTGGAACAGTTATCAGCTAATACGGGAAGAAGTCTAAGGTAGCGTCAATTCTAAATTTAAGGAATTACCTCTACCTTGGTCAAGAGGAAGTCTTTATTGCATCCAATTAAGTAAGATGTTTCTTCATTTCCTTCTGATCTCCATCTTGTCTACTTTCTCTGTGTTAATGTTTGTTTGCTGACCAAATCTCTGTTCTGTCCTTCATACTTCATGATTAAAAAATTCCAACTCCAGCTACATCACCTTAGTTCATAATCATGACGTTTCTTCATAATCTGCCATACCATACCATCCCTCTGATGTTATCTCCTGCTATGGTGCCCCCAATTCACCCTGCTAGGGGTGACACAGAGCTATCTTGATTATGACAAATTTGCCTAAATGGCTACTCCCTCCACCCACACACAAGTCCACATCAGAATCCTTGTGTTTACTCTCTATTATGTCTGGAATAGCTTCCATAAATATGTCTTTGTGGACCAGCTTCTGCTTCAATTTTGTCTATGGCCAAATATCAAAATTATTATCTCCAAATTTCAAATTTCAAACATTGAACTCTTCTTTATTTCACCAAACCCATTCCACCAGAACGCTCCCCCGTATCCCTCATTTCTCCTCTATTTTTCTCATATATCATATATAGATTCTTCAGAAATCCTGGAAGCACTGCCTTCAAAATATATCCAGAATTTAAACCCTTCACACCACTTGTGTGACTACAAGGCTAATCTGATCCACTATCTCTCCTCTCCTATACTGTTATAATTACTGGCCAAGAGTTGTCCCTTTTTCCATGGTGATTCAAAGCAATAGCTAAGCAATTCCTCAAAAAAAGTCCCTATGCACACACCCCGATGTAATGCAAAATAAAAGCTAACATATCCCAATATCCTAGAATGCCTTATGTAATATGCATTCTAGGATTTGCAGGTCCTAGAACACCCCCCACCCCACCTCCACACACACACCCCATAAAATACTGCTGTTCCTACCCACTAAGCTCCAGCCACATTAATCTTCTTGGTCTTCACTGATTACATTAAGGTCCCTCTGGAATTGTGACCTTCCCACTAGCTACTTTTCCCATCTTCTGCATAAAAAGTTCATCCTCTGTATATGTACTTAGTGAACTCCCTAAGAATTGTTCAAGGCTTTGCTCAAACATCCCCATCTCAATGAGGCTTCCATGTGATTTTAGGCAAACACTCAAAGAATGACTAATTCTTATTTTTTGATGATTTTCCAGAAAATAGAAACAAAGGAGAATTGGCCAGATCATTTAATGACACTGGTATAATCATATTTCTAAGATCAGAAAACTACAAAACCTTGGAAATAAATTATAGGCTCACTCTATGTATGAAGATAGACCCAAAAATTCCCCAAACAGTACTCCATAGAATATTCCAATTTTGTATTAAAATATACAAAATATAAACTAAAGTTTATTTCAGGGATTCCAAGAAGGGTTCAATGTAAGGATATGCCTTGTACCATATTAAAAAATGAAAGAACAAATACTTAAGCAATATAGAATAGGCATTTGATAAGACAAAGCAAGTGTTATGAGGAAAACAAAAGTCCACTGCTGTGAAACTAACCATTAAAAATTAAGAATAAAGGAAGGCAGCCAGGCACAGTGGCTCACTCCTGTAATCCAAGCCCTTTGGGAGGCCAAGGTGGGTGGATTACCTGAGGTCAGGAGTTCAAAGTACACCAGCCTGGCCAACATGGTGAAACCCCATCTCTAATAAAAATACAAAAATTAGCTGGGCATGGTGATGCGCACCTGTAATCCCAGCTACTCAAGTCTGAGGCTGGTAGATCGCTTGAGCCCAGGAAGTGGAGGTTGTAGTGAGCCGAGATTGTGCCACTGCACTCCAGCCTGGGCAACAGAGTGAGATTCTGTCTAAAAAAAAAAAAAAAAAAAAAATCATAAAATAAAAAGTAAAGGAAGGCAAGGTGTTTGACCCACCAGATACCAGCATATGTTACAAGGCAATTATAATAAAAGAAGTATTAGTGATGAGAAGATGTAACAACATGAAGAGATAAAAGCCAGACTGACACAGTTAACATGGAAACATTCTATATGGTAGAGGTGATATGACAACATAATGATAAAATTATACATTGTTCAGTGGTCTGTTAGGGAAATATTATCTCTTTGTATCAAAAATGAAAAAAGTTTTCTTTGAACACCACATGCAAGGGTGCACTCCAGTGGATTTAATGCTGAATATGCTATACATGAATGTTAATGGAAAAAGGGGACTGGTAAAAATAATAATAATAATAAATTAATTAAAAAAAAACACACACACGGAAGAGAATCATATTGACTTAGGTATATTTGTTAAAGAAACACAAAAACTATAGAAGGCTAGAAGGCATAACACGTTTGGTAAGGTTTATTTCATAATGCTTAAGGATAATAGGTGTATATTAAAAGAAGACATGATATTAGCACTATATTAAAAGGGTTACTAGTATAAATACATAACTTCGCAACCCAGTTAGAAAAAAAAATGAACACAAAATATGAGCAGGTAATTTTAGAAACAGTAACACACAAAGCCACAAGCATATAAAAAATGCTTAAAATTGGGGGTGATTAGAAAAAAAATTAAAATTTCAATGAGTAATCGCTTTCCCTAATTAGAGTTCTAGGGTAGAGATGTGCTGACATTGTAATCCTAGTGGCAAGCTGGCAGCAGTGTAAAGTGGGGCACAGTTCAGGAGGATAATAAGAGTGTGTATGCAGAGCCTATGAACTAGAAATTGTGCTCCAGAGAATGTATCTCAACAATTTCTGACTCCTGTTTATAAAGGAACAAGTACAAACATTTTTATTACAACAGTAATTTTAGTTCTTGGAATTTGAAGGCAACTTGATTGTCCTACTGGAGAAAAAGAAAAAAGATAGACAGTAGTTGGTTTGTGTACATTCTGGACATATGAGAAAGCAAGCACTTAGAAATATATATTACAGCATGGATATGTCTGAAAAATATAAAGTGAAACTGAAATACAATGAGTTTATATAACACATGATTTCTTAGAAAACTAAAATTGAAAAATAGTTGGAAAGAAAAACAAACACATGACTAAAATACACTTTTAGAAAGAGCATAAGCAAACTAAGAGATTAAGTACAACAAAATGACAGCAGTATATAGTGGTGGGGAACCAGAATGGTTTTAAGGGAAATAAAAATTAATACATAAATCCAATTATAATGGAGACTTGCAGGAACCAATAATTTTATTTATTTATTTATTTTTATTTTATTTTATTTAGAGATGGAGTCTCACTCTGTCACCCAAGCTGGAGTGCAGTGTATGATCTCAGCTCACTACAACCTCCGCCTCCTGGGTTCAAGCGATTCTCCTGTCCCAGCCTCCTGAGTAGCTGGGACTACAGGTGCATGGAACCACGCCCAGCTATGTTATTTTTGGATTTTTAGTAGAGATGGGGTTTTGCCTTGTTGGTCAGGCTGGCCTCAAACTCATGACCTCAAGGGGTCCACCCACCTCAGACACCCAAAGCGCTGGGATTCTAGGAGTGAGCCCCCGCACCAGGCCAGGGACCAAAAATTTTAATGGACCATCAACTGAAGAGTATGATGATCTAAACCCTTATTCAGAGCTGAACGATAAAGAGATAAGCTATGTTATTTCTCCAGTCTTCTAAGGTGCAGACACAAAAATGGAATTACATTTGCAAGGGTTTCATCAGGAGAAATTCCTGTGAGAATAAATGGAGTGGGGACAGAGAAAAGGAAAGAGTCATCAGACCATGATTTAATCTGACTCTGAGGGAAAGAAACACATTTTAGGTGGAAGTGTCCTAGACTAATAGGCAGTCTAAGAAAAGATCAGCAAGGTGAGGTCATATCTTCCCAGAAAGAGCCCGGCTTAGACCCTCACCCAGGCTCAGCCATTGGCAGCAAGCGGCCTGTAGTCTCATGTAGACATGATGTCGGGATTCTAAAGGTGATAGCTGGAGCTCTCTGTCTACTAGGCAATGTGTGACGGGGAAAAAAGAAAACATGGAGCATTTGTCTTCTTTAAATCATCTTGACTTTTTATCATCTTCTCCCCTCAAATATCATAGCCCAAGCTGGAAAGTTTCTGATTACAGATCAGCCATATAAAAGAGCTTTGTCTGAGACACATGTGCAAAATCATCCTCAAAATATGGGTTCATTTATCACAAATGCGAAGATGGAGGCTAAATCCATTTCTATAACAATCTTAGAATTTGCAAAATTCCAGAGAAGAACAGAAAGAGAAAATATACAGAAAGTCCCAGACCCTCATGAAAACATTTCAACTGCAGTGTCACAAAAATTCCTTTCTAAGTACCATAAAAGAACAGTGCATGACACTTCCACCTTCAAAAATTATCTTGGAAAATTTTTTTCACACCACTTGATCTCTATATTCAGGCAAATATAGTAATAGTCAAAGCCTACATTTTCCAACCCAGAAAAGAAGTCAAGACTTTTTGCTTAGAAGGTGAAAGAATGGATCAGCGATTGCTGGTGTCAATTCCATGTGGATCACCACAAGTTTTAATGCAAAGTTCAGGAGGATGATATCATTTTAAATCTGAAATACACTGTTATCCATGTGCCATGCAAGGGCTGTCAGTCACTAACTTTGTGGTTTTATGCTACGGGAAACTGTCCCTATATACAAGGGACAGACGTGATGACTGTGAAGCAAATCTGAAATTGACTTGATGTTTTTGAAGATGACCAAAATCCACTTCTATTTTTGAATTTCCAGTCATACCACAGATTTTTTTCAATGTTTTGATTAGGGCTTAAGGAAGCTTACACTAAACATTGCCTAGCTTCTTGCCCAGATGGTTGTTAATAATTGCCCAAAATAGGTATCCTCATGAAATGATCTAGTTGGAAGAGGAATTCATTACATGGAATAATAATAATAGCATTAATTTGGGTGTATTTAGTTCTCACATTGCCTCACTGCATGCACACAGTAAACATTTTGTAGTTATTATTGTGATGACTATCAAAGAAAGAAAATTTTTAAAAAATTAATAAGGATTGTGAGACTAAGTTTGTCTCATGTAAAGTAACAGCCGATTTGAGTTCAATACTTTGAAGTCCAAAGACTGTAGTACTAATCACCACTGTATGGTGCCTTCTCTAATCAAATATTTTATTTAGGACATGAAAGAAAATGGCTTAGCATAAAAAAGAATGAGATCATGTCCTGTGCAGCAACATAGATGCAGCTGGATGTCATCATCCTAAGCGAATTAACACAGGAAGAGAAAACCAAATACCACATGTTCTCATTTTTAAGTGGGGGCTAAATATTGGGTACTCATGGACACAAAGATAAGAACAGTAGACACTGGAGACAAATAGAGGGGGGAGGTTGGGAGGGGGGCGAGGGTTGGAAAACTGTCAGGTACTATGCTCACTACCTGGATCACAGGATCATTTGTACACCAAACCCCAGCGACACACAATTTATCCATGCAACAAACCTGCACATGTACGCCCTGAACCTAAAATAAAAGTTGAAAGGAAAAGAATAGACTTAGAACTTTGAATGTATAAGAGATAACATGTAAATAAAGGCAACCCCAGAAACACAGTGTCTTCACTTCTAGTATGATGAGCCTTACATTACAGTTTTGAGTATATTTTGTCAAGGTATCACTCACTGAAAAAAAAATTGAGAAGTGCAAAATTTGACCTATGTCAAATCACAGGTATTTTTACAGAAAGAACATTTATCATCCAAGAGGACTCCTCTTCCAAGATAAATATTTTTTTAAAGAGATTACTGCTTTCCTCTGAGAAAACTGAGCTGTAAACATGGATTGTCATTTGGAAAAATTATAGACCAGTTAAAATCTGACAATCTTCATTTATTAAGCTTTGGCACTCACAAACTATTGTAATTTCCCAAACATTTGCATTACATATGTCCAAGGGAAGAAGTAGATTGTTAAAGTTTTTGAATTGTAGCAATCTGTGGGGTCATTACTCTCATTGCCAAATGTATTCTTCTGATTAATTTTGGGTTTTACACACCATTTGGTGCATTTATTTCACCAGAATATAAGTATGGACTTCCATATTAAACTGAAATTGTCAGCTTTAAAATTAAAGCTTCAATACAACCTATCTAAAATCTTCTAACAGACGGGTAGTTGATTCAGATCAGCATTCCAGTCAGTCACTTGTACTATATGTAGAAAAATAAATAGTAACAAACACACAGCCACAAATACACACCAACATATAGACCTTTTCCTTCCGAACTATCAAAGAAATGGTCATTTTTTATAAAGTTACTTACAGGCATTTACAGTCTTGTAAACAAAATTTTATTTTGCATTAATAGTTATTATTTACTTTGATAAAAATCCATGAATGCCACCTTTGTGTAAAACACTTTGCAGCAATACTAGAAGACATACAAGTAAGTAATCTTGGTCTTGACCTTGAGATATTTACAGTGACATGAATGTGTAAGACAAATAACCTAAAAGACAATGCAAAGTTTACAAAAAGTTAATTAAAATAAAAAGTAATATTTTATATGGATTATGGGAAATTATTAATAGATAATACTTTGATAAGCCCTGAAAGATAATAAAAATGTAACAGTATAAAAGACACGTTTAAATTAAACTTATAGAGAGCCTCTTTGGTATTAAAACACTATTAAATTGATTATTCCTTCTGATTTTCCATATAATAGAAAACACTTTTGTGGTGAATGAATGTTATCCTATATTTGATTGATCTGAAAGCACATACACCCATGAAACACACACACACACATATTCACATGCACACATATGTGCACACACATATACGCACATACACACACACATCCTTGGCGGTCTTTATGTAGCCTCTCCTAACTTAGGTATTCAGCATCATCCACTCTATATCAGAGAAGAAGGTTTTTAAAATGCTGAGTAAGAAAAAATTATTATATTTTATGATAATACATTATCACTTGATAAACATAAGGGACACCATATAGTAAGCATACAATTATAACAGATTGCCAGAACAGTGAGCAAATAGAATTTAAACTATATATGTATCTAAGCTAATATTTATGGCTTTATGAATAACTAATAGAAACTTTTGATAAATTAAGAAGTAGACTCACTTCAGGAAGATAATTTGTAAATGTAATAAAGCTTTTTGAAAATGTCCTAAACTTATTTCTACTATCTTAATATATACAGTAATGAAAATGTAATAACAGCCAAATAATTTGATAATAAACATATTATTCAGTCTATTATCTCTCTTTGTTTAGCTATAAAGCACACTCAAGCCTAACCTTACAAACTATTTAGGATAGGTAATTTCCCTATTTAACAAATATACAAGAGTCTCCAAGAATTATTCTTATGCCTCTATATATCCTTGATTTAGTTAAATGAAAAATTAATAATTACTCCCAAAGCTTGTATTAATCATAACTTCATTGCCAGGATGATGTAGTTATTTGAAATATAACTGATTCTGACATTGAAATAATGCAGTCTTACAGAAACAATGTAAAATGCATCCAGCTTATAAAAATTATACAGTAACCCTTCAGTAGTATCATGGGAGAAGTATTTCCAGGAATACCCCAAAATAAGGATATAAAAATCTGCATATACTTAAGTGTTATGTAAAATAGCATAATATTTGAACATAACCTACATACATCCTCTCATATACTTTAAATCATCTCTAGATTACTTATAATACCTAATACAATATAAATAATGTATAAATAGTTGTGATACTATATCGGTTTAATTTGTTTTTTTAATTGTTGTATTGTTTTTAATTATTTTTTGAATATTTGTTACCCATGGTTGGTTGAACATATGGATGCAAATGAAGGGCCAAGAGATAAGGAAGGCTAACTGTACATTTCTTACTTTATGGTAAGAAAAATTATTATTATAATTTATCTTCATCAGTCCTCAACAAAGAATTGTTTAAAAAATATTTACTGGTTACATCACACTGAAAATCTCCTTCTCAACACTAAAAATATCTATTATGTTTAAGTAAAAGAAAGCTAATATTTAAAAAATAACATGGAGTAACATCAACTAATTATTGATTCTATTTTAAAATAAAAAATTTATAAAATAAACATTTAAAACATGTGCATTAAAATGATCACACCATAAATACTTACTTAAATTTGAGTCATTTTCTCTATTTTGACAAGGGGTAGACTTCAAATTAAGTGTAAAGATTAATACATGATAGAACCTGCAAACTAAACCAGGGCCTATGGTACTTCAGTTTCTGATAATTCTAGAAATGTAATTTACTGGAAATTTTCCATTCATATAAAAGTAATGCATATATCATTTGGCAACTGTATGTAGAATAAAATAAAATTTGTTTTACTATAGCTTATAAAGTTTGACAGACTAGTAAATTGATCTGGCCATTATTTCTCTCTGATTGTGGACACAGACTCAGAATCCATCTTAAAGTGCATCTCCAGGCAGTTATTACTAATCTATCAATGTTGACATATGAAATGGAAATTTTCCACACTGGGTGTTTGTCCCTTTATGAAAATACTAAATAGCACATGTCCCACCAGGAAGAGTATGGCCATTCTCACCGGAGCCTTCTTCATTTATTTTCTCTTTCAGCCCCCTGCGTATGTGTTCTCTGGTTTAGAATTTGGTGGGGATGTCTACGTGGAGATATTGACTTGACATTTATTAAAAAAGAAGAAAAGACTGCAAAGGAAAACTAACAAAATTCACACATCCTGACTGTGTACGAATAATATGATGAGACACCCAAATGCATTCAGCAGCCTTTCTGTGAAATAATATGCCAATCTTTAAGGAAAAAAAGTTTCTGGCTTTCCACAGGAGACATAAAGCATGAATATATTTTTATGTATTTTTTTAATTGACAAATAACATTGTATGATTTTGTTGTGTACAACATGGCATCCTGAAGTATATATACAACGACTAAATCTAGCTAATTAACAAAGGCATTACCTCTCATAGTTATCATTGTTGTGCTGAGAGTATATAACACTCATTCTTTTTATATTTTTAAAGAATATTATATATTGTCATTATCTATAGTCACCTTGCTGTACAGAGATCTGAAATGTATTACTTCTGTCTAACTGTACCTATGTATTCCATGACCAATATCTCCCTATCTCATTTCCTCTAAAAACCCCAGCCTCTGGGAACCATCATTTTCCTCTCTACTTCAATGAAATGAACTTTTTTTCAATTTCATGTATCAGTGAAAGATCATGTGGTATTTGTATTTCTTTGCTTGTCTTATTTTCCGTAACATAATGTCTTCCAGGTTCATCTATGTGTTTACAAATGGTAGAATTGCATTTTCTTTCAGGCTGAATAATATGCCATTGTGTATATATTATATATTTTCTTTATCCGTCACCCACTGATGGACCTTTAGGTTAATTCCATATCTCAGCTACTGTGAATAGTATTACAATAAACATGAGAAAGCAGTTATTTGGGGCATCCGATTTCATGTCCTTTGCAAATATACCCAATAGCGGGATTGCAGAACCATAGAGTACTTTCTATTTTTCATGTTTTTAGAAAGAGAGTTGTTCATAATGACTGTACTAATTTTCATTCCCATCAACTGTGTATAACTGTTCCCTTTTCTCCATATTGTTGTCAATATATATCTTTTGTCTTTTAATAATAGCTATTTGAACTGGGATGAGGTAGTATTTCATTGTCGTTTTTGATTTGTGAAGTTGAGTATTTTTTACTTATCTGTTGGCCATTTGTACATTTTCTTTTAAGAAATGTCTATTCAGGTCTTTTGCCTATTTTTTAATTAGGTTATTATTATCATTATTATTATTTTTGCAAAAGCTAGTGGTATCACACTATCTGACTTCAAAATAGACAACAAATTATAGTAACAAAAATAGCATGGTATTGGCATAAAAACAGCTACATAGACCAATGTAACAAGACAGAGAGCCCAGAATAAACTGCATTTACAGCCAATTGTTTTTTGACAAAAATACGAAGAATGCACACTGGGAAAAGGAGAGTTTCTTTAATAAAATTTTTGAGAAAACTAGATATCTACATGCAGAAGAATTAAATTAAACCTTATCTCTTTGCCTATAAAAGTCAACTAGAAGTGGAGTAAGAAATTAAATGTAAGACCTGAAACTATGATAGCACTAGAAGAAACACAAGGACAATGCTTCATGCAGTTGGTCTGGGCAAGAATTTTTTGAATATGTCATCACAAACCTAGGCAGCAAAAACAAAAATAGACTAATGGGGTGACAGCAAACTAAAAATCTTCCACACAGCAAAAGAAACAATCAACAAAGTGAAAACAGAATTACATAATAGAAGAAAATATTTGAAACTATACATCTCACAAGGAGTTAATATCCCAATATATAAGGGAGTCAAAGCACAGACTTAAAATCTTAGTGTAAACTATCTATTTAACTTTTTTAAAAAATTAGACTTCATTAAATTAACTTCATTGTTATCTATTTTATTAGTTTTTAAGAATATGTCTTTCTTATTATTTTGGAAAGATTTTTTCTTAAGGGCAATTTAGAAGTTTTTTCTCATATAATTCTGATAAATTGACTGTAAAACATTTGTTACATGAAAGCAAGCAGAGTCTAAAAAAAAAGTCAGATGGTAAGTAAAATTTTCATGAAAATGAAAGGCACCTCCAAAGCACCATTTGCATACATCAGTGTGCTAATGCTACTTTCCCAATATCACCTGCAGCTTCTTACATCTCTAATGGAAATTGAATGAATTCACAGATTATTAGCTTGTAGGAGCCTTAGTAGAGAATAAAATCTTAGCAGGTTTAGCATATTCTGTGGCAGCAGTACACAATACTAAAGTAGCTAAAGAGTCTTGGCTTGTCTGCTTAAGTGCATATATCTTATTTTAATATTTTTAGTGCCATTTTCCAAATTAAATATTGAAGTGGTCTTGTTTTCACTGAATAGAATAAGAAATGGCCCCTTTGCATTAGGACTGGGAAAGAAAACATTTCTACTTAAAAAGCATTAGCGATGCAATGTGGTGCGTTTTTGAGTTGCATTTTATCAATTTATTTGACTTGAAATACAGCGATATATAAATGTTAGTAGTCACTAAGCACATGGCAGGCAGGTGCAGCATGCTTTGCCAGTGGAGAGCTGACATTTTTATGAGATTGCTCAGCTGGAATGGCAAAGGAGCATTGGAGAAGTAAGAGAGAAACAGCTGTCACCCACTCATTTTATTTTCAATTGTAGTATCTTGGAGGGAAAGAAATTACATTAAAATGAAATATCTATCATGATTGAGATAGAGGCATTATATCCATGCTGTTTGAATCCATTACCTTTACATTGAAAGAATTTTAAATGCATAATAATATGTCTTATCAGGATATATTCAGAGAAATATGTGTTTATTGAGCTGAAATGCATTATATATTATGTATGGTAACCACAATCTAAAATTACATGTTTTTTTTTCTTTGTGATAATGTGAATACCTTAATTGAGCCTCATTCTCTTTTCCAGTACCTCTTTTGACAAATGCTAGGCATGGTTAAGAGAACAATGTAAGATTCTAGAATAAAGAAATGCAAAGAAAAATACATGTTACCCAAACTGATAATCTTGTCATTTGAAATAAGCAACTGAGCTAGTGGATCAATCAAGTACACCAAGAAAACAAACCAATATAGAGAAACTCTGATAAAGAGACTACAATGGGGGGGTTGGTTACAAAAAGGACAAACTACTAAGGAGGACAGAGTATTCGGCAGTCTTCCAGAAGGACAAATGCATTAGGATTTGAAAAATATAATTATATTGCAAAAGTGAAAAGAAAATCATTCCTAATAAAATATATTTGAGAAGCATTATGAAAAGGTATAAATTAATTACATATAGGTGGGAAACGGAAGAAAACCTCTTTTGTAAAACCAAGTGAAAATGATTGCCAATGATGTTTATAAAGAGATTTGAAGGCTGGGTGCAGTGGCTCACACTTGTAATCCCAGGACTTTGGGAGGCTGAGGCGGGCAGATCACCTGACATCAGGATTTTGAGACCAGCTTGACCAACATGGAGAAACCCCGGATCTACTAAAAATACAAAATTAGCTGGGCATGGTGAGACATGCCTGTAATCCCAGCTACTCAGGAGGTTGAGGCAGGAGAATCACTTGAACACTGGAGGCAGAGATGGCAGTGAGCCGAGATCACACCATTGCACTCCAGCCTGGGCAACAAGAGTGAAACTTCATCTCAAAAGAACAACAACAAAAATAAATTAAAAAATAAAGAGATTTGAAATCATAGACTGGAGATGATTAAGTGGGTCACAATGTTATCTTTGTTTCTGCAGCTTACCTCTAACCTTACCCCCACAACCAAGACAAATCCAAGATTATGAAACTTTGGTTGGCGAAGACTTTGTGATTTTATTGACAGCATAATGTAGGACAAGTGGCTTTCAGAAAAATGACATCAGAGAAAGAATGGATGTACCACTTTTACATTAAAATAATTCTACCAAATTAGAAATGCATGTATTATGATATTATAGAAGAAAGTAGTTAATACCCAGAAATAGGGGATTTCTTGAGCTCCTCTCTTCCATCTATTTTGAGTTACATCTTATACCTCCTCCTTTCTGTAGAGGGATTGGACTTGAGATTTAAAAGAAAAAATTATTGATTCACTGAAGATTCTTGTTCTCAAGTCAAAAAAGGAGCCTCAACAAAAGCAAAATAAAAGGAACCATGGAAAGAGAAGAGGAGAGGAAATCTTCAGAAAAAAGCAGCAGCCTCCAGAAGCACCATTTGAAAGATTTTGGTAGAAAGGCTGTAAAGGAGAGACACAGCTAACCTGGACATATGATGATTTACATCTCACTCACAAACCTGGAGCTGTCAGCCAAGTTCTGATGAAACAATCTCTTGGGGGATGATTATGTACATCTTTGCAAAAAAATGGAAAACTCTTTTCCCACATCTCATCACCATAAATAAGAGAGAAATAGTTATTGTGAATTACACCTCAATGAAGAGATGTAGGCCTAGACAGCAACAGGCTACGTGACTGAAAAAAAAAAAGTAATTGATGTTAATCAGTCTGACTTCTATGTTTTCCAAGGTTATTTAGAGATCAATTTTTGAAAAAGAAAAGCATTTAATGAACTAATTTACTCAGTAATAATAAAATGCAGGCATAAAAGGTAATGCAAATATCTGTTGAATAACTAATATAAGCCAGGCCTTATTATAGGTGGGGATATAGCAGTAAATAAAATAGACAAAGTCCTGTCCATATGTTGATTATATACCAGTGGAGATGTGCTACATATAACAAATTGGAATAACATGAATAAGGAGGAAGAAAAGCAAGAGGAAGAAAAATGGTGCAAACTGCAAAGCTACCTGAGAGAAACGACAATAAGCTGTCAAACGGATATCTTACAAGTTGAGCATGTGTTGCTTTGACAAATTTGCTTCCATGGTAGTATCACCCAATAAAAATGAACTTCTTAGAGATAAAAAATTAAACAAATTCATTATTTTAAAAGTGAAATTAAATTTATTAATTCACAATAAAAGGACAACCTATTATCATATATTCTCTCTCCAGGCAAAGGTTAAAGTAGCATTTTTAAAGAAATATTTATTTTTAAGTTACAGAGTACACATGCAGGATGTGCAGGTTTGTTACATAGGTAAACGTGTGCATTGGTGATTTGATGCACCTATAAACCCATCATCTAGGTATTAAGCCCAACATGCATTAGCTATTTTTCCTAATGTTCTCCCTCCCCCGACCCTACCCCACACCAGGCCCCAGTGTGTGTTGTTCCCCTCTCTCCGTCCATGTGTTCTCATTGTTCAATTCCCACTTATAAGTGAGAACATGCAGTGTTTGGTTTTCTGTTCCTGCTTCAGTTTGCTGAGGATAATGGCTTCCAGCTCCATCCATGCTACAAAGGACATGATCTCATTTTTTATGGTTGCATAGTATTCCATGGTGTATATGTACCACATTTTCTTTAACCAGTCTATCACTGATGGGCATTTGGTTTATTCCAAGTCTTTCCTATGGTGAATAGTGCTGCAATTAACATCTGCATGCATATATCTTTGTAATAGAATGATTTATATTCCTTTGGGTATATACTCAGTAATGGGATTACTGGGTCAAATGGTATTTGTGGCTCTAGATCTTTGAGGAATTGCCACACCATCTTCCACAATGATTAAATTAATTTACATTCCCACCAACAGTGTAAAAGCATTCCTATTTCTCCACAACCTTGCCAGCATCTGTTGTTTCTTGACTTCTTAATAATAGCCATTCTGACCGGCATGAGATGGTATCTTATTGTGGTTTTGATTTGCATTTCTCTAATGATCAGTGATATTGAGCTTTTTTTCATATGTTTGTTGGCCGCATAAATGTTTTGAGAAGTGTCTGTTCATGTTCTTTGTCCACATTTTAATGTTTTGTTTTGTTTTGTTTTTTGTAAATTTGCTTAAGTTCCCTGTATTAGACCTTTGTCAGATGGATAGATTGCAAAAAATTTCTCCCATTCTGTAGGTTGTCTGTTTACTCTGATGATAGTTTCTCTCTCTCTTTTTTTTTTCTTTTTTTTTTTGAGACAGAGTCTCACTCTGTTGCCCAGGCTGGAGTGCAGTGACATGATCTCAGCTCACTGCAAGCTCTGCCTCCCGGATTCACACCATTCTCCTGCCTCAGCCTCCCAAGTAGCTGGGACTACAGGCACCCGCCACCATGCCCGGCTAATTTTTTGTGTGTTTAGTAGAGACAGAGTTTCACCATATTAACCAGGATGGTCTCGATCTCCTGACCTTGTGATCTGCCCACCTCGGCCTCCCAAAGTGCTGAGATTAGTTTATTTTGCTGTGTAGAAGTTTTTTAGTTTAATTAGATCCCATTGGTCAATTTTTGCTTTTATCCCAACTGCTTTTGGTGATTTTATCATGAAATCTTTGCCTGTGGCTATGTCCTGAATGGTATTGCCTAGGTTTTTCTTCTTATAGTTTTGGGTTTTACATTTAAGTCTTTAATCCATCTAGAGTTCGTTTTTGTACAAGGTGTAAGGAATGGGCCCAGTTTCAATTTTCTGCATATGGCTAGGCAATTTTCCAAACACCATTTACTAAATAGGAAATCATTTCCCCATTGCTTGTTTTTGTGAGTTTTGTTGAAGATCAGATGGTTGTAGATAAACAGTTAAAGTAGCCATTTTTCACTAATCACTGTCTGTATTCAAAGGCTTATACTACTTGTGGATTGTATGAGAATTTTCCAACACACTATTTTTTCCACCCCAGCTTTTAACTTATTGTTATCATACATTTTGCTTTTATATACATTATAAACACATACATTAAAATATGATTTTTGTTTAAGCAGTCAATTACCTTTTAAAGAAATTTGAACAAGAAAAATATTTATATTTATTCCCACATTTTATCTTTTTTTTATATTTTTCACTGCTGTGGTAGATACATATTTTATCTGCAATGATTTTCTTTCTGCCTAAAGGGCATTCTCTGGCACTTCTTTTAGAGTGGCTTGTTGGTGATTAATTCTTTCAGTGTGTATAAATATGTTATTATTTCATTATCATTTTCAAAATACATTTTTATTGAGTATAACATTCTAAGCATTTTCTTAGTACTTTAAAGATACTACTTCACTACCTCTTTGTCATTTTGATACCAAAATATAAGTGAACAAACAAACAAGGAAAACTGACAACTTTATATTTTTGTTTCTCTAGTTGTTCTTTTCCTATGTCTGCTTTTAAGCGTATCTTTATCAGTTGGCACCAATTTGATTAAGACTTGCTTTGGTATAATTTTCTTCCTTTTTCATGTGCTTGGGGCTCACTGAGTGTTTGTTATGCAACTTTATAGTTTTATCAAAGTTGAAAAATTTCAGCCATTCTTTCTCCAATTTTTTTTTACATCACCCTTTTTCTGAGAACGCAATTTAATGTGTATTAGCCTGCTTGAAGTTATCCTGATATTCACTGAGGCTCTGTTCATTTTTCGCACTCTTTTTACTCGGTGTTTAATTTTAAAGTTTCTATTGCTATGTTTCCAAGCTTATTAATCTTTTCTTTTTGTACATCTAACATGACATCAATTATATTCATTATATTTTTTTATTTTACCCATTGTAGTTTTTTCTCTACTACCCACTGTAGTTTAATGTATGATTAAATATCATACATTTTGAATATTACTTTATTGAGTGATACCCATGTTATGTTCCTATAAACACACTTGAACTTAATTAGCGTGGAATTAATTAGAAACTGAATGATATTGGGCCAGGCGTGATGGATCAGGCCTGTAATCCCAGTACCTTGGGAGGCTGAGGCGGGAGGATCTTTTGAGCTCAGGAGGTCAAGAACAGCCTGGACAAACAACAAATACAAAAATTAGCCTGGTGTGGTGGCATGTCCCAGTAGTCACAGCTATTCAGGTGGCTGAGGCAGGAGTATCTCTCAACCCTGGGAGGCAGAGGCTGCTGTAAGCTGATATCACACCACTGCACCCCAGCTTGGGTGAAAGAATGAGAGAGACCCTGGCTCAGGAAAAAAAAAAAAAAAAAAGGTAAAGAAAAGATACTTGTATTAGTTCATTCTCATGCTGCTACAAAGACATACCTGAGACTGAGTAATTTATAAAAGAAAGGTTTAATTGACTCACAGATCTGCAGGGCTGGGGATGCCTCAGGAAACTTAAAATCATTGCAGAAGGGGAAGCAAACACGTCCTTCTTCACATGGCAGCAGGAGAGAGAAATGAATGCCAGGCAAATGGGAAAGCCCCTTATAAAACCATCAGATCTGAAGAGAACTCACTCACTATCATGAGAACAGCATGGCAGAAACCACCTCCATGATTCAATTACCTCCCACAGGGTCCCTCCCACAACACATGGGGATTATGGGAACTACAATTCAAAATGAGATTTGAGTGGGGACAGAAAGCCTAACCATATCAAAACTGTATGATATTTCTAGGTCTTGCTTTCGAGATTTGTTCAATGGGATCCCAGTACTTGTCAATAGAGGGCTAATTATTCTCCATTACTGAGGGAAAAACCCTTCTGTGTATTCTATCAAATTATCCAAGTATTTTAAGTCTTACTCTTCAGATACTCTGATGAGGCAATGTTTCCTGCCTCAGGTTTTCTGTGATGAATGTCAGGTCTCACACTTCAGAGTGGCTCTTTCTCCAGCACCCTGCAGTATACTCACATGTATTAATCAGCGTAATAGCTAAGGGAAGCTCTCTGCTGACATCCAGAATTCTTTCCTTGTGGTTTTCTCTTATACATCACCTATGCTGTGAACTCTAAGATACTTTGTCCTCCTTAGATTCTCAGCTTACATCTCCTGAACTTGCAGAAGCTGAAGGCTCTGCTTGTGTTTTCTCTCTGCTGTAGGCAGAATAATGATGCTCTCTAGAGATGCCCATGTCCTAATCTATAAAGCCTGTGAATACATTACAATACACAGCAAATGAGAATTACGTTTGTAGATGGAAATAAGGTTCCTGAAAACTGACTTTATGAGGGTGACATCATCTGGATTTTCTGGGTGGAAGTCTTGTAATTTCGAAAGTCTTTATAAAAGAACAAAGGCAGAAAAGAAGGTCAGAGTGATGCAGTGTGGGAATGACTGGACCCACAGTTGTGGTTTTTGAAGATAAAAGGAGCACAAGCCAAGGAATGTGAGAAGGCTGCAGAAGCTGGGAAAGGCAGGGAAACAAACTTTCTAGAGGGACCTCCAGAAAGGAATGCAGATTTGCTGACACCTTGATTATAGCTCTAAGGGCCAGACTGAACTTTTAAAACACTGAAATGTAAGATAATAAATTTAAGTTCTTTAAGCCATTTATTTTGTGGGAATGATTGCGGCAGCCAAAGAAAACTAATACACCCTCTTTGCCCTCAAACTGGGAAACTCTCAAAGCAGTAACTGTGGCAATTCTAGGACTTGCCTTTTTTATTGTCTGCTTCTAGGGGTCACTGCATCCAGTGTGTTGCATACCATTGTTTTATATATTTTATACTTTTTTGTTTTAGATTGTTTCAAGCAGAGGGGTAAATCTAGTTTCTGTTACTCCACTTTGGCTAGAAGCATAATTGAACAATATATGTTTTCATGATAAAAAATATTAGTGACATCAGAACTGTTTTCTTTCCAGTAGAACAATTAATTTATGAGCTTAATCAAGTTACTTAACGTCATTTTCTTTTACTCTTCTAAATGATGTTGACTGCAATATTTTAGGTAATTTTAGGTGAATAGCCTGAATTTAGAATAAATATCTGTTCCATAATTATTGTTCTGTCATTAATTCTTGTAAGAGTTCTTGAAGATGAGAAAATGTGCTGCGTATTCCAATGCCAGCAGATGTCAACTGAGAGAGGTGAGGAAAAAAGTGGTGGCTGTCTCCCAGGAGAACTGCCATAACGCAATTATCCAAATTTATTTGCTGGGAGTCACAGTCTGGCCTTATCCCAGAGAGCTGAGAAACTTGATTGAGTCAGCAGCCGCACTATAGCCCTGTTTCTTCAGGAGAGAGTCACATTAGCCAAGACTCAAGATTGATGTCTAAATTAAAAATGCCTTTCAATCTGTTACAAAGATAAATAGACCTAACAATAAAGCAGTCATCCTATTTGCCCAGCACATTCTCTCTCTAACATCTACATATGTAGGCAAATTATCAGAGTCCTCTTTAACGACTTTAAACATAAAATGGGCCAGTGGGAGGAGTAGGCTGCAATCCAAATATTTACAGGCATTAAGTTATAACATCCAAATGCATCTGACTCCAAGAAAGATGAATTGATCTCTGCAACCAGAAAGATCAAGTCTTTATCCCTATTTTCTTCCACAGTACTACCAATGTTGGCTCTGTGAATTCTATCTTTGTAATGATTTCTTTTTTAGAAAAATTTCTCTTTGCATTTTTTATTAGATAAGTTAGTGTTTTCTATTAAATTTTGGCTAAATTTCCTAGGCTTACAACATATTATATCCCTTTGAGGACACTTTGAATGCTTTTATTTAGATCTACTCTATGCTTCTGTTAGACTAAATCTCTAACTGACTTTTTATTTTATTTCCATTATTTTGGGACTTGATATGGGTTATACTGTGGCCTTTTTGTGTTGACAATAGTCACAATGGTGAAGGGTGACAGCAATCAAGTTTAACAATCAAAATGAATACCAACACAACATACATTTCCCAGTTTTATAATAACCAAACACTTCAGTAGAAATAGCCATGACCATAGTCATATGACCTGAACTGTGTCCAGTTTTGTCATGCTTCTTTATCCTCATTGTCCTACCACTGTGGCTTTCTATGTTTTTGTCTTAAATTTCTCCACAGAACTATTGCACATGCTGATGCTTTGTTTCTGAAATTCTCATCCATTTCACCACCTTACACTCTCAGGAACATTTGTGAAAAGCAAAAACAAATTTGAGGTAACAGGAACATTTACCACTAAAATATGTGTCTTTTCCTTCCTATCAGCACTGCACAAAAGCTTGCCCATTTTCCCATTATTACTCAGACTATTCCAAAAATACCCAAACCCCATAAATTCATGGAGGTTGATCTTGTTAATTTAACTGATAGTTCTAATGTTTATAAATTCTCTGGCTCCTGATCAGCGCTGATCCTAATCAACTTCTGAGCAGCCTCAGACAGTGCAGGATATTCTCTATTAAAAATGTATTTTGGCCAGGCATGGTGGCTCATGCCTGTAATCCCAGCACTTTGGGAGGCTGAGATGGGTGGATTACTTGAGGTCAGGAGTTCGAGACCAGCCTGGCCAACCTGGAGGAACCCCAACTAAAAAATACAAAAATTAGCCGGGCATGGTGGTGTGCACCTGTAGTCCCAGCTATTCAGGAGGCTGAGACAGGATAATTGCTTGAACCAAGGAGGCCGAGGCTGCAGTGAGCCAAGATCACGCCCCTACACTCCAGCGTGGGCAACAGAGCGAGACTTTGTCTCAAAAATAAAATAAATAAACAAATAAAAATGTCTCTTTTCCTTGCTTCTCTAACTTTGCAAATCTTTGCTTTGTTGTGAATACGTGGAAGCATTTTTGTTCTTTTTAAATATCACATAATCATACGGTTCTGAATTCCTGCTATACTATGATCATTAGCCCATACAAAGTCCCTCAGATGTTGTGCTTTATTTATTTTTCTCCTTATCTCTAATTCCATTGGCTGGCTGCCATCATGGTTGTCAGTTATTTTAATGCATTTAGCACATATCCTTTGAATGTTTGTATATTGGAATTTCTTAATTTTTGTGCAAGTTCAATATAACATTTAGAGGTATAATTGTTATCTCGTTTCTTCTTTTAATTGAACCTCCTTTTGAAAAGTCATAATATTTCTCTGTGAACATCTAGTTTCTTGCTTCCTCAGAATGTGTCTGCCTCACTGTTTTATTCATTTTTCCAGTGGTGGACAAGTAAGTTACTAGCAACTCTTTGCCTTCCAAAACTATTCTTATGCTCATCCTAATAATACATATTTTGAATCTGTGGAAGAGTTCTTCATGGATCAACACACCAGATGGGATTTAATAGGTGGGACAGTATGTGCAGATTTAATTTAACTATGTTCCTCAAAATTGTCCTACAAAATATCAGTGCTACTTTATTCTTTTACTAGCAGTGCATAAGATACCTATTTTTGCACATGCTTATCAATATTCAGTTTTATCCATCTTTCAAATTTTTGTCATTCTAATGACCATATTTTATTTTAAGCTAATTACAACAAACAGTATAGCTCCTCATCTGTGAGTTTTTATTTGCACTTTTACCCCATTTTTTAAAATCTCCTAGGTAATAGGTAATAAGATTCTTATTAGCTTTAGACATTATAAAAAACCTCCCATCTGGAAATTTATCCAATGCACCTTCATTTTAACAAAAAATATTACTATTAAAGAAGAAATAGATACAAAATATTTGCTCGATCTTAGTAGGTTTTAAGGTATTTTCTACCACAAAGCCACAGAAATAAGCTTCTACAGAGTTTAAAATTTTATTCATCTTTCAGAATTCAGTCTACCTGGAATCTATACAGCGTAGTATACATTTCCAGCTTGATCTCCAAATTTTGTCTCATTTTTAACACCAACTACCAGCAAGCTGCTTGTTCTCTATCGTCTTGTGGTGCCATTTCTGTCATATATTTAATTTCCAGATCTGCTTCTGTATCAGTGCAAAATATTTTAGTTATTATACTATAGTAAGTGATTATATGTCTCCAATTTTAATCTTTATTTTCAAAACAGCACTGACCATTTGGTATTATTTACTTTCCAAATCAATTTTTAAATTGTTTTATTGAATATTTCAAAATACTCTGCCAAAAATATTTTAAATGCCTTACATTCAGACATTAATTTAAAAGAAAGTAACAGCATTAAATTTAAAAATTAAATTTAAAACATAAAATTTTCCCATTCATGACCAAGCCATGTTTATTTATTTATAATTTCATTTATACCGTTTAGGGAGATTTTTAAAATGTTTGCATGCAGTTATTTCACATTACATGATTTTAAAAAAATTTTATATAATTTAAAACTTACAGAAAATTTTCAAGAATAGTTCAAGTTATCTCTTTATATTTTTAGCTAGTTCTGGATCTCTTTTTTTCTCAGATCTTGAGTAGATAACTGAGCTCATTAGTTTTTTGTTCAGGAGTATTTTTCAGGCATGTCTGGGTGGGATAAATTTTCTGTGATTTTGCTTGAAAATATATTATTTCATTCTGACATTTCTAGATATAATTTGGCTAGGCATGAATATCTGGCTTCAAAATTCTTTCTTACTTACTAGAAATACTACTTTACTGTCTTCTTAATGCCAGACTCAGAACTAAGAAATTGGGGTTATGTGATTCTTTCTACTCTGTGAATATATCTTTCTATTGCTAGTTTTCTCTTTTTTTTCAATTTGTTGTTGTCTATTTTTTTTTTTTTTTTACAGAGCCCTGTGCTTTTTGCTTCTGAAGTCTCTATTTGTCTAATTATGGCAATTATTATTTCTTCAAATGTTACCTCCATACAATTTTCTTTAAATTCAAGAAATCCTGTTTTTAGATGCTAATGGCTAATGTTCACAATTCCAGCCTTTATCACTCTTAACATTTTTCTTTTATAATTTCACTTATTTCTCTCTGATGACATGTGAGATACATTCACAAACACAGTCTCCGGCTCTATATTTTCTGTTACGACATCAATTTAATTATTTAACAAATACATACTATTTGTATTTGGCTTTTTAAAAAAATATAAATATTTGTATTCACTTCTTGTTAACATACCCTACATTGTGTCACAGGTAATAAAGGCTTATTTCAAAATATTAACGAATTCATATTTTATTTTAATCTAGTATATGTTATTGATTTTTATAGAATATTTGATTTACTGTCTACTTTTTAAATACTAGAATGCGTTGCTAAGATATTCATATTTTAGTGGGTTTGTTTGTTTTTTGTATATGTGATCGTAGTTTTTCCTTTCAGGAGTCAGCCATGTTACTTATTTACATATTCACGAGGGTGGTGACAGGGAATGGGGAGATGGGGAAGGACAAATCTCAATGCCTCACTTTGTCAATCTTTACGAATTAAAGGCATAGCACTGGTGTTTCAGGCAGTGGCCCTTATGGTGCCACAGCCTGAATTTGATGGTTCTTGATTTCAGTCAAAGGGAATACCGGAACTAGAAAAAGCTCTCCTTCCTTCTTGCGTTGTCCTAGGCACTGACCTTTCGTGTCCTTTACTTTCCTTGCTGGCTCTACATTTCCTTGCTGGCTCTATATTTCCTTGCTGGCTCAATCTCCTGGCCTGTCAGGAGACAGGAGGAAGCTGTGAAGGGCCTCTGCCTCCCTTCATTGCTACTATGTCTGTTGCAGGCACTGGGGCCCTCACGGGTATGCACTCTGCTCTTTTCTCTTCTCATTGGTGATTGAACAAAGTTCCAACTAGTTACTGTGGAGGAGAAGAAATAGAAACACTACCTGAGCAAGTACTCTCCTCAAAGCCCTCCACACCCAGAGTAAGGACCCTTCTCTACCCCAAGCTGCCTTCTTCCCTCAGGGCCTACTCACCCTTACCTCCCCAGGGTTTCCACATTTGCTCTCTCAGGTCCTGTCCTTCCCTCTCCCTGAGAGAGGGAGGTAGAAGTGTCTGCTCTTTGCCTTTTTCCCAGAAAGGAGAAGCTCTTGGGTTTATCTCTTGAACCCATACCTTCTGCTTATCCACCATTCCGTTCACCCCAATCAGCCCTTAGGTCTCACCATCTGTGCCACAATTAGCCTTCTGCCACCCTCCAGTCCATTCTCCATACTTGAGCCAGAGTGATTGCTTTAAAAAAATATAAATAAACAAAAGCAAAATCTGATGATATTAACCATCTATTCAAAAGCCGTCTATTATGTCAATGTAATTACATCATTTTTAACCTGTCTGATGAAGCGTATGACCTGGCCCCACTGGCCTCTGGAGCTGGAAAATGCTTCCCTCTCCCTATCACCTCTTCGGCTCCCACAAAGATTCTCTTCAATTTCTTTAAATGTCCATTTCTTTATCATAAATCAGTGTCTTCATGTGTTCTGTCTCTTCAGTATCATCTCTCTTGAATTTTAATTTAAATCCAATCTGACCCACACTAAATCAGGTTCCTCTGGCTTTCTTTGGCAATGCTTCCAAAAACTTTTCACAGTTTTAAATTTTGGATTTGCTTGCAAGATTTTAACATTTCATTTCTGTCATCCACCTACATTTGCATGTAGTGATCAGGGAATGTGTCTATTTTCACTCATCATTTTGTGTCTAGTACTTAGCATATTATCTGCACGTAGTAAACACTCCAGACATATGTTTAAATGATGGAATACAGAGTAAATTGAAACTGTGTGTGTCCTCAAATAACCCTACTTTCAATGAACCGATGATAGTATTTTCTCCATATATGCTCTGAAGTATAGAATTTGGGGTATGCTTTTCAATTGAGTTGATATTTCAATTTACCTTTTCTCTTCATAGTCTGCCACTTACAATTTTGGCCATATTTTAAAAGGCATCCTTCATTCTTCCTAAGATGTAGAAAATTTAAACTTGATTTCACATGGAACAATTATGTTACTTTTTGTTTGTAGAAAATGCATTTTCCCTTACTGATACACGTATTTTCTAACTGCCTATGTCTATTTATGCTGCTGTAGCAGAAATACCATAGACTGGGTAAATTTATAAAAAAAAACATAAATCTATTTATCTCAGTTCTGGAGACTGTCAAGTCCAAAATCAAGAGCATGGCAGGTTCAGTTGCTGGGTAAGGACCTCTTCTCTGCTTCCAAGGTGCCACGTTTAACAATGCATCCTCCCCTGGCAGAAGGAGCACTGGGTCCTCACATGACAGGTGGCAGAAAGGCAAACTAGTCTAACATTGTATAAAGCCTCTTTCATAGAGACCTCCATTCCATTCACAAGGGAAGGAGCTCTCTTAGCCTAGTCACCTCTTAAACGCCCCGCCTCTTAATACAATTACATTGGCAACACCTGAATTTTGGAGCAGTCACAGTCAAAGCACAGCTAACAATGGTGAAAGCTTGGTAATGACATAACAATTTTACTATGAAACTATTTATTGTTTCTGTAAATTACGTGTTTTCTCCACGCAGAGAGGTTGATATAATGATAATCTGTCACGCTGGCAACATAGAGAAAGATTAAGTATATTTTTGTCTATAGTTAGCATAGACAGAAGCCATCTCAGGAGCTCAGTTAACTGCTTCTATCGAAGGCGAAAATGTCTGTGTTTGTTGCTCACAGTATTTCCATTACTACTGTGTCCTGTGAGCTTTTCACTTAAATCTTTTCAATTCTTCTAACCTATATCAAGTACCTTCCCCTAAGAGCCTTTCCTGAGTAACCCATTCTTGTGCTATCTCTCCATTTGACGGAGGCAGTGCATACTGTCAGTGCTAGTTATATAATGCATAACAGATACTAAATTGTTTCTTTTTCTTTTTTTGAACATGCCTTATCCTGCAAACTTCACTTTAAGATATTTAAGCTTAAAGACAAACGATTTCCTTTATCTAATACACATAGTCTAATCTTGAACAAGCTAGATAACATAGCATACAGTAGCAAGAATAAGCTCTGTGCATCTGGCAAACCTGGACATAAGTTCCATCTCTACCCCTTTAGGTGTGTGAGACTGGATAAATTATTTAACCACTCTGACATAGTTTCTTTATCTATATACATTACTAGGTAGGAGGTTAATAGAAGATAAAACATGTAAACCATTGTCATATCATTAATGATCAATATATTATACTGCCTTCTTTTCCATAATTGGAAGCATGATAAGGAACACCGGTTAAAAGCTCTTAAAATGTAGAAAATGTAGATTTTGCCCAAATAGCATAACCAGACATTTTCAGGCCCTTGAATGCTATTTCAAAATGACATCTTTCTCACAGAAATCAATAGTTGGGAATAAGTCATATGAGGTTTTACTGCATGTTCTAGTGATGAAAAGAAAACATAACATTCATAAAGCTAAAAAAAAATAAGTATGCTGGATTTCTCCCACTATGGGGTATATATCCAGAGGAGAGGAATTCATGGCCAGGCGCAGTGGCTCACACCTGTAATCCGAGCACTTTGGGAGGCCAAGGCAGGCAGATCACTTGATGTCAGGAGTTTGAGACCAGCTTGGCCAACATGGTAAAACCCCGCCTCTACCAAAAACACAAAAATTCATCAGGTGTGGTGGTGCACTCCTGTAATCCCAGCTACTTGGGAGGTTGAGGTGGGAGAATCTTTTGAGCTCGGGAGGTGGGGGCTGCATTGAGCCAAGATAGGGCCATTGCACTCCAGCCTGGGCAACAGAGCGAGACTCCACCAAAAAAAAAAAAAAAAAAAAAAAAAAAAAAAAAAAAAAGGAGAGGAATTCTGTATATTGAAGAGATATCTGCAGCCCCATGTTTATTGCAGCAGTATTCACAATAGCCAAGATACAGAATCAATCAAACTATCCATCAACAGATGAATGGATAAAGAAAATGTGGTATGTACACAGTGTTAAATACTATTCTCTCATAAATAATGAAATCCTGTCATTTGGGGAAACATAAATGAGCCAGAAAACATTACGTTAAGTGAATTAAGTCAAGCACAGAAAAATAAATGCTGTATGTTCCCGCTTATATGGTGGAACAGAAAATGTTGAGCTCATGGAAGTAGAGAGTAGAATTGTGGTTATTATAAACTGGAAAGAGGGGCACAAGAATATGGAGAGGTTAGGTAATGGATACAAAGTTACAGCTAGCTATGAAGAATAAATTCCAGTCTCCTATAGAACTATGGTGAATACAGTTAACAATTTATTGTAAATTTTCTTTCTTCAATTTTATTTTTTGTGGGTACACAGGAAGTGCATATATTTATGCGGTATGTGAGATGGTTTGATACAGACATGCAATGAGAAATAATCACATCATGGAGAATGGGGTATTCACCCTCCCCAGCATTTATATATTTTGTGTTACAAACAATCTAATTATACTCTCTTAATTACTTTTAAATGTACGGTTAAATTATTATTGACTATAGTAGCCCTGTTGTGCTAGCAAATACTAGGCCTTATTCATTCACTCTAACTACTTTTGTACCCATAACCATCCCCACCCATCCTCTACTTCCCTCCACCCACCTCCACCACTATCATGCCCAGCCTCTGGTAACCATTCTTCTACTCTCAATCTCCATGAGTTCAATTGTTTTGGTTTTTAGATCCCACAAATTAGTAAGAACCTGTGATATTTGTCTTTCTGTGTCTGGCTTATTTCACTTAATATAATGACCTCCAGTTCATCCATGTTGTTGCAAATGACTGAATCTCATTCTTTTTATGGTGAGTAGCACTCCATTGTGTATAGGTACCACATTTTTTTAATCCATTCATCTGCTGATGGAAACTTAGGTTGCTTCCAAATTCTGGCTATTGTGAACAGAGCTGCAACAAACATGTGAGTGCATGTATCTCTTCAATATACTGATTTCCTTTGAGTGTATACCCAGCTGTGAGATTGCTGGATCATATATTAGCTCAATATTTAGTTTTTTGAGGAACTTCCAAACTGTTCTCCACAGTGGTTGTCGTAGGTTCCATATCATCAGCATTTGTTATTGTCTATCTTTTGGATAAAAGCCATTTAAACCAAGGTGAGATGATATGTCATTGTAATCTTGATTTGCATTTCTCTGATGATCAAGGATGTTTAGCACATTTTCATTTGCCTGTTTGCCATTTGTATGTCTTCTTTTGAGATTCTATGTCTATTAAAATCTTTTGTCCAATTTTTAATTGCATGGTTCAGTTTTTTTTCTATAGTATCGTTTGAGCTCCTTATATATTCTGATTATCAATCCCTTCTCAGATGGGTAGTTTGTAAATATTATTTCCCATTTTGTGGATTGTCTCTTCACTTTGTTGTTTCCTTTGCTGTACAGAAGCTTTTAAACTGTATTTTACATTTTCAAATAGCTGGAAGAGAGTATTCTAAATGCTCCCAACACAGAGAAATGATAAATGTTTCAGGTGATGAATATGCTAATTATCTCGATTTTATCATTACACATTGTATACGTGTATGGAAATAAAACCCTGAGCACCACAAATATGTAAAAAAAAATTAACAATATGTTGTAAAAGTAGCATTTTTCATTACATAATTTTGTGCAATTTACTTTTTTCTTTAGAGCATTTAATTGTCTGCAAAGAAAAGAAATAAGTCTTAGCCTTTTGGATTTTCAACGTAACCTTTTCTGCTTGAGAATCTCTTGAAAGACACAGCCTCTTCTGCAGCAGGTGTAGTTTTAATGATGCTTTGATGCCATATGTCAAATCTCATCACTTGCTGTGAGGAGTGACATTTCTCTTGAAAGCCCCTAGCAATGGCAATGCACCTTGTTGGTGGGTATCTCACAACACAAAGAACTCCTAAAGCCAACATATTTCTTTTCAGCATTCTGCAAGATTGCACAGAGGCCATACCATTGCCACTACATTGCCCATCAGAAAGATAGTTTATATATTCACAGAACACGGCTTGGAAACTTTTTTTAAATTCATGATAATTGCCTTAAAGCTGGTCACTGTGTTCACTGACTTTTGGGATAATCATTTTACATATTTTTGTAAATTATTGTGTGTGTATGAGATACTCAAACATATAAATATCAAAGCACATTTTAGAAATTTAAGATTTCCTAATTAAACCTTGTTTTGGATACCAGAATATACATTTTCCACATTTTTATTTGTAAATTCCTTGGAAATCACAGGCAATTAAAGTTATAATAGTTTAAAATTCCATGCAGTCAAAGCTTTATCTTTTATGGATGAGAGTTTGTCCAAACTAGGCTGGGACCAGAAATCTAGGGAAGATTTTTATGAATCAGAGTACCCAAGTCCCCAGGCAAGTATATTACTTCAAAATCCCCTCAGGAAGTTTTCTCAGAATGGTGAATGCCACATGATTAAGTTTTTCTATTTCTATTTTCTATTCACAGAGTGAAGTTGCTTGGGGTTAAAAATTCTCCACATAAAATGGGCTGTTTTTTCACCTCTGACGTGGTCATTAAAAAAATCTACAATCTTCCTGGGCCCTCAGTTGTTAGCTGAAATATTACTAAAGAAGGTTATAGTAAGTGCCTCATTTATGACAATTTAATACAATTTATTCAGTGTCCCATGTCTAAATATCTATGACAAGGTAATATGTCATTATTCAGTAGACAATATAAGTATTTCTTACATTTCATTATGAAGACATTGTAACAAAATATTAAGGAAGTATATAGTGAATACTGATTTACACAACTAATTTCTACAATTAGCACTTTATTCTCCTTTGTTTATTGCATATGTATCTATCAAATTCTCTATTCATGCAATAATCCCTTATTTTTGAAGTATTCACATTTTACCTCTACGCACTTTATCACACATTTTACAAACTACAGTTTAATATTTTTTATGCTCAACTGACAATTTACAAAATTGGAGTTCCTTGAAAAGGCTGAATCTTACCAGTGTTGTATATTAACTTTGACACATAGATCCTAAAGAAAATAATAGCAAATCATATGCAACAAAATTTTAAAAGCATACTCATATTTACTGAAGATACGTTATTTCAGATAGGTAAGGAGAAGATAATCATAGGAAAACAAATGAAGATGGTGGTTATCATTTGATTAGTTTCACGGTAATAGAGATGGTTAAACATTTCTATGCACTTTTGAAAATACAGTGAGATTAAATTAAATTTTACTGTACCTCACAATCATTAGTTGTGGCATATTTTTCTTTCCCTCGGCCTCATAAGATCAGAGAAAAGAAAGAATCTTTGTCATTGTATCACCACTCTTTGACACAGAGGTATGATGCCCTCCCCCTTTCTCCAGCATTCCAGAGGAAAATATACAAACTTGATGACAATGAGCATTTGGGAAAATAAAAGCTGACAAAGAGCATTTTAACCTCTCCCAACCTTCAGCCTCATCCATGAGTCAAAAATAGACCAAAATCTCAGGAAATACTTTCCATTAAAAATATTTTTTAATAAGGCTGTGTACCTATCTACTGACATAGTGAAACATCAACTACAGGAAATCCTGTTGCATGCTGTAGCTGATGTTTTTCATCAAAAGACCAAAATCACTGCTGCCACTCTGTGTCTCTCTTCCTCTCTCTGCCTTTATAAATATTTTACTTAACTTCCTGGTAGAGAATGAAAAAATAAACAACAACAACAACAAATCCCAAAAACAGAACTTATAGTACAATGACTCAATGATTTCATTAATTCGTATATCTTAGGAAAAGAATTCTGAGAAAGGTTCTGCAGCCATTTTTGTGACTACTTATTAAGAGAAGCTTTGTTTTACTCTCTCCATGTCATCCCTGCAGTTAGTATTAATCCCTTACCAGACCCCTTCGTGAAAAATTTCCACTGGATTTTGTCCTCTGTTTGGATTATTGTTTTGTGTCAGTAAGCAGGCAAGCTTCCAAAAATTGCCCTGCAGGAAAAAGGAGCAAAGAACAAGGCTGGCATTTCTGGCAGGATGGAGAACAACTGGCAGTGGAGGACGAGGCAGGACCCAGCGGAGGCTGGAACCACAGTCGCCCTGGCCAACTCTTGAATGAGTGAACCTATCAATAATTCAGATGTACCTTCTCTATGAGCAATATCTTTTTTTTAAAAAAAAAAAGCATTCTTTGTCTCCTTTGAAAAATGTTACCGACATCCCTCTGAAGGGAGGGTGCACACATGCCAACTATATACTAAAAAGCAAACAAACAACTCCAGTGAAATGACGGATGAAAGAGAATGCTGCTTTCATGAAGTGTGAGGAAAAAACAAGCATCTAAAAAGTTTCACTTTGCCATTTAAATTAAATCATACATAAAACAAGAAAAAAAATACCTGTGTGGAGACTGCGAAATACAGACTTTTTAATATGAAAAGCCGGCATAATTTTTACTTATCTTTTATGCATGCTTTAGGCCATAAATTGATATGGCTTTGTCCATGATGTTAAAAATTCATGATTCAATTTTGAAGAAACAGAAAAGCTAGTATCTATAAAATGGTACTTAGTCTTCACTATTCTAAGGTATTTTTGTAACATTTTTATCCCAAATCTGAAATAAAAATCTTCTTCTTTAATTCCATAATTATGGATATCTGCATGATATATTGGTATTGACTGCTCTGTCAAAAGCTTATAAAAGTATATTCAAATGATCCTCAAAATAGTATTAAAGTCATAAAATGTATACGATAAAGACTATGAGCCAGGATAACTTAGTGGTATATAAAGGAAGAAAGAGTCCACCATTAGGCTGGCCACAGTGGCTCACGCCTGTAATCCCAGCACTTTGGCAGGCCAAGGCAGGCAGATCACCTGAAGTCAGGAGTTAGAGACCAGCCTGGCCAACATGGTGAAACCCAGTCTCTACTAAATACACAAAAATGTGAAAGCCTTTTACTTATTTCCTGACACTCACCTGAGCTCCAAGACACCAGAATGCATGCAGTTTCTCCGTGTGCCCTGTGCCTGATTCCTTTAGCACCTTTGGACAGGGGCTTTCAGAATGTGAGAAAACTGGACAAACACAGAGCCTGGAGCCACAATGTTACAAGGAAATAGAATGTTTGATATTTTACAATAGAAATTGTCAGAAAGGAATTTTATTACTATAAATAATATTTTAGTTTGAACCTCAGTTATAAAATTAATGATTTTAGTTAAAAAGCATCTCATTAATTCCAAGTTGACTGTAGATTTAAATGTAAAGGATCCTTACAAGAAAATATATGACAAAAATGTTACGTCCTTAAAGTTGGACATTTTTGTCATTTACATAGTAGTAGAAATATAAATTTCTATAAATAGAAATATAAATAGAAACTGAAACTAAGAACTCGTGTTCATTGGTTTTAATAAAGTCCAAATAACCAATTGTTTGGATACGAATGAAATCATTTTCATGAGTAGAAAAGGTATAATTTAAGGGAAGAAAGGGAAAGTTAGAATCTCATAGAATTAATTTTTATGCCTAGTGTTGCATTATTGGAACGCTAAGCATGTGGGAGTTATTTATATCTTACTGCTCATGGTCTGATTGCAAAAATTCAAAAAATTTCAACCTCAGGCATAAATGGGTTAAGAATCTGCTCTTAAAATATTCACAGAAAGAGGAGATGGGGATGGATAAAGGGTACAAAAAATAGAAAGAATGAATAAGACCTACTATTTGATAACATAATACAGTGACTATAGTCAATAATAACTTAATTGTACATTTAAAAATAAGAGTGTAACTGGAGTGCTTATAACACAAAGGATAAACACTTGAGGGGATGGATACCCCATTCTCCATAATGTGATTATTTCACGTTGCATACGTATATCAAAACATCTCATGTACCCCATAAGCATATATATATATATATACACACACATACATATATATATACATACATATATATATACATACATATATATATATTTACTATGTACCTACAAAAATTAAAAATAAAAAAATTAAAGAAGAAAATCCTCAGAAAGAAAACATATGTTTTGTAGGCCACACATCCTACAGAAACAGAAGTCAAACAGGTAAGCCAGTGAGTGTCAATCATGAAACTTAAAGCTGAATGCAAATGAAACTGAGAGAGACACTTCAGTTCTTTACCTAGAAAAATATGCATGGCTCTTCCTCCTTCACTTCAAATATATGTTCTCATTCATAGCCACTGAGTTTTGAATTAGATTAAAAATAACCCATCTGCCAATGTCTTATAATTTTCCTTTTGTTCCTGTGGGTCTTTGGTCCATGTGACTGATGTCCTTCACTCTCAAAAGAGGGTTCGGCCTGGCAATGAGAAGATGTCACCTGCTTCCATCCAACGGTATCATCTTAAAATTTAGACCTCACGCTTGAGCAGAACGAGCTATCAAAAACCATATCTGAAGACATCATTAACCCAATTACAAAGGCTTCAGCCAATCCAAAACCTGTAGGGGACGATACAGGGATAACAATCCTGCTCTGGGCTACTCATTATATAGTTCTTTGAAAGGTACCAGATTTAATTTTAATTTTAATTACCTTAATATTAATGAAGCTAAGCACTCTTCTACATGTTTATCATCATTTGAGCATACATTTTTAAAGCACCTCTTTGAGTCTTAAGCCCATTAATTAATTTTTTTTTGTTTTGGGAGGTTTTTAATACTAATTTTTAGGATATATATATACACACACACACACACACATATATGTATATATGTGTATATATATATACACACACACATATGTATATATGTATATATATACACACACACACACACACACACCATGGAATACTACTCAGCCATAAAAGGGAATTAAACCATGGCATTTAGAGCAACCTAGATGGAATTAATTAATTAATTTTTTGTTTGGGGAGGTTTTTAATACTAATTTTTAGGATATATATATATATACACACACACACACATATATATATACACACACACACACACATATATATGTATATATACACACACACACACACACACCATGGAATACTACTCAGCCATAAAAGGGAATTAAACCATGGCATTTAGAGCAACCTAGATGGAATTAATTAATTTTTTGTTTTGTTTTGGGAGGTTTTTAATACTAATTTTTAGGAGATATATATATACACACACACACATATATATGTATATATATACACACACACACACATATATGTATATATGTATACACACACACACACACACACACACACACACACACCATGGAATACTACTCAGCCATAAAAGGGAATTAAACCATGGCATTTAGAGCAACCTGGATGGAATTGGAAACTATAATTCTAAGTGAAGTAACTCAGGAATGGAAAACCTAACACTGAATGTTGTCATTCATGTGAGAGCTAAGCTATGAGGATGCAAAGGCTTAAGAATGATACATTAGACTATGAGGACTCAGGGGAAAGGGTAGGGGGTGGTGAGGGATAAAAGACTACACACTGGATAGAGTGTACACTGCTCAGATGGTGGGTGCACCAAAATCTCAGAAATCACCACTAAAAAACATATTCATGTAACAAACACCACCTGTTCCCCAAAAACCTATTGAAAATATTATTTTTAAAAAACAATATTCCTTCCTGTTATGTGGTGCCATATTGTGAAGATGAAGTACCTATGTTTCTGCATCTCCTTCCAGCTTCTCTCTTCTGTGACACCCTCCCGCCCCCATTCTTGCATGAATGGCGCACATCCATACACTGTGTTTACTACCTATGTTTCTTAAGTCCCTGATCCCAACCCTCAATGTTGTCTAAAAATTTATTTCATGAAGAACCTAGGTTAATTTTCCATATTTTGGATCTTGCTGTCTGGCAAGAATAATTAATGGCTGTTATTTTATACTTTCTAATATAGTGCATTATAAACATAGAATGTTTGGTTATTTTCACTTTTTATATGAACATTATACAGTGTGTTTAGCCATTGAGATGAGCACATCCACTCTAAAGTTCACTGTATCTTTTTACCTTTATTATGTATTTTATTCCTTTTATTATGTATTTATTATGTATTTTATTATGTATTATGTATTGTATTTTATTATGTATTATGTATGTATTTAACAGCCATCTGTGACCATTACACTGAAATATAATTTAATTGAACATTGTTAAACAGTTACATTAGAATTCTGGCGTTCTTCGTTGACTATAGATCTGGGTACAGTTTGTGAAGAAACTGGAGAAATATTTGCTAACATTTCTTTCATATGATTTTCAGATAATGACTTGGTAAGTTGAACCTTAATATTTATGGAGAATTATGTCATCATAAACCATGTCATGTTTAATGCGTTTAAAGAAATTGAATTGAAATTGAAGGTATTGTACTTTTTGATGGTCTAGCTACTCCAAATGTGTTCAGTAGTGTCTTGTTAAACCAGGATCCCCTGTTTTGTCTGTTGATTTTGCCACACCTTTGGTGATCTTTGATGGATTGTTTGCTCATATGACATGATGTTCTACGCTGACAGTGTACATTTTTGTGCAGACCTGGAAGCATCCACTGCTTCAAAACAATTCCATTTATTGGGATAATATTTCATGAGTCTATTCCTGGCATTAGAGGTGCTCAATGCTTTGTCATCATTCATAGGGCACTTCAGCAGTTAATTTAAATAATACATTTTATCTTTAAAAATAAATATATTACAGTTTTATAATGACACTTGCAATTACAGTTTAGGACTACAGGGGGCTTTTTCAGTCTTTTATGATTTTATACTGTATTTTTTCACACTAAAATTTTCAATTTCTAACAAAATTAACATAATTACACATTTGCCTTATTTTGTTATGTGTGTAATTATTTTAAAATATTATTATTAGTATAAATACTAGCAAAATAATTACTAAAAACAGTTTAAGATTTATATTCAGGGTTTTTGTCCTTATATGCAGTCAAATTATTGTTTATTAAAATAACAAAATTACACTAAGTGCAATTAAGCCAATAATTTGATATGCAGTTAGTTTCTACACACTTATTAGTTTTTCCTGTATCCTTCAAACATTAACATAGCTAATTATACATGTGTGTTTTATATATAAAATAGTCATTATATTCATATCACTGCTTTTTTCATACATGAGCACATTATATACTAGACTTTCTTCACCACGCTATCTTCACTTAACCATATATTCTGATGATCCATTATTCCTTTCAACACCTGAATACTCATTTGTGTGGATACACCACAATATCCTTGAGTCCCTTATCCTCAGGATTTTTCCATCACCAATGACATTGCATTAAAGACATTTGAACGTGTATATTACCATATTTTCACAATTTCTTTGAGTTGATTTCTAGAAATTCCATTGCTGAGATAAAAATGTACATGTATATTCAATCTGGATACATATCGCTAAATCTACTCCATAGGACTTATAGCACTTTTATTTCTGCAAGGAATTTCTTGATAATAGGCACTTCCAAAATGAATTTGAGAATTGACGATGTTTTCAATCTTATGCATTTTATGCAATATTATAAGGAAGAAATTGTATATTGGCATAACTTTATTTTGAATATTCTTATAAGCAAGTTGAATTTTTTTTGAGTTTTCAAAAAATTTCTACAAGTTAAATGGACAATTTATTTATAATTTTTACATTGACAGATAAATTTTATGCCATGTACACGACCTTTTGAAGTGCATATGTACATTGCAGAATGACTAAATCTAGCTAATTAACATGAGCATCACCTCATGTAATTATAAGAACACTTACATCCACTCTCTCAGAATATTTCAAGAATACAATATGTTGTTAACTATGGTCATGGTGCTGTACAATTAAATCTCTTGAACTTATCCCTCCTATCTAACTGCAAATATGTATCCTTTGACCAACATGTTCCCACCCCTTCTTCCCCACAATTTCCTCAGTAACTGGTAACCACCACTCTACTCTGCTCCTATGAGATCAGCTTTTTCTAAACAAGTCAAATATTTCTAAGTTTAAGGGTCACTTGCATTTACTTTCCTGTTAACTGCATTTTTTAAACTTATATTTTCAGTTCAGGGATACAAATGCATGTTTGTTACATAGGTAAACTTGTGTCATGGGGGTTTGTTGTATATGTTATTTCACCCAAGTATTAAGCCTAGTGCCCATTAATTATTTTCCTTGATCCTCTGCCTTCTCCCACCCTCCACCCTCCAAAAGGCACCAGTATTTATTGTTTCCCTCTATGTGTCAATCCCATTGCTGGGTATATACCCAAAGGAATATAAATCATTCTATTATAAAGACACATGGGCCTATATGTTCATTGCAGCACTATTCACGATAGCAAAGATATGGAATCAACCTAAATGTCCCTCAGTGACAGATTGGATAAAGAAAATGTGGTACATATGCACCATGAAATACTATGCATCCACCAAAGGAAAAAAAAAAATGAGCTCATATCCTTTGCAGGAACATGGATAGAACTGAGGTCATTATCGTTAGTAAACTAACTCAAGAACAGAAAACAAAATACTGCATGTTCTCACTTAAAAGTGGGAGCTAAATGATGAGAACACATGGACTCATGAACTCATAGAGGGGAACAACAAGCTAGATGTTTATATGTTTTACTCAGTATATTTATTTTCAAATTTTAGAGGTTCTTTATACATTATAGATATAAGCATATTTTCTTTTTCTCCTCAAACTTTTATTTTTAGTTTTGGGGTACATATGCAGGAAGTGAAGGTCTGTTACATAGGTAGACGTATGCCATAGTGGTTTGTTGCACCTATCAACACATTACCTGGGTGTTAAGCCCAGCATGCATTAGTTATTTTTCCTAATGCTCTCTTTCCCCCAACCCCACCCCCTAACAGGCCCCAGAGTGTGTTGTACCCCTTCCTGTGTCCGTGTGATCCAATTGTTCAGCTCCCACTTATATGGGAAAATATGTGGTGTTTGGTTTTCTGTTCTTGCAAAGTCTCAGGATACAAAATTAATGTGCAGAAGTATCGGATGAAATTCACCCCGATATTTCACGTAGGTTCTTTTCTACTTTCCCTAAGTGTCGGCTGGTCTGAGAAATAAAGGGACAGCATACAAAAGAGAGAAATTTTAAAGCTGGGTGGCCGGGGGAGACATCACATGTCGGCAGGTTCCGTGATGCCCCCTGAGCCATAAAACCAGCAAGTTTTTATTAGTGATTTTCAAAAGGGGAGGGAGTGTACGAATAGGGTGTGGGTCACAGAGATCACATGCTTCACAAGGTAATAAGACATCACACAAGGCAAATGGAGGCAGGGCGAGATCACAGGACCACAGGACTGGGGCGAAATTAAAATTGCTAATGAAGTTTCGGGCACACATTGTCATTGATAACGTCTTATCAGGAGACAGGGTTTGAGAGCAGACAACCCGTCTGACCAAAATTTATTAGGTGGGAATTTCCTCGTCCTAATAAGCCTGGGAGCGCTACGGGAGACTGGGGCTTATTTCATCCCTACAGCTGCGACTGTAAAAGACAGCTGCCCCTGAAGCGGCCATTTCAGAGGCCTACCTTCAGGGATGCATTCTCTTTCTCAGGGATGTTCCTTGCTGAGAAAAATAATTCAGCGATATTTCTCCCATTTGCTTTTGAAAGAAGAGAAATATGGCTCTGTTCTGCCTGGCACACCGGCAGTCAGAGTTTAAGGTTATCTCTCTTGTTCCCTGAACATTGCTGTTACCCTGTTCTTTTTTCAAGGTGCCCAGATTTCATATTGTTCAAACACACATGCTCTACAAACAATTTGTGCAGTTAACGCAATCATCACAGGGTCCTGAGGCGAGATACATCCTCCTCAGCTTATGAAGATGACAGGATTAAGAGATTAGAGTAAAGACAGGCATAGGAAATCACAAGAGTATTGATTGGGGAAGTGATAAGTGTCCATGAAATCTTCACAATTTATGTTCAGAGATTGCAGTAAAGACAGGCCTAAGAAATTATAAAAGTATTAATTTGGGGAACTAATAAATGTCCATGAAATCTTCATAATTTATGTTCTTCTGCCATGGCTTCAGCCGGTCTCTCCATTCAGGGTCCCTGACTTCCTGCAACACAGAGGTACAAGCATTCCTTTACACAAACAACAGGCAAGCAGAGAGCCAAATCATGAATGGACTCCCATTCACTATTGCTACAAAGAGAATACTACCTAGGAATACAGTTAACAAGGGAAGTGAAGGACCTCTTCAAGGAGAACTACAAACTTCTGCTCAAGGAAACAAGACAGGACACAAACAAATAGAAAAATATTCCACGCTCATGGATAGGAAGAATCAATATAGTGAAAATGGCCATACTACCCAAAGTAATATATAGATTCAATGCTATTCCCATTAAACTACCATTGATGTTCTTCAGAGACTTAGAACAGTCTATTTTTAAATTCATATGGAACCAAAAAAGGCCTGTATAGCCAAGACAATCCTAAGCAAAAAGAACAAAGCTGGAGGCATTACCCTACCAAACTTCAAAATATGCTATAAGGCTATAATAACCAAAACAGTATGGTACTGGTACAAAAACAGACACATAGAGCATTGGAACAGAATAGAAAACTCAGAAATAAGATTGCTCATGTACAACCATCTGATCCTAGACAAACCTGAAAACCTGAAAAGAAATATACCAAGTTGTTTATCAGCTTAAGATGCTTCTGGGCTGAGACAATGGGGTTTTCTAGATATAGGATCTGCAAAAAAAGACATTTTGACTTCCTCCATTCCTATTTGAATACCCTTAGTTTCTTTCTCTTGCCTGATTTCCCTGGCTAGAACTTCCAACACTATATTGAATAGGAGTAGTGAGAGAGGGCATCCTTGTCTTGTGCTGGTTTTCAAGCGGAATGCTTCCAGCTTTTGCCCATTCAGTATGATATTGGCTGTGGGTATATCATAAATGACTCTTATTATTTTGAGGTATATTCCTTCAATACCTAGTTTGTTGAGAGTTTTTAACATGAAAGCATATTGAATTTATATTTTAAGGCCTTTTCTGCATCTATTGAGATAACCATATACTTTTTGTCTTTAGTTCTGTTTATGTGATGAATTATGAATTACGTTTATTAATTTACATATGTTGAACCAGTCTTGCATCTAAGAAATGAAACCAACTTGATCGTGGTAGATAAGCTTTTTAATGTGCCGCTGGATTCGGTTTGCCAGTATTTTATAGAGAATTTTTGCATCAATGTTCATGAGGAATATTGGCCTGAAGTTTTCTTTTTTTGTTGTATCTCTGCCTGGTTTTGGTATCAGGATGATGCTGATCTCATAGAATGAGTTAGGGAGTAGACCCTCCTTTTCCATTATTTGGAATAGTTTTAGAAGGAATGGTAGCAGCTCCTCTTTGCATTTCTGGAAGTATTCAGTTGTAAATCCATCTGGTCCTTGGCTTTTTTTGGTTGATAAGTTATTTATTACTGCCTCAATTTTGGAACTTGTTATTAGTCTATTCAGGGATTCACCTTCTTCCTGGTTCAGTCCTGGAAGGATGCATGTGCCCAGGAATATACCCATTTTCCTAGATTTTCTAATTTACATGCATACAGCTCTTTAAAGTATTCTCTGATGGTTGTTTGTATTTCTGTGCAGTCAGTGGTGATATCCCCTTTCTAATTTTTTATTGTGTCTATTGGATTCTTCTCTCTTTTCTTCTTTATTAGTCTAGATAGATGTTATTACTTTATTAGTGCATATAGATAGGCAATTTTACAGCTTCCTTGTGAATTGAAAATTTTATCTTTATGAATTATCTTTCTTATCATTGGTAATCCTATTTCCCATAAAGTATTATTTGATATTAATACAATGACATCAGGTATATTTTGGTTGCTCTATGTATGGTATGTTTTTCTATCCATGTACAAACTGTTACAGTATGTTTTATGTGTTGCCTGTAAGCAGCATATTATAGTTCTTTTACATGATCAAGTTGGATAATCTTGTTTTTATTGGAGAATATATTCCAGTTATATTTGATATGATTATTTATAAATTTGAATTTAACTTCCATTTTACTATTTGTTTTATTCTTATTCCAGATGTGATTCTTCCAATTTTTAAATCTTCATTCATACCTTCATTTCTGACCTGACTTTGCATTTTTATCATTTTATTTCAATCATAAGCATATATTTACAATAATTTTAATGGTTACCCAGTATTTACAACATACCTTTCTAACAAGTCGAAGTCTAATATAAGTCTTATTTTTAACTATCCCCTGCACAATAAAACACCTTAGAATTCTTTAAATAAATTTACCCCATGCTAAAACATATGCTATTATCAACATATATTTCACACTTATATCTATGCATATATGTGCATGTATAAATCTTATAAATGACATTACTTTTCTCATACCTGAAACAGGACCTCCACAATTTCCCTTAATATGGGATCACTGGTGATGAATTATATCAGATTTCTTGGTTCAAAAATGTCTTCATTTCACCTTAGTTATTGACTAAGTGGATATTAAATTCCAGAACCTTAATTGTTAAGGTTTAACAATTTAAGCATATGAAAAACTGACTTTATTTCTTTTCTTGTCTCTTATTGTCACTGTTGAATTGTCAATTGATACTCTGACTGATGTTCTTTTGAAAGTAATCTTTATTTTTTCTCTCATTTTTCTTTGCATATTTGTTTTGTCTCTGGCAACAGAAATTTAAATATGTGTGTCCTCATAGTTTTTTTTTTCTCAATCTTGCCTTGAGGTTATCAACATTGTTATTCATAGCTTATTTAAAGTCTGTGTTAGACGGTGCCACTACCTGGATATTGTCTGGGAGTACTGTGGTTCTACTTTTAGTACTCATTAATTATCATGGTTTTCAATTACATTTTGTTTGTATCTATATATAGGCACTACGTATTTATAACATGAACACAAATATATATATATATATATATACACACATATCAGAAATTGTGCTATCTATAAATACATAGAAACATAAATAGAAATTATAAACTTATAAAAATTGTACAGCTTATAATTTCAGTTCATTTATGATGTTAGACTTTTTTCCAGAGAGAATTTACCTTTATTCTCATAGGTTGCTAGATGCATTAGAAAATTTATGTTGCTATTACACAATATACAATAAAAGAGAATAAGATGACTTTTAGCTCTGTGTGTGTGTGTGTGTGTGTGTGTGTGTGTGTGTGTGTATCTCAGCATCTCTAGCTGTCCTCATAAAGAGGCTAGTCCCAGGTTACTTTACAAGTCCCCCATATTAGGAAACTCAGTATTTTTTATTTTTCTAAATTATTTCCTAGTGACCTCAAATAACTTTTAAGACAATATATCCACTTGTCTCTGATAATTCAGATTTCTTCTATGTCTTTTTTGTTACTTTCTTCCACAGGTATTTTACAGATAATAGGTAAAATGCTTAAGTTTTTGTACTGTTGTGTCTTGTTTTCGTTTCTGGCTAAATGCTCTCTGAGAAGCTTGAAAAGAAAAATACTCTTTCTCAAATTTCACGGTTTTTTTTTTTCCTTTAAAGAAACATTGATTTTTCTCCCTAGTGTTCCTTATAGAAGCCTGATTCTGTTTTTGTTTATTTTCTTGTTCATATGCTATACTAATGTCATTTCCTGGAAATAACTAGCAGCTGCTATGGCAGACAGCAGGAGTGCTTGTGGTATCTTAAATCTGTCCCTTAGAAATGAATTAAAAGTAGGTATTAAAAACCAAATGACAAGTTTTGATGATAGAAAACTCTCAACTTTCTATCCAAATTAATTAAAATATTGTCTTTTATTTATATCAGCAACAAATCCTGTGAATAAATAAAATCTGTTAAATATTTAAACATATGCATATAATTCTGATACATCATGTCTTGTGGTAAGAATTTGGCAAAAATATTATACTATTCATTTTGCCTTTTTTTAACCATCCTTGAAATATTCAAACCTTTGCGGTATTGTCATCAACAGCTTGTGTCTATTATTCACTGCAATATATTCTTTAAAAAAAAATCCCTCAATTGGCACTGTGAACATGGGTCTGTTCTTAGATAGTTCAACTACTAATTGAAAAAAATTTTGTAAACTATTGACAACCTTAACTTTCAAATTAAAGTTGTGTGGGCTAGGCATGGTGGCTCACACCTATAATCCTAGCACTTTGGGAGGCCAAGGCAGGCAGATCACTTCAGCCCAGGAGTTCCAGACAAGCCTGGGCAATATGGTGAAACCCTATCTCTACAAAAGATACAATAATAATTAGCTGGGCATGGTGGCTCGTGCCGGTAATCCCAGCTACTTGGGCGGGTGAGGTGGGAGGATCACTTGAGCCAGGGAGGACGAGACTGCGATGATTCCAGACAGCCCCACTGCACTCCAGCCTGGGCAAAACAAGACCCCATCTCAAATAAAATATAAAATAAAAATTTTAAAAAATGTGTGCACAAGTGTATGGGTGTGTGTGCACTTTCAGTTGAAGTTCTCTTTAGAAATTACTTTTAGATTCTCAAAAAAAGTGAACATCCTAAACTCCAATCACTATTTCATGTTAATTAACCTTATTCCCATCATCCTAAATATATTTCTCAATAATCCCTTTTTTATTTTTTGTATGTATAGTGTCTGAGAAGTTGCTAAACCGTCCAGTTTGCAGCTACTTTTTTCTCAAAACCAACTCAGTTCAATTTAATTTGATATTTATTGAGTGCCTCCCATAAAGCATAAGTTGGCTCATGTCATTCCTCTGTTAGACATCTTCAGTATTTCTCATCTTATGCAGAGTTATACCATTATATGAGTCTGGCAGAACCTGGTACCACTCTGCCTCCTCTCCACCTGCTGGACCCCTCACTGCGTGTTTCCCAGGGTCACTGGAATCTTTGCTGTTATTTCAACAGACAACTCCCCACCCCTAAGGCCTCTGAGTTGTTGTTGTTGTTCTCATTACAGGTATTCAACTGTCTCTCCAACTCGTCTTCTTACTTCTTTCAAAAAAATGACCAAATGTCACCTTCTCAATGAGGCCTATCCTGACCCTCTGTGTAGAAGCTTTCCCAGGCATTTGCAGCATCTGAATGAGTGAAACTGCTATGATCCCAGTTTTCTTGGCAGTCCGACGGGGTGGAGGAAGAGTGGTTTGGGAAGGCCACAAACAGGAGGTAAATTTGGAATTGTGTGGAACACTAAAGTGGGAAACAGCAATGGAGAGAGATGTAATAGAAGAGGTGAGGGAAGATTCAGAGACCTGAAAGCAGAGGTGTGGAGGGGCACAGGTTTCCATTTTAAGTAATGGGCTAAGGGAAAGCGCTATCCTCATTATTTACTTTATACACATAATTCTGAAAATTTGGCATTACGTAAATATTTATTTATTTGCATACAGGTTTAGATAACTAATGTTTTTAAGGCATAAGTTCTGCAATTCTATTTCAGTGAAATCACAATATTGAAAACACATTGTTCTGTACCATTTTATGATGTTTACAATTTATTCATTTTTATTATTTTAACTATATTTTATTATTTGTTATTTATATTATTTTTATATATTTATGTTTCTTTAAGAGAATGAAGTGAGTTTATTATTTTACTGAATTAAATGTTGAAGGGAAACATGGAATTGTGTAAAGAGTAAGCATAAACAGGAGATGAATAGCTTGTGTTAATTACCAAGAAACTCACGAGAAGAAATTTTCCAGCTTGTTCATTTAGAAACCCTCCCTTCACTCTCCACTTAGGCAGAGCCACTCATATACGACACGCAGAGCTGAATGCTTAAATGAACGCTGGGGTATTTTGGCACATTAAATGTAGTTTGAGATAAATAGTAATATGAGTCTACATATGTTCTTATTTTTGCATCTTAAAACATTTTCACCAGAATAACCTCTCTCTTTTACAGTACAGTTATGATATGGTTTATGTTCTCTGAAATAAAACACCATTTACACTTGATCTTAGCCAAAAGGCTGAGAAGCGATAAAAAAAACACCATTCACAAACCATAGCTCCCCACAAATCTGTCCGATAAATTAGAAAAGGCAATATTTATAAAAAACCACAAATGAAAAACACCATATATGTTTCAGTAAAGTCTTAACCTTAATACATTTAATAACATAAAAGAAAGGTAATGACTTTGCCAAAATATTAATGGAATTATCAAGTAAAAGCAAAAGCCAACTTGACATAAAGATTAATTGTTAACAGAAACATATGGAGAAAAGTTCTGACTTGGACAGCTACTTAATCCATTTAGTTACGAATAGAGATTTTCGGCCAAGTTGTTAGTAAAGGACGTACAGGGGAATTTTGCCCTTAAGCCTGTAAAATTGTGAATACGATATTTTATTAAGCACTACAGAACTTTAAAACTGAGAACTGGGGGAGCACTGGCATCTCCCCCAATACTAGCCAAGGACAACAAAGCCAATTGTGAAAACAAACAGATCTCACTTCACCAAATGTTAACAGACTATAATACATCTAGAGTAATTAAAACTCTAAGGAAACAGCACAAGAATAGACAAAGGGTCAAGTGGAACAGGAGATTCCAGACACAGGCACGTATTACATAGTCTTATGATATGTTACAAATGTGGCACTGAAGAACAATGTGAAAATAAGGGTGTTTTCACTAAACGCTGCTTGATGAATGCATAACTCTATTCATTAGAAAAAGAAGAAGAAACAGGAGGAGATGGAAGAAACAGAGGAGAAGATAAAAGGAAAAGAAAGCAGAAAGTTACATTATTCACAAAAGTCATTTCTAGGTAGATAATCAATTTAACTGTGAAATTTACAACCATACTTCTTGTGGTTAACAAAGGAAAATTTATGAAATTAACATCAAGAGAATTTCTTAAGCACTAATTAAGCACCACATAAAAGGCTTTAACCATAAATTAATAATAGATAAATTGGACTATATTAAAATTTTAGTTCATCATAATTCCAAGAGTGAAAAATCCAGCCACATGTTGGTATGTATCTGCAATACATATTAACAACAAAAGGCTTGAATCTAGACTATATAGAGAGCTAAACACCAATTTCAGAAAAGACAGATCCTCACCAAAAATATACCAGAAACTTAGACAAGCAGTTCAGAAAAAACAACTTTGAAAAAAATAATGAATAGATGAAAACTGTTAACTCAGCCTCATGAGCTGCGATGGTGTGAAGTGGTCTCTATCCACACTCATCAGAATGGTAAACATTTAAAGCAAACAAACAACAGCAACTAATAAATCCACAAGTCGGTCAGAAAGTTTTATCAAGGATATGGAGCACATTTATGCATTCTTTTTAATTTTATTTATTTCAATAGCTTTTGGGGTACAAGTGGATTTTTGTTACATGGATGAATTACATAGCGGTGAATTCTGAAATTTTAGTGCATCTGTCAAATGAGTAGTTTACATTGTACCCAATGTATAGTTTTTCACATGGGAATATGTGTGTGCTACCCTTTTTCTGATCTCTTGTTCAATAAATGATAGATCCACATAAATATAGATATATAGATATAGAATAGACATAGATAAAAAATATAGATAAGCATATATTTTCTACAAGAAAAATGAATCATTTAAATTTCACACAGTATACATACTATATCATGCACTCTTGAGTTAAATAAAATTGGGAGTAATTATAAAAATATAAGCCAAAGTTAAAACTCACTGCTACAACTTCTTTTAGAACAAACAGGAAACAACATAGAATATCTGGGATAGTTGGAATATATATATCATAACTCATTAAAAATAGTATTATATCCATACTTGTTACAAAATACAAGAATCAAATTATTTCAGTACTAAAATTTAGCCAAGCAAAACATTATTAATCTAGTCATTACTATTATTTTTATTTGCCAATTTGATACTAAAATTAAAATTTTAAATCCGCCTAATTTGTTTATATACTTGATCACTGTGTTTTAGTTATTTTTGGCTTAAATTTTAACCTAGGCCAGGCACGATGGCTCACACCTGTAATTGTGGCATCTTGGGAGGCAGAGGCAGGCAGATCGCCTGAGGTCAGGAATTGGAGACTAGCCTGGCCAACATGGTGAAACCCCATCTCTGCTTAAAAAAAAAAAAAAAAAAAATCCAAAATTAGCCAGGTGTAGTGGCAGGTGCCTGTCTTTTCAACTACTCAGGAGGCTGAGGCAGGAGAATCTCTTGAACCTGGGAGGCAGAGGTTGCAGTGAGGCAAGAATGTGCCACTGCACTCCAGTCTAGGCAAAAGAACGAGACTCCATCTTAAATAAATAAATAAATATATATATATATATAAAATTAGTCTAATCATCAAAATTATCAACTTCCAAGTTTTATTAATGAGTTACCATGCTTCTGGCAATGCAAAATTGAAAAGAAAAAAAAACACATTAAAACTGAGGATTGTTTTAACTTTCAAAATATTCTAATAAATTGTTACTTTATTTGATTTAAAATTTTTATTACAATAACTAAGGTAAAATCTGCATTTTGTGTAACAAAAATTTGAACAGTCTGAATTCAAAAGCCAGAGACACAATTTTTTCTATGAATTTTGTTTCTATTTCCATCAGATTACTGATTTTTTTCTCTTTTTGAGTCCTATTTGTAGATTATAAATTATGTCTTTGCCTTTTTAATTACAGGTATTTTAAGTCTATTTATTCTCTGTCCAATTTGTATAGAGTGTTTGATTCTGAAAAAATATGTTTAGTATCTTTTCTGCTTTTTCTTTTAATTGTTACTTCCTATGAAAATATTTTGGTAGCACTTGCAATTCTGTTAGGCACACAACTTGGCACAATTCTTCATGATATAGGAGGTGGTGCTCATAAAGCCTTCTTTGATCTGAGCAGTAGGGATGCTGCAAGAATTAAATGACCAAATATGCCCATGAGGCCCTTACAACAGTGCCTGGACATAGCAATTGCTTCATAAATTCTAACTATGCCTTTGAGGCACTCACAACATAAACCCACAAGGTCCATCTGCAGATGGGCAGCTTCATTCTCTTCAGGCCAGAATGGGGACTGGGCTTTCCATCTCTGTACTCCCCTCACTAGCCATTCAGCTCCTTTATATTTTACTATCATATATGTGATCCAAATTCATTAAAAAATAAATGTTCTCAATTTTATTAAGACAAAAATAAAAATTACTTGAAATTTTGCTACCTTGAATTAATGGTCCCCTTTTTATATGTATTGTTTATGCAACTATGTAAGATTACACACACACACACACAAAGACTGGATGGATGGATAGGTAGATAGATAGATAGATAGATAGATAGATAGATAGATAGATAGATAGATAGATAGACAGATAACATACATACATACATAGATGGAAATGTAATTTCCAAATTTTTTATTGCTATGTTATGGATTTATGCAGCACAGATTTTCAGTGCAACTGAAAAGTTAGAATGTTTAAACTTTTGGTCTGATTGGTCTTTCTCCCTCACACACTCAGTGCCACTTGGCCCCTCTTTCAAGATTTAGCACCTGACAATCAACCTTTCACATAACCCACACATCCACGTAGGTCCTCAAGATCCCCCTGGGAAGAACAGGTCCAGGCACAAGGTCTGGAGACCATTGAGACTGACGGTAATGCTGGTATCAGAGTGAGCAGCCCCTGGATGGTGGCACCCACCATTGGTCAGTGCTCCTCAGGGTTGCTGTTGCTTGGGTGCTTAATGGAAAATGCATGCTGAACTCTGAGATGATCAGAAGAGGAAAGGGGAACAAGTGAGGGGTTTTGCAGGTTATTCTGCATAGCAGGCACTTCTGCCTATATTTGGAGGTTGCCATGGGAGACAGAGAATCCTTGTCCTTAAGTTCTGTTCTCCATTTAAGAGGTCTAGATGATTAAAATCTAAGGATAATGTTAAGTGAAATAAGCCAAGCACAGAAAGACAAATATTGCATGCTCTCACTCATTTGTGAAAGCTAAAAAAACTGGTTTCTTGGAGGTAGAGAGTAGAATGATGGTTACTAGAGGCTGAGAAGTGTATTGGGCAAGGGAGTATAAAGAAGGGTTTATTCACAGTTATGAAAATACATTTAGAAAGAAGGAATAAGATCTAGTATCCCATAGCACAATAGGGAAATCTGTAGTTAACAATTATTTTTTGTATATTTCAAAATAACTAGAGAGGTGGATTTGAAGTGTTCCCAACACGAATAAATGATAAATATTTGAAGTGATGGATATCCAAATTGCCCTGATTTCATCACTGCACATTGTATGCTTGTATCAAAATATCACATGTACCCCAGAAGTATGTACATCTATTATGTCTCATACATTTATTTAAAAATTATGGATAGTCACCAGGAACAAGCAATAATATTGAGTTAGAGCAGATACAGCCATTGTTCTGAGGCAGTCTTCATAATGAAGTTAAATCACATTATTTGAGAACTACAAAAGCAGGTTGTTATTATTTTCATTTTATGTATAATGAAATACATGAATAGAAGCAGGGAGGGGTTTATCAGTTTAAACGTAGAGGTGTGGCTCCACAACAGAGTTCGCACTCTTACATTTCACCATGTGGTCACTTAATAAGTGATATATGAAGTCAGAAGGACATTCCCATTAATCTTGAATAAGGTTGATAATGGACATAAAATATGTGAGTCAAGTCTTCAAAGGGGTAAAACTGGTTTACTACAATTAAAATACGAGAAGATGAGAGAGTATATATTGATCTTAAAACAGATCATTTGATGTGACCAATGACAATCAATTTACTGTCAAAGCATTTAAAAATTAGTAGTATTTCATATATTAAACTGTAGCTCAGTAAAGGACAGTATATTATTAGAGAGATTTGCCTCAAATAAATATTCAATTAAAATTTACTTTAAACAAATTTAGAGATTACTATAATGATTTGATAGACAATTTGCACTAATGTCACTTGATAAGTAGTTTCATTGTATAGCCTTTCTTACTTGATAAATAAATGCAGACATTTAATTTTATATGTTGACACAAACTTATATTACCTTACTTGTTTTTATATTTGGAATATCATCACTAGATGTATCATCATTTATCCAGCTAAAACATCATGATGACTATTATTTGGTTATATATTTGTGACTCTAATTATGTTTCTTTAATTAGAGAGGAGGTCTTGCTATGTTGCTCAGGCTGGCCTTGAACTCTTGAGCTCAAACAATCCTCTTACCTCAGCCTCTCAACTGACTGTCCTACAGGTGTGTGCCACTGCACTAGCTTATAAATAACATGTTGATGCAAAGATCCTTAAGTACATGTGCTGATATTAATATGGATTAGATTATCAGAAGTGGAATTGTTGGAATGAAATAAAAACCCTAGAAGAAAACCTAGGCAATACCATTCAGGACATAGGCATGGGCAAGGACTTCATGTCTAAAACACCAAAAGCAATGACAACAAAAGCCAAAATTGACAAATGGGATCTAATTAAACTAAAGAGCTTCTGCACAGCAAAAGAAACTACCATCAGAGTGAACAGGCAACCTACAGAATGGGAGAACATTTTCGCAACCTACTCATCTGACAAAGGGCTAATATACAAAATCTACAATGAACTCAAACAAATTTACAAGAAAAAAACAAACAACCCCATCAAAAAATGGGCGAAGGATATGAACAGAAACTTCTCAAAAGAAGACATTTATGCAGCCGAAAAACACATGAAAAAATGCTCACCATCACTGGCCATCAGAGAAATGCAAATCAAAACCACAATGAGATACCATCTCACACCAGTTAGAATGGCAATCATTAAAACGTCAGGAAACAACAGATGCTGGAGAGGATGTGGAGAAATAGGAACACTTTTACACTGTTGGTGGGACTGTAAACCAGTTCAACCATTGTGGAAGTCAGTGTGGTGATTCCTCAGGGATCTAGAACTAGAAATACCATTTGACCCAGCCATCCCATTACCGGGTATATACCCAAAGGATTATAAATCATGCTGTTATAAAGACACATGCACACGTATGTTTATTGCAGCACTATTCACAATAGCAAAGACTTGGAACCAACCCAAATGTCCATCAATGATAGACTGGATTAAGAAAATGTGGCACATATACACCATGGAATACTATGCAGCCATAAAAAATGATGAGTTCATGTCCTTTGTAGGGACATGGATGAAGCTGGGAAACCATCATCCTCAGCAAACTATCACAAGGACAAAAAACCAAACACCACGTGTTCTCACTCATAGGTGGGAATTGAACAACAAGAACACATGGACACAGGAAGAGGAACATCACACACTGGGGCCTGTTGTGGGGTGGGGGGAGGGGGGAGGGATTGCATTAGGAGATATACCTAATGCTAAATGACGAGTTACTGGGTGCAGCACACCAACATGGCACATGTATACATATGTAACTAACCTGCACGTTGTGCACATGCACCCTAAAACTTAAAGTATAATAATAATAAAATTAAAAAAGAAAAAAAGAAATAAATTCATTTTTAATGTGTATAACAGAAGAGCTATTTATAAAATGGAACAGTTTACATTTCCAATGACAACAGTACGATAATACCATAATGCCGCCATCCTCCACAATAATATTGTTCTTTTTAAATTGTTGCCAATTAGATATGTGGAAATGGTATTTCATTACTATTTTAATTTCGATTTCCCTCACTGCTTGGAAGTTTGAATATTGTTCAACTATTTAATAATATAACTCTTCATAGTTAGCCTTCCAGGGTTTCTGAAACACCCCATTAGATTTCCTATCACTTCCACTTAAAAATAACCTTCTTATTGAATCCTCCAACATTTTTCCTCCACACCTGTCTATAGAAAGCATTTATAATCAGTTCTGCAGCCACCATCCCAAAGCTAATCCTTTTATTTAGTTTAACTTCCCAGGAAAAACCAAGGTAGAATATTCTCATGTGACTTCCATGAATTAATCTGTCTCTCTCTTGCTCTCTCTTCCTTCCTTCCTTCCTTCTTTCCTTCCTTTCCTTCCTTCCTTCCCTTCTTCTTCCCTTCCTCACTTAATTCTTCCTTTTCCTTATTTTTTTCCTTACTATCCTCTGTTGTTTCTGTCTGCTTATATTTCCTTCTGCTTCACCATCCTGTAAATGTTAGTGAGCCCCTGAAAATGAATACCCACATTCCAAAGTCTTTCTTCACTTATGCTAGTTTTCTGTAACGTAAATAAGAAGCCTCTTTCCTACATGAAAGTGAACGCCCCCGACACCTTGGTGCAGTAAAGAGTGGTCAGGGGTCTTCAGAGAAACCAAAGGATCTACAAGTTCAAGCACAGCGAGGACAAAAATCTGCCCTATGTGGGTCACAAGGTCAGGAGATCAAGACTATCCTGGCTAACATGGTGAAACCCCGTCTCTACTAAAAAATACAAAAAATTCGCCGGGCGTAGTGGCGGGTGCCTGTAGTCCCAGCTACTCTGGACACTGAGGCAGGAGAATGGTGTGAACCCGGGAGGCAGAGCTTGCAGTGAGCCGAAATCGCACCACTGCACTCCAGCCTGGGCAACAGAGCGAGACTCTGTCTCAAAAAAAAAGAAGAAAAAAAAATCTGCCCTATGGATGGAACCATGAAAAATATCCCATGACTTTACCAGCAATAAAAACTTGCCAGCAGTCAACAGAGGTAATTCAGACACTTTTCAAGAAGCTTAACTGTAAAACTGTGAAAAAGCAATGAGAATGGTAGATTGAAAGACGAAAGTAGGGGAGCACAGTGGAAAACAGCCTAGCAGATCTCTACAACTTACCTAAAAATGTGCCATTGCAAACTTAACAAATTCAAAGAGTGTATAATGTAGGAAATACGTTAGGAAAAAAAGTCATGTGAACAAGTTTTCAACTTCCAAGCACAGCCCAAGGGGAAATCTATTCTGGCCCAAGGAAACCGATGTCTGTGTAGAGACGTGTTTATCTGACTGTGTTCGCAGGTGAGAAAACAGGTATTTAAGACATGTGATGTGATCACAAGTTCTCAAATAAATTTCCGATTTTACTTTTACTTAATTTGATTTTTTGCAGGGATAGAGAGGCAGGGCAGGTACATGAGTATTCAATGTTGACAACACTAATACTTCTCAATTTAACATATATTTGCATTTCGTTTTTTAGTTATACTTGTAATTACAAGTGTGAATAACATAAATCTACACCTGAGCGATATTAATAAGCTGACCTTACTGAGGACCTATTAAGCTGAACTTGCTGAGGCACAATTACAGACTCAATATATAACTTTCCTTATATTAGCATCAGTCTTCAAGATCAGACTTAAAAAAGTGTTTATTATTCATTTTATTTACTATTATTATCATTATTTTTTAAAGAGACAAATTCTCACTCTGTCTCTCAGGCTTGAGTACAGTGGCGTTTTCATAGCTCACTGCAGCCTCGAACTCCTGGGCTCAAAAAATTTTCCCATCTCAGCCTTCCGAGTAGCTGGGACTATAGGCACATGCCACCACAGCTGGCTAATTTTATTTTTTTTAATTTTGTATAGATAGGGGTCTTGCCATTTTGAACTCCTGGGCTGATGTGTACCTCCTGCCTCGGCCTCCCAAAGTGCTGAGATTGCAGGTGTGAGCCACGGCACCCAACCAGAAACAGTTTTCGAAATGACTGTAACTTCATGTAAGTGCTTTGTAAAATTCAAAACACTTCTACATTCACCTAGGTAAAGTATTACTACTCTTTACTCAGAAACTAATTGTTCTAAAAATATCTCAGTTAATAAGTGCAGATAATCTTATTAAATACCTAACCCTTGTATAGCCAAGTAAAACAGTTAAAAATTATTTATTAATTAATTTACTATTTTTGTATTTCTGAAGACTTTATTTGTAGAGCACTTCTAGGTTCACAGCAAATTTGAGAGAAAGGTACGAGAAATTTCCTATATACTTCCTGTTCCCACTCATGCACAGCCTCTGCCATTATCAATATCCCCTACCAAAGTGATACATTTGTTACAACCAATGAATCTACATGGAAACATCATAATCACCCAAAGACCATAGTTTACATTCAGATTCACCCTTGGTGGTATACATTCTATGTGTTTGGTCAAATGTATCATGAAATTTATCCATCATGTTAGTATAGCTACTATAAAAACCTCCTGTGCTTGCCTATCCTTGTCTCTTTATAACTTCTCTAAATTCTTCAGCAAAGCAGCAGCTATGCATTGATTATCAGTGGTAATTAAACCAGATAGGAAGTGATTTGGCTACTTAAGGGGAAAAGTGCATTCAACCTAAGCTCATGATCTGGACGATTTAGAAAGTTACCTGATAAGACATAACTGATGGCTCTAGTTTCTGCCAGCATAGAAAGATTCTGCAACTTTAAATTGTTACTGAACTGATTCTGTTGAAGAATTTAATATTGATTTAACTTGAAGTGGCTGCTATTCTGATCATTATTTCATTAAAACAGAATGTTTCCACTGTCAGACTCAATTTTAATAAAAAATGTTATCTCCCTAATCATATATACATATATATGTGTGGGTGTATACATAGCTGAAAATTGGCAGTTCTATCAAATACAATAAAACCAGTAATATATTAGGAAGGTTCTTATAGTCATAATAGCATATTATTGAGACATTAAATATTAATCATAAATTATATAAATATATTTTTAAATTCATAATTATTTTACTGCAAATGAGATTTTTTAAGTAAAATTAAGTAATAACAGAGTATTTTAACCTAAGAATCTCCAAAAATTAGCTTCATATTTCTATATTGTGAGATGGAAAGGAGAAACAACTAATTGGAGGTACCTGGAAACGAAATATTATGATTGAACTGGATAAGGATTCTATATACTATATTGTTCATACTACAATATGTCAAAGTATCCAAAGATAATAAAACTACCAAGTGGGACCAGGTGCAGTCGCTCATGCATGTAATCCCAACACTTTGGGAGGCGGAGGTAGGCAGACCACTTGAGCCCAGGAGTTTGAGACCAGCCTGGGCAACATGGCAAAACCTCATCTCTACAAAACAAACAAAAAACACATAAAAAATTAGCCAGGTGTGTTGATGCATGCCTGTAGTCCCAGCTACTCAGGAGGCTCTTGTGGGAGGATCCCTTGAGCCCCAGGAGGTTGAAGCTGCAGTTAGCTGAGATTGGGCCACTGCAATCCAGCCTGAGCGACAGAGCAAGACCCTGTCTCAAAACAAACAAAAACCTACACAATGGGCTTTATGGTTAAAATAATAATAAAAAAAAATAAGTGCAGACAGTCCTGAATGACCAACAGTTTCTGCTTTAAAAAACTCTTCTGTTGCTTAGAATTTAGATCACGCTTCCTTCAAGAAATATTTTTACAAATGTTACCTATATTCCCAGGCCAGCCTATTTAACCTATAATGTATGTGAAAGTGCAAATTTTATTAGTCTGACTTTGGACCCTGGAAGCAGGAGGTGTATAAAACAGGAATACAGGGAGAAACAAAAGCAATAGAGTAGCTTTTAAAAATTTGTATTTAATTTTATCTTTCTTTTCTGTTCATAACGTGTCAGAAATCACAGTGATTTTTTTCTGTATTCCTCATTTACCAGATTTCTTAAAATATTTATATAAATGCCATCCTCAACAGCACGTTGTAGCAAAATGTTCGGGTTTGCAATAACTCTCAACAGCACATACATGCAGAGTTAATTACCATACCTATTGTATCTGTTATGCCAGATTTACTAAAACTGAGGGTTAGAAGTTTAATAACTTCTCTGTGATGAAAGAAGATAGCAGAAACTAAAAACAAAGATTGTCTGACTCCAGACTTGATGTTTCTCTAACTACAAATATTATATGTGGACATAGTTTTAGAGTTCCATCCAGTGATCACAAGCAGTATCAATTATTCCTCCAGTTCCATGACATATTATGTGCAGAGTCTAGCAACTCACTGCATTGTATTATAATTATCACCTCTTATATGGCTGTTAAGCTCTCCACAAGAAGGACTATAATTATACACACACACACATAATTATATAATATATATGAATTATGTTAAATTATGTATGAATTATATACCTATATATTTACAGCATCTATATAAATTATATGCATGTATACATTTATATATTTTAAAATAAAACAGTATCTAAAATTATGTTTTTTATAAAAGACATCCCCAATCAATGGAGCGATATGAATGTAAGAGAAAAGTTATATAAGCTGAACAGTGTCAGAGGAGATATTTTTGACCAAGGGAAAGTCAGCATGTAGATAGGTCATCATTTTCTGGCATTTTAATTTCCAGGTTAGACATCCCCTGAAATCTTGGTTTTCTATTTCTTTCTCTCCTTTTAAAAAGTCAGAATGATGGCATGTACATGTGGGTGTGCAGACACATCTGCATGTGATAAGTCTTCCTTTTCCAGTTTGGCTGAAGATAATGGGAGAAAAGGCAGAGTCAGTTTTCCCTACGAGGCAATTTTAGTCAGATCTTGTTTTCTAACGCATAATTTCCCTGTTACAGATCTCCTAAAATTCACAAACGGCAGCTTGTCAATCCAGGTTGGAAAGCTTATTATAAAAGTCAAAGCATGTGGCCCTTTCTGAAAGCTCCCTTCCTGATATTACACTGAGCTAAGGCCTAAGAAAGTTTCAAACAATAAAGGCTGAAACCTGTCATTGTGGCAGATGGCCTCTGTGCACTCAGAAACTTATTCGCACATTTTATTCATGCACCATCAAAGTGAACCAAGCATGAGTAAAAGCCTGGGGCACCTTTAACCGGGGTTGTGTTTTCTGTTGAAAGCAGTTTTATGCCTAGAAAATTCCATGGGGAACTTGGGCCATAGCATCATGTCTGGCACACAGCTTTATTTCTGTTTGTGGTATGTTCTTTGGTATCTCCCTCCCCATTCTCTCTTCCTATTCAAGGAAGTGAAGCATTCTCCCAATACAGTGCAAGAAAGAAACAGATGTGAAATCTGAAACCCAGCAGTTTACTTCCGTCTCAGCCACTATCCTGTGGCGTCACGCGTTAGACAATTTCCTTCATTTTTCTGCACTTGAGGTGATTATGAAGCATGTCGGTCCTTGAAATAAAATAGAGGTGAGAGCCCTGAGAGTTACAGAAAATTAATGAATAATAAATTCTCTCATGAAACACTGGTTCATTGGTAGGCCTCAACGTAGCTAGCTTGCTAGGTTGCTGTCCTATAACCACTAGCATCAACTATTTCCCTGCTGTCCTCTCTTCTTACATGATACCATCCGCTCTCCTGCCATGTTTGCCTCTACGTCACAATTTCAAGAGGAGGAAGTATAGTCTACACCTGCAAAAATAATTCACTGTGAGTGGACATGATATCTGCCATGCTATCCTTTCTGCACATTTACCTATTACCACATGTACTTTATTTTCATTATGTTGGCTTTTGCTTGTGAAAGAAACTCAAAAGCACACAGAGTAGGTATGAAAATCCATCTCCTTCCCATTCTGACTCTAATACCCCGAATTCTAATCCAAAGATCTTATTTATTCAGCATTTTTTGCATCTGTCTTTAAGCACATAAAATAAACATTGTTTTACATCTTGATTTTTGACTGATTAATATAGCAACCTCACCTTGTCAGAATAAATTTACCTTAATCTTCTGAATGTCTCTTATTTTATTATACTAATTTATCATAATTATTTACCTGCTAAAATACTGATAGAATTCTATGTTGTCTCCAGCCTCTTACTATGACCATGCGCAAGGATTTACACACATCTATATTTTTTAAATGTCCACAAAAGGAATTTCTTGATCAAAATTTATGTGCATTATAATTATTTTAATTATGCATTTTTTCAATTGGATAAACTGCAAAAAGTTTTTTCAATTTGATAATTTGATAAGATGTGGCATACTGCTACAATATGTAACCTCAGTAGAGATGAAAGTGATATATCATTGCTTAATGACATCAATTCTAGTTTCAGAAAAACTGTATTTAAATCCCACCTTTGCAATTCAGTAGATTTGGGGCAAGACATATAAACCCCTTTCCTTAGTCTCTTCACCTGTTAAATAGATGCTCATAATAATGCTTATCTTTAGATCATCTTAGACATTTAATGAGATAATCTTTGTAGAAAATATTAGAACATTATCCAGATTATAGTAAGTCCCCAGTAAATGTTTACAGCTTACCACCATCATCACCATCCACTTTCCACCTATATATATCCCAACTGTCCCTCTAATCATGCCAACAGCTTTTTTTTGAGTTATAGGCATATGTTTGCATTGTTAAACAATAATTTTCATTTAGAGCCTGTGTTTTTAGTAGGTTTTATATTAAGTTGCATATCCATGGTTTGTAAACCGTGGGAGCATATGGCTCCTAATTAGGCTTGATCATGATGAAGAATGACTGTTTAAGAGGTCAGTTAGCACCCATCTAGAGGTTAGAGGACTTCATAAGCACAACAGAAACACCATTCCCTAAAACATGGCAATAGGTTGAAGCCCTGTAAATTGGGCATATCACCACTGACAGTATTTCACATGCTGGCATCGCTACTAAGCTACAGTTGTAGAACTGCCACAAAGATTGCATCACTGACAACAAAGTGAAATATTGATACAGTAATTCGTTTTCTGCACCATATGTCTTGATTTGTACATAAAGTTATTATGCAGCACAGATTCCTGGGCAGATGATTAGGAGAGCAGGAATAACAGCAAGATGTAACATTTTTGCTGGAATGAACCACAGCCTTCCACAACATGAACCAAAGAGATGCAGGTTAATTTCCTACTGCACCAGCCATCTTTGATGTAGTACAACAGATTTTCAAAGAGTATATGGACCTGGCAGGGAAGAAGCAAGTAGAACAACCTTTTCTCTTCCCTTTGCTTTCTTTTCTAGACTTACTTGCAGCTTAGTTGATAAACTTGTGTGTCAGTGTGTGTGTGAGAGTGTGTGTGTGTGAAATTGATAATGGACAGTGACTATCCACAGCAAAAGATTGTTGTTTAGTCTTCAGCAGTGAAGTAAAAGGATAGTCATAAATCATCTCCGCCATCTATTTCGTAGCAAGGATTCTGGTCTTTATAAATATTTGAAGACATAATTATGTAATAGGTTGTAAAATATCTTGAATTACTAGAGCTATTGCTTTTTGAAATGCCCTTCTCTCTAGAGTTCCTGCCTGACGTATAGAGAATCAGGAGCTGAAGAATTTCCCTCACTATACCCTGTCTTACAGCCTCACTCAGAAGTGATAGTAAAGAAACTTAACAAAGATTAAAAAAACACACAATATTTTTTGACTTCTCAAGCACATCATATATTACAACTTTCTAGATATATATTAGAGACCCGTTTGCTGCATTATAATATTTTGTTGGAAAACAAGTGCCAGATTATCCTCCCTGCACGTAGACTCTTTTCTCTTTTTCTAAGAAACGTCAAATAACACAGACATCTTGAAACTGCAGTATGATTGTCATTTCATTTGCAGCAGGAAGGTGTCCCATGAGTGGCCTCCCCTCCTCTGTAGGAGGTCAAATATGAAACTCTGATCTTAAGTTTATAAACATATCCTGGGTTACTGTGCCTTCTAAATATATTTGTACTGTCAAATATTTATGCAATATTATTATTACTGGACATCTGCTCTCTCTTTAGAGAAGTGGGCGTGACTATGGGTAGAGGTGGAGGAGGTGAGGTTAAGGAGGGAAAGAGGGTAGTGCTTACTGTCTCCCAGCTATTCCCATCATGGGGGCTCCCACACCCGCATGATGTCAACACTGAGGAGCCACCTGGGGTGTGCTGAGTTTTTCTCTGTCATGCCTTGTCCTGGAGGTAGGATTAGTGTTTCTATGGCTTCTTCTCAGAAAACACATCTATGTTGCTACAAGTATAAGACTGTTAATGCCCACCACAGAGAATTAAAGAATATACTGTCCAGAAACAGCAGCCTTCTCTGTCACTTAGAAGAAATTCTATTTAAAGGAAAAATGTGATGGTGAGATGGTGACATACAAAATGTTTTACTCTAGAGTTAGATGAAGATTTAAATCTTTTTTTTTTCCCTCTCTATCAACTTAGCCATCCTTTTCTAGGGTCTGACTGCTGTTTGGTGATAGTTTCTTCTACTGAAAATGGGTATAATTAACTATGCATGTATTAGTTTTCAATTGCAGTGTTAACCAATAACCAAATTTAGCATCTTAAGGAAATGTACATTTATCATCTAGCAGTTTTCATGAGTCAGGAATCCAGGCACGGCTTAGCTGGGCTCTCACTAGGCTGCATCCAAGGGGCGGCTGGGCTGTGATTCGATGAGAAGCTCAACTGGGGAAGGATTCCCTTCCAAGCACCTTCAGGTTGCTGAAAGAATTTACTTCCACGTGGTTGCCAGGTTCATAGCAGCTTCCTCCTTCAAAGCCATCCAGGAAGAGAGAATGTGTCAGCTAGCATAGAGTCCTATATAATGTATTCTAATCATGAGAGTGGCATCTCATCACCTTTGCCCTATTCTAGTAACAAGAGGCAAGTCACAGATTCTACCCACACTGGAGAATAGAGAATCATTCAATAGTTTGAACACGGAGAGGCAGCTGTTGTGAGGGTCATATTAAAGTCTGCACGACACAGTGACCTATATTCCTTCTAAGATTGTGATGGGTATCTCATGAGAGATTATATACAATTTTGGGGTATAAAATTATAAAGAGACTATGGACAAAGGTGGGAAAGAAGACTTGAATGATCTCTCTGAAGGGGGAAACATTAAATAATCAAAGTTACTGATGTATAGAGTGCCTGAAGAAGTAAAGTGGTGGATCGATTTAGAAATATGTGAACAGCCTGTTATAAACTGAATAGTTGTGTTCCTCTCAAATGCATATGCTGAAGCCCTAACCACCAGCGTGTTAGGTATGTTTGCATGGTGTTGCCTCCTTTGGGAGGTAGTTAGGTTTAAAAGAGGCTATAAAATGGGGCTCCCATGATAGGATTAGTGTCCTTATATAGGAAGAGAAAGAGGTCAGAGCGCTCTTGCTGTGGGTCATGTGAGAACACAGCAAGAAGGAGGCTGTCTGCAAGCCAGGAAAGAGCCCTCAGTATGAACAGAACTTCCCAGCCTCCAGAAGGGTGCATTGTAAATGTCTGTTGTTTAAGCTACTCAGGCTATACTATTTTGCTATGGCCGACTGGGCTGACTAATTCACAGCCTCTGTTTTTTCTTCAGTGTTGTCAAACTTGGATTAAAATCTTCTTACCATTTGTTTGTACATAAGCTGCTGAACTAAATTTTAGCTATTACTTCATATAAAAAAGTAGATTTAAGCAATTTAAGAAATCATTTCTCTAAAAACTTTTTTCTAATTTAAGAAATGATGCTTTATAGAACAATGCATTTGAATATATTTGCTTTTTTACATATCAAAAGTGTGAAAGTGAAGGAGAGGACTTAATTTTTCTCCAGAAAGCTGTATAAAGTACTCTTTTAAATGTACATGTATGCTGCATAAAAAAAATCTCATCCACATAGTCATGTCAACTATACATTTAAATGGCAAAAAAAAAGTGGTAAACTGGGGATGAGTACTTAAAATCACAGGACGAACTGGAGCACAGAGGACAATTGAACAGGATTTCACAGAGCTTCTCAGGCAAGCACAAGTAGGAACATCTCAGAAAAAAAGTTTATTTTCAGTACGTGTAACTCCAATGGAGTCAATAATTATTTAGAGAAACAACTAGCTCTAAGGGATGTATTATACACTAAAGCACAAAGTAACAAGTGATATATATTACTACTGAATAGGCGTGTGTGTATATCCATGTATTTATTTATTTTTCTCTGCGTACAGTAAATGAATGCCCATTGTATTTGGGCTGTGTAAAAGGTCTGAAAGGGCCTATAGAAGTGGATGTGGCCTAGTTTATAATAACAAGGTGCTAAGGTCTGTTAAGTCATTCATATAAACATGTTTATAACTGTACTCACTTCCTTAACTGAAATTGGAAGAGTGTCTCCACAAGGGACATGAAGGGGGAGCCTTTTGGGTATTTCTGTGTATACAAATTCTTTTGCTTCCTTGGTTATTTCCACATCGCAGTTGGCAGAATTAATGAGCAAATGCTCTCCTTGTTGACTTTCAAAATTAGCTGTCTGTAACTGGGAATCTTGGATAGCTTATGGACTATTGGTGCCTGGAAGTAGGGCTGTAGGAGGATAGCATAGTTTTCACACAGGAGAATAGCAAAAAGTGTGCCTAGCACTGTTTGCATACAATATCGATACATATACATTACATGCTAACACATTTTTTTCAGAGATTAACTAAGATACTTTATAGTGGTCACCATATTCCATAAATGATAGTTTTCTCAATCAAGTGAATTTTGTCAAACAGTTTTCTTAATCAAATCTATTTTTCTGACACATTTTCAATAATTTCATAGTTTTTCTAACTAGGAAATTATTTCTATATATTACTCTAAGCAAGATAAATTGATTCCTGTAATTTTCATGGACATTTTAGCAGGAATGAAATCTCGAGATGACAAATGACTTCGGTTGATGCCCAAGCCAGTTTTCAAAGTCTTCTACATCATTATTTCCCACAATTGCCAGACAGCTGTCACAGTTGTGTTAAATGTGAAAGGACACCTTTATACATTCAGACATTGAGTGTAGGGTGAATCATATTCTACTGATATTATATCATTGGGAGAAAGAAAAACAAGTAAGAACATTGCAATTCTCTCAAACCTCAGGACATTATTAAGTCCCTAAATGCATCATATTTTTCGAAGTCTTTAATGATGGGTCCTTGTTTTATAGTCATTCTAATCAATTATTACATTTTTAAATATAATTGCCTAATATAGAAAAGTAATTTCTATTACCATTTTATTTTACTGAAAATATAATACCAGTTAATGTTGAGACTTTTTTCTATTACATCAAAAGTCTCCATTTCCAATGTGGATAATAAAGGACATTTTACTTCCTCAGTATACAGTGGTCTAGGATATAGACAGATGCAAATTCATTGCATATGATTAGACTGGCCTGACTTCTGATTAATGAGAGCCACAAGGCTTCCAGCCTTCTGATATGATTGAGTCAGACAGTGCTGGTTGCATTCTCTTTTCTTTTTAATTGAATCCAAGTTTTGCTTTAGGTGGCACTATCTCTCATATAAAATACTTCCAGAATCACCTGCACCTGGAGATAGCAGTTCCCACTGTTAGAAAGTAACAAGACCCTAGAAGAGCTTCCAAAAAACTTAAGTTTTTGTTCCTTTATTTTTTTATTTATACATTTTTACCTTTTCACCTGAAGATACGAAACCATCTTGAGACAGATGATAAAAGTCACAAGCAAATTATCAAAAGCAAAACTATCGATGGATCTTGGTATGGTAAGAACATCTCAGACTGCTGGGTTGACAGTTTGCTTTGTGGGAAAGATCAATTCTCTTTCAGCTAAGCCACTATAGTTAGGTTTCTGTGATATGCTGCAGCCTAAGGAAAAGCTAAGAGTTTTTTAGCAGATGACATAGCGCCACCCAGAGCTTGTGGTTGTCTCCACATGTCCTTCTTTGTCCCTGTTGTGTTACTTTCTCCATTCAAGTGGCCTCAGCCAATCTCTGCTAACTGAGCAGGATGTAGAAACATGAAGACGTGGACAGAATCTTGCATTCATTGCACAAGGACTCCTTTGTCAGGTATGCCCATGTGATTGCTGAAGACCCAGTCACCAATCATAGAAAATGCCACTTTATCGTTCCAATGGAGCTGTTGCCAAGGGCTCTCATGTTGCCAATAGCCTGGCCATTTCTTCTTTCTATCTTGCTGTGAAAAACAAACCTGGACAGAAGAGGACATCACCGCACTCCTTGTGACCTTGTATTTGGAACCAAATGTATTGTTTACACATGTTCCACAGCTATATAATATTCAAATGGAAAATGAATTTTTCCTAAGTTTTTCAGAGGATAGTTTGCCCAAGTAAATGACTGAGTTTGCATCTGTAGTTATATCAATCCAGAGCTATAGGAGACTATCCTTCTATGTTCTGTAAGCACTTTAATTACTTAGATGGGAGTATAAGAAAAGTACCAGTGAGATATTTAAATGTGTATTGCTAATAAAATGGCTTAAAATATTTTTCTCCTATATAAACTATGCCAAATCTAACGTTAGAAATGGGCTTACCAATATTTATTAAATTAATCAGCAAATGATTCCACTGTAAAATTTATAAAAGAAATTATAGCTTTCTAGTTTTGTGAATGCAAATGAAATATGATTTATATTTAAACCTATAGACTGATTTATTATATACAGAACATAACAAATTGTCAATGTTCCCCAAATGTATATATTTAACATCAAGTTTCTCATGATCATTATATTTTTCAGAATGACAGCTTTACAAGTTTTCATACATCACGAAAGTTATAATTTTCATGCAAAATAGAGAGCTTTTTAAACAGCAAATACAACTTTGGATAAAAAAAATAATTTTCCCAAAATGATAATTCAAGAACAACCAAAAACACTTGAAAATGTAAAGATGTATCATTTCTCAAAGAATGCACTATTGTATACATTTGAACAAAGCTTGTTAATATGAGGACTCCTTGCCTCAAATTTAAGCACAAATTTATACCGATTTCTAAAATATGTGTTCATCAAGTTCTGTGCTTCAGAAACACATCTTTTAGGAGAATTTGTGGTATCTGTATTTAAACATGTGCCAAAGACATTTGGAAGGTAAAGACGTAAGGAAATGTTATTGAAAATAACCAAACGTAGTGTTCATATATGCTCTTTTATGTCACTAAAAAATTGCGAAAAATGTCAGTCTGGATGAATTTGATACTACTTTCTCAAGTTTTCTACATATATATAGAAAACTAAAATAAGAACTAATGACAAACTAGCTTCCTAGTTAAACTTTCATGCAATTCTGATGTCAGAAGACAGAATCTCAAAGGCAAAACTTAATCTAGAGGCAAGATAATAGGAGACTTGGCATCTATACAAAGCATGAAGTTTACTCACATACAGTGTCACTGCTGTGAATTCTCCTTGCATTCTCAGACAAATCCTACATCATCCCTCATTCTTTCCCCAAAAGAGAAAGTCACAGCAAGACCCACACACATATATTCACTCCCAAATGCACACAGTTATAATAAAGAAAATGTGAAGAAGTCCTAATGAGCCCATCTTTTTCCAAGTGAGCATGGTGCTCTGAGCAACCCCTTCTTCCAAACACACATGGAAGATTCAAAAGAACATCAAATTCATTTAACGTTCATTCCTTTTAGCAGCCTGCCAAAGCTTATGTCACATGGTTATAAAATAGTAGAGTGATTATTACAATTCATTTCTTTCTGTAGCCAAGTCCATACTTTCTCCCCACTTTTTTCAACATGTAACTATTCCTTGATAGTGAATGCAATAAAAGCAAATATATTAATCACTTATGCTTCTATCACAATTAAGTGAATTAACACTCAACAATTAGCAGCCCAGCCCAGTGTTTATGATTTTAAAATACAACTTGACTCACCTCTTAAGCTAAATCTCAGCAATAATGCTTTGATTCTATACAATAGAACATATAGTCTCTGTGAAGAATTCTCACTAGGAAGGCTGCTGATAGACTACTTAACTTTTAAAAGGCAGACAATTGGTTAATTTACTCATTTAACAAAACCTGTGCTAGGCAGTGTGCTATGTGCCCAGGACAGAAAAATTAAAATGGGCTGGATGCTGCTCTTGAGAAGCTCACGAATGGGGGAAAATCACGAAAGCAAATAATTACTATTAATGTGAAAAATGGGCTTTACACAAGCTTCTTTGGGAGTTTACAGAAGGTAAAAGAGAGTAAGTGCTCAACCTATTAGTAGTGACATTACGTACTACCAAAGTTTTCTGGAGAATACATAAAATAATGTATGTGACTGGGTTAGCGCAATGCCTATCACGTACTTAGTACTCAGTTATCTGCATTACAATGTGAAATGTGTTCATTTTTTTCCCTTCAACTCCCCACTGAAGGTCATGTTCTTGTTTATGTTAGATTTCAATTAACCACCAGAGTAGATATATCTTTTTTTTTAAATATTCACAGAGCTTGGATGTATTAAATTTAGAGGCCAAAGGTTTTATTGCTAAAATTAATTAAAGAATAAAGAAGGAAATTAAGAACGAGTAGATTATGAATTCTAAACACTAGCAATAAATTAAATCAGAGCTGATTAGAAATAAAATGTAACCTTCTCTTTAAGTAGTATCTATTTGAATTCTTGTGTAAGTTTATACAAATAAATTAACAAATATAGTAAACAAAAAGCATAGTTATTAGATCATAGATGCTGACTAAAACAAAACAAAGCAAAAGACCCTGAAAAGTAGAAGTAGTAACCATGCTTTATTAGCAATCAGTAACATATATAAAAAGCTCACCATGTAACAGGTAATTTCACATACTAACTCATCAAAACAAACAATGTGATAGATACTATTACAATTTTTACTTTAAATATGACAGGTAGATACGAAGAGAGATAAAGCACATTGTGCAAAATTACACAATACGAAAAGACAACAGCATTGTTACCCGCGTGACACTGGTTCCAAAGCCTGGACTCATTATGTTATAAACTGAAGCAGCAAAAGATTGAGCAACGTGTCCAAATCACGTGGATAACAAACTGTTGGAAATTGAACTCAGAGTAATTTTTTAAAAAGTGATTCTCAAAATTAAAGTGTTGAGCAGGTAAAGGGAATAATTTATTTTGTTATAAAGTTTTCATTCACAGAAAGATAAAATGCTATAAGCCTTATGGTCCACACAGCATTTCACCAACACATGAAGATCTAAAATTACTGAAAACAGCATGAGTAAAATATATAAAGACAGTAGTGATGGGTGATTTATAGGCTGCCCTCTTAGAAATGTGCACGCATGTGCGCACGCGCACACACACACACACAAAAATGCATATAAATTGTGTACTATTCAAAAAATAATGGAGATTTTTTTCCTTTTTTTAGAAGAAGAATAAAAGAAACAAAGAAATGATGGACTTTAATCCTACCTGAGATCTGTTTCTCCATACTCATCCTGCTGAGCACAGGTATAACCCTTGGAAATGATGCAGGAGGCATTAAGAAGAACTCTGAAAGGCAGTGAGAAAAATACAAATTGGTTAGGATCCCAAGACAGAAGAAACAACACAATGGCAGGGTATCTTACCTCTCCCACCCAGCAAAAGAAGGACACTCAGATTGATAGAGTCTAAGTACAACTCAGCAACAGCATGTGGCCCAGGTAAGCACATTCCTCCCTTGGACAACTCAGGAGAGTCTGACACCAATGTAAGAGATCAGTAGGGAACTTATGCCAAAAATAAGTGGCCAGGAGAGATACTTTATTTAGCCTCTGGGCCTGAGACTCTCTTCTCCCACCCAGAGACCTTGGGGCAGGCAGATTCAGTCACACCAGACAGCCGAGAAATCTTTGTCCTTTTTCCTGCCCATAGACAACAGGTGAAAATGCAGAATTAATACCTGAGTCCTGACTTGTCTACAGTATGGTGTCTCCTAAAGGTTTTTGCGATTATCTTAAGTGAGGCAAGTCAGACACAGAAAGACAAATACCCTACATTCTTGCTTAAAAATGAGAGCTACATAATGTGTATACATGGATGTAGAGTGTAGGATGATAGACAGTGGAGACTCAGGAGGGTGAGGTGGTGGGAGGAGGGTGCAGGGGTGAGAGATGAAAATTACCTAATGGCTAAAATGTACCTTATTCAGGTGACGGATATCCCAATAGCTTGGAATTCACCACTGTATGTAACAAAATTACACTTATACCCCATAAATGTATACAAATACAACACAAGCTCATAAATTGACTTTCCATCCTCCTGTGTTCTGTATTTTCTTACTTAAATTTTCTTTAATCATATATACCACATACGGAAAATTTTTAAAAGATAGTATTATGATTTAATATTCTCAAATTATACCAACATAAATTCTACTAGCATGAGATAGATGAGAAATAGAGGGAGATACATGCTTCTTTATACTTGTGGACAGAAACGAAGGCCACATGTGTATAAGAACAATTCATTTGATATTTGGCATTATGTAAATGCAACATTTAAATAAATAAACAGCTAAAGAAGTATTGTATGCAGGGAAAATGATTAAGGATCATGTTAGAAGATAATTTTTTATGTCATACTATCTTTATAATAAGGCAAATAGTGAAGTAAATTGGAATTTTTTTTGTTTTGTTTGTTTGTTTGTTTTTTGAGATGGAGTCTCGCTCTGTCACCCAGGCTGGGAGTGCAGTGGCACGATCTCAGCTCACAGTGACCTCTGCCTTCCGGGTTCAAGCAATTCTTGTGCCTCGGCCTCCTGAGTAGCTAGGATTACAGACATGCACCACCACACTTGGCTAACTTTTGTATTTTTAGTAGAGACGAGGTTTCACCATGTTGGCCAGGCTCGTCTCAAACTCCCCACCTCAAGTGATCTGCCCGCTTCGGCCTCCCAAAGTGCTGGGATTACAGGCGTGAGCCACCATGCCCGACCGGAAATCTTAATATCTAATGAAAACTTGTTTCAAGATGATCCTGAGTAATGTAACCCAGCCATATACCCACCACAAAAATGCAAATCCATCTATCAGTCTTGTTTTTCTAATTTTTCTAATGAGGATTATTACATAAGTGTTACATAAGTATAAATGTTTGATTATGTAACTTAAATAATTAATAAGCAGAGTCCTATGCCTCAAAAGCTAAACATATATTATTTATACAGTGATTGGAAATCTGGTATGTTGGATTGGTTTTTACATTGTTTATTGATATGAACATAACTATCCCTTACTTAATATTTAGATTTAGAGTACTTATTTATATCATTGGACTAATATCTACCATACTTGCAGCTGTTTTCTGTTTGTTGAGCTTGTTCTTTGTTACTTTTTAATTCTCGTTCCCTCTTCTGGCTTCTCTAGCTTTAGTTGACCATTTTATATTCAATTTTTGTGCTGCCTTAGCATGGTAAGTATATATATATTTTTTTTATTTGACCACTAAAATGACTAGAAGTAATCAGTACATGCAATATATACTATTCCATAGAGACTAGAGAATAATGGTGAAAATTATTAATTATATCAATAAATTCCTTTGGTGTCACAAGTCACAGCATTTAATACAGAGGAAAATAACACCTATACATTTTCTTTGGAAGAAATTGTAAATCTTCTAGGCTTTCTAGATACAATGGAGAATATTTTGGTGATATAATTATGCATTTCATTTTTTAATGAGCCCTACAAGTGTTAAAATATACCTACAAATGCAAACATTTTATAATCTGTTTTGACTGATGAAGAACTCGAAGCTCAGCATGTTTAGATCAAGTATCCATAAATATCCAGTAAGTTTCTGGTAGCAAAAGGATTGTAACTGGGTCTTTTAACCCATTTCCCATTTGCCCCAAGAATACCATGCTGGCAGCGAGCTACACTTTAATTCAAATTCCCTAATTCTTTCAGTAAATTAATTCTGGTACATTATTTTCAGAGGAACTTTCTGTTCATACTTGCACACCTGTGTTTCGAAAGAATTATCATTATGTTTCATTCCAAGAATGGACAGGGGAACTTGGAAGCCCAAATAAAATGATAACAATGATAAAATACCTAAATGATTCCTACCTTAATGTCTGTCTATATCCATGGGAGAAAACTTTGAAACCATTTATTAATTTCAGTTATTTTATTGATATTGTTCACCCACATCGTTTCATATAAATCAATGGGTAATCACAGAAAATTACAGACTGAATGTTACACTATTGTAAAATTAGAAGAGATAAACTTTGACAGAGGCACACATTGTACACACGATAAAGTAAAGGGAACTTTCAAATACAATTTAAGAGAATGGTAAAAATATACAAATTCTCTATCTCCAATCTATTGCTAGCACCGTCATGTTCACACACCTGTATTCACGAAGTTCCTTCACCAGTGAAAATTTCACATATTATGAAAGTGGAAAATACCACCTCGAACTATTTTTGTGGAGAATAAAGTAGAACATGTTTGTAAATCATCAAACTGTGATAAATGGGGGCTGATAAAGGAGTGAAAAAATAATGTAGAACCCTAAATAGGATCATCCTCTGCCACAGTCTTTATCTGAGAGGTTCTAGAGAAAATATTTGAAGAGATGATAATATTGGAAAAAGGCAACATTTTAATTACTGGGGAATTCAGGCACACCCAAAATAATAATAATAATAACTATTGAGAGACTGCATTGGCTCCTGAATATTGATGGTAGGAGGGATTTTTTTTTAAAAGAACAAAACAGCAGTACCAGAAGTAACACCACCAGCTACAATAATCACAAGTGTTTTTAGACAAGAGTTATGATAATTTTGGGGAGTTTATACATGGACACACACATATATATGTGTATAGACTTTAAGAGACAAGAGGAGTCAATGTATATTTATTTTCATTATGAATGCATAGGCTTTCAATTTAAAAACTCATGATTTTTCAAAAGAATACCCACTGCTTGTTTTATATATTGATATACTCACTATACCATGTTGCTCTGAATTTTGCTGTTTGGGCACACACGTTAGAGATTTGTGCCCTAAATGGAAATTTTAAAATAAAAAGCCTTTCAATCATCTAGTCTCTCCTCCCAGCCCATTGCACGTTTCCATGTCATCTTTTTTCCAGAACTACTTTTATATGTAAAAAATTTTAAGCTGAGAGTCATGCTTTTTAATCTCGGGTTTTCAGCTTCCTGTAGTTTCAATCCCAGTCATGACTTTTCAGTGAAAATACTCGATAGAGATAAGGACCAGGACAAAAATCAAAATCTCAAAAAGCAAACGGTCTTGGCTTTTAGAGAGCAACCTCTTCAGTAAGCACGACACAGTATAAGAAAAAGGTTAAAAACACAGAACTAATTACACCATGAAAGGGAGGAACATATAGCAGAAATTTCTCTGTAGAAGCTACATATAACTAGACATAATAGACAACAAAGCAATGACATTAAACATCTCTGAGTAATGCTGTGTGTTAGCTCAGCTATTAGGAATAGCTTAGAATTTTATAATTTTGTTGGACTCCGGCACAAAATCATGTTTTGTGGCAAACAGTATATGCATTATTATGATGAGAAGTAGCTCCTCTTGAGCTTCCTTGTTTAAAACTGTTATTCAGAAAATTATTCAATTATTTTAACTTCAGAAAATTATAATTTTACAAACCGAATAAATTTCTGGAATTACAAAGGCTGTTTGTGCTTTATCTTGAGTTAGCAGGGCTTTCTTTTACTTCTCCTATATAGAATTTAAGATTCATTCCTTATTTTCCTCTGCTATGTTGTGAATCAAAGGAAAATTACATGGCTTACCTGTTTATAGCCACTCTTACTATTTCTAGATTATGCAGCATCCTCATGCTTTAACGTGTCTTAATTGTATGCCAGTCTAACTCCACACAACCGGCATAACCCAGGGCTTTCATTTCTCATATAGTTTTTCTCACAAAAGGCCTGGATATGCCCTCACTACTAAATAATTCAACAATCAATAAAATTTTTTCAATAGACAAGAATAGGTATCATATACCTGAAAAAAAAGAAGAAAATCCATACTCATCACATAATGAGCTTTGTTCTACAGCTATAAGAATTATAAGGTAGTTTACATAAGGTTATATAACAGGCAAAAAGAGAGAATCTAAAACAAAAACCTTCAAGTCTAATGAAAATTTGATATGTAGCAAATTATAATGGATCAATGGATGTTTTGGGCTGAATTCACTTTATATTTATTAGATTTGCCGCTTTTGTTGGAGTTTAACATACATTGTGACAATTAACTATACATAACTAGCTTTAGTGGGTACGGTGGCTCACGCTTGTAATCTCAGCACTTTGGGAGGCCGAGGTGGGTGGATCATGAGGTCAGGAGTTCAAGACCAGCCTGGCCAACACAGTGAAACCCCGTCTCTACTAAAAATACAAAAATTAGCTGGTCATGGTGGTGGGCACCTGTAATCCCAGCTACTCAGGAGGCTGACGCAGGAGAATTGCTTGAACCTGGGAGGTGGAGGCAGCAGTGAGCCGAGATTGCACCACTGCACTCCAGCCTGGGCAACAGAGCTGGACTCCATCTCAAAAAAACAAACAAACAAAAAACTAGCTTTATACTTACACATTACATGACTATAGCAAACTCTTATGCCCCAAGCCAACACATAATAGTTGCTTTTATGTGTTGAACATTAAAACTTTTAATGATTAACTCTTTTCCATGCAATCATGTATATATTAAACGCAGTGACACTGGGAAACAAATTGGTGTTTTTGGAAAATGGTGGACAGTATCTACATGGAAAGACATATTTACAGAGTCATTGAAAATATTTTTAAATATAAGCTATGGTTTCCTTTCTTTTTTCAAAATGTTATCAATCATATGAATATCTGTCCTGATTCAAGGCAATTCCTGATTGTGTGCGTCTTGGTGTGCTTGTAGCTAAGACATTCAATCGTGATGTGGTCTTTAAAACTTGAATGTCTTTTCAAGAACTTTGAATTTTGAGAGGGGACACAAAGATTAGCACAGCAAGTAATTATCCACAGTGTCATCTTCAGTGTTGAAAGCCCATTGCTGTTGTCAACAATAGTTTAAGTAGACTGTACTCAGCTCACGAGTTTGGCTGTTTCAGACTATGTCTGTGACCAAGTCTAGCTGTCTTTCTTTCTTTCTTTCTCCCTGCTTTCCTTCCCTCCCCCTTAGTTCCTTCCTTCCTTCTTTCTCTTTCTCTCTTTCTTCCTGAGTTTCAAGCACAATTTTCTAGCTTTCTATTGCTTTTGTGAGCTAATTGATATCTTTGGAAAATCTCTTTAGTTGTTTAGTTAGTCAAGGTATCTGCTATCTTTTGGAAAGAATTGTGACTGATACATAAACTGACTAGTTTGAGAGCTCATTCAAATGAATTGTACAGACAGCATCAAGGTATTGTGCTATATCATACAAAACTGCATTAATTATTAAATTACAAGTAAAATATTAAATTGTAGTAGAAACAACAATTGTATTAATATTACCATATGACTCTTTAGCTCATCTCCAAGTTAGTGCTGGGAAAATACAACAAAAGATCTCTTAAAAATAAAAAATATATATAGAGAGAAAATATTAATTTGGCTATCAAAAGATATAAATGGTAAAAATAATTGGATTTTAGGAGGTAAATAAATTCCAAATATCAGATGAATTTAAATAAGAAGCACAACTTATATTTGTTAGGGATAAAAATATTTTAAAGCATTAAATACTCAACTTTCAAAAGTTTATCTACTGTTCAACTATCCATTCAATTCACATAAAATATTTTTTTCAAATAATACAAAATGGAAATTCAAAGCCTCAATTTTAAAATACTTTTGAGGTGAATGGAATCATATATCTCTAGGACCCCATTTTATACATTCCAAAAATGAGAGTTGCTTCTCTATGTTAAAATATGAAAAAGAAATCTTTTTTTGCAAATTCAACATTGCATTTTATTTGCATGCTGAAGACTTTTCCAAGCCTGTTTCGATCTGTCTTTGATATAGTTGATGACAGCATGTTAGTAGATTAAAATTTTTAAAAATAGAGAACAAAGAACTCAAACTTCTGAAATATTTGTGTGTACATATTTTTGATTTATGCTTAAGATACTCTTCTTCGGTGACTAAATATATCAATAATGGAACATACTCTTGAGAAAGACCTCAAAACAGAGGTACAATGATTACCTGGCATTAAATAAGTGCATCAAAGGAGAAAGTAAATGGGTTTTCCATTGTGCGGAAGACAGGTCCCTGAATGCACTGACAAAATCAAACCAATTCCACAATGCCATTAAATTGATGAAAATGTGTGTTGCATATGTAGAGAGAAGGCTGCATTCCAAATTGCACCCTTTATTCAATGACAAATGTAATGTCAGAGTCTTTGTGAGTCACGGTAACATTGGTTAATTCAGTCACATTATTTTTTTTAACATTTGCTGACCTGAATTTATTATGGCAAATCAATGCTATTGATGCTTTTTACCTTGAACAGTGTCTGGTAATGTTTTCTGACTGGAACTTGTCAACAATGCAGATTTCATTTTATAAAATACTCTGCTAGGTATAGAAAAGTCCTAGATTTGGAGAATTCCTGCGCTCTATTAGTCCCACTACTGTAACCTAAGCAAATATTTTGAGTAAACTTTCTGATTTCTCTGAGAGGGTGAATACAGTCTTAGCTTCTCCACATTTGCAGACATTAATATCTTGCCACAAATGAAGATTTTGAACAAAACTATGAAAAAATGGACACAACAGATAAATAATATGTAACACTATCACTGAATATTGATAATGCTTTACAAATAACCGAGGAATATTACAAACTATTGGACAATTTTTATTCTGAATATCACATTTGAAGAGAGGTATTATTGACAATACATTAAAAAACTATTCCTTTAAAGAATATTTTATAAATTTAGAATTTAAAGATATAAATCAAAAATTCTTACCTGTAAGAGATCAATGTAGAACTAATTTTGATAGTTACATGTACTGTGTCTCTAACCATGGCCAAAAGGATAAATTATGAAAAGAGAAGCAATAACCTCTGGCACAGTGAGCCATCAGTAAGTCCTTTCCTTTTGTAGCACCTGTTCTGATGTCAGTGGTCTAAGCATGAATCCTGAATTTGACCATTTCTAGCTGTGGAATATTAAGACCCTTCTTTAATCCTTGTTCCTCAGTTTCACTGTCTATAAAACCAAAGTTAAATGTTTATAGAGTTTTGTGGGTATCATAAAAAATAAAGTATGTAGAATACAGAGAGTAACTAACATGGCAAAAGTACTTACTAAATAACTGAATGGCTTTTGGGAACTTAAAAAAATTAACATGACTGAATTTTTGGATATATTATATTCTCAACTCATTTTTTATGCTTCTGTACTTATTCAAATTAAAAAAAAGACCTTGTTGTTAAAAAATACACTAAGTATAAATAAGACAGGTATATTAGTCCTTTCTCATGCTGCTATAAAGAACTGCTGGAGATTGGATAATTCATGAAGAAAAGAGGTTTAATTGACTCACAGTTCTGCAGGGCTGGGGAGGCCTCAGGAAACGTACAATCATGGTGGAAGAAGCAAATGTGTCCTTCTTCACATGGCAGCAGAAAGGAGAAGAATAAGTGTGCAGCGAAGGGGGAAGCCCATTATAAAAACATCAGATATCGTGAAAACTCACTCACTGTCACAAGAACAGGATGGGGGAAAAAGACCCCATGATTCAATTATCTCCACTTGGTCTCTCCCAGGACACATGGGGATTATGGAAACTATTAATACAATTCAAGATGAAATTTGGATAGGGACACAGCCAAACCATATCAATAGTTTCCTGTTAGATGTAAAATAATGAAGATTTTTTTCTTATTAATACTAATCACCATAAGGATACACCGAAACATCATATTTATCTATAGGACTGTTGAAGAGTACAACATGAAAGGAGGCATAGGAGAACTGATTTTTAGATCCAGGAATTCTTCATATATGAAGGTGAGTGTCTTGGGATCAGTTTACTGGGTGTGCATATAGGCTGGCTAAGGAGAATGCCTACCACAGACTGGGGCACTTTGAGAAGCTGAAGATCTGCAGCTGAGATACCGATCACAGTGTAGATGAGAGGATGAATTTTATTCTGGAAAATGCCTAAACGCAGCTACAGTTTCACAACCTGACAATACCTCTGGCATTTTCCCCTTCCCCGACCACATAGGTATACACAATGTTCGTTGGTCAGAAATGTGCAATTGAGGTAGTGCTGAAACAGAAAAATGATTCCGTCTCATAAATTCTGCTGGTTTGTAGTACCTACATGCTTCTGTGGTTGAAGATCAATTTGAAAGCAATGTCTTGTCTTCTCCAAACTCAAAAGTTTATAAATGCAATGACACCACCTTTAGATATATGTGCATCAGTCCTGGGTAAGTTCAGTGTTGTGCTAGCTTAGGTAAACTCAATCATAAGAAAAGTGCTGGATTGATATCTGCTAAAACCAAACTTGATGAAATATGTACCTCATCGTTTTTATTGCCAGGCATGGAAAATAACTCCAATTCACTGAGATAAGCAACCTAACAAAAAACCAAACAACAATATACCTCAATCTTCTGCTACACAAATAAACAAAGCTGCATTATTTTATAATAGCAAAGAAATAGTTACACAGTAAAATTAATGTACATTATACAAAGCCCTTACATTAAAACTATGAAACTTTGCTGAGAGATATTAAAGAAAACGTAATACAATAAATACAGAAATATATCATAAATATCAAGTGAAGACTCTATATTTAAAAATATTAAATAACCCCAAATTAATCTATAATTTGGTGAATTTCAATAAAAATACCAAGATTTGTTGTTAGAAAAACCGACAAGCTGATTTAAATTGTATATAGAAATGTAAAACACTCTGTAGTTGTCAACAGTCTCAGAAAAAAAAGAACAAATGTAGAAGAATTACATAATTGATGCTTTTACTGTGGTCAAAAACACGTAAAATTTACTATCATAACCTTATGTGTACATTACTGTTAACTATTTGCACGTTATTGGGCAACAGACCTTTAGAAGTTTTTTATCTTCCCAAACTCTCTATCTATTAAACAACTCCAGTTTTCCCACTGCCCCCAGCCCCTGGAAACTACCATTCTACATTCCATTTCTGAGAGTTTGACCATTTTATATATCTCATATAAGGGGAATCACCCAGTCTTTGCTTTTTTGTGCCTGGCTTAATGTCCTCAAGGGTCATCCATATTGCAACATATGACAGGATTTCCTTCTTTTTTATGGCTGAATAATAATGCTTTGTGTGGATATATACCATATTTTCATTATCCATTATCTGTTGATGGCCATTTAGTTTGCTTCTACCTCTTGGTTATTGTAAATAGTGCTGAAATAAACAGAGATGTGCAAATAACTCTTCACTATCCTATTTTCAATGATTTTTAAAGAAATACTCAGAATTAGGATTGCTGGATCATGTTTAAATTATTAAAAATAGAATTATCATAATGGCTTTATTATTTTACATTCCTTTCAACAGTTATAAGGGTTCCAATTTCTCTATCTTTGTCATTGTGTCCTTTTCAGTGGTTTTTATAATGTCCATGCCAACAGGTGTGAGATGATATGGCACTGTGATTTTGATTTTGATTTCCCTAATTTGATTAGTGCTGTTGAGTATATTTTTATGGGTTTTGGCCATTTGTACAGCTTCTTTGGAGAAATGTCTACTCAAGTTCTTTGCCTATTTTTTGATTTGATTGTTTCTTGAGTTACAGGAGTTCCTAAGTTGTCTTTTCACTGTTCATTGCTTCCTTTGTAGCACAAAGGGTCTTTTTTTTCAAGTAAAGTTTCTGTTGGTTTGTCTTTTGTCTTTGAGTGGACATACTTTCTTATACTTTCTTGCTTACTTCTTGCTTATGCCTTGTGATTTTTTGTTGAAAACTAGACATTTGAATCTAATAATGTGCTAACTATGAACATCACATTATTCCCCTTCCCCAGGGCTTTCTTGGTTTGTTTTTGTTTTGGTTCTTTTGATTGTTGTAGGCTGTCTCTGTGCTGAGGACTAGCCTGAGCTATAAAATTATATAAGTTTTCTCAGGTTTTTTCTGAAGTTAAGACTTTCTCTGGGTAAGCAGAGTGATGTTCTGATTTCTCCTGTATATCTAGTCTTCAATGTCTGGCTCACATAAGGAGGAAAAAAAAGTAAAAGGGAAGAGTCATGAAGGTTCTGGCTCTTTAAATCCCCCATCAGTAAGTTTAGTAAGAACAGGTGGCGTTGGCAACAATAGGAAGACGTGTAAATCTAATGGCCTCTCCTCTTTCTCTGCAGCACTATGATCAGAAGCAGCAATCAGTAATCAGAAACATATTTCCAATATTTGGAAGGCAGGATCGTTTTTGTCCACCTTGGCTCCTACATGTGCAAGGTGCTGGAATGTGGACATGACTACCTGCTCTGGGGCCGCAGGGGTGTCCAAAGGGCAGCTGCTATGTGCTAAGATCTCAAATTGACAAAAATGTATGACAAGTTATTATTTAAGAATTAATTCAGAAGTAAAGTAACCAAATTATTGATACTGATATAAAGATCAATGAATAGATTAGGGACACAAAATATATAGTCAAGGGATATATACAGAATTTTAGGGTCAATTATTTGTGACAAAATTACCAAAGCAATCTAATTCGGGAAAAGGTATACAAAAAATAATACCTGACCTATATTTAATACCGAAACCAGACATAAATATTTATTTGAAATATGTTAAAACATAATAAAAAATCTAAAACTATAAATCTCCTAGAAATAAAGTATAGGAGTCCAGATTTATGATCTTGGTTTAGCAAAAAAATTTTAGGTAAAATGCAAAAAACAGAAACAAACAAACAAAACCACTAGCCCTAAAACATTAAAATTTGAATAGAACTGTGGTTTAACATGAATAAAATTTTAGGCTTATCAGAGGGCTTACTTTAGTAAATTGAAGGATGGGATAGAGACTGTGCAAATGTATTCACAATACAAACTGATCACCATGGTTAAATACTTTCACCAGCAATGTACAGGCATTTTAATTTCTCTAAAACTTCTCCATAATTCAAAATTAATAGAACTTTTTATTATGATTTAATTTGTGGATTTTACCTATTTATTGGTCATTAACAGGAAAAAATAATTTCTGGAAAAAAAAGAGTTCATAGAATGTACTTATCCATGATAAATGGAAGTAACAGAAAGGAAGAATAAATGAACCCTTATATATGCCAAAAGTTTGTCAAATTTGATGAAAGACAGAAGTTCTCAAGTAGAATATTGTAGATGAACACAGATGAGAATAAACACCAAAAGTCTCATTAAAGTCTGACTTTACATTACAAAAAAATGGAGGCAAGAAGAAAATGTAACATCATCTTTAAAGTGCTGAAAGACAAGCAAACAAAAACAACACACACACACACACACACACACACACACACACACACACACACACACACACAGAGCTAGCTCAGAATTCTAAGTAGTGCTTAGAGGAAAATGCCTAACATTAAACATCTATGTTAAAATAGAAAAAACGTTGCAAATAAATGGTCTAAGCCCTCACCTTAGGAAACTAGAAAAAGAAGATAACACAAAACCTAAACAAAGCAGAAAAAAAGTATCAATATCAATAAAACTAATCATAATTTAATTTTCTGGCCATCAAAAAACAGTGAATTTAATGAAACCAAAATTTGGTTCTTTGATATTATCAATGAAGTAGACAAACTTACAGACAAACTGATCAAGAAAAAGGAAGAAACTGATTACAAATATCAGAAATGAGGGAGGAGACATCAATACAGGCACTGCGGATATTTAAATAGGATAAGAAGAAAATATCTGAAGCAACACTATGACAATAAATTAGGAAAATTCTTTGAAATACATTCCTTGAAAGAAACAAACTATCAAAAGTCACTCAAGATGAAAAAGGTAATATTAATACATCTATGTAAATTAAAAGATTTGATTTCACATTTTAAAACTTTTCACAAAGAAACATGCCTTCACTGGTGAATTCTATAATATTTAAAGGATAAATTAGAACATTTCTAACAAAATCTTTCAGAAATAAGAATTTGAAAGAACACTTTGTAACTCATTATATGCTAACATTAATCTAGAATATAAATAGGATATTAATAAAGGAGAAAATGTGACCATTTTAATAGATGCAGAATAAGTATTTGATAAAATCTGTCACTTTTATGATAGAAATTGTTAATAAGGTAGGAATAGAAGACACATTCTTCAAACTCATTAGCCAGAAACTTACAGCTGGTGTCATGCTTAAAAGCCTTAATGGTTTTTGACTAAATAGGGAAAATAAAGGTTTTTAATATCACTTGCATTTAACATGGTTCTGGAGTTTCTAGCCAAAATGATTAAACAAAGCAAAATAAGACAAACAATGAAAAAATTGAAAAGAAATATGATTGTTCTAAGACATGTAGAAAATCCTAAAGAATAAAAAAAAATTGTCTAGAAATAAGTGAATTTTTTACGGCTGCAAGGTGCAAGGTACACATGCAAACCTCAATCCTGTATTTATCTACTAAAAATAAAAAAGTAAAGTGTAAAAATTATTTTCCATTTCTAATAGCATCAATGTGCTTAGTAACACTGGCGTGAAACACTCAGAAATATATTTAATGAATTTTTTTAATCACTCAACATAAAAATATCAAATACTGTGAAGTGTATCACATAATAATCCTCCCTAAATCAATCTAAAGATTAAATGTACTATCAGTCAAAATTCACAAAACTATTTTGTGAAGAAACAGACACTCTGATTTTAAAATTTAAATAAAAGGCAGAAGGGTTATAATGGATAAATAATTGTGAACAAGGAAAACATGTGTAGGGAGCTTATATAACTTTATTTGAAAACAGTATAAATTTATACATATCAAAATACTGTATTGATATAAAGATTAACCTTTAGATCAATGAAACATACTGGGAATTCCAAAAATCAACTGCTACTTATATGGCCAAAGGATTCTTGACAAATATGCCAAGGTCATTAAACGGGAAAAGGTAGTCTGTTATGGTTAATATTGAGTATTAAGTTGATTGGATTGAAGGATGCAAAGTATTGTTCCTGGGTGTGTCTGCCTGTGAGGGCCTTGCCAAAGGAGATTAACATTTGAGTCAGTGGACTGGGAGAGGTAAACCCACCCTGGCACCTTCTAATGAGCTGCCATTGCAGCTGGATAAAAGCAGGCAGAGGAACATGGAAGGACTAGACTGGCCTCAGTCTTCTGGCCTACATCTTTCTCCCATGCTGGATGCTTCCTGCCCTCCAAAATCAGACTCCAAATTCTTCAATTCTTGCGCTCTTGGACCTATGCCACTGGTTTGCCAGCGGCTTTCAGGCCTTTGGCCACAGATTAAAGGCTGCACTCTTAGCTTCCCTACTTTTGAGGTTTTGGAACCAGAACTAACTTCCTTGCTCCTCAGCTTGCAGAGGGCCTATTGTGGGACTCCACCTTGTGATCATGTGAGTCAATACTCTTTTTCAAGCTCCTTTTCATATATACTTCTATCCTATTAGTCCTGCCCTTCTAGAGAACGCTGACTAATACAGCCTTTTAATCAAATATTCCTGGAACAACTGTGTATCTGTTAAAAACAAATAACATGGAAAAAACATTGACCTCACACCATACATACGAACATACTCATAAAATAACTCAAAATGTTTCCTAGAACTAGATGGAAGAGCTAACCCATTAAACTTTACCTAACATTGGTTTAGATCATAATTTCTTCTACAAGACTTTTCAAAATAAACCATAAAAGAAAAAAATGTTTACAATGTGTTTAATAAATATTTAAAAACCACCCTTTCTTTTTGAAATTCAGAATTAAGAAAACTTAAGAGGCAAAGGCCGACTAAAGACAAACGTGTGGAACATACATCAGGTTATAAAAGGCTACTATCTTGCAAATACGAAGAACGATTGCAGTTAAATAGTAAGACAACCTATATGAAAAAAAGGTTCTAAATATTTCAACAACCATTCCGGATAACAAATATACAAGTGCCAACAGGCACATGAATAGATGTTAAACATCATTCGTGATCAGAGACATGCAAAGTAAACCTCAATATGATACACTCTCAATCATTAGAACTGCTACAGGTGAAAAAATTGGCAATACCAAAAATTGGTGAGGGTGCAGAGCACCTGGGGATGTGATATAGTCCATGTGCAGACGAAGAACGTTACAGCCACTTTGGAAAACAGTACACCAAGGTCTTACAAAATTCATCATACACTTTCTATGTGACCAAAAGATCCCTCTTTTAAAATTTTACCCAAGAGAAAATAAACTATGTTCTCATTAAAAGATGAATTTGTTGGAGTTTTTCAATATAATGTAATATTCATAACTATAGATAAATATTAATACATAAAACAACATTATGCTAATAGAAAAAAGACAAACACAAAAGACTATGTATAGTATGATTGCATTTATACGAAATTCTAGAGGAAAAGAGTCTATAACAGAAAGTAGGTCAGTAGTTTCCTAAATCCAGGGGTAGGGAGTATAGATCAGCTGCAAAATGAAGCAAAGAGACATTTTAGAGTAAGAGTGAGGAAACTGGACTGATCCCCTGGTTACTGGAATAACTGCATGATTGTGTTCAATTACCAAACTCAACACTGTGCGTGTAAAATAAATCTTTTATATTCAATGAAAATAAGATCTTACTAAAAATAAATGCATACATTAAAAAGGGATAAAGAAAACGCAGAAAGCACTGGTTCAGATCTCAAAGAGCTGTTCTCCTTTCCAATCAGCATGGATTTCTTAATTGATTTGAGCTCACAAGTAAACAGATACATAAACTAACACAAAAACTAGCAAACTAGCTTTTCGGTCCTGCCTCACCTACCAAAGAACCTCCATCACTTATTTGCCATTGGAGATCATCAAAGAATCAGACCATAAATAAAATAAAGCAAAATAAAAATTGTCTCTTTTTATTTATTTTTGGAGACGGAGTCTCATTCTGTTGCTCAGTGCAGTGGCACGATCTCGGCTGACTGCAACCTTCTCCTACTCTGTTCAAGTGATTCTCCCGCCTCAGCCTCCTAAGTAGCCAGGATTACAGGCGGCCACCACCATGCCCAGTTAATTTTATTTTTTAATTATTTATTTATTTATTTGTATTTTTAGTAGAGGCAGGGTTTCACCATGTTGGCCAGGCTGGTCTCAAACTCCTGGCCTCAAATGATCCACCCACCTCGCCCTCCCAAAGTGGCTGGGGTTAAAGGCATAAGCCACCACACCTGGCCAAAATATAATCTCTTTCAACTCATTAATACATTTCAACTACTTAATGGATGGAATAAGCAAAATGCTCTAATAAGCTCAAAGAATATTTTTAAAAGTTGGGTTTTTATAGAAGAACAAGATTGCTGAACATGACTGGGGAAAAAAACTGATTAATATCAATGGGGCCACAAACCACAATTACTGAGGCTACTTGTCTTTCTGGAATAAAGTTTTGCATCACTACTCATAGATAAATAGATAGACAGATAGATAAAGTTGATCCATAACTTAACAAGTCTGATACCTTTAATCAACTGTAGACAGTGAATAGAATGAACTGTACATGCTAGATAATCACTGCAAGGACTTTGCTCTTGTGTTATATGGAAAGGATATGTCATTCCTGTTCAGTTGAAAATATGCTGAGAGTATTGTTATTATTTTGAATAAGCAACAGAACAAAACACCAATTCTGTACTCAAGCTTAAAACTGCATCAATCAAAGAGCAGTATTATTATTTGACAATGTTTACCTTAGTACGCCACAATCTTCCCTGACCCCATCACAGAAAGAGAGTGCTTTCATTATTTTTTCTTTTTACTAACTTTTCCAAATTCTCACATTTTAAACATAATAATAAAGCTAAATTATATAGGAATAAAAATGGCCTGAAATTGCACAATCTATTAACCAAGAAACCTGCGGGTCTCAGGAAGAGTTTCTGTTTTGAATGCTTAATTTTAGTGTCTGTTAATATCTGAACTAGTTTTAACTGGTTGTTCAATAAAAGAGAAGAAAAAAGATTTTTCCCCTATTTTTCCCCTTTAGGACACTTCATTAATTTTAAGAAGTTTTAATTTTGGCTTTTTTGTATGAAGCCAAACTCTCTTGGCTTTTGTATTGACAGAGAAGTTAGATTTGACCACCGGAACTTTATAACAAGATGGAATAAATTTTTGACCCAGAGAGAATAATCTGACAGACTGTTCCTTCTGCCCTACCATGGGCCCTAGTGAAAATATTCATTGATCTCTTGAAGTGGAAAAATAACTTGGATAGCAGAGCAACAAAATAGCAGTGGTCAATGAAAATAAAATGATTGTGTTCTAAGTCTTCAAATTCTTGTAATTATAAATATTATGCCATGTAGCAAAGCTTGAACACAGAAAGACATGCTAGTTTTTGTCCCCTAGGACTTTCAGTACATTACCTTCAATACCAAACAGCTCAACTATGAAATTGAACATTGCTTTTTTTTATACTGGTTTGGAGAAAACACTAGGATTTATTATATGGCCTCTGATACAGAACTCTATAAGTTCAGTAGATTTGAGAAATCAGTGGAAACCTATATTCACAGTAAGATCATATGAAAAGAAATTTTCTTTAAGAGATAATAATTTCATCCAACTCACAATGTTGTACTAATTAAATTAATTAACACAGAGAAAGCATGGAGACCACTGCCTGGCATGGGGTAAAAATTTAGCAAATACAGTTTTTAAAGTTCTTATTATTTTTCTTGTTGATATTAACGGTAAGTACAAGAAAAATACAGTCTAGAAGACTAAAAAGTTCCCAAAATTGCAAAACAGGTCTTAAGGATAATGTAAAAGTAAAGAAATGGTTTTAAAATAAAATATACTGAGAAAGAGAGAAAATTTCGTCCAGAATTTCATAAAATTATTTTCAGAAATTTGAATTTGAAAGAACCACTATTAGTATACTAATAGAAAAATGAACAACTCAAGACTTTTAAGACAGCAATAATTTCAACAGAATAATTGTGTTGTCTGCTGTTGGCATAACACAAAAATACTTCAACGCAGAGAAAAGTCAGTTCATGTAGATGAACTGACTTGGATGCTTTTGGGGATCCACTCAGTCTGAGCCCTGCACACAAAGGGCTTTCCCAGGTGACAAACAAGAGCTTTGCTGATCCTCTGTAAAACTACCCCTCACTAACTTCAGTTTATTGGAAAAAACTGGTGCACTAATTCCAGCTGGACAAGGTAAATTTTCTCTTCAGGGAAATTGGAAGCAGGGTTAAAGGAAGCTCATCAGACTCCGTTTCATGTTACAACTGAAGAAATGTGAGTTGCAACTGAAGAAACAGACTAACTGGGCACGCTTTCCCCAATGAACAGAGAGAAGAAAAGACAGGTGGGAAAGGGAGGCAGAGAATGCACGTAAGTTAGATAGACGACAAACAGGAGAGAGAACAAGAATAAGAGACAAGCTGACAGAGTGATGGAGACAAAATGAGGAATTCTGTTTCCTTCTGAGTCTTGGTGGCATATCAGTTATTAGACTCTGAGGTCCCTTTTGTGTTTAAAATGTATTAAATATAATCTGTTGTATACATACACTCACACATGCATTAATATATTAATATATTAAATCTTATATACTGTATAGTAAATTTATGTAATATAGTTACATATTACATAATTAGAAATAAATATGTATCAATGCTATTTAATTGTACATTGACATATGTGTGCAGATGTAGTCAAAGTATTCAAAAATTATAGAGAAAAATTTGTTTTTTAATTATATGCTTAAGCTGGACAGTATTTCATTCAAATATAAGGAATATCTATAATAATAAATTGAATAACTTACAAATATGGGTAATCTGTTGGGATAATAAACTCTTACCATAAAAGGTAAGGAAATTGACATTTGCTTTTTATTTGTCTTTACTTTTTTTGTAAGTTTGTTACACACATATAATGTTAGCTCTTCTATTGACAAAATGAAAACTTCTTCATTTGCAACTTCTTGAGATGATTATGTCATATTTCCCAAACTTCTTAATATGGAAGGATAATAGTACAGACCCAGCTAAGAAAAATTGATTAATGGGATTATCCAATCTAAGCTGAAGATAGCCTAATTACTTGCTATGCTTAAACAAGATTAACACGTTAACATCTCCCATGACTTTCCTTCTTTTGAGACTTTACTGGAATGTAGTTATCAGATTTCATTATCATTACAAATATTTAAAGACAAGGGATATGGATATTGCTTGGTAGATAATTGAACAAAATTTATAAAACAGAGCTCATAAGTAATAGTACATCAACAAAAATTATGAGGGCAAACCACATTTAAAAAGAATGGAATATCACTAATCTGGTTGTATTTATCTTTCACTTTCTCAGAAATGATAGGTGGGAAAAAATGAAGCAGAGCAAGTTTGTGCACTTCAGGGTAGCTGAGGACAGTGTTAGCAAGCCACTGAAATGCTTTTCCATGGAAGTCATGGAAAATCATAGCAGAATAATAGAAAATGTAAGTCAATGAAGCAGCAGGAGGAAAAGAGAAAAAATGGTGGTGGAGTTAGAGAAAGCAATGCAGCCTTGTGCACTGGAAGCCAATGTGTTTTTCCACAGATGTGAAGAAAAGTAATCCTGTGAAGCATGAACTTAGGTTCTTCAATGGAATTTTTTGTAGGATAACAATCAAAGTTTGTCTTTCTTGCATAGCTGACATATAAACTTAAAAGTGTATATATATATTCCTGAGGATTTCTGCACTACGTTCAATCACAAAAACATGAGGAATACTGTCATAGGTCCTGCTACCCTGAATACACAGTCATCTGTTCATATTACAGGTGCTCTGCTAACCGAGGTAGTAACTATAATAACATGCTACTTAGTAATTAACATGTTAAGAGAAACATAAACTTCTGGGTTTTTAAAAAAATTACTTTTACCATCAATTTTAAGTGCGGTCATCACACTGTGTACTTTCTGTAAACAGATGAAAACATGCAAACGTGGACACACACCAGTTTTCTATCTCACAGGATATAAATGTTCACCTCTGATTTTAAGCTTTCTGATGTCAGTGTGCAGCGCAGTGGCAAACATTTGACTAAAATGGTGAGCTACATCATCAAATTAGTAATGGATAACTAGCATATATAGTTGAAATATGATAGTATTTACCAATGTCAAATTATGTTATATTAAAATTGATAACCTGGTCAAGTTGGTATCTATCAATGTAAATTCATCATTTTTCTTCATTTACTAGGTTACCATTTTGGGATGAAATATCCTGATATTGTGGAATGATTCTCTGCTTTATCATTTGTTCACTTACCAGTCTTAGCATCCATTGATAATGCTCGTCTGTTCCATGACATAATATCAGAATATTTCCTCCCAAAATGACAATCTAGTTTAAAGGCAGAAAACTGTGAATTTACAAAGATGAAAGCCTGGCAGATGATAATAAAGGATCTCTAAGTTTTTGAGAAGTAAATTGCATAATTTTGCTTTCAAGGAGCTAATAATGTAATAAATATAAAAAGACATTCCCAAATAATCACAAAAATCATCTGTAAGGAGTTCCACATTCAGGAGGCAAATAGAGTGCGAAAGACACTTGGACAATGATCAGAGCACTTCCAGCTGAGTGTTCAGGACAGATGCTTCATGCCATTGGCCCTGGCCTTCAAGGGGAAGCTACAATTTTGGTAGAGAGAGACCATTGGGGAAAATATTTCATTTGGCACAGGAATTCTATGAACACAACACTAACAAGGGAAGTATTGACTTTATTCTGGGAATGGTCAGTTGATTGTCAGGCAAAATCTTAAGGTAACTTTAAGAAAAGAGTAGGAGTTAGTTTTGAAAATACAGGTTAGAGCCAAACCACAGAGGGCAGTGAAGGACAAAGAAGTTTGGATTTGGTCGGCATGCAACAGGGAAACAAGGAATGAACTCAGCATGTTGCCATTTGTCTCAGTAGCTCAGGGAAGGCTCCACTCTGCATCAGTCTCCAGGCAGGCAGGCCTCCAGCCTCAGCCCCCCAGAAATGCGAGTAGCCCTCAGGTTCCTGAGATGAGAATTTACTTAGCGTGTCCTTTCCTGGCCACTCTCCACAACCTCAACATTATTCTCCAACAGCAATCTCTCTTCACGTTTAGAATACGAACTGGATATTGATGGGAAACATTGATATTGACAGGAAAATGGAAGAGTGCTATCCTTCAATGCCACTTTCCCTGGGGGCCACCCGAAGGCCACTCTCGTTTAACTTTTTTGCTTTCTCCTCTCTCTTGACCTTTTCTGTTGTTATTTTTCCTTATCTCAGTCATGAGCTTCTAACAAATGGGTATCTAGCTTCTTCCTGTATGTCTGGTTGTTTTCCCAGCCAATGCTGTTAGCCCTTCTCGCCTTGGCTCTCCATCCCTCTCTTCTTCCTTGCCTGTGTCTTTCTTTCCCTTGGAGTTTCGAATACCCTGTTTATTTTACCACAGATAGTCGCTGGTCTGTGAGAACATTTCTTTCCTAAGGTTGAAAAATTTAGCAATCACGTTCACTTTCTGTTATTTTTGAATCTTGGATAAAATCTCTTTCTCTGACTGGTTAGGGAGCTTTTTATGTATTCCCAGGTTTTGGGGTGTTCAAGTTGATTGAGGCTATTAATAAGTGAGCACTTTCTTTAAAATGAAGAGTGGTGTAACTTTCTGAAACTGCCACCGAAACTCGGGAAGTTATACTTCACCTGAATGAGAGCAACAGCATATTTGCTTTCATATTGTCTTGAACTACTATGCTGGTTGTTTACTAGATTTCATCTCTCTCAATTACATCCCATTATCTCTGTTGCCCTTGTCTTGTGCCAACTTCCAGTTTTTCACGATTTTCTTTTGCTGACTCCCTTTGAGGCCATGTGTTCCCGCATCTATTTGGAGAATGCCAATATCCATATAAAATGTGTTGTCTCCAGGTGTTCTAACAATGGTGCCAGAGAAGACCTGCAGGAGAACATCATCAGTGCGTGACTTCTTCCCGATTCTGTATCTCCCCTAATAATTATAGCCTCGATGTAGCTGTTTATTCATAGAGTCATGTCAGATTTTTTAAGGATGTTCATCAAAAACCTGTCCTCTTCCTTTAGAAATGAGAGGCTCAAATCTAGTTACTCTGTTGAACAAATACAAGTAAAATTCACGTGATGTCAGGTATTTTTTTTTTCGGAGACGGAGTCTTGTCCTGTTGCCCAGGCTGGAGTGCAGTGGTGCAATCTGGACTCACTGCAACCTCCGCCTCCTGGGTTCAAACAATTCTCCTGCTTCAGCCTCCCAAGTAACTGGGACTGCAGGCACGCACCACCGTGCCCAGCTAATTTTTGTATTTTTATTTCAGATGGGTTTTCACCATGTTGGCCAGGCTGGTCCTGAACTCCTGACTTTGTGATCTGCCCACCTTGGCCTCCCAAAGTGCTAGGATTACAGGCGTGAGCCACTGCGCCCAGCCAATGTCAGGCACTTTTGTAAATACTTAGGATATACTGATGAACAAAACAAAAATCTCTACTCTCATGGAACTTGCATTCTAGCAGAGAAAAGCAGATAGAGGTTGAAATGAAAAGCCAGTCAATCATATCTAGTATTAGAATATGAAAAGCAAAATGGAAAAAACAGTTAGGCCTGGATGAGGATTGAGAGATCTAGGACTTCTTAGCCATTTTTACCTAAGAAAGGATAACCAGTTTAAGTGATTTCATGCAGTCATTTATTTTGGCAAGTGTGTCCAAGGAATGGGAAGGGTAAGACCTTGAAGAAAAGAAATCCAACCCTATCTGACAGGTGCCCTCTCAATAGTTATGTCCATATACGGGATGGAGAAAGGAAATTCTCATCCACTGTCTTCCATCACACATTGCAAGGGGTGGTCCATGAGATGTAATGTCCTGCACATTCAAACTTGCACATGTGCAGTTGAGTTGGGATCTGCTGGCATCTTATGAGGAAGTGGAGAACAACCACCAGAGTAAAAAGGTTCAGATGGGCAGTGCTGTTAGTGTACAGCTGCACATGGTTGGTTGCCATGGCAATGGATGAGTAAGGGGGATGAGGGTGGCAAGAGAATCCCACAGGCAAGCCCTATACACAAGGAGTGGGGAGGTTGTAATTTCAATATTATGATTTTGCATAGTTCATATTGAATAGTGAGATTTGATTAAAGGCTTCAATTAGAAAACAGTTATGTGAATATATGGAAGAAAAGCATTTCAATCAGAGATAACAGGCTGTGCAAATTTAATTTGTTTGAGCAATAGCAAGGAGCCCACAGTCATTGCACTTGTGTAAACAAGAAGGTGATTAGTAGAACATGAGCGAAGATAGAGCCAGACCATAGAGGGCTCTGTTAGGTCATTGCAAGGATATGGCTGTTTATTCTAAGTGAAATGGGAAACCATTTAGGGCTTTTTCAGCCAAAAAAATAACTTAGATTTGACTTATTTTTTAAGATTAAACTTTGTATTTTTCAGATAATAATAGATAAGCATGCAGTTGTAGGAAACAGTACAGAGAGATCTGGTATTCCCTTTTCCAGTTCTTCTAATATTAACGTCCTGCAAAGCTATGGTATAGTATCATGACCAGGATAATATCTCACATAAAATCACAGATCTTATTCTATTTTCCTAGTTTCATTGCACTTATTCATGTGAGTGTATTGCTGTGTGTCATTCTGTGTAATGTTATTACATGTTTAGGTTTGGGTATTCAGCATCACAACCAAGATATAGAACAGTTTCATCACCCCAAGGATTCCTTGTACTATCCCTTTATAAGAACACCAATCTTCATTATGCCTCACCCATTCCTCTCCCCAACCCCAGCAACCACTAATTTGTTTTCCATTTATATCATTTTGTCAACTCAAAACTATTGTTTACATGGAATCTTACAGAATGTAAATTTTTCAGGCTGGATTTTTTTTACTCAGCATAATTTTCTTGAAATCCATCCAAGTTGTTACATGTATCAGTAGTTCGTTCCTTTGTATTGATGAATAATATTCTGTTATGTGGACGCACCTCAGTTTGTTTAATCCTTCACCCATTGCAGCACATCTGGGTGGTTTCTAGTTTGGGACTATATGAGCAAAGCTGCTATGAACATTCATTTACAGACATGTGTGTGAACATGAATTTTAATTTCTTTGGAATAAGGCCCAAGAGTCCAATTGTCTGACTATATGGTTAAAGGCATGTTTAATTTTATAAGGAACTGCCAAGCTGTTTTCAGAGTGGCTATACCATTTTATATCCCCACTGTCAATTTATGAGTCACAGTTTATCAGCAGCATTTGGTGTTATCACTGGTTTTTTACCCATTTTGATAGGCTAATATGTCATTGTGTTTTTTTAAACAGGTTTATTGAGCTATAATTCACATACGCTAAGCTTCATTCATTTACAGTAGCAATTCAGTGGCTTTTTGTATCTTCGCAGAGTTGTGCAACCATCACCACAAGCTAATTTTAGATCATTTTTCCACCCCCAAAGAAACTTCATACCCATCAGCAGTCACTCTGATGTCTCCAGTCGGGGAAGCGAGCTTCCAGCTGACCCTTGCAGAGAGACTTCCCTGGCCAGATGCTTGTTCCCTGGAAGCCTCTCCCTTGCTGGTAAATCGCAGCTGCCTGGTGTCTCTCAGCATGGAAGGGGAGTTTTAAACTCAGTTGAAGAGAGTGCTTATCCACAGGGCTGCAATGTTTCCCTGATGTTGTTGGGAGGACTTCTGTTTGATCCTGGGGAGAAATGAGCCCACCTAGGCTGCCTTCTTTTGCTAAGTTGTGGAGGAAGTCTGCAGATGTTGAACCCTGGTTACCTTCCATGTTGGGAAAAAGCGTAAGACACATAAGGTAAGGTCATAGGATGCCCTGTAGTTATGCTGCTCTTCCAGTCCTGGAGTTCCTAATTCGATTCCCTTTAGCTTTCACCCTTTCAGTTTTAATCTTTGGATGCTTCTGTGTTATTTCCAGGGTTCTAATTGGACTACTGGGGAGGAACAGAGAAAAAAGAATCTACTCTATAGTCTCTGTACTTTTTTTTTTAATGATCATGACAGCTCCTATTTTGAAATACACTGTAGGAGACAAGGTAGAAACAGCAGAAGCTAGCAGGCAATTGCACAAATGAAAGTAAAAGAAGACAGTAGTTTGCAAATAGGCAAGAGCAGTGCAGGAGGTGAAATGTGGTCCGATTTTGGGTATCTGTTAAAACTAAAATCAGCAAGATTGTTCAAATGGTTGGATATGCGGTTTGTAAAAAAAAAAGTTAAAACTCAAGAATGATTTCAAATTTTTCCCCTCTAAGCAAATAAAGGATTGGAGTTGCCATTAACTAATAATACATTAATGTCATTAACTAATAATACATTAACAAGGTATTAGTATGAAAGTGGTATCAGGAATTCAACTGCAGTCATGTTAATATTGAGATGTATACGGGACGCGCTTATGGAGATAGCAAGACGGAAATGGATATGAGTTCAAATCACGTAGGACAGGTGTTCTGCCATTCTCTTCACTTCCTTATCCTCTGCCCACTGAAGCCTCAGTGCATGTGTTCCCTCCTCAAAATAAAAAAAACTTTCGTATTCACGGAGTTACAAAAAAACTCGTATGCCATAGCTTTACTTTTATTTAACTAAGAGACATAACTAGTTTTCCCAAAAACAAATTGCCATCAAGGATGAAAAAGTCTGTCAGAAATTTATTTAAACCTTTGAAATAAGTTTCCAAAATTTTACATTCCTAAGTTATTAGAAAGCCTTATTTTTTTACTTAAAACTGAAGGTTCAAGTATATTTTATTCATTCTCCTCAATGAAGGCTGCAAGGAGTGATCATCTTTCCTCCATTACAAAATAACAACTTTAAAGAAATTAGTAATTTTTTTGAAGTGATAGGTTTCTTAGTGACAATGTCAGAACCAGAATCCTTGATGCCCAAATTTCCTCCATACCATGCTATTCAGGAGAATCAAAGTAAACCGGTGCAAAGAAGCGTTTGACAATTATGAGCACACTTTGTTCCTTGGGAAAACATACTTGGTTAGTTAGAAAAAACAAATTAAAAGAAGAATGAGCTACATGTTGTACTAATACATTTCATTCTTCTTAACACTAATGCATACCTTGAGGTCCTTAGCTGTAGCCCCTACCTTCCAGGTTTTCATAGAGTGGAGTTGAATATCAACAAAATTAAATACCAACATTTACATAATACAAGCTATTTAAACAATATCATTGCATTTATTTGGGGCTTCAGTTAAGATTAAATTAATTGTTTAAACCATGCACTTTTTGAAAAATAATTACTAAACAGACAACTCTGGGTATTTTTCCATTTTCTCATATTAGCATAATAACTGGGTTTTACTATATTATTTCATCACAAAGTCAATGACAAGCCAATCTCAAAGTAAAATATTTTGGGATTATGATTATGTTCACTACCACCAATGCCATGAAACAAACTAAACAATGGAAAATAAATAAAAAGCTAGTTGAATTTGAATTAAATGATTTTTAGCTAAAACACAGCAACGTGAACACATGTGTTTATCTTATCTCCTTTGGGAAACACCATTAAATATATTCTAATAAATGAAAATAATGTTCACAAGGGCGAACACTTTAATAAAAAAATAAAATATGTTGGAAAAAATGGTAATTATATAATGGGTAAAACTGAACAGTATCCTCAATAAAGGATGCCAGAAACAAATAGATGTTCATATCCAATGCCTAGAAAGGCATAAGAGTTCACAGTGCTAGTCACCTTTGAAAAATTGGAAAGTTGGAGTGTAGAGTGATAAACAGAGTTAAAACAAGGGAATATTGGTTGAAAGTCTGAGTCTGGAGCATTTCTATCTCCCGATTCCTTTTCAATTTTTTTATAGATTTAGGGGTACAAGTGCAATTGTGTTACAAGGATATATTGTAGAAAAGTGAAGTCTGGGCTTTTAGTGTACCCATCACCCAAATAGCATATATTGTACCCAATAGGTAGTATTTCATCCCTCATCCTCCTGCCACCCAACCCAATTTGGTTTCTCCAAAGTCTATCCTCTCCTACTTCTCCCCAGTCCTCCCTACACATAAGTACAGTCAGATGGGAAGTCTACTCCTCCCTGCACTGACCAATGGAAAAATTGTTCTTTGCATGAATTGGCCAGGAAGGCTCTCAATTTTGAGGCTGCAGGCTTAATATAGAGATTAAGGAAAAATTACAATTTGAGTGTTTAAAGTCTCAGACTCATTTCCTTGCACAGTGATCACACTGAAAACTGGATAATACTTTACTGAAGAAAACAGTCCCCTCTCGAGTGATCACTGAGGTTTCTGTAGCAAAATGACTGGGGGTCTTACAGAGAAACTGTTAAACAAATCTTACTCATGCATCCAACTTTCCAGTCAGCATTCCAAGGGACTCACTCCTAAATATGAGTGACTCAAAATTTGAGAAAATATTTAACATGACAGCCATGTATTATAGTAAACCACAGGAAAAAATATGCGGAGGAAATATGAGAAAAATAAAAATTCAAATGTTGTCATTATAATCTTCCAGTACATAAGACAATTCTTGTACCTGAGGAAAGGATGCTATTTCAAAAATTAAAAACTGGCTCTTTGGAAGTTAAAATCATGAAAACAAATGAAAATATAACATAGTTGGAGCACTGTAATGTCATAGAGACTAAGTAAAGCCATACCATTGAAGGAATGGAGAAGAGATCAGTTTTGCTTGAATAGATTAAAAGAGGCTCAATAAAGACAGTAATACTGGGTACAGGTTCAAAGAATGAAATGGTGTTTGCGAAGTAGAAAAAAATGATAATGAATGTTTTTGTGATTTCTCAAAGACATGAAGGTACATATAGTGTGAAATATTCAGGAGATACAAGTACTATACCTGGAATACAGGATCCATGCTCATGGAAAAGTAGGAGGCTAGATCAATAAAATTCAAGTTATGCAATTAAAATATAATTATAGTGTGGGATCCAGGCTCCTGGGAGTGCCACAGCCCAGTCAACTGCCTGAAGCACCTAAGCATTTCTCCAAGCACCAGACATAAACCTCCTCATGCTACCTGATGCTACCACCTCATCTGGATTCTACCTGCAAGTGCTACATACTGCTCAGGAAGCCAGCCCACACAGCTCATTGCAACCACTCCCAACGTAAGAGCACAGCACTTGGGAACCAAGAGTGCATCTCACTACCACAGCTACCACCATCAGTCACACCACCCCAGCTGCCCAAGAAATCAAGGGCCTGCTCACCCACCCAATACATCACTACTATATCCAGCATCTGAGAAAGATACCCAAAAGCCTAGGAACTCGCCTGCCTGGAAATGTCAGTACAGGTACTAGCATATGCTGCCCCAGGTCACAAGGATAGACATGCTTAGTCCACCACTGCTACCACTGAAACCTGCAGAAGCCATCAGGCATTTCAGTCCCCAGCATGACTTCACCACACCTCTCCACCAATAACTGTACCCTAATACACCAAGGAAGCCACGGATATCACTAAGGCTGTTTATAGCCAAGGAAATCATACAGATTCTGCACCACTGAGTGCAATCAGATGCAAAGCCACACAGCCCCTCAAAACCAACATCACAGTCATGTATTCAACAAAAAGATTCCACACCTATCAACAAAGGTAAATTAAAAAATAAGAAGTGATTATTGCTCAAGATATACAGAAATCTATGCAAGATACAGGAAGCATGAAAAAGCAAGTAAAATGACACCCTCAAAGGAACACAATAATTCTCCAGCAATAGTTCCTAACCAAAAAGGAATCCTCCAAATGCCAGTCAAACAATTCAAAATATTGATTTTGAAGAAGTTAAATGAGATGCAAGAGAAATCCGAAAACCAGTATAAGAAAAATCAGAAAATGAACTCAGAATATGAATGGGAAATTTACCAGACAGATACATTTTTAAAAAGAAAAAGAAAAAAAAACACACGCATAGAAATTATAGAAATGAAAAATTCATTGAAGAAATTGTAAAATACATGAGAAAGCTTCAATAATTGACTGGATGAATCAGAAGAAAGAACCTCAGAACTTGAAGATGGGTCTTTTTAAATAATCCCATCAGAAAAAAATTTTTAATAAAGAACAAAACCTCAACAGATCAAATTAACCTTAAATGTAAATGGATAAAATGTCCCACTTAAAAGATGATAGATTGGCAGAATGGATTAAATGCAGAGAAATGAGATCAGCTTAGTCACATGCTGCACAAATCAATTTTCTCTTGTTAGGGTTGCTAGAATAAAAGAAATTTAAATTATAGAGTTTGATTTTTATAATTTATGACAATATTAAATCATGTTCAACCTCCATTTTGTATCTTGAGCATAAAAGTACAAGAAATACTCTTTAACTGACACTGGAAATTGTTTCCATTGGTGCAATAAAATATCTCCAAAATATGAAACATATATTTTATTTCATTCCCAAATAAAGACATTTTGCTGACCTATTATTAGTGAAACAACCTACACTGAAGATAAGATTAGAGCTCTTTGTATTTGTTTACATTTTTAGTTTATATTTCATTCCATTGTCTTTTTTTCCCATCAAATTCTATCCAGTTGCTTAAGATCATGTGAGCATTTTCTTTTTTTCAATACTTTTATTTTCAATAAATTTGCCTGTAAACATTGTATCTTTCTGAAATGAGGTTTTGGTCTAGAATATATGGTTATACTTGAAAATATTAACTGTTCCAGAAAATGCCAAAACTGCCCATTACTCCTGTAGACAATTTTCATTGTAGCCACATTACCTGTTTCCGAAAATAGATATTTTTAAAGTCAATGAAAATCTCTTGATGTTCTGGTCAAATAACTTTTATTATAAACATATTTCCCTTTAATATCACTTACCAACAGAGATGGTGATTAAATGATTTAAATGAGGACTTCACATGCAAATAATTTAGAAATTTTTTTCAGTGCTATTTTTAAAAATTCTGTTTAACATCATAAAATTAATTTAGAATTAAAATATTTGTGACTCTTTGCCACTTGTATGGTATATACTGTCCTCTTTTACCCTGAAATACTTTTAACTCTCATATAAATATTGCCTGACAGAATAAACAGTATATAGATAGTAAATGCATTAACATGACTTTCCTGTTAGTTTTACGTTTCCCAACTTAAAAAACTCTATTAAGTTTTTAAAGATTACTGTGGGGACATTATAATTTAAAATATTTATTTAAATGACTTCGATTTATATGCACTGGTTGGGAGCTAAAATGAGGCTGCTTAAGAAAGAACAATTCACTTAAGCATCTAGTCATCCAATTCTATTCAAGTTTTAGTACTTTAATTCCATTCTAATAGTGTGACAGGGAATTTGGATAAGCTGTCTCAATGTGAGATTTTTCTGCCTTTGGACAAAGGAATAGATAGTTTTTCTCTCTAAGAAACATGGGTATGGTTCATTGTCAGAAATATAAAAACTTCTATGTGGCTTATTTTATCCAATTTTATTCTAGGTAAAAGAGAAAATATCATACAAGCCATATTTGTGATATGCATTTTTCCTGTCAACTCACATTCCTGAAAACAAACATTGGTTAGCTTTCAAATACTCAAGCTGTCATTTAATAAGGGAGCCAATGGCATGGTTTCTAAAACAGAACAGCTCTTTGAAATTTTCTTTTCATATTTTCTATTCTCTCATTAAGAAACAATGGCCTAAGAAAACATTGCTGACACAGTATTATTCTGTACACATTGTACTTCTGAAACAACTTTATTTAGAATTTGATTTGCTACTTCTTCAATTTTATCTTGTGTAAATAATACATAAGAAAGAGAACATACTAAAATGTATTTGAATGAGTCCTGAAATAGCAGGACCTTTAGGATTTAATGTAGCCCTAAAGAATTGGTCATTGTGTAACTTTGATCAAAGAGAAATAACATTTATGAAATGTTATTTTCATGCTACACACTGTGATAGACCTTATACCTAAAGTATAAATTTGTAAACTCTAGAATCATAAATTATTTCGACGTGACTATACATTGCAGTGGATTAAGTTCATTAATGAGTAATAGGCTTTCAATCTAAGGAAATATGACTATTTCCAAAGTTTTTAATTTGAAAATAGTGAATGCCATCAGGGAATTTCTGTGAAACCATATACAAAGTTTAAATATAGGTAAACAAAATCCACACAGAGCAAAACAAATACATTTTTCTTCTGTACATTAAAGTAATAAACCAACTGAAATCAGTTCCTTTAAAATTTTGTGTTTGATGATTCCATTAAGCCTACTTATTATAAATGTTTTCTTAAGACAGTTGCACACAAGAGCCTGTTTTGGTTTGTGAGTTCAATTTTCTACTCGTAGCTGATTGAATAGGGATGAATATCTGACCTATATTAGACCAAATTATTTCTTCGAGAATTTGTAAATTTGTAAAACAAAAAAAAATGCAGTTGTTGCTGATTGTTTAAATGAGGAAGCTTCAGGGTGGCTTCCCTTCAACTAATGACAGAAATTTTGAGGGTCAGCCAATTGGTAGGATAGTGAGGTATTTTGTTGCTGTTTTAATGTTTTTTGTTTGTTTTTCTTTTTAAGGAACAGTCTTTTCAGAACATCATAACTTATTTAACCAATCATATCTAAAACTGGCTATGAGTATAAATCTCACAATGAATTCACTGGTTCTCAACCCTGTGAATTTGCTATAAATTAGTATCATCTGTGGATCTTTGGCAGCAGCTGAGTAGCACCCCTGATGTAGTATAATTTCGGAGGAACATATCCAGGTATCAGTAAAGTTAAGAATATCTTGAGATGGTTCATATTTGAGCACCAGGGATCTAGCCAATGATTCAGTGATCATTTGCCGCATGCACGGAGAGGATGTGCATCCCTTGTTTGTGTTATCAAGAGCTATGTGGGCCTTTCCAGAAAGACAGAAAAAACCACTACCGCACATAGATTGAAATGAAAGAATGGGCCAGAATATGTCTAGCAAGCAGCTAAAGAGGCTGAGAAGGATCAGCCTCTAAGGAAGGAGGAAATTCAAAGAAGAACATATCTTAGAAGTTAGGTGAAAAGGAAGAGTTGGTTTTTCTGTGGGTTAAGATGAAATTAATTACAGCAAGTTTCTAAGCTGGTGGAACCGATTCAGTAAAGAGAAAACAATATAATTATGCAGGCAGTACCTCCCTTAAATATAGGCAAGAGGGTCCTTGCTCTGAGCTCTGTGCTCTAAAGAGCCCTCCTCCCATCTCATGTTACAAAGACACATGCACAAAAGGGATTCAGGAGCAGTTGAGCACATCTGTCCCTCAGGAGGGGGGCAGATTCCAGTGTGGAAAAGGTCTGAGGTCGGAATACAATGCACTCATCCATTGTCACATGGAGAAGTCAGAATATGTGGGTAAATGTGCAGTAGCTTAACAGATTTGGTAGTGCGAAACTTGCAGAGGTTCTATTTTTATTTTTTCAGATAAATAATAACTAAATTAATGACTAATGAATAAATTACTGACTATTCTTTTGACAGCTTTATTAACACATTAAAATTTGCTTTAAATCTCCACTCCATTGTATAATAAAACTTGCAAATCATGGCAAAAATTGCAATTGCTTTTGCACCAACCTAAAAGTATGATCATCTAAAAAAAATAGAGAAGAATGACTAAACAGTTGCATAGCTGTCCTGGAGAAGTGGAACTAAAATAGAGCCACGCAGATAGGGAGCTGCTTATACCATATGACTGGGTAGCATCTTTCTTCTCTAAGTGTCTCTCCGGCTGGCGCTTCCCAGTTGATGTTCAGCCATATCTGTTACTCATTTATGTCATAATAATTGGGCTTCATTTTAAAAATGAAAACTGAAACAAATGACATAGCACTATCATGAAGCAAGCCTAATTTAGTTTGACAGGATTATCAGATTAGTAGTGCTCCAAGGAAGATGGAATTCTGGAAGGCAAACTCCAAAGATAACATGCCTCCAAAGAGGCATCATCATCATCATATTCACCATCATCATCATGATCATCATCATCATCACAACCATCATCATCAAAGGACGAAGGAGGAAAAGGTGTAGAATTCAGATAGTAGGGAAAAAAGGAGAAAGGCTGATTTGCTTCATTTAGTGATCAACCGCAAGTAGCGAAGCCCCCTTTTTAAAACTGTAACATCCAGTCGGAACTGTTATTTGAGAGAATACATTTATTTTGTGTTTGAGCAGCTACATACTTGAGGCTATTTGTTAGAGTGGTTTACTCACCACAATGTTACAGCAATAGACATTCATTGAATAATTATTTCATTGCAGGCAACAATGTTAAAAACTTAATACACATTATCTCATTCAATCCCCATTATAAACTTGTTTTTTTAAACTATTATAATGCCCATTTTCTAAAAGGTAGTAGAGAGCTGAAATACTTTTTCCAGGGTTACATAGTTGTGGAACCTGAGTTTAGAATAGTTAAATAATTATCTCCAGGTAAAAACTAAGATTATATCTGTGCTATCTAACCCTATACTGACCCTGAAGCTAACTTACAGAGAGAGTCCAGGAAAAGAAAAGTAAATGAGAACTGAGCTTTTTAAGTTAGAAATTTTAAAAAAGTACATAAGAATCTACGAAGTAAGGTGGTAAAATACTGTAAATAAACTCTGCCTACTTTACTTTTTTGCTTGGGACCAGTACTTGTACTTAACACAAAACTCAACCTAGATGCTTATATGCTTATATAAATAAGCCTAATCAGAAGCAGTTGTGAAAAACTGTTAATCATGTTTATTAAAATTTACTCACCTGATGAATCTTCCAATGTCAGAAGCAAGGGACAGCCACTTAGAAATTACAATTGGGTACAAGGAGAATTAAATTATCTATTTTAAAGAATGACCACATATGATAATTTAGTTTAACACAATAGGTTCTATCAGTAAACATTATCATAGTAATGTTATTTATTATTTATCTTCTTTGAAATGTTCTTCTGATTAAAATTAGGAATAAACAAAGTCTAGATTTATGGACTGAATGTATAGATTAGCAGCTACCTGTCTGTCCTAGAATATTGTAGGTTATAGACTGTCCAAGGTGTGTTTAATTTAGAACGAAAGTAAGAAATTTCAGATGTCTCTAAATGCAGTCATTTCTCACATAAATCTTACTGTTCCAAAGAAGAATAAGTATCTAATAAATGTGATGTTATTAATCCTTATTATTCATAGGTGGATATTACACATATAACAATTTATATTAAATCAAATAAATGTTTCTAGTCCCTGAATAGGATGACATTAATAGCAAGACATAAGATACTAAAGTGAATGCCCTCAAAGAAGAAACATAGTCAAACAGGTATTGAAATGATTCCGGGAATTCATTTTCATATATCTTACACTTCTTTTTTGTTTTTAAATTTTTGTGGGCACATATTAGGTGTATATATTAATGGGTATAGGAGATATTTTTATATAGGCATACAATGTGTAATAAATAATCACATCAGGGTAAATGGGGTATCCACTATTTCAAGCGTTTATCTTTGTGTCACAAACAATCCAATTATACTCCTATTTTAAAACATACAATTAAGTTATTATTGACTATAGTCATCCTGTTGTGCTAGCAAATACTAGATCTTATTTGTTCTAACAATTATTTTTCACCCATTCACTATCCCCACTTCCCCCACATCCGCCCACTACCCTTTCTCAGCCTCTGGTAACCATCCTACTCTCTTCCTCCAGGAGTTCAATTGTTTTTAATATTTAGCCTCATTTATGTAGATAGTAAAATCTTTTTTGGTGAGCATAATAAATTACATTCTATTAAATGATATTTTATTACTAATGACAATTTTAGTATCAAATTTACAGGTTTGATAATATTGAAATATATAAATGTAAACATATGACAGCCCAAAGTGAGAGATTCTAAACCCTTTATATAGTATGAAAATAATCCTATCTTAACATAAAGTTTAACAAACAAATATAATGTCCTCATTAACTGCTTCTCCACAATATCTTACAAGATCCTGAAATATCACTCACCCCTTCTGCAAAGTCCTGATAATCCTGCATGTACCTGGTGAATATGGCCTCCTGTCATAGCTGATTATATCAAAAATGAACTGAGGAGCCACTGGAGCCAAGCAGAGACTCAACCAAAGGTTACTAACATCAATTTCATGAGCTGGTGGTGAGCACTGGACCTGAAATGTCATAAGGACTTTGGGCCATGTTTGTTCATTTTCATTGCAATATACTCTGGCCACAGCATGCCAGTGAGTATGTGAGTCTGCAGAAAGCAGCTGAGAAATTAACCTGACTCAAAAAGATAACAGAGAGGAGACCATCAGAGATGAACTGCCTAGAAATTTATCAGTTTCTGTGACCCATCTCTCACCATCACTAACCTTTCAGATTAAAGCAGTAAGGATAGTTTCCTATTATTTGTAACTGACTTTATACTATTTACAAAATTTTTATTTAAAATAAACAAGAATAACAAAAAAATTCTAAAGTAAGAAATTAAATGGGGTAGTAGTCAATTTGAATAAACTCTACAAGATTCAGATAATAAACTTTGTGAGCTAGCATTTAAAAATTTGAAACAGTTCTAAGCTAAGCTACCAGATGTATAGAGTAATTTAATGTGGATACAAATAAAAATATAGTCCATCCCTGAAAGACTAGGCTAAAGAAATCAATAATATATTTCATAATTACTTAAAGAATAGTAAATGTGTTTATACACGTTTAATTAATATATCAGAAAACAGAAAAAATGAAACAATTATTAAAAAGATCACGAGAAACATAGATAAAATAAATAAAATAAGAAATAAGAAATAATAATATGAGGCCAGGCCTGGTGGCTCACACCTGTAACCCTAGCACTTCGGGAGGCCAAGGCAGGAAGATAACGAAGTCCAGAGATTGAGACCATCCTGGCCAACATGGTGAAACCCATCTCTGCTAAAAATATGAAAATTAGCCGGGCATGGTGGCATGTGCCTGTAATCCCAGCTACTCGGGAGGCTGGGAAAGGAGAATCGCTTGAACCCGGGAGGTGAAGGTTGCAGTGAGCCGAGACCACACCACTGCTCTCCAGCTGGTGACAGAGCGAGGCTCCGTCTCAAAAACAAACAAACAAACAAAAAACAGAAAGAAATAATAGTATGAAACTAATAACTTGACAAATGTAGAACCAAATGTAATTAATTTATGTGATTATCAGAATAACTTTAAAAAGTGAGTGTCCATATTTTCAAGAACATGCATGACATTTTCCACAGTTGGCCATTTGTTGGTGTATAAAGCAAGTCTTAACAAATTACAAAGGATTGAAATCATTCAGTGAACACTATTTGGCATCAGTGAGAAAAATCAATTTTAAAAAAGAAAGAAAATCACCAACAGCTTGGAAATGCAGCAACTTATTCTAAATAATAGGACAAAATTGTAAAAGAGTCACAAATAAAATTAGAAGATATTTTGTCCTGACTGATAATGAAAATATGATATATTGAAACCCATTAAATGTAGCTAAAGAATCGCTTTGGAGTTGGGGAGTTGAATAAAGCCTTAAAGATCTCTTGAGAGAAATTCGTAGACAAAGATAGAAAGTCTTCAAAGCAGTGATCTAAGATTTAATTTCAAGATGCTACAAAGGAAAAAAGAGAACAACTTTCAAACAGTAAAAACAAAATAATAAAAAGCATAAAAAAAAATAAAAAGCATACAATACAGAACAAAAAGTCCAGTACAGTTTAAAAACATATATTAAATTGGTAAACCTTACCAATATTGTTCAAATCCAAAATAGAAAGATTACCCAAAAAACACAGCATCACTATAGATACTAAGAAAATATCAACTTTGAACCAATATTTTGAAAGTGCAGATGAAATGGACAAATTTCCTGAAAAACATAAATTAACAAAGAAACAAATAGAATTCTGAGTAATTTGTTATCTGCTAATGAAATTAAATCTTATTAAAAACTTTCTTACCATGAAAATTTGAAGCCCAAACAACTTTGTCAATGGATTCTACTAAATATTTTAAAAAGCAGTATCACCAATTTTTACAAATTCTTGCAGAGAATAGAAACAGAGGGAACTATTTCCTAATTTTACGTCACAATTTTAAACTGAATATCAAATCCTAACAAAGAACATACAACAATGGTGACAACCATCTGTACATCCAACCTACTCATGGATATAGATGTTAAAACTTTGAATGAAATATTAATAAATCAAGTCTAGTGATAAAGAAAATCAGTAATTTACCATAAGGAATTGGAGCATATATTGCCATAATGGACAGGTGTTTTAACTATTTGAATAGCAATTAATGTAATTCATCACATTCATATGAAGAATGAAAAAATCCTATTTTCTTAACAGAAATACTGCTATTAACAAAGTAGTCATTTCAGGGAGCTTTCTTAATGTAATAAAAAGGTATCTAAAAAAGAAAAAATATGAATTAAATAGTCACACATAATATATAATTATTGAAATCATTTCCACTTGAGATACTTCAAAGAATATAACCATATGACAATGAAAATGAACCCATATTAATTATGTGTTTGAAAATGCAAATTAAAACCAAAATGAAATTCTATCAAAACACACACCAGAATGTCTAAAATGGAAAAGTCAGTAAATATGGTTTATCAATGAACATATGAACAGGTAGAGCTCTTACACTGCTGGTGCATAGCTAAGTAGGCATATCCATTTTAAAAAACAATTTGGACCTATACATATCTGACAGGCTTCAATTCTATTCTTGAGTATACACCCCCACCTAAATGAAACAAGGGATGTGGATTAAAATCTTTACAACTACTATTTTTTTTTTTTTTTATTATACTCTAAGTTTTAGGGTACATGTGCACATTGTGCAGGTTAGTTACATATGTATACATGTGCCATGCTGGTGCGCTGCACCCACTAATGTGTCATCTAGCATTAGGTATATCTCCCAATGCTATCCCTCCCCCCTCCCCCGACCCCACCACAGTCCCCAGAGTGTGATATTCCCCTTCCTGTGTCCATGTGATCTCATTGTTCAATTCCCACCTATGAGTGAGAATATGCGGTGTTTGGTTTTTTGTTCTTGCGATAGTTTACTGAGAATGATGGTTTCCAATTTCATCCATGTCCCTACAAAGGATATGAACTCATCATTTTTTATGGCTGCATAGTATTCCATGGTGTATATGTGCCACATTTTCTTAATCCAGTCTATCATTGTTGGACATTTGGGTTGGTTCCAAGTCTTTGCTATTGTGAATAGTGCCGCAATAAACATACGTGTGCATGTGTCTTTATAGCAGCATGATTTATAGTCCTTTGGGTATATACCCAGTAATGGGATGGCTGGGTCAAATGGTAGAAACTACCATCAGAGTGAACAGGCAACCTACAACATGGGAGAAAATTTTCGCAACCTACTCATCTGACAAAGGGCTAATATCCAGAATCTACAATGAACTCAAACAAATTTACAAGAAAAAAACAAACAACCCCATCAAAAAGTGGGCGAAGGACATGAACAGACACTTCTCAAAAGAAGACATTTATGCAGCCAAAAAACACATGAAGAAATGCTCATCATCACTGGCCATCAGAGAAATGCAAATCAAAACCACTATGAGATATCATCTCACACCAGTTAGAATGGCAATCATTAAAAAGTCAGGAAACAACAGGTGCTGGAGAGGATGTGGAGAAACAGGAACACCTTTACACTGTTGGTGGGACTGTAAACTAGTTCAACCATTGTGGAAGTCAGTGTGGCGATTCCTCAGGGATCTAGAACTAGAAATACCATTTGATACAACTACTATTTTTTAACAGTTAAATATATTCAGATCCCATAGTTTACCCATTGAGTGTACAATTAAGCATTTTTTAGTATGTTCACAAAGTTGTGCAAACATTACATGTAATTTTTGAACATTTTAACAGAAAAAAAAGAAAGAAAAGGAAAAACACCCTGATATTCATCAATGGTGGAATGATTAAATAGTAGGATATTCTTAAATGGAATAGTATTCAGCAATAACAAACTAGCTACACTTACATGTAACAGAATCGATGGTTTTCACAAACTTTGAACAAAGCAAGCTAGACACTGTGTGGTTCCATTTATATAAACTAAAAATTGTAAAAACGCATCTATTGGCTGGGCACGGTGGCTCACTCCTGTAATCCCAGCATTTTGGGTGGCCGAGGTGGGAGGATCAAGAGGTCAGGAGTTCGAGACCAGCCTAACCAACATGATGAAACCCCGTCTCTACTAAAAATACAAAACTTAGCTAGGCATGGTGGTGCGCATCTGTAATCCCAGCTACTCAGGAAGCTGAGGCAGGAGAATCGCTTGAACCCAGGAGGCAGAGGTTACAGTGAGCCAAGATCGCGCCATTGCACTCCAGCCTGGGTGACAGAGTGAGACTCTTGTCTCAAGAAAAAAAAAAAAAAAAAAGGAACAATGCATCTATTATGTTACAAATCAGGATGGTGTTTACTTTGTGGTGTAGATAGTAAATGGAAAACAGCCAAAGCCATGAGTGATCCTCAGGGGATGCAGAAAAAGTTCCATTTCTTGATTCAGGTGCTGGCTGCATGGAAGTATCAATTTGGTGAAAAATCATGGTGCCTCCTGGGTACAATTGATAGAAGTTTTTCTGTGAGTACTGTATGTCAATACAACATTTACTTAAATTAAAACAGAGGGGTACTATTAAGCTAATATTATTACTGGTCTTTAATAGCAATTTTTCATGTCCCAAAGCAAAAACCGATTTCTGAATTCCATCATTCTCTATATTGTTTCCCCATTTGAATGCTATTTAAATGCCAAGGGCTAATGTTAGAACAGTCATTAGTTACAGAATTATAGTTGGAGATAAGAACTTCTTGTGCATGTACTGGTTTTTCTTTATGAATATTGTTTGTTTTCCAGTTTACACTGAGCTATGAAACTAAAATCCTTGTGATTTATACATATGTAATTTATTTGTGAATAAAACATATGGCTGAATACAAAGGTAAATATTTCCATTACTTGGAAATATAAAAGGACACTGTCTTCATGAAATTATTTTTGAACACTTGATTATGAATCTTTTATCACAGGATCTTAATATTTTGATTGCCGAATCATCATGCAGAGTACTTGAATAGATTATATTTTTCCAAAAGCAGTGTCAAATGGAGTACATATCTGTAGACAGTCATTGTAAGCTAATAATTACTAGCTTTAATGCTCAAGCATGAATCCCATTTTGGAAATCTTTTCTTGGGTCATTTTGAAAGCTCCTGCCACGAAGCCTGGCGTTCACACTTGCAGACCCTGCCAGGGAGAAACATCAATATCCATTCTCCATTCTTTTTTTCTCACAGATCCTCAAAAGCAATGGCAGCTTGATTCAATAAACTCTAAGACTCCACTGAAGCCAGCCACAGTGCCCAACCTGCAAAGGACTATCAGGCCCACAAAGGCTCACGGTCTGCAGATAGAGAAAAATGTATGCCAAAATGTCACAATGCAGCCTGATTTACAATAGAACACTGTAAAAGGTGATGCAAAGGAATGGAGGTATGGCGGAACTTGAGGACACAGTTCTCAGTCATGTCATCATTGTAAACAACTTTCTTAGGACATGAAAGTTCGGCTCACAAAGCTGGGATTACAAGCACGAGCCACCACCATGCCCAGCCCTCAGTATTTATCCATGTATCCAGTCACTCCTTCAATTAGCCTTCATGTATTTATTTAAACATGATCTTTATGCTCTGACCGTGTTTCCGACATTGTGATAGGCACAGCACCACTTGTTCTGAGTTGTGACTCTCGTCTGTCGGCTTTACATTCTCCCTCTACTTTTGTTTCCTGTTTCATTGGAGTTGTAAACCCACCAAAAATCAAAACTAAACAAGTAAACAAAATAGCACACCACCAATAACTAAACTCTCTCCACACATTCCTTTGAGCTGCCTTTCTAAGGGGGCTTGTCAATGGGAGGCTTATCAGGCAAATGGAAGGAGAAAGAAGGGAAATATTTTTCTGCTACTTGTGATGCCAGTGTCTGTAACTGAACGTGATGAGTGATGGGGTCTGGAGGCTCAGCAGGAGAGTGGCCCCCTGTTTTCTGCTCATTGCAGATGCTTTTCCACTAGCAACTATACTAGACTCTCTAGCAAATTAGTGGTCTCTGTGGGCACCGGGTTTCCATCCAAACATTGGAAGCTTCATGATGTTTGGTAATAACTCCTTTTTCCCTTTTCTCCTTTGGCTCTTCCAACACATTCATAACCAAATCATATATGAAAATTCCCTGGATTAAAAATATCTAGGGGAGTTTCTCTTTCCCTAAGTGGACTCCAGTGGGTGAAAGAATGGTAGAGGAGAGTGAAATTGATTCCAATTCAGTAATTTTACACCAGGGATTCAGACACTAGATTAAATTAGAAAATGTATGTTTCATATGTGATATATTAGCAATCACTATCATTATCGTCTAAGTTATAGAAAATAGCCTAAAACCATCATTTTTAATTTGAATTTTTAGTTATTTTATCTATTAACAAGTATTAGAATTTTTACTCTATTCAAATGATTTATTACTAAATAATCCCCTGAATACTTTTATAGTTTATATACCATGTAGCTTTATAGACTCCTGAACACAGATATTTTTTTAGAGCTGAGAGGTAGTAAAAACTTTAATATGAATCTTTTTCTTAAATTTTCCTCAACAAAAATGGGAAGAGAAGTTTGTTTCTTTATACAAAAAAAAAACATATTTCTTTTTATGTTTAGGTAAACAATTCAAAAGTCTGAGTCAAAAATTAATATGTCCATGCATTAATTCCTTTCTTCCAAGAAATACCAAAAAAGCAGTATGATTTATTGTTTGCCATGTATTCAAAATAAATGTTTAAATATCCAGAATTTCTTCCCCCAAATAATTAATTCAAATTGACTATTTTCCAATTAATTATATATATGTATATATATATATATATGCATGTGTGTGTGTGTGTGTGTGTGTGTGTGTGTGTGTGTGTATAAATTTAGGTATCCACTTTACTTTGAAATATTTTAGCTGAATAAATATTTAAGATTGCCAGTTTCCCAGGACAACGAAAAATAATCAAGCAGCAGTATGCTGAAGAAAACACAAAGGAGAATATTATTGTTCATAAAAAGAGTAATTAAATGACAAAATTGATATACTTCTCATGATACTACAAAATCGAACTGAGTCTATTCTGAAGCCCAGAAAACATTTTTTTAAAAAAGCAGAGGTCAAAGATTGTTTTCTTTTGTAATATAAATTCAGAGAAACACTAAAATATAGCCCAGTTTTATTGAACATACTCCTTGCAAATTTTATAATGGGTTATCTTTAGGGGCCAGGCTAAAGGCATATTTGAAACAACTACATTGCCAGGGCTGGGTATTAACTGTAGTGTTTATGTATCTAAAGAAAGAAAAGCTAAACCCGCTGTTACAGATGGCAGGTTATTGTGAATGCTTGTTGCTGTCATAAAATACATCTGACCACAAGGCTGGAAAGCTAATAAAAATGGCCATATGAACCTTCATAAATCAAAACACATTTATTTCTTTTGCAAGTTTTTTTAGGGAGCTCATTAAATCCTGGGGCATATTAATACTAGACCACTTACAGTGATGTCAGTCATATAATGTGAAAAAAGTCCTTCCACTGGTCTAAATGTCTTATATGCTTACACAAATCTTTTATTACTGAGAATTACCAAATGTGGAAATTTATTATTGCAGATGTAATAAACGGACTAGAAAATACATTTGCAGGCAACTTGCTTAGTTTTTCAAACCTAAGCCATTTTAGATCTTCTAAAAAAATAATAAAAAAAAAAAGCCTACTACTAATGCTATGCTATTGTACCCTTGAAGGCAGAAAGAGCAGTTTATGGAGGGTGAAATAAGAGTTACTAAATGATGCAGCTCAACTGCGTTTACTACCTAAATGAAATGCAAAAGAGCTTGATGGGGAACCCAGGAGAAAAAAAAAAACAGAGAGGGAAAAAAAGTGCCTAGGCTGCAAGAGGTTTTCAGTAATTCAAGGCAATAATTTCAATAATGTTTATCCAAACAGGTCATGACACTACATAAATAAAATCAACATTTCTTTTTTCATTTTAGTGAAGTGGAAATAGACATTAATAAAAAGAAACTTCAACTCCATGTACGTAGTAATTGCAAAGTCAACGCAAAATGATGCCTTATTCTACTTAACCATCTAAATTTTGAATTTCAGGTTTGTTCAGGGAATTTTATTCACTGGCTAATGGAGTTATCTGACCACATTTCTAAAAACAGGAGTATTTATTTAAAAAGGTATAAGGGATATTCTAGTACTACTAAAATATATAAAATTTTGGCTGGAAGCGTTCTTTTTTTTGTTTTGTTTTTTGTTTTTTGTTTGTTTGTTTTTTGAGACGGAGTCTCGCTCTGTCACCGTGGCTGGAGTGCAGTGGCTCAATCTCAGCTCACTGCAACCTCCGCCTCCTGGGTTCAAGCGATTCTTTTGCCTCAGCCTCCTGAGTAGCTGGGACTACAGGCGTGCGCCACCACACCTTGCTAATTTTGTGTTTTTAGTAGAGACAGGGTTTCACCATATTGGCCAGTCTGGTCTCAAATTCCTGACCTCGTGATCCCCCACCTTGACCTACCAAAATGCTGGGATTACAGGCATGAGCCACCACATTTGGCCAAAACTTTCATAGATTTTAATAGTACTTGAAAAAAATATATATATATACATATGCTTTACATCACATGATAGAAAGTTATTTAATAGAGTCAAAAACTTTTATATATTTTAATAGTACTTAATATATATATGTTTTACATCACATGATAGAAAGTTATTTAATAGAGTCAATTTATTTCCAGGTCATCTTTTACTCCATAATTTTAAGATGTTCCCTACTAGAATCAAGACTATACCATATTTATTGAACTATCTTTTATTACCAAGAAGTCCTATTCTAATCAGGTACATTCCCATTATCGAGAGTAGTTCTCCTTCCACACCACTGTGTCCTTCACTGTATGAATAATACACCATTATTTTTATTTCTTTTATTTACTTTTCTATTATGTCTTAGTCAATTTGGGTTGCTGTATCAAAATGTGATAGACTGGGTGGCTTGTGAACAACATTTTACAGTTCTGGAGGGTGGAAAGTCTAAGATGAAAATGCAGGCAGATTTGGTGTCTGCTAAGGACCTGTTTCCTGTTTCATAGAAGGCACCTTCTGGTTGTGTCCTCACATGGTGACAAACAAGATCCCATGGGCCTCTTTTATAGAGGACTAATCCTATGAGGATAGGATTACCTTTTTGTGATCACCTCCCAGAGGCCCCCACTTAATACCATTACCTTGGGGGTTAGGATTTTAACATGTGAGTTTTGGGTAGACATAAATATTCAGACCATGGCATGTAATAGATATTTAATTATATAATAAGCTATGTTCCTCTTATGTATCCTGAAAATTGCTCTTGATTTTTGTACTAATCTTTACTCAGATTACCTGTAACAGGTAAAATCATAGACACAAAATTTTTAAGCATGGAAATAAAGTAAATCCAATATAGGAATTATATAGTATGAAAGGAAAATACTTATTTTCAGTTGGTTCCTCATATGACATATATAGATGGGTTGAATTTAGAACTGACATTTGCTTCATTACCATGTAATTTCATTTTCCTTAGTTTTACAGGGCTCACAAATTAGGTTTCTCTTAAAAAGTACCTTCGTGGGGAATGGAGAGTTATTTAGTGGATAGGGAGTTCAGCTGGGAAGATGATAAAGTCCTGGAGATGGGTTGTGGTGATGTGTGCACAATAGTGTGAACGTATTTAATGACACTGAACTGACACTAAAAAAAAGTTAAAATGGTAAACTTTATTTTATGTACAATTTATCCCGCTTTTATAAAAGGAAAAATGTATCTTTTTTATTAAAACGGGGTTGAGAGTTTTGGGAACTGTTTTTCTACTCCTCATATCACCCTTGTGAAATAGTAAAAGATTCATCTGGCTTTCTTTCTCGTGTAGATTGTGGGGAAAAAAAAAAAAAATATATATATATATATATATATATATACACACACTAGAAAGTGCTATTATCAGTTCAAAGAGATATTAGAGCTGGCCCCAAGCATGCACATTTAGAAATGTTTTGGAAAAGTTAAATTTAATGAAACAAAGTGTATTTCGTCACACTGGAAGCTAGCGTCTGCAGTAAGGCTGACTTCGACATAAAAATGTAGAATGATTTGACTTATTTTCTACTCATAAGTGGATTGCTGTTGTTTGATTCTGTTTATAGAGGATGTGGCCTAAAATAAAACATATAATATGTCCAAAAGCAAAACCTACAATTGTCTGGTGTCATGCTTTCATAATTTACTTCATTGATTTATTCATTTATTCATTCATTCATACAGAAGTTTTAAGAAACCAGCTATATGTCAGGCTACATTAAGTCCTTAAAAAATAAAAAAAATGAGAGTCACAAAACTCAATTCCTGAATGGATATTCTTCTCATGTAAAAAGATTACTTAACTCCAAGGTCTCTTTTATTTAATACTAATATTATAAATATCTTTCATGTATTATCTTAAGGCATCTGTGAAATGGGAAAAATTGTGTGTCTCACAGGGTTATTATTAGAATTAAATGAGATAGTTTAGATAATTGTATTATTGTCTGGCATAAATTTACAGCCAACATGAAACATCAGCTGTTATTATTGGTAATATTATTTAATACAGGATAAAATATCAGTTTCTAGAAAGGATAGACTTATTAAACATTTCTAGTTGAACTATGACACAGGAAATGTATCAAAGGGCTAGATATGTAATTTCAGTTCTGTTAACCATCTATTACAGTGACTTGGGAAAATTTACATAATTGCTCCTTGCTATAGTCTCATTAGTTAAATGGGAAAATTTATTTAAATGTCAAGTAAAGTTCTCGTTAACTCTCAATGTTTTGTGAGTACCTTCCTCTGCTTTGGCCCCCATAATAAAATACTATAGACAGTGTGGCTTAAACAATAGACACTGATTTTCTTCCATTTCTGGAGGCTGGAAGTCTGAGATCAGGGTGCCAGCATGGTCAGATCTGGAGAGGCCTCTCTTCCTGGCTTACAAATAGCCACTGTCTTGCTGTGTTCTCTCAAAATGGAGAGAGGAAGAGAACAATCTCTCTGATGTCTTTTTAATAAGGACTCCAGTCCTATTGGATCAGTACCCACCTTCATGACCTCACTCATCTAACCCTAATTACTTCTTAAAGAACCCATCATCAAACACCATCACATTGGATGTTAAGGCTTCAACATATGAATTGGGAGAGGAGGGCATAGATATTGAGTCCATCACAATGACTATGCCCACATGAGTGATTTTAAGGAACTGGACTCTACCATCCAAGAAAAAAATCTAGGTTCAAATTCCAGCCCTGCTTATATTGCCAATGACTTTGGTGATTCTACTGTCTATTTTGCTCTACCTGAGAGATTCAAAGCAGAACCTCCATCTGCTTGGAGTTATTCTACTAAAGGCAGTAATTCATCTGACTGTGAGAAACTCTTTTCCAAGAGCAGGGTGTTCTTTCCATAGGCGAATTGAACCATAGTAAAAAATCTCCTTTTTCTCATTTTTAGAAGTTGCGTGGATGCAGGCCTGGAGCCTGTCTGTGAACATGCTTCCGGCTGTCTGTAGAGGAATTCAGAGAGAAACAGGCATGCTGGATAGAAAGCCTTGATGATGATGAAGTTGTTGGTATCTATTCCTGAGGCTGATTCTACCACTCTTATTCGTGTGTGTGTGTGTGTGTGTTTGTGTGTGTGTGTATTTGGAGGAAAAGATTTCCATTGTTGTTTTTAACATGAACTGACTCAAGTTAAGCTCTTGTAATTAGATCATCAGAAGAATCCTGAGCTGTTGTTACATCAAGTACACTTAATTTTTCAATTAGCACCATGGTTGATTCATGTTAAACGTGCCCGTTTATATGTTCCTCATTACCATTTCTGTCTTAGTTAAAGGAATTTATCTTTCAGTTTGTTATATTAGAAGGGCATAGGACTTGGAATCTGATCAAGAAGGCTTGGGCTTCACTATTTATACAAACTCTGAGATCCAAATCACACACCTTAGATCAGCCCATTGTGTTCATAATAGCTGTGCAAGTATTTAAAAAGTTATCATGTTATCTATGACATTTCATGTGATTTCATATGTCTTTACGTCTTATCAGTAATATAAGCATAACCATAAGCCAGATAGAGGAACCTGTCTGGTACAGTCCGAAGCTTTAATGGAAGTGGAATCCATTCAGCCTCGGAGGTCTTCAGTGAGACTCCAGGAGGCACAAGGTCAAAGAATGAATTTGGAGGAATCTTTAGAATGGATTTGGAGGAAACTTTAGAATGGATTTGGAGGAGTTCATTATAGTATTCTCTAAGGAACCATGATGCCAGTGGCTACACTTCCCTCTCATTCTTGTGTATTTCCTGAACACCTAGTATAGCAAAACCTATCTGCTTTTTGCAACCCTTACTTGAAGGCTTTGTCAACATAACCCACTTTTTTTCAGTCTTCCTGGTCAAAGGACAGATTGTTTTAAAATACACCCACAATTAGGCAAGGAAACGAATGAAAACTGCCTATATTCAATCAATCTACTATGTACTCAAAAATGTGAATGGGAAATGAAAAAAACAATTGAGTCAGATTAAAAGCTTAATCTCTCTTAAACAAGACAACAGAGGAAAAAGAAAACAAATTAGGAAATTCTTCAAGATAACCATAAAATAAGAACAGACTAATGAAACAAATGTAATCTGAAAACAGTAAAGATTTATTGAAAATTAAGGGTATGCTTAATTAAACTAAAACATTAAAAGAAGATATGAAATATAAAATCAAGGAACTCTCTCAGAATATAGAGATAAAAATCAAGGAGATGAAAATTACAAGAGAGGGTAAATAATATTGATGATCAATTTTGGATGTCTCACATTATCTAACAAGAATTGCTAAGAAATGGAAAAGAAATAATACAATGAAGAAAATTTATTAAAATAATAGACAAATATTCAGAGTTCAAGGTTTTACAGAGTGTAAAGTGAATTTGAACAAGATACCTCTTTGTGAAATTTTAGAACATTATTGATTACAAAACGGTCATTTTCAGGGAAGTGCAAGTAGAATATCTACAAAGAAAAAATTTGATATTGGTATTAAACATCTCAGAAGCAGCACAGATACTATAAATAGTGTAAACATATTTTCAAAGTACTGAGAACAATTATCACAGACTGCAAATCCTTTATCTAGTGAAAATATAAAAATATATCCAAGATTGCAGAAACTTTAATTCTCATGCACCATCTCTGAAAAGGTTGTTTGAAGATTTAAAGAGTAAGACAGAGCAAGATATGGGAGCCAAAATAGTGGTACTAAGTCACTAGTAAAAGAAAGACTGTCTTCAAATTAGATCATACTAATAAAACAAAAAAAAATTAAGATAAGTAAGCATATTTTCAACAGTATGTATGTTTTTCTTCCAAAAATAATTAACTTATTATAAGTATAACAGAAACTCTAGAAAAACCCCTAACCCAACAAAATAAGTCCTGTTATTAAACAAATTAAAATGTGGAATTGGCCGGGCACGCTGGCTCACGCCTGTAATCCCAGCACTTTAGGAGGCCAAGGCAGGTGGATCACCTGAGGTCAGGAGTTCAATACCAGGCTGACCAACATGAAAAAACCCCATCTCTACTAAAAATACAAAATTAGCCAGGTGTGGTGGCACATGCCTGTAATCCCAGCTACTCCAGAGACTGAAGCAGGAGAATCACTTGAATGCAGGAGGCGGAGGTTGCGGTGAGCCGAGATTGCACCATTGCACTCCAGCCTGGGCAACAAGAGTGAAACTCTGTCTCAAAAAAAGTGGAATTATCTGTGGCCGTAAGAGTTGTTTTTTTTTTTAATTTGTATTCCTATGTATGTATTCTTCCAAATGCAGCTTTAGAATAATTTGACAAGGTATAAATATGAAACACCTATTGTTAATGTTTCACTTGTTTATATATTTCTCAGCTCATTTCAATTAATATTTGGTGGTGATTGTTTTATATGGAGTATGTATAATTGGAGTGAAGATGGGGGCAGAAGCTGTTTTTTGTTTCTTTTTGTCTTCATGTAATAATAATTAAAAAATCAATTTAGAAATCAAGTTGATTAAATCAAAATTCCAAAGGTCAGAGATTATGAGGAAAGCACATTTTGCTTTTTTATATACTTATTCCTGATGTCTAAGAGTACAAATCAAGAAGATAGCACTTAATAAATGTTTGTATTTGTTGTTGGGTGTGGAGACAGTAATAAAACCTCTGTTATTGCCCACTTCTATCTCTATTACCTTTTCTTCCCATATTAGCCAAAGATAATAATACTCTGGGAATAGGGATCTCATTATTTTCTTGCATTATTCAAGTTTAAAAATAAGTTTAAGTGTGTTATAATAAAAATTCAGAAGTTGAAACAGCATCAGTTGTTTATCTTATGTAGAGATATAAACCTTATAAACAGATACAATTCCTTTAAGTATCTGTGTGTCTGTGTGTGCATATGTACTTATAATCTTTATTTTAATTTTTTTAGACTCTCACAACCATGTAGGGAAAGTTTATAGATAAGTTTTCACATAACTTCAGATACTTTTTCTTTCCAGTCATTAAATTTTTAAAAAATTGTCTATCTGATACCTAGCAATGCTTCATCTCAAAATTCAAACATATATTTTCTACCTGAACACAAAAGGACTTTGGCAATCCAGTGAGCGCTTCTATTACCAGTACTTATTATTTTCTACTTTGGCTAGTAATGACAGTGTACTAGTGATAGCTGGAATCTTAATACATAATATAAAGTCTTTAATTCCGAAAAAACAAAAGGATATAATTATATAGTCTGTATTCCAAGAAAACTAGGTATTTTTAAACATAGGAAGCAAAATTAGCTTAAATAATTATATGGCAGGATACGTAACTTCTTAAAAATTTTGGTTTTTCTATCACTTCAAATTTTTTGCTTAGAATGTGATATAATTTATCTGAAACATGAAATACAGTAATTAGAGTTGCTCTGATTTTTCTCTTTAGACATACCTTTAGTCCTATGGTATAAATTTAAATTATCACAGAAAATAAAATAAAATTTAATTTAAAAAAACTTACAGAGTCCCACAGTGTTGCCCAGACTGGAGTACAAGGGTGCTATCATAGCTCACTGTAACCTTGAACTTCTGGGTTCAAGAAGTCCTCCAGCCTCAGGCTCTGAGTAGCCAGGACTACAGGCGTACAGCATGATGGCATAATGCTTGGCTAATTTTTTAATTTTTTTTTTTTTTTTTTTTTTTTTTTTTTTTTTAGAGATAGGATTTCATTATATTGCCTAAGCTGGTCTCAAACAGCTAGCCTTGAGCAATCCTCCCATCTTGGCTTCTCAAAGCAATGGGATAACAGGCATGAGCCACTATGGACTGGTCAACATTTAAATTTTTTAACTACAATTTTTCTAGGTCTTTTAAGGATCAAATCATTGATTTAGCAAACATTGTGAGTGCTTATTTGATGGATCATTGAATATTTGTTGATTTGCTATACACGTCAGTATTCTAAGAAAAGTTATGTTTTCCGGAAATCTAGAGCTCACAACTGAAGAGAGAAATGTACAATCGAGTGTTTTAAGTACTCTACTGCAATAGAGCTATATGCACTGACTGTTGTTGTACCAAAAAGGAAGGAATCTCCTTCTGAAAGAAAAAACAAAATTAAACATCCAGAACACTGCCAACCAAGAAAGCTACATCATGCTAAGCTATCCTACGGAAATGAAGGAGAGGTAAAAACTTCCCCTGATAAACAGATGCTGAGGACATTTATCATCAGTAGATCTGCCTTATAAGAAATGTTAAAGTGAATTCTTACAGTCGGATCAAAAGGATGCTAAATAACAATATGAACACAAAGGAAAGCATACAACTCACTGGTTAAGGTAAATATATACACAAATAGTCTAATACTATAATAGTGTACAAATCACTTTTAGCTCTAGTATAACAGATAAAAGACAAAAATACTATGAATAACTATATAATAAGTAATGGCTATATAATACAAAAATATGTAAATTGTTACATTAATAACATGTGAGAACAAATAAAAGTGTAGAGTTTTTGTATGCAAGTCGGTTTCAGCTTTAAATGGACTTTTATAACTATAACGTGATTCATGTAAGCTCAAGGTAGTCACACACAAAAAACGTATAATCGATACACAAAAGATAAAGAGAAAGAATTAAAGTAAAATACTACAGAAAAAATCATCGAATTACAAAAGAAGGCAGCAAAAAGAAAGGAATAAAAGGACAAAACATACAGAAAACAATTAACAAAATGGCAATAATAAGTTTTTACCTACGAATATTTACTTTAAATGGAAATAGGTTAAATTTTCCAATCAAACATCATAAACTGGCTGAACCTTGTGTTTAGCTATGAGAAACTGGTTTTGTTTGTTTTGCTTGTTTTGTTTCAAGTTGACTTTTAAAAAATTATAGAGAGATAGATACAGAGATATATTTAGGTTATATTTAGATATAGATATGTCTTGATAGATGAGAGCAAATTTACTTCAACATTTAAGTGCAGAAAGTTTTTAGAAATATTTTCATAAAAGATTCTATGAATTAAAATTATGCAAAAATAAAAAAGGATAATTTTGAAGTGATGTTGCTGAAAGTTTTTGTTTTTGTTTTTGTTTTAACAGGATGTCATTAATACCACAGAGGGACTTGGAATAGTTGATTTTGACACGTCTAAGGTCCTTTTTTGTTCTTAAAATTCAATCAATATGAGTTTTCACAGATTCTGGGATGCCATTTTTCTTGCCTATTAATTCGTTTGGGTTCTGATTCCTGAGTCATATAACTATTCAATCCGGGTAAAACCAGATTGTGTGGCTAGAACTAACTAAATGATTTTGTTCCACCTTCAGATACTAACTGGATATTCCTTCCTTTACATGTCTCCTTTGCTTCATGCTCAGGGACTCACCCTGCTTCCATAACGTTTTAGGTGCTGCCACACATGCCCAACATTTCTGAGCCCACTTCTCCCCCAAATCTAGCTGAAGAGTGTGACCTGAACAACATGGAAAGAAGGGAGGGAGGGAGGGAGGGAGGGGAGGAAAAGGAAGGAAGGAAGGAAGGAAAAGGAAAGAAGGGAATCTAAAAGGAACATTTGGGGCATGAGATGTCCCTAGTAGGCTTTTGATCTGTGCACTGCCAAAGCAAGCATGACAGTAGGCTTTTACTCCTAGGAATCGAGGAGGCAATGTGTATATGGAGGGCTGTGTGAATGCCCAGAAAAGATTGAGAAGGCCCTAATAACTCACTTTTGGCTTACCTTGAAGCTCTGTGCAAAGAGAAAGTGCATTCTAAAGCAGAGGTCAGACTTCATAGAACATAACTATCGTCAATAAGGATTGACTCCTGTATGTGTGTAGAGAGAAACAAGAAGGAGGGCATGATTTCAGGGAAATATTAAATTTGAATTTTTAAAAATGCTACATATGTAAAAAACCTGCACGTTGTGCACATGTACCCTAAAACTTAAAATATAATAGTAATAAAATTAAAAAAATGCTTCTTTCTAATCATTGTACAATTTCAATCTGAATAACTATGCTTTTCTTTAAGATGATTTTTATCTGCTATTAAGATAGTGCTGGCCCCATCTTAGTTTCCTCTAAATTACCATAATATGCATTTTAGACTTCCTCCTTCTGATCTCATATATATAATTTGAATTCTCTACATGTAATTTAATATATGATTTTTATTACCTCATATAAAATCTATAATAAATTACATTAATTTAAATATAATAAATTTAATCTCTTTATCTGATATTACACTAAATGTTTTATTTACAGTGATACCATGAACACCACAAACATGATCCAAAACATGATGCCTTCAGCTCTATTTAATCTGCTGTTGAAATCATGCCTTCAGATTTCTGCTTTTCTCCTGCTGTCAATGGCAGTGGGTCAGTCCTAGTCTCTCATCGCACCGTTTCAGCTACATGGTTTTGTGCTCCAGAGAGATAGCTATCCTGTTTCTGGCTGTGGCTATGTCATTTTACTTTTATTTTATTAAAAAACTTATTTTTACTTAATGATTATGGCAGAGAGGAATTCTCAAAGTATAAACTCACAACAACTTGACCAGAATTTTAATGAGAACCATTGATACCTTACCATCTGCTATGAGTTGAATTGTGTGTCCCCCAAATATGTAGAAGTCCTAATCCTCATTATCTGTGAATGTGATTTTATTTGGAAGCAATGTTTTTGCAGATGACTAAGTGAAGCTGAAGTCATTATGGGGGGCACTAATCCAATGTGATTGTGCCCTTAAAAAAGAGGAAATTTGGGCACACAGACACACCCAGAGGGGAGATACCCTTTAAACATGAAGGTGGACATGGGAGTGATACATCTGAGTCAAGGAATGACAAAGATTCCCAGCAACCATCCAAAGGTAGAGGAGAGGTGTGGAACACATTCTCCCTCTCAGCCTTCAGAAGGAACCAACCCCGCCACCACCCTGATCTTCTATTTTAGCCTCCAAAACGGTGAGACAATAAATTTCTGTCGCTCACACCACACAGTTTAGTTTTATTTTTATAGCAGCCCTTGCAAACGAATGTAACCTCTAAACTCTATGAGAAAAAAAATCCACGTTTTTATTTTTCAAAAATAAGGTTCAATATTTTGATTTAAATCCAAATTCTGTGCAAAGTATTTTCATCCAAAATGCCCTGTATATGCTCTAGGACTACACAGGCTCCCTATAAAAAATAAATATTGATGAAATTCCATGGATAGCTATCAACATTATCAAGCCACTATGTACCATGTGCCACTTTGTGATTACTATGCTATTTCTTTATTGGAATATCTTTCAAAATGCTACCTATAAATTCTGCTTAGAGTTTAAAAATATATACACATATATTGATGAGACAGATAATGAAAATTATATTTTCAACAGTAAAGTTTAACTGACAAATCATTCAAAGAGCTCTAAATACCACCTTGAAAATATAATTTTGCTTTCAGAGGGATCCTTTTAAAATGATAGGTTTGCAAGGTTTACCATGATGCCGCTTCCTCTTTCTCCTCAACTCTAAACTTGGCTATAGGCAAAAATAAAAGAAATCCACAGAAACAAACAGCAGCAAAAAAAAAAAAAAAAAAATAGAAACAGTAATGACATCTAAGAACTCTGTCATCTTTTGTTTGAGTTACTTTCTTTCACTTCCCAGCTTCTATAACTATAGCACAAAATGGACAATAAACTGTCTCCTTCTGAAGTCCACAGCCCTTTCCTGAAACTGAGTGACACAGAGCATTAACCATTTGATAAATCTTCATCCTCTAGTTGAATTCCCCTTGCCACCCCACTCTTCCTCTTTATTTTTCCCCAAGACGTTGAATAAAGCAAAAGCAAAACATTAGCTTAAAAATCTTTCAGAGAAAAATAAAAGGCACCAACTTTGGTTATTAGAAGTAAATTACCACCTTGAATCATAATGCAGAAATATGAGACAGATTTTTATTCCTTATTATTGGTGTTGAATTATTCAGTGGTACCCATTAGCAATATGATAACGTGGTTATTTTATATTTAGATTTCCTTATAGCCCTCATCAGCAGCTTCCTTTATACACCTGGCAAGTTGACTGTGCACTGATTCAGAAATTATTAACATTAGTGACCAGGATAAAATGATAAAACCTAGATTTACTTTTCTAAAATACATGTATAAAAACATGTCATCTCCCCTAACACTTACAATCAGTATATTAGGAATTTCTTTATCACCATCATCTTCTTATTATTAATATTCTTAAAATAATTTCTATCATCACCACCTTAATCAAATAAGCAACAGTCAAGAATGTCTCCATTATTTTTGAGAGCTAAACTGTGTCTTCACAGCCCATTTTTCTTATATATATTTTAACCTGAGATGGCCATTTTTCTTGTTTACTTTCAGGATTTTTAAGGAAGTACGTATTTTTCTTCATATGTCTGTACTATAATTCAGAAACTATCAAGCAAATCGTTTTGTACTTTTTCAGAAGAAGTTGCTTTTTTCTAGTTGTTTTATTGCAAAGGTGCCAAACTTTTCTTGCAGATAAGAACAATAAAAGGGCAAAAAGCAAGTTTTTTCCTAAATTTTACCAGAGGTTTTCCATGACTTCCTTTGCCACCATAAAGATAAATAAAATAAAATCTTTAGATGGAAGATACATGTCTTTATATAAGAATAGGTTTTTTGTTTAATTTTAGTGAGGATAAAAGAAAAAATAGTATAAATTTTCATAGATGTATACAATGTATTACAATTATGTAAGTATGAAATATTTTCATTATGTACTCTCTCTCCTGAATGACTGGAATATTAACAATGATTATTTAATTATTGCTGGGTTTTGAAATTATGAGAAGTTTTATGCCGTTCATTAAAACTGCTAGTGTACTTAAACTTTCCACAACCCATGTGCATTACTTTTATAATAAAATAAAATGTTGTATATCACAATTGTGATATAAGTACATATTTTATACTTTATTAATAGAAAAATTTTAAATATTTTTTCTAAAACACAATGTCATAAAAGCACATATTTGCACATAAAATTATGAGAAATTAAACACAATATTCACTTGTCATATATCACAATATCTAATTTTCATATTATATTTAATGAGTGATGTCATTAAATTCATAACCTGAAACAGACTGAAGAAATTTTTCAAATTAAAAGTGATTTAAGAGAATGACAACAAAGAACAAAGACAAAGCATTATTTTGGTTGGATCGAGGATCAAGAAAAAATAAATAAAGAGGAAATGACTGCGACAGTGAATAAAATTTGAAAATGGCTCTATATTCTACTATAGGATTATACCAAGGTTAAATGTCCTGAATTTGAAATTTGAAATTTGAATTTGTTCTTGATCTTAAGAGCTATATCCTTAAGTATTTAGAAATAAAGGGCCATACTGCCTGCAGCTCAGTTTCAAATGCAAACCTGTTTCTATCAAGAGAATTTTGCTCCCTAAGGAGCATCTAGCAATTGCTGGAGACGTTAGCTGTTTCAGTGGGGTAGATACTGGTGACCAGGAACACAACTGAACATCCTGCAGTACAGCCTCCCACAACAAAGGATTCTCTAACCCACAATACCAACAGTCCTGAATTTCAGAAACTAATACAAACCTGCAAACCTGTATAAACACAAACACACACATACATACAGTCTTAGTAATTTTTAATTCTTTAGAATAATTCTTAATTCTTAAATAATTCAGATGAGGATATTCTTAATTATAGAGACTCTTTTTATTCAACCTAACATTCTGATACTATTTTTTTATACACTGGTTCAGATGAATGACATCTGTAATTTATTTTCCCACAGTAAAGACAACTATTAAAAATGAAACTTGCAGTTTTAAATGAGGTGGCCTTGGAGGACCTCAGTGTGGAAGTGATATTTGAAAAAAACTCTGATGAAGCAGAAGATGCAGATGGAATGCACCATAAAAAATATGGGCAGCAAATGAATCCTAGTCTGAGGGAGCAGCTAGACCCTGGCGAGTTCAGAGACCCTGAAAGTCTGCAATGCTTGAAGAGCAGCAAGGAGGTCGGTGTGACCAGAGTAAGCAAGTGGGAGACTGGAAACAGAAGAGTCTGAGTGCCTGTCAGTGCAGTGATGTCTCCTAGAAATGTCAGGTGAGCCACATGCATCATTTTAAATGCCATACAGGGCCAGGTGCGATGGCTCACACCTGTAGTCTCAACACTTTGGGAGGCCGAGGCAGGCGGATCACCTGAGGTCAGGAGTTCGAGACCAGCCTGGCCAACATGGGGAAACCACGTCTCCACTAAAAATACAAAAAATTAGCCAGGCGTAGTGGCAGGTGCCTGTAATTTCAACTACTCCAGAGGCTGAGGCAGGAGAATCACTTGAACCCAGGAGTTGGAGGTTGCAGTGAACCGGGATCATGCCATTGCCCACCAGCCTGGGCAACAAGAGTGCAACTGTGTCTCAAATAAATAGCCAGACAGCCACATTAAAAAACAAACAGATGAAGTTAATTTTAACAATACATTTTATTAAACATAGGATAGCAAAAATCATTTCAGCATGTAATCAACTCCAAAAATCAGTAAGATACTTCATATTTTTTTTTTTTTACTAAGTTTTTAACACATCTCAATTTGGACTAAACATTTCAAGTGCTCAGTAGTCACACGTGGTTAGTGGCTGCTGTGTTGTACAGCGTAGGCATAGATTCTTGATCTTTATTCTGAATGAAATAGAAAAGCTATGAACACTCTGGGACAGAAACAGCACCGCCTGACTTCTGTTTTAAAAGAACCAGTTGGGCTGTTCTTTGGGAAATATAACAGGAGTTAAGAGCAGAAGCAGAAAGACTAGGCAGCTGGACACTGCATTCATCCAAATGATAAACGAAGGTGATTTGGTTCAGAGCTGACATTGAAGAGTGAAGGAAACTAGCCAGTTCTGGGTATTTTTTGAAAGCAAGTTGGACGATAGGTTACATATGGCTTATAAAAGGAAGAGATGAGTCACGAATGATAGGAGTTTAGGTCTGAGAAACAGGTCTGGAAGAGTTTAGGTCTGGAAACGAGTTACCATTTATTGAACTAGGGAAGATTCAGATTGAACTAGGAAAGTTCCAGATTTTGGAAGTCCAGGAAGATCAAGTGTTCAAATTGACATATAACCATTCGAATTATAAAAAGAAATAGCAACTGAATAGGGTACAGACGTCTACTTTTAACAGAAAGTTGGTGTAATCTGAAGGCATACACTTTGGATGTTCAGCAGGGAGATTTTGAAGCCATTAGACTACGTTATTTCACCCAAGGAATGGTTGAGACGGGTCAGACCAGTGAGCCTAGGAACACTCCAACATCATAGATGTGGGTGCCTCTAAATTACCATCAAAGGAAATTAAGAGAACAGCCAGGGAAGAAGATAAGAAGGGCATAGTATGCCAAAAGCCCGGTTCAGGAAGTGTCTTGAGGAGGAGGGAGTGATGTCCTGGCAAATATGGTGGAGGACAGGACTCCCTCCCGGTAAGACACTTTCTGAACTTGGCTTTCGGCCAAAGAGGAAGGAGTGATTTCCCTGGGAAATACGGTGCTTGTATTCAGCATTGTTTTTACAAGTATAATTTGACCTATCACATTGATAGGTCTACCTTTTCATCTAAAAGTCATTTTAATGTCTTTATTCCTATAGTAAACATTATTGTAACATCTTTGTTACTGAGAATCTCCAAAGCACATTTTACGGTTTTCATTCCACATGTTGTAATTACTAAGTAAATTACCATGTAATTACTAAGTAAATCACCCTCAGAGGAGGGTAATGATAGGGGTTTTGAGGAACAAAGTTGGATGTGTTACGGGCCAGCCATGGCTTCAGTCTTTTTGTATAAAGTATATTACTTTATCCTCACATTAATTCTGTGAAATTGAATTAGTAATGATAGTATAATATTATAGAATAAGTATATAAAGCTTACTCTGGAAAAAAATCATAGCCTACAGGCTTTGCACATTTACTTGATTTTTATAATATACACTATTCCCATAAGAAAGTTATTAATTTGATGTGGTCAGTCACACAGGTGGTAAATTTAGGACCCAGGATGTCAATATTAGGGTCACGTCTGTTTAGTGGCAAAGTGTTACAATTCACTCATTCACTGAGTGTACCTCGTACCTATATATCTCTACTCACCCATCTCTCTACCAAACTACTATCTGTCCTCCAAGCCAATATATTTCAAAATATTTTACCATTTAATTATTGTGACAAAACTTTGAAATGTAAATATTGTAAATAAGGTATTTTTAAAGAAAGATCTCTGGGTTAGAGTGATTTTAAAAAATAAACTCGTAGTGTCTTTATTAGAGATTTTCAGGAAGATTAACTAGCAGTGGGTACTGTGTCCCAAGAAAGATAAGTACTATCCAAATAACTGTATGGGAAGTATTATGTATTTATCAATATTAATTTTCTTTCTCTGCCAATAGAGTGGCAAAAATGAAGCAGTGGATCGATAAATAAATAATAAATATTAAAACTATGTGGGCAAGAAGCATATTATCTTCTAAATATTTTATTACAAAATTTAGTTTAATAATTATTTAACAAGTTCATTCAACAGGAGAAAATAATGCATATTTTTCTTCCATATTCAAAAGTCAAATTTAGTTGTTATTTACAAAAACATTTGCAAAGTTTACTAGTTGGTCATATTAAAGGTATAAATAAAAGTGGGAATGTCAATGACAACATAACATTTTCCTTGTAATAAGGACATTTAAAAAGGACATTTAAAATGACTTTATTACCCTGCTCACTTACAAAATATTAAATGAGTAGAGATATTGCCAAATCATTTCAATACATGAGAACCATCACTCTTTTAAATTAAAGCACAAAAATCAAAAAGTCAAACTTACAGGAATGTAGAATGATAGTTACCAGAGGCTGGGATGGGGGAGTGGATTGGGAAAATAAAGATGTTGGTCCAAGGGTACAAAGACTCAGACAGAAGGACTTAGTTGCAGTGATCTATTGCACTGCGTGGTAACCACACACAATAGTAACGTACTGTGGATTTCAAAATTGCTAAAAAGTAGATTTTAAACTTTCTGACCACAAAAAACTGCTAAGTGAGGTGCTAGGTGTGTTCATTAGCACAATTTAATCTTTCTACAATGTGTACATAGATCAAAACAACATTTTCTACCTTATGTATTTAAAATATATTTATATTTATGTCTATTGATGTTCTAAATTTATAAATATATAAGTTAGAATGTCAATACATATAAATATAAATACATTTATAAATATATAAGGTACAAAGTCAATTAAAAATATATAAATATATGTGAATTTGGAAAACAAAAATCAAAAAGCAAAAGCTTAAGGAAAAAGTTCACAGATGTGTGTTGCTTTGTTCTGTGTTCCTTTTGCAGTTAGCAGAGAATGCTGTGTGTAAGAGCCTAGGCCCCAAAGCCAGTTGAACCTAGGATTGAGTTTTCCTCTCAAATCCTGCCCCTCCACCTACTCCTTCTGTGTAGGTAGTAATTCTTTCCCAGGAGGGGGAGACTAAATGACCTATGGATCTTGCATAAACCCATGCTCCATAACTATTAGTCACCATTATAACTACTTTTCAAAAATCCTAGGTAATAAAGTAAGACTTTAAGAAATCTAATACTATTATTCTTTAATATATTCCTAATAGAAAGAAAATAAGAGGAGGGAAAAAAAAGCAGAAAAAATCCTATTATGGGTGTTAGACTAGCTTTTCTGAAAAGATAAAATTTATGCAAAATCTGAAATAACAGGTTTATGTTACGTGAAGATTTCTGAGAGCAGCTTTTCAATTAGTGTTGTATGTGAGACAGTGCAGATACGAAAAGTAACATTTTTCAAGGCTCATGGTTCACAGCAGCTCTGTTAGTAGGAAGATGGTGTCAAATGTATAAATGAGATAAAGATGCAGTTTCCAAAACATTTATCTGAATAATTTTTCTAATTTATAAACATATTCTTTCCCAAATATTAATGCTTTATTTTTAACATTAATGCATGTTAAAAGATGTTATATGAAGATATGTAAAAATATTCTCAATTTCAATTGACTTCAAAGAGTCAATATGATTTTTTTTTACTTTCATGGAAATATGACAGTACAATAATTGATTATATTTGTAACTTAAAGATAAATATTAGTATTTGTAATTTTTAACACACAGTTTTGGCTTTAGGTAGAGGATTTTTATGATGAAATAAGGCCTTATATATCATTAATAAAATATAAAAATAGATAGAAATGTCTAATATTTCAATGTAGCTGAATAAAAATATCTTAACATGTAAAAGAATGAAAAGTATGTAGACTATGAGGAGACTAAAATAACTTTTTTGATTTCCCGAAAAATACATTAACTTCAATCAACATATATCAAAATATATGGTACCTTTTAAAATATAATTTTTATTCTCTTCACATTTAAGATACATAGAAATATTTCAAGATATGTGCTCAAAGAAGAAAGTTGACCAGCAAATTATAAACATAAGTATGCCAAACAGTTGAGATATAGGCAAGTAGAAACAAACAAACAAACATCAGTGTGTGCAAATAATATACCTAGAAAATTCAAGGAAAGAAATGCAAACTTTTAGAATTAGTGGGTGCTGTAAAGTGAAAATATATAATGTAAACACAAAGTATTATTTTCTTCTGCATCCTAAATCAAATATATTTTAAAGTAAAATTGGAAGAAATTTCCCTTAAAATTACAATACATTGATATAATCTGTTATTTTGTAAAATGCATTTTGAATAAAAAGTACTAATGGTTTGTTTTTAAATTTCAGCTTTTATTTTAGGTTCAGGCAGTACATGTGTAGGTTTGTTACATGGGTATATTTCACAACACTGATGTTTGAGGTACGAATGATACCGTCACATCACCCAGCTTGTGAGCATAGTGCCTGACAGGTTGTTTTCCAGCCCTCGTCCCCTTCCCTTTCTTCCCACTCTAGTAGCATTCAATATCTATTGTTCTTATCTTTATATCCATGTGTACTTAATGTTTAGCTCCCACTTATAAGTGAGAACGTGTTATTTGTCTATTTCTGTGTTAATTTGCTTAGGATGCTGGCCTCCAGCTGCATCCATGTTGCTGCAAAGGACATGGTTTTGTCTTCTTGTATAGCTTCGTAGTATTCCATGGTGTATATGTACCACATTTCCTTTGTCCAATCTACCATTGATGGGCATCTAGATTGATTTCATGTCTTTGCTGTTGTGAATAGTGCTGCGATGAACGTATGAGGGCAGGTGTCTTTTTGGTAAAACAACTTATATTCCTTTGGGTATGTACCCAATAATGGGATTGCTGGGTAAAATGGTAATTCTGTTTAAAGTTTGCCAAGAAATCTCCAAACTGCTTTTCACAATGACTGAACTCAGGTTCCTACCAACACTGTATATGCATTCCCTTTCCTCCACAACCTTGTCAACATCTGTTATTTGTTTGCTCTTTAATAACAGAGTCTGACTGGTGTTACATGGTATCTCATTGTAGCTGTGATTCGCATTTCTCTAGTGATTCATGCTGTTGATCATTTTTCCTGTTTTTTGGCTATTTGTAAGTATTCTTTTGAGAAGTGTCTGTTCATGTCTTTTGCCTATATTTAAATGAGGTCGTTTTTCACTTGTTCAATTATTTAACTTCTTTATAGGTTCTGGATATATGACCTTTGACAGATGCATAGTTTGTAAATATTCTGTCTATTCTGTAGTTATCTGTTTTAATCTGCTGAAAGTTACTTTTGCTGTGTGAAAGTTCTTTAATTAGGTCTCACTTTTAATTTTTCTGTTGTTGTTGCATTTGCTTTTCAGGATTAGTCATAAATTATTTGCCAAAGCCCATGTTGACAGTGATATTTCCTAGATTTTCTTCTAGGATTTTTATAGTTTTTGGTCTTACAATTAAGTATTTAACCCATTTTGAGTTAATTTTTATATATGGTGAAAGATATGGGTCTAGTTTTATTCTTCTGCATATGGCTAGCCAGTTATGCCAGCACCTTTTATTGAATAGCAAGTCTTTTCCTCACTGCTTGTTTTTGTCGACTTTGTTGAAGATAAGATAGTTGTAGGCACGAAGCTTTATTTCCGAGTTGTCTGTGCTGCTCCATTGGTGCATGTGTCTGTTTTTGTACCAACACCATGCTTTTTTGTTGTTGTTGTTGTTACTATAGCCTTGTAATATAGTTTGAAGTCAGGTAGTGTGATACTTTCAGTTTTGTTCTTTTTGCTTAGGATTGCTTTGGTCATTCAGGCTCTTTTTTGGTTCCATATGAATTTTAGAATAGTGTTTTCCATTTATATGAGAAATGACATTGGTAGTTTGATAGGAATAATGTTGAATCTCTACATTGCTTTGGGCAGTATGGCCATTTTGACAGTATTGATTCTTTGAATCCACGAGCATGGAATATTTTTCCACTGCATGTGTCATCTCTGATTTCTTTCAGGAGTGTTTATTTCTCCTTATAGAGAACTTTTACCTCCGTGGTTAGTTATATCCCTAGGTATTTTATTTTTCATTGTGGCTACTGTAAATGGTATTGCATTCTTGATTTAACTCTCAGCTCGACCATTACTGGTGTATAGAATTGCTACTAATTTTTGAATATTGATTTTGTATACTGAAACTACCGAAGTTGTTTTCAGTTTTAGAGCCTTTTGCAGAGTCAGAGGTTTTCTAGGTATACAATCATATCATCAATGAAGAGAGATAATTTAACATTTTCTTTAATTATTTGAATGTCTTTTGTTTCCTTTTATTGCCTGATTGCTCTAGCTAGGACTTCCAGTACTACATTGAATAGGAGTAGTGAGAGTGGGTATTTTTGTCTTGTTCCAGTTATTAAGGGGAATGCTTCTAGCTCTGCCGGTTCTGTATGATGTTAGTTGTGGATTTGTAATAGATAGCTTTTATTATTTTGAGGTATGCTCCTTTTATGCCTAATTTGTTGAGGGTTTTTGATCATGAAGCGATGTTAGATTTTATTAAAAACTTTTTCTGTGTCTATGGAGATGATCATGCGATTTTTGTTTTTAATTTTGTTATGTGATGAATCACATTTATTGATTTGCACACGTTGGAACAATTCTTCATCCCAAGAATACAGGCTACATGATCAGGGTAAATTAACTTTTAGATGTGCTGCTGGACTTGATTTTCTAGTTTTTCTGTTGAGAATTATTACATCTGTATTCATCAGGAATATTGGCCTGTGGTTTTCTTTCTTATTGTGTCTTTGCCAGACCTTGATACCAGAATGATGCTGGCTTCATAGAATGAGTTACGGAGGAGTCCCTTCCCAAATTTTGGGAATAGTTTTAGTAGGATTGGTATTCCCTCTTCATTGTACATCTGGTAAACTTCAGCTGTGAATCTGTCTGGTCCACGTCTCTTTTCGTTGATGGATTTTTTATTACTGATTCCATTTAAGACCTCAATATTGTTCTGTTCACGGTTTTAATTTCTCTTCCTGATTCAGTCTTGGAAGGCTGTATGTTTTCAGAGATTTATCTATTTCCTCTAGATTTTCTACAAAATACTAATGATTTTCATTGCCAGTTTTACACCTCATCATTTTATTCCCCAACAAAAACAAGTTGTAAGTTTTAAAAATTAAATTTGATTTTAAGTTTTAGACCAAAACCCTTTGAACAAAGTCTCAGCTACTTCATATGGAAGACATTAGGCCAGGTAAGGCCCTGTAGTAGCTCTCCTGTGACTAAGTGCATGAGTTTACATTAGTGGAAGCATTATCAGAATATCTGTGTGACCGCATCAAATTCAAACCACATCTTCCACCTTTATCTCTACCATAGACGATATTTTGAGCTTGACTCTTACCTGACTCTTAAATCTTCAACCCAGTAGGCTCTGGGCTTAGATGGGAAGAGAAGGAATGGGATGTTATTCACTATCCTTTAAAACATCCATGTTTATTAATAGCTAGATGTTTCCAAAAACTGAATTAGCCATAAATACAAAGAAGTCCTTTTTTTTGAACTGCTCCTATGACTTCTGAGTCAGGCTTTGATATCTAGAATATTTTTTTCTTTGCAAAGTTTCCATTCCTCAAACCACAGCAAAGCAGACTGTACCACATTACTCACAAAGAATGCAGGTAACATTTTGGAGATTCTATGTGTTCCTCAGGAAGTGAAAATCTGGAATATTTGATCATTAGTCAAACCTCCAGACAAATTTCCACATTCCAGAAAAGTGTCTGATTAAGTAAGAGAGAAAAACACGCAAAAAAACCTGGATCAAATATTCCAGATTCCACTTTTCTTCTCTGTTTATAAATGTGTATATGTATGTCTATGTATATAGTCAGACTTATACAAACACCTCAAAATGCTCCACAAATTTCTTGAAATTAATCAGTGCTTCCAAATTTTAAAACATATATTTGTATGGAATATTCAAATTGAGAGTAGAAAAGGAAATATTTTATAAAGGTAAATGGATATGCATCACATCTACTTTGGTGAAGAATCATTGGCTGTGTCACTTTGGCTGTGACTTTCCCATTTGTCATTAGCATTATTGAGATTGGTGTGATTAAATCTCCATGCCTCTCTCAATACGCAATCCTATGAAATGTAAAGATTTTTAAATGTGGGATATGAATCATTTAATTGCACTGCACTTACTACCACTGCAAAAGATCAACAATCAAAATTATCTGAGAGCAGTGATCCCAGAGCCATTCAGGATATTGCCTAATTAATCATGGCCTCTGAACCATACGTATGCTATCTTTCTTATTTTAGTGAATTGTGTCAGGCAGAGGAAAGATAAACTTAACATGATCTATTTAAAATATCAAAGTAATATGCATTTTAATGTGATTACATTTCTATAGCCCTGCTATGCTTTCCCTTCTTCTGTTTTTATGCATGAACCTGTTATTTCCATTTCAATGACAGATACGAGAGCAAATCATACATTGAACATCTCTCTTCTATTAAGGCATTTTTGTTACCGTAAGTAATATTGAGCTGGTTCTCATTCAACTCAAGTGCATCTATGAAACAAGGTTTAGCCATGCATTAAATGAAGGTTTCAAATAACATTATGCTGAGAATTTGCTACATGTTAAACACCGATAGCTTCCTTTCAATATGTTTATTGGTATAACAGTTATGCAATAAAAAATACAGTAAAATTTTATGATGCTTCATTCATACCAACAGCTCCCATAGCACAGCAGTTATTCAAATGGTCCGTATAAAATTAACAAAGAGAATGACTTTACAGCAGCAGCATATAAAAGGTGTGAGGGGCTTGAAATATTAAGCAATAAGGTATACCAGATCTGATTCATTTGGTAACATTATATTATTAGTATATTAGATGTAGCTTTGGAAAAATGAATTTTCAATGATTTGGAAACAGCTATGTGCATGGTAACAGAGCTAGCGTTGAGGAAAGAAACAGATGAACAGCACAAACTGAAGATCTGAATTTCCCTTCCAGGCACGCCAAATAGAAGTTGCTTAAATAATATGATTTGAGGGCTTCTGTGCCCAAATTTAAATCCCTGAAAGGTGTACTCTAAGATAAAATTCTTTGGGCCTGGAAGGCTTGGGAATTTTCACAATCTTCAAAAAGACTGCTTTTAATTAATGCCACAATTAGAAGAATTAATTCATGATGGGTTGAGAACAAAGTCATTCTAGAAAGACACATAGAGGAAAACCTAAATGAGAGATGGTTAAAAATATCAACAAAGAAAGAACAGGATGAAAATGGAAAGAGAAGTTAAGACAAAATTAAACTTCATGATTTTACCCCAACCTTGATCTTTAGAAAAATATCAGCTATAATTTCCAAATGATACAGATATCAGCCATCACTTCCAAATAATACAAAAAAATTTTTTGAAGACTTAAAATCTACTATCTTTTTGAACTGTTTTATCATTGTACTGCAGCTTGTTTTTACACAGTTGGCCAGATTTGCTGTTGTGTTGGTACAGTGTAGCCCCAGGCCTGGCCTGAGGAAACACTGTAAACCCCAACCTAGTTATTAGCAAACATGCTATGTTCAAATTTATCTTGGGGGAAGCAGACTTTCACAAAGCTTGACTCTTTCAGTTGCTAATAAGAAGTCTCAAATTCAATAATACTGGGGTAGGAGTGTTATATTTACTTAATTCTAGGAGTATTTGAATTATTACACCTGGACTTAATGCTTCTCCTTTTGGACCTGTTTATCTGATACAGGGGTTACAGCAGTTCATTTGAAAAGAAGACTAAAACAATAGTCACCATAAAACAGCCCAGTGCTCCCCAGAGTCAGCACAGAAAAAAGGAGAAAAACAATTTGCTAGACTGATCATAGAATGATTTACCAGCCAATTAAAGAACACTTTACTGCAGTGCAAGGGGATTTCAAACACAGATGAATTACACTAAGATTGCTTCCTTTATTTGCATTGCAAAAAATCAGGCAGATCCTAGTTTTGTATAAAGAGCTTCATAATCTTGTAATTTTCTAGAGCCTGGACTTTTATTTTGACACAAGGGCCGTGTTCATCTGAAGACAGTCACTCAGATACTTTCCAAGTATGCCACTGAGAAATTGAAATTACAAATAATATATTACCAGATGCCACAATCTACAGAGCCTCGTAAAAAGCGGTACTCAAGTGTCACTTTGAACACCTGTTAGACACTGTATTTGAAATGAAATATTATTTGAACATTTTAACTTGTAAGCATGAGTTTTGATGAATTATAATTCACAACTATTACAGACAGAAACTTTTCACAGTAAGCCAAAGACGTCAGTTTTTGACACTCACTTAGCAGAAAGAGTGACTCATGATGGTTCCCGATAACATTTGATTGGCGCTGAAATCTGCCCTAAGGAATTCCTCATGTTGGATTTCTGCTTCAGAAATTTCATGTGTGAGAATTTGGTGAGAAGTCATCTTAAAAAAATAATAATTGACTATTAGAATGCATTAGTGCTTAACCTGAAACCTGTGGAGAGAGCAGGGCATATTGATCCATGACCAATAGCATGCCATGTCACTTATAAAGGGGCCAATGTAGCTTGAGAAAAACTAGCAAAAGCATAGTCGCTCCACAATTTCTAACCTAAATGGAACTATGTGATTGTATAGTACAAATAGATATATAATGCTGTCTAATTCGTATCAAAACTCAGTTTTAGCTATGTATGTTATTCAAGTTAAAGATGAAAGTATCTTAAATTCCTTGATTGGCAATTGCTTTAGCTGGGCATAATACATTTTCTTAAATGCTGTCTTGACCCAGTTTTGAGGTCCTGGCTAAAGGCTCCATTCCCTTCTTCAGCGGCAAAGTTCACACCCCCAACCACATTCTTTATTGGGCTCTAGCCCTCCAGGTCCACTATGCATCAGCCCTAATCACCCCAGGGCCAGGAAACAGACAACTGAAGACAGCAAAATGATTTAAATTAGCCAATCCACAGGAAGGCTGGGAAACCTAGCTCACCCCACAGGCTTGCTACGCATAAGCTGCCCCCACAGCGCCAGCCTGCTGTCAGCTGCTCCTGGGGCAACCTCTGTGTGATGCCACTGCAGCCTTCTGTCCTTTGGAGCTGAATGTAATGAAGAAGAGTTCCATCTTTTATCTGTCAGGGTGTTGTGTCCTGCCATCAAAATAATCTTTAAATGTTATAAAAACACCAAGCAATTTAAACTGTTATTTATTTAACCCTAATGAACCCTAAAGTTCTGTGACTGACAACTTGCAAATTCCTACGTGAAGAAGAAAGGTAGATGGGGAATAAGGTTGATTACCAATGATGCTGTATTTTCCTCTCTTGTAGTCAGAGTCTACTGGGTATGAAAGACAGGAAGATGATCATTTCGCTTTTTAAGAATTCTAGAGCCACGTCTGTCTTTACTGAAACCCCAGCCACAAAATGCACTCCAGACTCACCATCATAGGCATTTAGACCACTGGAATTGGGGATTTCTCTCTTTTCCTTCACCACAAGCAGCCCAGGGCCACCAGTCTTTTCTCAAGCTCCAGTGTTTCATTGTATATGATCTTTTTCCATCTACACCACTTTCTGAAGCCTTCCCACAGAGTGCCCTCTGGAGCTCACAATTCCTCATCAGAAAAATACCCCATGCCTGCAAGCCTCCATTCAGTTTTCTTCTTGCCCTGACCCTTGGGCTCTCTTATAAGGACTCTGTACCCCCTTGAACTTCTCTTCAGAATTTTCTCTGACCCAGGAGTCATTGTTTTGGAGATATGATATGTGCAGTCCTCATTCTACTTTTTTTTGTTGTTTATTATTTATACATAAGGGATGTACATGTGATATTTTGATACATTCATCCCATTAAATCAAGGTAATTAGGATATACATCCCCTTCATTCTTTATCCTTTCTTTATGCTAGGAACATTCAAATTATTCTCTTCTAACTATTTTGAAATGTACAATAGATTTGTGTTAACTATAGTCACCCTACTGATCTATTGAACACCATGTCTTATCTCCTTTGTCAAACCTAATTTTTACAACCCACTATTAATCAACTTCTTTTCATCACCCTCCCCGCCTTACCCTTCCGAGCCTCTGGCAATCACCAATCTACTGTCTATTTTTCTGAGATCCACTTATTTAGCTCCCACGTATGTTCACTCCATATTCCTCCTTCCAGACCATGTTCCTTCCCTCTACCTTCAAACCTTTTAGCTTTTATTTTAGCTGTAAGATTGTATCACCTACTATTCCTTGTTGAATAGGTCAGTCCAATGCTTCATCACTTTCCTTGAAGATTCCATGTTCTGGTTCTGTTTCTTTCCCTCTATTCCTACTGCTTTTTAGCTTTTAAAATTTCAACACAGGACAGGCAATCCTCCCATCCCACAGTCTCTTAGATGGGGTTGATTTGTCACCCATTCCACGCCACCATGACCCCCACTAGGCCTTAGTCATTTCTAAAAGCCACGTCACCTTCATAATCACAATTTAATGCATTCTACTCTGACTTGCAGTTTTTTCAGGTGAACACTTTCTACCTTCACTTCAACAACTTCTTAATCTGAGCAAGACCTGTAATCCATTCATCCTGCCATCTTTTCACTGTTCTTCCCCAGTCCTATAACCCCACTTCCCTTTTAATCCAGTGAAGAGTGCATGGTCCAGCTGCTGGGTCGCTGCCTTGCATATTTTTCACTCCCTTGGCAGTTTTGCCATCCTATTTCCTAGCAAAACCGTAACTCCCTTTAAGACCAACTTTTCTCTAACTCTGTCGCTGAACCCTCACAGCTGAAAGTGCCTAGAGAAAAATACACAGCAAGATACAAATTTACTTTAAATCCATGACCTCTAACCTATCGCATTAGACTCTTGGTGTTATACATTAATTCTACTCAATTTCTCTATCCCATTCAATCTCCTTTCATACAAGTGCATTTCATATTTTCTCTCTACTCAAGACTTCAAAATCTCTACGCTCTTGACATTCTCAGCTTTCTATTTCATACAGAAAATAGGAACAATGAGAATAAACCACACTTCCACGACTCCTTCTCATCCAACTTCACCTCTGCCTTCTCTTCTTGTAATTTGGAAACATGGTCCCAGCTTCTACAGAATGAGGACCCTCATACTGTATGCTCCATTCCATCTAGTCTTACCTTAGCAAGGGTGTTGCTCGATGAATTGATCCACTGTCCCCACCAGCAATAATGATATACTCTCTACTTATCTTTAAAAAAAAAAAAAAAAGCCCTTTTTGGAATCCATCTTTCTTTTAAGCTACATTTTTCTGCTGCAGTTTTAAATACAGAATTACTGCTCAAAGGTTATCTGGGCTCACTGCCTACATTTCCTTTCCTCCTATTCTCTCTTGAGCTCTGTTTGAGTACGTTTCTTCCTCATGATTCCACTGAAATTAGTCTCCTTCAGGTCACCAGTGACCTCAATTGCTGGAGCTTAAGAAATGACTGGCAGTTCTGAGCTTCCTGTGGTGATTGAAAAGAGGGAGAATGCCCAGTTATATTCAAACACTTCAATAAGTTAGAAAATAATCTATATCAGGCACTAATGAATGCCTAATGTAGAAAACACAAATACCCTATAACTCTCTCAATGACATGTTTATTGATGCAAACTGACATGCAAAGAAATAATTTCCTTTATTTTGTGGCACAAAGGAGAAGGTGGTACATTTTCTCTTTTATGTTACTTCATCGATATTATTATTTAAATACAATGATTATACATAAAGTTTTTAGTCATTCACTTATAGTAACTGAATTGTTACTATCAATATAATTTTAAAACAAAAATTAGCAAAAACATCGTATTGCTAATAAATTTATGCACACTTATATCATGTCAAAAAAGAAAAATCATTTTTTATCCTTATCTTATATTAGCAGCAAACTTATATTGTTAATATGTTAATTGATAGCTGTTGTGCCCTGTCTAGTATTCCAGAAAACACAGGAAAATATCTAATTTGAATGAAAATTTATGTAAATTTTTAGAGTATTTCTAGCATTGTACAACTTTTTCTCAGCCATAGATAATATTAAAACAAAATGAATCATGGCAGTAGATCTCTGTCACATATGAGTACGATAAAAGTCAAGTTGTATGTTTTATTTTAAATTTGGGTACTAGGTTTCTTGTGTAGACCTCTTGCTAAAATTAACAATCATAATGAAAACATTTTTATGGAATTATCTGAAAAGAATCCTCCATGATCAATATTTAGAGGCAACATGAAATCTTCACAAAAGCACACAAATTGAAACACACACACACACACATACAAACGTGTGTTCTACACAGTCTAGGATTCATTGGTTACATAGCTTGGAAGCCACTTTTTATATCTGACATCCAATTTTCTAATGTATCAAATTTAAAAGAAAAACACAATGCCAAATTGAGATTTCTTATAATGATCAAATCAGAAAACGAAATGAGGCTTTCACAAATAGCAGCTGTTTAACAAATGTTAGCTATGCCCACATGGATTCTGAGAACAGTGTTCAGGGAAGTCACAGAATCATCCCCATACCCTGGGACTTCTCAGCCTTCACTTCTGACTTGGCTACCTATTTGTGTGAGGAATTATAAAAACTCATGAATATCAGTGTCCTCTTCAATTCCCAAGCTTCTTTGGAAGTAGGATCATTATATAACTAGATGTCTTCAAATGAATGTGAAAGAAAAAGCTTTGATTCTTCTATGAGGAAGCAGTCAACAGTTCCCAAGGCCATTGCGTTCATCCCAGGATAACTCTAGTGCTACTATCTAAAGAATCCAGAAAACAGAAGTAATTGCTTTCCTTGAGATACTATTTTGGGCAGAGACTGGTGTCCTTACATTGACTGCCATGTAAGGAATAAACAAGCTTTTGTTTTGCCTTGTTACTGAAATTTTTACTGTTACAGAAATGAGCATTAAGTACCTTGGCTAATATAGCATTTAAGCAGTTTATTATGCAAACCTAACACAAGATAGATTTTGCACAGGCAAAAATAACTCATTCCATTTTGTTGTCCATAACTGAGAGTCTTCTTTGGAAAATACCCTATAGTTACATTCCTATATGCTGAAAATTGTGAAACTCCACAATTAATTGCTACAGTTATAAGGATGGGGAAAGAAAACTTATAACTGTAAGGCAACCAAGACAAAATAATGAAAGGGTAACTGCGAAAAGTATACTTTTAATGAAGGTATTATTTGAAAATGTTGGCTTTTCCAAAGGCAAAATAAAAAGCTTAAAATATAAATGTGTTGACATTTGTTTGGCTAAAAATTCAAAATACCAGATTCTGTGAGGCAAACAGATTTACCCACAAATTGCAAAGTGTACAAAAAAGACACTAATTGCCGTAGCCACTCTTTAAACAATCATGTAGAAGCATATCAGTGGATAAGCTGTCAACGAAGTTCCATTTAAGATTCTCATAAAATCAAAACAGAAAAAGAAAAGCTTTTCTTCTAAGGAAGCAGAATACATCCACTCTAATTATTTTCAGTGCACTGGCTGTTCACTGAAAGGAAATGAGTGTTTGTTTATCTAGGGATCAAGTTAGAGTTGAACTATTTCTATACTCATACTTTATTTTTTGACTCTAATTTCAGTAGTTTATGGGTACACAAACAAGGATTTAAAAAAGAGAATGCTGACTATTTTAGTTTCAAATGAAGACTCATGAAACTATCGCAAACACCTGCAGCTATCTTAAAGTTTTCACATTGCATAGCTCATTATTTCACAATTTCAGAAACATGCTGGCAGGCATAGGTGATGAACCATAGTATAAAATAGATGCAGTAATAACCAGCCTCTCAACCACAAGTAATTGAGTTGTATGTGAAATAAGAGTGACTACACGTATTATTTGTTCAATGCAGAGATATTTGAGAATGGCAATAGAGTTATAAATTGGAAGACAACTCTACAGTGTGTATCTGTTTAAAATTATGGAATATAATAAAATTGCTAGATGCTAATAATTCTGCAACTTTCAGATTTTGAATTTAACAGGAAAACAAAAACAGTCCATTGCTTTCAGTGAAGATATAAAATCACAAGAGGTCATCATACCCACCCTAAAACAAGAATAAGATGGATGAGTCATAAAAATCACATTTTTCCTCCTCATCATACAGCTGAAGATAAAATGAATCTTAACTGAATTTCAGAAAGTGTCAATGCTTTGCTAGGATAGAAGAGCTCCACAACTGCTTTATTTTTTTGTTGAAATGATGGGAATCGGAAAAAAATAATAACTTCAACAGATGGGGGTAAGGGTAAACTAGCCTAACTTTTAATGAACTTGTAATAGCCAGTTATAGCCTGATGTGAGAGATTAGAATCCTGAGGAGTCACAGTCAAAGACTGTGTGTCTGCACAACCAGCCAGGTTTTTCAATGGAGCGTTAACAAAGGGTGCAACCTCCAGAGTCTGGGGCAGGGCTGACAGGCTGAGCACAGTCCTCTGTCCCATATCCCAGGTGCAAGAGCCTTTGCCGTGTGCATGGGCAGACAGCAAGAAAGAGAGAGCTCCTGAATTTAAGAAACTGAGAGGTGAATGAAGAGCAAAAGAACTGTCAGGCTGCATTTGATGGTCAATTTGATGCATCAACTTGACTGGGATAAGGGGTGCCCAGATAGCTGGTAAACATTATTTCTGGGTGTGTTTGTGAGGCTGTTTCCTGAAGAAGATTGGCATTTGAATCACTAAACTGAGCAAAGATGATTCACCCTCATCAACGTGGGTGGGCAGCATCCAATCTATTGAAGGACTAAATAAAACAAAAAGGGAGAGGAGGGTGTATTTTCTTTCTCTTTGCTTGAACTGGGACATTCCATCTTCTCCTGTGCTTAACCTCAAGGCTCCTGATTCTCAGGCCTTTGGACTTGGAATGAATGACACCACTGATCTTCTTGGGTCTCCAGCTTGCACAGGGTATGTCGTGAGACTTCTTTGTATACATAATCATGTAAGCCAATTCTCATAATAAATCCAGGGTTTTACATATACATCCTTTTGGTTCTGTTTCTATGGAGAACTCTGACAATAGACTGGGCAGAGTGAAATCTGGGATTTTACTGGTGCTTAGATTCTAAGCCCTGATGAAAACAGTGTCCTAACCATATATACTAGAAGCTGGTGATGAATCTGCCACAAAGTCAAGAATTAACTCAACTACATATTAGATTGGTCCATACACCCCACTAATGTCTTCAAAGAGGAAGGGGAATTTTTTCTTCTTTACCCCTGGGGTGAAAAATATTTACATTAATCTATAATCCTCTTTAACACAAAATATCCTGAATAAAATTTTGAATTATGAGGTACAAGAAAAAGAAAAGAATGATCTGTGTGTGTGTGTGTGTGTGTGTGTGTGTCTGACTCACCATGTGCAGCTAATTTATTTTTGTAGTGATAGGGTCTTGCTATGGTGCCCAGGCTGGTCTCAAACTCCCGGTCTCAAGCAATCCTCTTGCCTTGGCATATTTTATTTACATGTACTTTTAAAATCATTCTGGTAAAAGGATGTGAAGGTCTACGTAAATTTGTTTCATACCAATTAGGTAATGTAACAGTATCACATATCACAACATGAGAAATCGAGTCCATGGATGGTAAATAAAAAGGAAATGGAACTGGGAGGACTTTTATAGCTAAGAATGAAATAATTTCATTCATAATTCTTTAGAATTTTTCCAAGCTTTTCTACACCATTCAGATGTATTAACTAAACCCGTCAGTCCCCTGTTATTTCTCCAGGAGTTGCGACCCCTTATGGAACCTATTTATTTTTGTTGCCAAGTGGGTAGTGATGCTGCCATGTCCCATCTTGAAAGAAATTGTACTTATCAGTATGGATTTTTACCCTAGCTGATGTGTTCCACAGCAGTGAAATGCTGAGTTTTGTTTTACCTGCCAGTCAAGCTTTCTTTCTACTCACTAGGACTGGTTTATTGTTTACATTTGAATTTTATTTGGCATTTTTCTTTTCAGATTTTTATAAGAACACAATTTTGCATTTTAAGTCCACATAGGTACAGGAAAAAACACAAATTTGTAGACTCAATGCATTCGTCACAAAGGGAGCATGCCCATGTGACCAGCACTCAGGTCCAAAATCAACGTATCATCAGCACGCAGATGCTTCCTCATAGGCCCTATTCCAGTGACTAATGAGATATCCGTGCCTTTCCATTGGGCACAGACACAGAAGCTAAATTGCTGAATAGAGCTTGCACATTATCAAGTATAATAGACACTCCCCGATGGGTTTCCACTGTGCTTATACCTGCATGCATGCCCACCAGTGTCGGATTAGACGTCCAATTATTCAAAACCTTCACCATCACTTGGTAGTTTTTATTTCATTTAGACTTCTCGTGGATGTTAAATAAATAATAGGTAGTTTAAGGATTTGCATATATCATTGATGATTAAAGATGTTGAGCAATTTTTATAATCATCGAATGCTTAGTTATCATTTTTATAGTAGTGCCTGTACAAGTTATTTCTAGCTTTCTTACTTAATTTTTAAGAATCCTTTATATATTCTAGATTCAAGTCCAGAAGATGTATTGCAACTATTTTCTCCCAATCTGTGGCTTCATTTACACTCTATTCATGGTATCTTTTGATTAACAGAAATTTGTACATTTTTAATAAGGCATAATACAGCACATCTACCATTGTAGTATTTTGTGTCCTATTTAATAAATCATCACCTATGCCAAGCCCATAAATATATATTCTTATATTTTCTACCAAAACTTTGTTTTACTTTTCCAGTTATTTCTAAAATCAATTCAGAATTTATCTTTGCACATAGTTGTTCAGATAGATATTCAACAAGCCCAGAATCATTTACTGAAATGAGAGCTGTTTCTATATTGTGATACAGATGCATTTGTAAATTAGGTGACCATGCAAATGTGTTCCTGCTTCTGAAATTTTTACATTGAGTCAATACCACACTCTCTTAATCACTACAGCTTTCAAATAGGTTATGATAGGACACAGTAAAGTCTTATTTCTTTGTTCTTTTTAAAATTATCTTGTTCTTTGCATTGCTATTTTAATTTTTGAGATTAACTTGTAGATTTCCACTAAAAGTACCTCCTAGAATTTTTCTTGGGTTGTATTTAAATATCTTAATTATTTTGAAGAATATATACTTTTTACATATTGACTTTTCCAACCTAAGAGCAAGTCATATCTCCTCAAACTCTGGGTTTCTAGGTTTTATTACAATTTTCTCAATATTTGTAATTTTAAGCCTTAATCTCCTGTACATATTTCCTAAATTTAATTCCAGTTTTTGATGTTTTGTATACTAAATGATATTATACAAGTATAATTTATTTTTAAATATTTCTTATGTATTTAATATATTGCTAAATGTGCTTATTTATTTTAATAATTTTTCTGTGGGTTTTTTCTTTTTTCATTGATAGTTTCTGTCACCCGGAGGCTCAGTGCAACCTCCACCTCCCAGGCTCAAGTGATCCTCTCCGACCTCAGCCTCCCAAGTAGCTGGGAACACAGACATACACCACCACGCCTGGCTACTTTTTATATTTTTGGTAGAGACTGGTTTTTGCCATGTTGCCCAGGTTGGTCTCTAACTCCTGAACTCAAGCAATCCACCTGCCTTCCAAAATGTTAGGATTACGGGCATGAGCAACCATGCCAGCCTTTTTTTTTTTTATGTAAGAAAAAATGTCTTCTTTGTACAGAATAATATCATTGTAAATGAGGAAGCTTTATTTTTTCAATATACTTTTTATGCCTTTTCTTTTTTTTAAATTTCTTCTTTTTAAATTTTATTTCTGTAGGCTTTTGGGGAACAGGTGGTATTTGGTTAAATGAGTGAGTACTTTAGTGGTGATCTGTGAGACTTTGGTGCAGTCATCTCCTGAATAGTACACACTGAACACAATTTGTAGTCTTTTATCCCTCAGGCCCTCCCACCCTTTTCCCCCAAGTCCCCAAAGTCCGTTATATCATTCTTCTGCCTTTGCATCCTCATAACTTAGCTCCAACTTCATTAGCTAGGACATTCCTGATAATATTGAAAAATCTCATTCTTGAAATAGTGGAGAGGGACAGTGAATGATTTCAGTAATTCACCAATATGACATTTGTCAAAGTTTTTGGTAGTTAAGCTTTATCAAATTAAGGAAGTTCATTTATGTTTCTATTTTGCCAAAAGCTTTTCTCAAGAATAGGTGTTGACTTTTACTAAATACAGCTCACATCAAGATGAGCAGGTATATTTTGTTCTCTTTCTGTTGAAGTTGGCGTACATTTGTCAAAGTGTTTAAGTTACTCAAACCGAGGTTGTTGAGAGCTTTATTCAGCTGGAGCACCTCAAGGTGCACCTGATACCAGGTAACCCTCCGATTGAGGTCAGATCAGGGTTTATATAATACGGTGAAAAGCTGACTAACAGGTATCAGTGTGGCTCTGGGGGAGGACTCCATTCTTTAACCACATCTACATTGTCTCTCCATTTACTAATACACATTGTCTTAATTACAGAAAGTTTGATTTGGTCTTCTAATTAGGTAATATGAGTCCTTTAATTTTGCTGTTCTCCCCCATGAATGTTTTGGTTTTTTCAGAGCCTTTGCTTTTACATGTACATTATAGAATCCCATTGCAATTTGTTCAAAAGGTCTTCAGTGACTGAGGTTAAAATAACATTTCATCTGTAGAATAATCTTGGGAGAAAGGCTTCATATCAATATTAATTCTTTTAGCCCATGAATGTGATATATTGCTCTACCAATTTTTGTTATGTTGTGAAATAAATATACTTAGGTATTTGTAAATTTTTTTCAATAGGGCTTTTGCATATAGTGGTTTATAGGTTTAGCATTATTTTTTAGGTTTTTCCTAGTTAATTATTTATGTAAATGGTACTCATAAGTTTTATGCCATATATAAATCCAACTGTTTTTATGTTGTTGACTTTGATAATTTACCAAATTTGTAAACAAAACAACATACAACAATGTCATCTACAAATGGGAGAGTTTTACTTTATCCTTCACAATCTTTCTGCTTTTTATTGAATGTGCATAATGTTAATGTCTAAGAATTCCAGTTCAATGTAGAATAAAAGTTTGAGAGCCCCTAATGTTAGGGGATGTATAGGGAACAGCATTCAATACTCTATTATAAAGTATAATAATCATGAAAGGGGTTTTTAAATACCCTAAAAAGAGTGAGGATATTTTATTCTGTTCCTAATTTTTAGACATGAAATTATATCACCAACAGATATAGAATTTTGTTATATGCTTATTCTGTATCTACTGAGTTAATCATATGAATTCCCCCTTTTTCTTTTAATTGTTACTCTGCTATTATTATTATTATTATTATTATTATTATTATTATTATTATTGACATGGAGTCTCACTCTGTCGCCCAGGCTGGAGTACAGTGGTGCTATCTTGGCTCACTGCAACCTCTGCCTCCCAGGTTCAAGCAATTCTCCTGCCTCAGCCTCCTGAGTAGCTGGGATTACAGGCATGTGCCACCATGCCCTGCTAATTTTTTTTGTATTTTTACTAGAGACAGTGTTTCCCCATATTGGCCAGGCTGCTCTCGAACTCCTAACCTTGAGATCTGCCTGCCTCAGGCTCCCAAAGCACCGGGATTACAGACATAAGCCACCACACCCAGCCCTCATATTAATTTTTTAAAAGTGCATATCCACAACAATTTTTACTCAGTCATGATTTTTATCTTTTTATATATTAATGGAGTAGATTTGCAAACATTTCACCAAAGATTTTTGACATTACATTAAAATGGGATATTACTCTAGAAATTTTTAACTGTAATAACCTTTTCAGTTTTTGGTATATAGATGTTGCTAGACTTACAAAACGAGTTGGTAAGCATTTATTCATTCTGTATTTTTTAAAAGTTTTCTGGAAAATTGCTAATATTTGTTCTTTAAGAATTTGACAAAATGTTTACGTGAAGCTATTCAGGCTTGGCCTTTTATGTTTGGAATGTATTTGACTATGAATTTCAATTGTTTAATAGATGTTAGGCTAACTTTTATTATTAAATTCCTGTAATAAATATAGTTCTATTTAGATTTTCTATTTATTCTTGGAACAATTTCTGAATTGAATTTTATAAGGAAACAATTTATTACTGAACTTAACACAAAGTTGTCCACAATACATTTCATCATACACATAATTATATAATGTTATCTAATAATATAATATGTAATTGTATATTACATATAGTATATTTTTACAATTCTAAGATCTATGGCCTACAACTTTTTACATTCTTGATGTTGGAACTTTTTTTTTTATTCAATCTTGCCAAGGTTTATCAATTTTATTATTACTTTACAGAACCAGATTTTGGCTTTGAAAATGTTCTATATTGCTTGCTTGTATTTTATGCCATTAACTTTTTTGTAAATTATTCATTATTTCTTGTCTTACACTTTTTGAGGTTTAATTCACCAGCTTTTTATCTATTCATAAGATTGACTTTCAAATAACTTATTTTTCTAATATTGGCATTTAAGTCTATAAATTTTCCTCCTAACAATACTTTTGCTGCATCCCCCAATATTTTTATTAGCAAATATATTTTCAAATATATATATTTAAATATTTTCATGATTTCTTTTTTTCCCCCAAGGCTGTTTAGAAGTGTATTGCTTAACTTCTAAATATATTAGGCTTTTCTAGATATCAGATGATTTTTGATGTCTTACTCTATATGCTTTTAAGGATTTGACATTTATTGAGACTTGCTTTTTCATGCTGTATAATATGACCTATCCATGAATTTTCTGTGTCTACTTTGGGGGAAAAAATGTTTACTCTGTATTTGTTGGGTGCAATACTCAACGACTATCAAGTCAGTTAAATTTGTGCATAGAGTTGATCTACTCTTCTGTATCTTCATTGATTTTGTGTGTGTGTGTGTGAGCTACCACTCAATGAGAGAGGAATGTTTAAATATCCAAAATCTATCATTATTTTTCTGTTTTTGCCTTTTAGCTCTGTCAGTCCTTTGCCCCTCCTCCCACCCTACACACTGTATTTTATAGGTTTGTTATTATGTACAAATATGTTTATGATTGTTGTATCTTCCTGAAACAAAAATGTTTACTGTATCATCATAAAATGACCCTTGATCCCTGACAGAACATTTTGTTTTAAAGTCTACTTTTCTCACAATATATCAATGTCAGCATCTTAAATTAGTGTTTGCATGGCTTATAATTTTCTGCTATTTTCCTCCTTATATCTTTCCATTTGTGTATTTACATATTTTAACTTTTCTTTCTTTTCAACTGCATATGACTGAGTACTGGGTTTCTAAGAAATCTGAGAAAGTCTTTGTATTTTAGTCTGGGTGTTTAGTCTATTTTTATTTAATGTATTAATTACTACTGCTAAGTTTAAACACACTATTTGTCTTTTTTTATTTTGCCTTTCTTCCTTTTTAATTTTTTTCCTCTAATTTGGTTCTTTTTTGGAGTAAAATTCAAAATTCTCTCACTTTGTGCACATCTAAAACATCTTTATCATAGCTCCATAGGTCCATAGAGCTGAGGGTCTGACTTCTGTTATTTGTTTATTGTTTTTGGTTTTGTTTTAGTTTGTTTTTTTGGTCTGTTTCTCTTTGTTATTCTGATGGGGGTTTTGTTGTTTTAATTTTTAAGTTTATTGATTCATTTCTGTGTCTCCATTCTGATGTTTGGCCCCTATATTATTTCCTTTTTAAATTTTGATTGTTTTACTTTTCATTTCTAAAATTTCCATTTAAAGTGGTTCTTTACACTTTCTGTTTCTTTGTCTTGTGTTTTTGCAGAGACTATTTTTAAATTTTCTATTTAGTTTGCTCACTGAGTTATTTTTATGATGGCTGCTTTAAAATTCTTATCAAATAATTCCAAGTTTCATCTTCCACTCAGCCTTCTGTGACAACAGCATAATGTAACAGGTAGGGGTACTTCATTGAAGTCTGAGAGAGTAAAAGTCTAACCTCCCACTTAGCCTTTGCTGATGGGGTGGGAGTAGGCCATTTTTCCCCCAAAGTGTTTGAGTAAAGTAGTAAGGCTATTGTCCAAATGTTTTCTGTGTTTCTGGGCTATTCTTTACTGGCACTTTAGCTAGAGAGAGTGGGCTTTCTTTGGTGTGTTTTTTGTCCGTATCTGTTGGCATGTCCAGGTTACCAGCTCCTCCAGCATGTAGTCTAGGTGATATAAAGCAAAAAACAAAACAAAACAAAACAAAAAAACTGAAGGAACTTACTGTCCTCAGCCAGCCTTATTTTTATTTTTCAGAATATTATCGTGTCTGTTTGACACATAATATCGAGGACTTTTAGCTGTAATTAGTAGTAGGAATAAAGAAAAATATGTCTATCTTGTTTAGAGCTGAATATGAAGCATCTATATTAGGCCTTTGTTTTAAATGATATTTTTATTGTTGTTGAATTCTAGGTTGCTTCTTTTTATTTATTTATTTTATTATTATTATACTTTAAGTTTTAGGGTACATGTGCACAATGTGCAGGTTAGTTACATATGTATACATGTGCCATGCTGGTGTGCTGCACCCACTAACTCGTCATTTAGCATTAGGTATATTTCCTTATGCTACCCCTCCCCCCTCCCCCCACCCCACAACAGTCCCCAGAGTGTGATGTTCCCCTTCCTGTGTCCATGTGTTCTCATTGTTCAGTTCTCACCTATGAGTGAGAACATGCAGTGTTTGGTTTTTTCTCCTTGCGATAGTTTACTGAGAATGATGATTTCCAATTTCATCCATGTCCCTACAAAGGACATGAACTCATCATTTTTTATGGCTGCATAGTATTCCATTGTGTATATGTGCCACATTTTCTTAATCCAGTCTATCATTGTTGGACATTTGGGTTGGTTCCAAGTCTTTGCTATTGTGAATAGTGCCGCAATAAACATACATGTGCATGTATCTTTATAGCAGCATGATTTATAGTCCTTTGAGTATATACCCAGTAATGGGATGGCTGGGTCAAATGGTATTTCTAGTTCTAGATCCTTGAGGAATCGCCACACTGACTTCCACAATGGTTGAACTAGTTTACAGGATACAAAATCAATGTACAAAAATCACAAGCACTCTTATACACCAATAACAGACAAACAGAGAGCCAAATCAGGAGTGAACTCCCATTCACAATTGCTTCAAAGAGAATAAAATACCTAGGAATCCAACTTACAAGGGATGTGAAGGACCTCTTCAAGGAGAACTAAAAATCACTGCTCAATGAAATAAAAGAGGATACAAACAAATGGAAGAACATTCCATGCTCATGGGTAGGAAGAATCAATATCGTGAAAATGGCCATACTGCCCAAGGTAATTTATAGATTCAATGTCATCCCCATCAAGCTACCAATGACTTTCTTCACAGAATTGGAAAAAACTACTTTAAAGTTCACATGGAACCAAAAAAGAGCCCGCATCGCCAAGTCAATCCTAAGCCGAAAGAACAAAGCTGGAGGCATCACGCTACCTGATTTCAAACTATACTACAAGGCTACAGTAACCAAAGCAGCATGGTACTGGTACCAAAATAGAGATATAGATCAATGGAACAGAACAGAGCCCTCAGAAATCACGCCGCGTATCTACAACTATCTGATCTTTGACAAACCTGAGAAAAACAAGCAATGGGGAAAGGATTCTCTATTTAATAAATGGTGCTGGGAAAACTGGCTAGCCATATGTAGAAAGCTGAAACTGGATCCCTTCCTTACATCTTATACAAAAATTAATTCAAGATGGATTAAAAACTTAAACGTTAGACCTAAAATCATAAAAACCCAAGAAGAAAACCTAGGCATTACCATTCAGGACATAGGCATGGGCAAGGATTTCATGTCTAAAACACCAAAAGCAATGGCAACAAAAGCCAAAATTGACAAATGGGATCTAATTAAACTAAAGAGCTTCTGCACAGCAAAAGAAACTACCATCAGAGTGAACAGGCAACCTACAAAATGGGAGAAACTTTTCGCGACCTACTCATCTGACAAAGGGCTAATATCCAGAATCTACAATGAACTCAAACAAATTTACAAGAAAAAAACAAACAACCCCATCAAAAAGTGGGCGAAGGACATGAACAGACATTTCTCAAAAGAAGACATTTATGCAGCCAAAAAACACATGAAAAAATGCTCACCATCACCGGCCATCAGAGAAATGCAAATCAAAACCACAATGAGATACCATCTCACACCAGTTAGAATGGCAATCATTAAAAAGTCAGGAAACAACAGGTGCTGGAGAGGATGTGAAGAAATAGGAACACTTTTACACTGTTGGTGGGACTGTAAACTAGGTTGCTTATTTTCATTCAGCAATTGAAAGACATAATTCAATTGTATTCTGACTTCCATTATTTCTATTGCATACTCAGCCCCTACTCCTATTGTTGATGTTTCGAATGACCAAATTAGATCATATTACCTGGCTGCTCTAAACATTTTGTTATTGCCTATGTTTCTAGCAATTTTAAGAAGATGTTTCTAGGTGCAGTTATCTCATTATATTTATTGAGGTTTGAAGTAGTTACTGGATATACAGGTTTCAATTTGTTTCATTGGTTTTTATAGCTTCTTGGCCTTTATTTTCTTCAAATATTGATGCTTTTTTTAATCCTTACATTTTATCTCCACACATATTAAGTCTTTTCACATTGTCTCATTTGCCTCTTAGAATGTTTTTCTACTCCCTTGTCTTTAAGTTCATGACCCTGACTTCTAATCTATTTCATTCTGTAGTTAAACCTCACTTCAGGCCTTGCATTTTTAGTCTTAAATGATATATATCTTCCTCTTAAATAGCGTACAGTTTTCCCATGAATTTGTAAAGCCTCTTAATCACCTTCATACAACAAATTAATCACACATATTTTAAAGTCATTTTCTACTTATTCCATTAATGTAAGTTCAAACAGCTGAGTACTAATTCCTATTTTTTGCCTGTTTTTCTTTCTTCTTGTTTTTTTTTTATCATAAAATCCTGTTTCTTGGCATTTCTCTTAATTTCAACTGAATGTCAGCTATGGTATATAAAAATTTAGAGAATATAGATGACATTAACCATCTTTAAAGGATCACCCATTCTTCTGCTAGTCAGAATGGGATTGAACATCTTTATCAAAACAAGGACTGAGCTGACTTTGACAGAGCCGTACTTTTGGGAAGGCTGAAACCCTCCTATTCCCAGGCTGCATTTGTTGGACTTTTATAAATAGCCAGATTTATTCAACATGGCCTTTTTCCATAATCCCAAATTCTAATTTCTGCTTTCTCAGCACTGTAAGATAGCAGAAAACTACTTCTTAGAAAATTCTGGCTTAAGATTTTAGCCCCCTACCAGGCAGAGCTTCCTAACTCCACCAATGTCTTGAGGGAAATACTGTCTGTGTTTTTAGTACCCTTACACCATCCATTTTGTATTTTGTTTTGTGTTTTATACAGTCTTTGGAAACCACCCAGATTTCTTCTGATTTCCCCATTCCCCAACTGTGGATTCTCAGCCTGAATTCAGAACCAGTAACTATTCCCAGAAATCAGAATAGCTATAGATCGTCAGCAAACTTCTCTGAAGTCCTCTTCTTTTCAGAATTTTAGCCATTCTACTCCTTATTGCTCCTTCAACTCTCTGGTGCCTTAAATAGATAAAATTTTAATTATATCTCAATTTTTAAATGGTGCTTAGGGAGATCAGTAGCCTCTTAAAAGCTATTATACCCTACTTGAAAGTGGCTCTCTGGAGATCTTTAACTTATCAGTTCTACAAATCCCATTCTCAAATAATCTTTCTTAGCTGTGCTAATATAAGAACTGACATCCACACTGAAAATAGTTAAATAAATAAAACCCTGCCAGGGAATTCTACTGCGAAAACAGAGTTTAGAATGCTTATATACTTTCTAGTATTCCTAAATGGGGCTCTTTCATCCTCAATGTCTACTACAATGCAAATAGGATATAAATCAAGAGACTACACTGCTAGAGATACATGATAATGATGATGATGATAAGTAGGTAGATAGGTAGGTAAATAGGTAGATAGATAAGTAGGTAATGAAGATAGACAATAGAGAGGTAAATAATAAAGAGATTGATAGGTAGATATGAATAGAAAGGTAGGGAGATATGAATAGAAAGGTAGGTGATAGACAGATTGACAGACCATTGAATGTAGTAAAGTACCGAAAATTTGAACACATTAAATAGGATACTGAAGTAGAGCGATTCTGAATTCCAAAGCCATGCAGTCAGATTTCAAAAGCTAAGATTTTCACTATAATGGATGTTTCATTTATATAATGAAATATTATGTAGAGGTTTCACTGAAAAAAAAGGCAGATTCATAGGAGAAAAAAAGCATAAAAATTTATTTAATCATATCTGTATATGATACTGGAGGCTTCAGAATGAAAACCCAAAGATACAGGTAAAACTATACATTTTTATGTTCAGGTTCAATGAAGTATGGACAGCTATGTAGAATTATGCTTGGGCAAAATGGTATGATCTAATGCTAATGGACTGAATGGAAAAACCCAGCAAGGCCTTACTGTTTGGATTTTCCTGGCCTCTCTGTGCAGCGTTTCTTTCTTCTGGTATCGGGTGGGACTCTCTCTGCGGTGAGGATCTTATGATATGCATTCAAACAAAGTAGCTCAGATAATTCCTTTATGGCCTGTTTTTAGACCGAAATGTAGGGGAAGTTAGAGTAATATTCCCCTGTCTTGACCTGTCTTGGGGAACAGGGATTTTAATTTCTAAGGCTATACTCAGGCAAGACTGAGGGGCCAGAGACAAGAGACCCCTCAGGAGATCAAAGAGAAACTTTTGTTTCTGAGGCTGCTTCATATTGGGGTACTGCTGTTTCAGCCCCAACAAATTAATCTTGGAGATAATATGATATGTTCAAAAATTATTTATTTAAAAAAATTGCATGCTCAAGCTATGTATTTACTGCAAACTTACTGAATAAAATATCCTTAACTAGTCTTCCAAACTTATGAATATCACCAACTACTCTTCAAAATAATTATATATTTTAACCACACACAAGAAATGTATATTATTTATATATTGCAGTTTATCTGATTGAACTGCATTTTAATATCATCACAATAGTTGTTTTAACCTAGACCATCACAATAATGTACAGGTATGGAATATTAAAATGAAACTTCATATTACTCTTTCTAAATGCCCTAATTTACTGTAATGTCTTATTTACTGTAGTTTAGTAATGAGTTGACGGGTAAGAAGAGAAAAAGAATCACAGGGCCCATTCAGTTATTGAATATAGCTACTTTCACAACACTGTAAGTCTATTATAACTACACAGGAAGAAACTATATGTATTCCTTAGGTTTTTATTATAAAAATGGTAGAAAGTAATATTGAGCAATAAATTACATATGAACAATAATTCAGGTTATATAAACTCCAAAATATTTTGTATTATAAACTTAAGTGTATCAGTCCGTTCTCATACCGCTACAAAGAAATACCCGAGATTTGGTAATTTATAAAGAAAAGAGGTTTAATTGACTCACAGTTCTGCATGGCTGGGGAAGCCTCAGGAAACTTACAATCATGGCAGAAGGTGTCTTTTCACAGGGTGGCAGGAAAGAGAATGAGTGCCGAACAAATGGGGAAGCCCCTTATAAAACCATTGGATCACGTGAGAACTCACTCACTCACCATCACAAAGAGTATGGGAGAAACTGTCCACGTGATTCAACTATCTCCACCTGGCCCCAGCCTTGATACATGGGGATTATTACAACTCAAGGTGAGATTTGGGTGTAAACACAGAGCCAAACCCCATCATTAAGCTAGTTCTAAACTATCATTAAATGACAAAATATATTTTATATAAATGATAATTTAGTTACTTTAAAAACACCAACCAGTTGCAATATGGCTTTACTAGATTTCATACTATGTATGCTTGTATCATATGTATGCAGGAACATATGTATCTATTTGAATACATTCATCTACTGAGGATTAGAATTCCTTTTTATTAAAACAATTAAAACCCCTTGAATGGTTGCTTGATTCATTCATACACTGAACATTTATTGTGGACAGTCTATGTGCGGGACACATCCAGATGCTGAGGACAATGTGGAAGAGAGACACACATGGCATCGTTGCTGCCGCTGCTCACAATATCACGATTAAAAGCTTTCATGATTGAAGGACTTAAATTACCAAAGGTTATATAAATCAGCAACATAATAATTATTTTGTGCCTTAGGTTAATTATTTTGGTGCTTCAGAATAAGCTCAAGATTGTCTGATAGCATCAGTGATTTATTTTAAGCCTGAATCATCTTGGAATATTATTTCATATAGTGTATAGAAATACGAGTGTCAGATAATTTTTTTTACAAAATATGTGTCACTGGATCTCTTTATATTCACCATGTCTTGCCACTTTTTACTTGTTTTACTTGTAGTTTTTCTAGAACTGATTCATCTTAAAGAGTTTCAATGAGAAGAGTTATATGTTATTTAACGGTTATAAAATGAAACTAGTTAAGAGTTAATACCCAGTGACCACCCACGCCAGATGAAACCACCTCTCAATAGTTACTTTATAGCCTTAGAAGTCCTCACAAACGTATCAATGACTTCCTTCTCCAAATTTATGAGCAGATTTTATCTCCTTTTAATATCCAGCTATAAAGATATATTTCTATGTGGAGAAAGAACACAAAATAAAAGCCTAAATAGCAATAGCATAGCAGAGGGTAAAACCTGTTCTGACCATTTAAAAGCACAAGTCACCACATCTCTGCACCTATGGTTGTAGTCGTAACATCCTGGAAGCCCTTAGTGGCCATTGCTTCTATTTGCACCAATCCTGGGAATGCCGCTTCATTAAAATCACTAATCTACTTTTATCAGGCAGAGGCCATATTCTTCTCTTTAAAAAAAAAAAAAAGTGTGAGCTTCTTTATTTTTCCCCTAGCTAAATTAGATGTTTCAGTAGAAGAAAATAATTAGATAAGTTTTTAGCTAAATCTGATTTGCAACTCACTACAAGGGTAGTCAAAGCAGAGACAGTATAAAGAAAAAAAGTATCATTTTAATGGGGGCTATTGATCTATGGTAAAGTATAATTAAAATAGACCTTTTGAATTTTAGTTGCAAAGACATATTATATTCTAATTGCTATAACCTTTGAGAATTGTCAGAAGGATAATAGCTCTGTACAAAGGTTAGAACAGATTTTAGGGAGGAGCTATTTAATCGAATGTGACTATGTGGCACAAGAAATATCAACCTAAAGCAAAATAACACCTACCTTTTTCCCCAACAAAGCAAAGGCAAAGCAAAACAAAATTTTGCATTTATATTTGCAATCACTCTTAAAGGCATACTTCTTTAATAACTAGGAATCAAAACCCATACATATCACAAGTGACAGCAGCCTTACGAAACCATTATTATCTAAGTCATATTGGGCACAGCATGGTAGCTTCTATAAACCAAAAATAAAATTCTAAGTCCCCAACTGAATAAACAGCCCCTCTTCTTGGCCAAGGAAACCCAGCAAAAACTGAAACCCTAGTATAGGTCATGACAGAAAGTAGGGGCTCAGATATGCCCCATTATACTCTCCTCCCTTGGGAGTTCTGCCACAACTGATCAGCATGAACATTAAAACAGAGATTCTCAGACTGACAGAACTGACTCTTCGAAGCAGTAAGATACCAAATTCCAACCTGACTCTAGTATACCATCACATGACATATAGTAGGGCCCTGAAAGAAATACAAGTATTTTACCCCAAAATATGTTTTTGATACATTTTGAAATGGCCCTGCAAAGCTGTCCCTTATGGGGAAACTTACATTCTATAGAGAATCTCCTTCCATTTGCAGGTCTTTTTCTGATCCTAAAGAGATTAGTTGAGAGTCTAACACTTTTCAAAGATATGAATGGGAAACATTAGCCATGTTGCCTTTAAAGGCAACCTTTACCTAGGAGACCTCGTCTGCATAATAAGAACTTTGGTCTCCACAACCCCCGTCTTAACCCAGGCACTCCTTTTTATTGATTCCAGGTCTTTAGATAGTAACTTAACTCTTTAAACTAGCTGCCAATCAGAAAATCTTGGAATCCACCTATGACCTATAAAGCCCCCCACTTCGCACTGTCACACCTTTCTAGACTGAACCAAAGTATACCTCCCATGTACTGACTTATGTCTTATGTCTCCCTAAAACACATGAAACCAAGCTGTAACTCAACCACCTTGCACACATGTTCTCAGGACCTCCTGAGGCTATGTCATGGGTCACGATCCTTAACCTTGGCAAAATAAACTTCTAAATTGATTGAGACCTGAAATTGAATTTTTTAGTTGTATTCTTGACAAAGCTGAAAATATTTAATGTATAGGCATATTTATACATTTTTGAAATATTAATAAAAAATTTTGAAAGACAAAATATAGATGTTTCCAACAATACTTTCATCAACATTTCAAGATTACTATAAGGGTGTTAAAGGTGTCAAAGAAAAATTACAATGGACAGAGTTAAACAGGCAAGGAAGACTTTACTCAAGAAGGCTGATGATGTAAGGTAGACAGATTGAACTTAATTTCATTGAATCAAAAGACAGGAAAACTTTCAAGAACAAGAATGAGCTACGAAAAAATACTGGAAGAGACTAAGGGGGTGGATAGAGAAGGTAGGTAAATGTAATTAGACCACCTGTGTTTGGTAGTTGGTGATAATTGGTGAGTTAGGCTCCTACCCTCCCACAGAACCTGGGAGAAAGGAACATTATCTTTCTTGCTGATTGCATTTCAAAGGAATGGTTCCCAGGAACTTGAGAAAGACATTCCTGGGCTGTAAAACTCACAGGAGCCTGGGAGATGATTTCCATCTCAAAGGGACGGATAATTTACAATGGAAGGTATTCTAAAGCAAAATGATTTATCTGTGAATTATTCAAAAGTCAGCCAATTGGGTCAGGTATAGTTATTTTCTCTCTTTATATCTGAATACGAACTACAGTGGAGTTTGTTTTTTATAGGTTCTCACAGGCAGAATATCTTAAGATAACATTTGCTATTCTCCACCCCAAATGATACACAGTGTAATAAGGCAAATTTAAGGCTAATGAAGCTAATTTAATAGTCCTGAGACTATTAAAAAACGTCAGTACAATGTCTTTTCTAAAATTCAGCTTTGGGGTCACTGACTTACAAGAATTTTGAGAAGAATAAAACCCTCAATATAGTGAAAGATGGTCCCAGAGTTATAGGTAAATGATTACTATGCATGTCTAAACTGAAGTATTTGTCGCTTAATCCTTCCCTAGCTTTTGTTTTCTAGAGTCTTTGGTACAAGACAGGCCAGCAAAATTGTCACTCCAGTTTCACTGGTGGAAACGTGGAGACATGGAGCTATTAAATAATTTCCTAAGGCCACAGAGCCCCTCGAAACAAGAGCCCCTCAATGCAAGGCAGTCAGAGAACGCACTCTTACTTACTGGTTGTGTGAGCATAAAAATTCTCATTTTCCAGATAAGGAATCTGAGACTTTGAGGCCCAGTACCACAAATAGACTAGAGTCAAGTTTGGGTTGTTTACCTGTGCATTTGATATTCCAACATTCAGAGTTCTTAAAAAGTGATTTTTTAAGTTACATATTTTTCACGTTTCACCTCATATCAGACAGTTCTCACATTGCAAAAAAGAAATGCCTAAGAACAGGTAATTTATAATGAAAAGAGCTTTAGTAGACTCACAGTTCCATAGGCTGTACAAGAAGCATAGCTGGGGAGGCCTCAGGAAACTTACAATCAAGTCAGAAGGTGAAGGGGAAGCAGGCGTGTCTTGTATGGCTGGAGCAGGAGGAAGAGGGAGCAGGGGGAGGTGCTCCACACTTGTAAGCAATCAGATCTTCAGCAGGAGGTGCTCTACACTTGTAAGCAATTAGATCTTCAGCGGGAGGTGCTCCACACTTGTAAGCAATCAGATCTTCAGTGGGAGGTGCTCCACATTTGTAAGCAATTAGATCTTCAGTGGGAGGTGCTCCACATTTGTAAGCAATTAGATCTTCAGCGGGAGGTGCTCCACACTTGTAAGCAATCAGATCTTCAGTGGGAGGTGCTCCACATTTGTAAGCAATTAGATCTTCAGTGGGAGGTGCTCCACATTTGTAAGCAATTAGATCTTCAGTGGGAGGTGCTCCACATTTGTAAGCAATCAGATCTTCAGCGGGAGGTGCTCCACACTTGTAAGCAATCAGATCTTGTGCGATCTCACCCACTATTACAAGAACAGCGAGGGGGTAAATCCAGGCCCATGATCCAATCACCTCACCTCCCACCAAGCCCCTCCTCCAACACTGGGAATTACAATTCAACATGAGATTTGGGTCAGGACACAAATCTAAACCATATTATAGCTCCCGAAGTCTCACTTGTTTGAAAACTTTTCTTCACCTGCTGGAAGGAACGTAAAAAATGAGATGATAATGAAGAAAAGCTGGAAGTGGAGGAGGAAGAAAAAGAATAAAAAGACAGCTTCTTTTATGGGCATATTCCTTATTTTCCTAAGTCCAAAAATCCTAATGAGAAATCAGACGGCATTCATTTCTTCTACACACTGAACCTGTCTCTCGGGGAAATCCCTACACGCTGGAATTAAATGAGATTTAGTCATCTCAATTTTGGAACTCATTTAAATAAAATTTTGGTTTCTACTTCATTTTGTTTGTTTTTACAATCTAGAAAGCTGTAATGGGCATTTTAAAATGTGGATGAAGTGTATTTAAAATTTATTTTTCCTCATTATTTGTTATTTTATTGTCCCTCTTTTTGCATGTTTTCTGGCCTATTAGATACTTATTTTTTGCAGTTTCTTTGGCAGGTGATTCTACAGTCTCCATTGTGGGTACCTTTGTTTCATTCCTTTATTTTGAATGGCATGCTCTCATACAAATTGCATAAGTGCCAAAATACTTCAAGGCTATAAAATTATGAGCAAAAATGTTTGGACAATTATTATTAACTCTAAGTATTGTTAATAATCATTCAAAATGTATACATATAGTACCATAAAAACACTGTGTGTAATTAAACCAGAGATTATCTTTAGAATATCAGACTACTACATATTTGTGGTCACCCTTTACAGAGCTTCATGTTGTATACTGAACTTTTAAGTTCACTTACTAATCACAGGGAAGTTTATGCCTGAAAAAAATGTCCAACATGTGTACAAGTTATCTGACTGTTAGAGAAATTTGGTGAACAAATTGATCATGTGAGTCACCCACCCACCAAAACCAGAAGAAAAGCAAGTAAACAAAGAGTGTCATTGAAAAGTTTTTAAGACTGACATGAAAACACTTCCTAGATCACCGGCTTAACCTACACATTGTCTTCAAAAGATGAGTTTTTAATGGGTAAATTCTTAGTTCAGGTTTTAAAAGAAAAAAATCTGTATTTGGCTGTCACTGAAGAAAAAAACCCAGAAACTAAAAATGTTATTAAATCAGCTAATGGGGAAAGTGTGCATATTTGACCTATTGGCTTAATAATGTATTTTAATCATAAATAAAAGATTAAATATAAAGTGAGAGGCAAAGCCAAAATCAGTTCGATTATTAAATAAATTATAACCAAAATATTTTTATGCCAGTGATCTGTAGCATTTGAATTCACTTGTGAGTGACAGGACATGAAAAATTACAAGATACAGTAAACAGTTCTCTTCAGCATTGAAAAAAATCATAATTTACTAGAAGGTTTTAAACAAAGAGTGGATTATTAAAGCTCCTATGGAATCTATTAAGGGTGTATGTATTAGGAAAGAATGCCATACACTCTGAACGAACTCCTAAATGCCACCTCACGTTCTTGCAGAGCACAGGGCCCGATTTTTAATAGCCCGATGGTGACAGTGCACATGCATCTAAGGACAATGCGCATGAGAAGAAGCTAATTAACATCAAGCACTAATTAGTCCCTCAGTATTTAGCAATGAAGTATCAGCAGCTGTCTTAGATGCCATATGCTAATTAGCATTAATAAACTTCAGAAATAATTGTCTCCATTGTTCTGTGTCACAATACTCCCTCTAATTGTTCTTTGGAGAGCATTGCCTATAAATGGTAGCAAGCATTACATAGCATTGCTTGAAGTTTAATGAGCAATTTACTGTGACTTGTGGCATTACAAGTGAATATATACAGGAAAGAAAAGATTAATGCCAATTTTTTAAATCCATAATTAAGTTGTTGGCTGGTACCCGTGTCTGCAGTTATTCAAATACTCAGACAGGGGAGATTGTTTCTTCGGCTCCAGATTATGTTCATGATAATAAAATATGAAGTTTAAGATGACTTGAGTCACAGCCTCAGCCAGCATGCCACAGTTGTTTTCAAATCCAGCTTAGTCTTTCATCGGAAGTTTTCTGTGCCATCACAGTTGAGAAGTCTGAAAAGTTGGGAGGCAGAAAAGGATCTTTCTTTGTAGAGAAAACAACTCTCATTTGCCTAATGTTAGCAAAAGTCAGCAGAATGTATTGATAATATGATCTGTAAATACATACAGAAGATGGCCATAAATTATCTCGGAAAATGTCCAGTAATTTTCACTGATTATTGTCCCATGAACTAGACCACAAAATATAATGTCATGAGAATGGGTGGGTGCCTACAAATATACTCGCCCATCGAAGACTCTATAAGATGTGATTCTTGACCATAGGATGTCTACACTGCAATTAGAGGAATTCATATGTTAACATATACGCAATCACGTTATAAACAATTAGGCAATATAAAAGAAAGCATCTTACAAATTATAACAACTACATATACCTGGAACATTATTAATTAATAACTGAGAAAACAGTACCAGACTATGTAAACTAGGAGTTAAACACATACACAGCCAATGATACACTATTTAAATAACCTTTCAAAAATATTTATTTTCTTATTTTAAATAAAGAAGCAGTAATTTGGGGGCAAATTATTTAGAAGTAGTAAACATATTAAGATACACAGTGTCTTATATACACCATGAAGAATTATAATGTATACTTTTGTTAGTATGATTTGCCATTTATGTTAGTAAGGCATAAAAGTCTGTTTTACATCTTCCTGCTACATTATTTAAAAAAACTTAAAAGTTTTTATTTGTATCAATTCCGATTAACTTTATTAGTTTATACTTAGCGTCTTTTACCTAAAAATGTATTTTAAAAGAACCACAGCCTTTATAATTGTATGAATTTTTCCTAGAACTATTACAAATTTTAAATCACTTTATTCACTTTTTATAAATTGTAGCAAATGATCAAATTTAAAATAACAATAAAAAGAGAAAACTTGGTTCTTAAAGAAGATCATATCCTGCATCATGTCCATCCTTAAATCTCAAGAATGGATTATCTGTTGTCTTTTTATCTTATGGAAACAATAACCGTTGGAAAGCATTACATTCCTTTCTTTGATCTGGCCACTCAGAAATCTTAGAGGCAAACATTGGCTTCTTCTATTATCACGTGTTCATATTGTTTGTATTGTTCTGTTAATGTTATCTTTGATTTATTGCCTAATTATCAATAGTCTTTCTTGCCCTGATTTCCTTGATTATTAATTTCTGCCTATGGGATTTATGTAGAGTTTTAAGCTTCATTCTAATTATTTGTGTATATTAAGTAAATGATTAATATAGAAAAATATCAAAAATTGATTCTGTCAATTTCAAAAGGAACTAATATAATTTGCAGCAAAGGTTCATGAATTTTGATAATTTATGTTAATTCATAAGATGCAGGGCTAAACTTTAACCTGTGAAGTTTGCCCTTAACTCACAATTATTATAATGTAAGGGTATAAGGCATATTTAAGAACCATTTTAATGGCTTAAGAGGGATCACTGTCATTAAAGATATTCAAATATTTAAAAGTAAGATATTTTTAGAGAAAGGTTTCAGAAAATGTATCACTGGAAATTATGAAGCATTATTCCGGAAGAAACCCCACACACATATATACACACAGATACTCTTAAACAGAAAGTTTGTATGTTGCATTGATGATTGAGATGGGCCAGCTCTAGACTTAATTATAAAAAGAAAGAAAAAGAACGAGAGAGAGAGAGAGAAAGGAAGAAAGAAGGGGAGAGGGAGGGAGGGAAGGAGGGAGAGAGGGAGGGAGGGAGGGAGGAAGGAAGGAAGGAAAGGAGGGAGGGAGATGCCCATCAGTTTTGTTGCCATTGTAAACAATAAAATGCTTTCAAGGACTTCCATTCTCTGAGATTATTTTAGATTAGTTCAGGAAGCTTGATCTGAGGTGAGGCAATGTTTAATCTTAGAATTTGGTCCTTAATAAATAAATATTAGCAAATCCTGTTTTGAAAGATCCTTTTGGGGCCGGGCACGGTGGCTCACGCCTGTAATCCCAGCACTTTGGGAGGCCGAGGCTGGCGGATCACGAGGTCAGGAGATCGAGACCATCCTGGCTAACACGGTGAAACCCCGTCTCTACTAAAAAAAAATACAAAAAATCAGCTGGGTGTGGTGGCGGGCGCCTGTAGTCCCAGCTATGCGGGAGGCTGAAGCAGGAGAATGGCGTGAACCCGGGAGGCAAAGCTTGCAGTGAGCAGAGATGCACCACTGCACTCCAGCCTGGGCGACAGAGCAAGACTCCGTCTCAAAAAAAAAAAAAAAAAAAAGATCCTTCTGGAATACTAACGAGTCATAGGGTCAAAAAGTGAGATAATCATATCAAAATCGTAAAGTGATTTCTGGCTTTATTGATCTTATTGGTTGGCTGAGTTTGTGCAAGCCCGCTTTCATCTCCATGAGATGTGATTAGTCTCTCCTTGTAATCATTGTTATTAACAGTTCAGTTGTATTGAGATATTTCTATGAATTGGTCAATAGTTCAAACACTTTAGATACGTGATTTTGTTCCATTCTTAGAACTGCCCTACCTAGTAATTATTATTATTATTACCATATTCTAAAGATAGAGTTTGGGATGGGAGAGGCTAAACAGTTTACTCAAAGCTATGCAACTAGAATAACCCTGGACTCAGAATGAACTCAGGGAATGAATTAAACTCACCTTTAAAAACAACTCTATATAAACATTATGTTCAGCTGTCTTTAATATTTTCAGATAACTATCAGCAAGATTCAAAATTCAAGCTGTCTGCACTTTTTTTATTTGTAATTCATTCATTCCATACTTCTGTTTTCTCAAGTGACTTAACGACTAGAGCAAGTAAATTGTAGTTTTAATCTTAGTTTTTTACATTAAATAACTAAATACATGTAAAAATATGTTTTCATAAAACAAATTGGTCAGACATGATCCATCTTCATTAGTGGTTGCTTTCTCTACATGATTAACATTTGCTATTATAAGACTCATTATTCTATCTTACCAAAAAGGGCTTTATACTATTATCCACAGATTCATCTAAATATAAATATAAATATGTATTATTAAATAAGAATAATATATGAGTATCCTTGTTGGTCAAATCTGAAAGAATGTAAACAAATATAAGTAATAGGTGAATGCCTTCATGAATTGTAAAATACAAATTTTTCCCAATTGAGATCAGTTTTCTTGGCTGGATATGGTGGCTCAGATCTGTAATCCCAGCACTTTGGGAGGTCGAGACAGGAGGGATCCTTGAGCTCAGGAGTTCCAGACCAGCCTGTGCAACACAGGGAGACCTTGTCTCTATAAAAAATAAAAAAATTAGCTGGGTGATATAAAAAATAAAAAAAATAGCTGGGTGATGTGGTATGTGCCTGTGGTCCCAGCTACTAGGGAGGCTGAGCTGGGAGCATCACGTGAGGCTGCAGTGAGCTGTGACTGCACCACTGCACTCCAGCCTGGGTGAGAGAGCAAGACCCTGTCTCGATAAATAGATAAATAAATAAATACATACATACATAAATACATAATCAGTTTTCTCAAAGTTGGTAAATAGAGGAAGGCATGATTGTAATGATTGTATATCACCTCTTATAAATGAGAAAGTGATACCTCAGAGTAAAATGTCCCAAGACCATTCTGGATAACTCTTCAGGCTTATGACAGTAAGTTAGAATTATGTGTTAGTTTCTCTCTCTTTCTTACCACTTTATATACATTATATGCAGGTTCCTTGATGGCAGAAACAGTGTGACTTATTTATCTTTGCAACTCCAGGGCTCAGCAGACATTATAACAGGGTACTCAGAAAATACTTGGTCCCCAACTTAACAACAGTTGATTTCATGTAAATAATGTGTTACTTTGAGCTTTGTATGTGTGCTGCCAAAAGGATTCTGGACTAGAATTTAGCTGTTTTCCTAGAATTGATTATTTAAATCACATAAAAGTGAATGGTTAAGAGATTTTTTTACAAGAATATTTTTTAATAAAAGAAAGAAAAATCAACCAACAAAAAATTCTTACTCTACCTTACAAGAAAGTAAAATATACAAATTCTTTCTCCCAAAATGCATTACTTATTCTGGCCAAATACCCTATTCTTTCAGCATTTAAATAGGAGCAGATATTTCCAAGGTTACTAATGTAGCTATAATTTATTTGACTAAAAAAAATATCAAATGCAGTCAGCTTTATTGGCAAACACTACCATATGTCCTGAGGGTTTCAGTAGATTATTTAGATACTAATTATTTAATTTTACAATGTTTAACTGAACAATGGTTTTCTTATTTATTCATGTTTGGATTTTAATTGTACTACCAAACATGTGATGTTTTGTTTGTTTCACTTGAAAAAATTAAAAAAAAAACAAAGAAAACATAAGTAGTTATTCTAAATGACCAATATATGAAATGAAATAAATAAACATCACTAGTGCTATTCTCTTGCAAAATACCTGATCTGCATGTATGATTTTCATGGTTTATTTTCTTTCTTGTATTAATAATTAGAATGAACAGTTCAAGTATAAACTAACAAAATAAAGATTTCCCAGAAATATAACCTCAAGTTTCTTGGATTTCATAAATAGAGAATTTTAAATCTCTTTTTTGTATTGGCTTTAATTATTTCAGTGTTCTTACAATGTATCTTTTATAGGGTATAGAAAGGCACTGGTGATTGTACATTTTTGACAATTGTTTACATCCATAAAGATCTCCATTAGATGAAATACTGAGAACTCTTTTAGGGCGTCTGTGGTCAATATTATTTATGCTTAGAGAACATTCTAGTTCTCCTTTCCTTGTGTCACTTGGAGTTATATTTTCCTTCAACCTTGGAGACAGGTATGACCACATGGCTTGCCTTAGCTAGTGAAATGTGATTAAAATTATGCTTTGCCACATCCAGGTGGCAAAGGATTAACAGCCAATGTATTAACTTGCAAGTCCCGTTTGCTACAGTGGTACACTGTTACATCTGCTTTTCAGATGCTAGCATCCTCAGACAGCAGAGCTTTGCTAGCCTGGATATTGGAGTAACAGCAATGAGACCAGTCCCCATGGTCGTCCACATCAGACATGTTGTGTGAATGCATTTTTAAAAATTATTTTAAGTTCTTGATATTTTGGAGTTGTTTGTTCTGAAAACATCAGCTATCCTAAACTTATTAGCCCAGCTACTTTTTAACTGCTTGAATTTACTATTATTATTTTTGCCTTGATTTTATATGTAAACATATTCTTGTCTGAGAATTTACTTTTTATTTTTCATGTTCATGTAAATACATTGTGTTTTGTTTCTGTTTAATATACTCTATTTTTTCCCATAATTTTCCTACTACTAGTGCACATTTTATAAAAACAATTACCCAAAATAGAACATGGAACAAACACAAAAACAAAAAGTGGCTATGGAATATCTTTTATTTATTTTTTTTTTTTTTTGAGACAGAATCTCTGTCACCCAGGCTGGAGTGTAGTGGCGCAATCTCGGCTCACTGCAACCTCTCCCTCCTGGGTACAAGCAATTTTTGTACCTCAGCCTCCCAAGTAGCTGGGATTATAATCATAGGCGTGCGCCACCATGCCCGGCTAATTTTTGTATTTTTAGTAGAAACCAGGGTTTTGCCGTGATGGCCAGCGTGGCCTTGAACTCCTGACCTTAAGTGGTTTGCCCGCCTTGGCTTCCCAAACTGCTGGGATTACAGGCGTGAGCCACTGTGCCTGGCTGGCTATAGAATATCTTAAAACTACCTTTTTGGCACTATGATCACTACCTGGGTGCGATACACCCATGTAACAAACCTGCTTATATTCCCCTTTATGTAAAATAAAAGCCAAAATTTTTAAAAAGAAGAAGGAAATGCCCTGTGTCTTCACTGAGTTGGTCGATACAAGGATATACACTCAGTAAAACTCATGAAATAGTACACTTCAAATAAGATCGGTTTATTACCTATGAATTATATTTCAGTGAAGGTGAAAAAAATAAGTGTTTTAAAATGTAGTTTTTTCCAATTCTGTGAAGAAAGTCAGTGGTAGCTTGATGGGGATAGCATTGAATCTATAAATTACTTTGGGCAGTAAGGCCATTTTCATGATATTGATTCTTCCTATCCATGAGTATGAAATGCTTTTCCATTTGTTTGTGTCCTCTCTTATTTCCTCGAGCAGTGGTTTGTAGTTCTCGTTGAAGAGGTCCTTCACATCCCTTGTAAGTTGTATTCCTAGGTATTTTATTCTCTTAGTAGTAAATGTGAATCAGAGTTCACTCATGATTTGGCTGTTTGTCTGTTATTGGTGTATAGGAATGCTTGTGATTTTTGCACATTGATTTTGTATCCTGAGACTTTGCTGATGTTGCTTATCAGCTTAAGGGGATTTCGGGCTGAGACGATTGGGCTTTCTAAATATACAATCATGTCATCTGCAAACAGATACAATTTAACTTCCTCTCTTCCTATTTCAATGCCCTTTATTGCTTTCTCTTGCCTGATTGCCCTGGCCAGAACTCAAGCCAGTTAGAATGGGGATCATTAAAAAGTCAGAAAACAACAGATGCTGGAGAGGTTGTGGAAAAATAAGAATGCTTTCACATTGTTGGAGGGAGTGCAAATCAGTTCAACCATTGTGGAAGACAGTGTGGCAATTCCTCAAGGATCTAGAACTAGAAATAGCATTTGACCCAGCAATCCCATTACTGGGCATATACCCAAAGGATTATACATCATTCTACAATAAAGACACATGCACATGTATGTTTATTGTGGCACTATTCACAATAGCAAAGACTTGGAACCAACCCAAATGCTCATCAATGACAGACTGGATAAAAATGTGGCATATATACACCATGGATACTATGCAGCCATAAAAAAGGATGAGTTCATGTCCTTTGCAGGGACATGGATGAAGCTGGAAACCATCATTCTCAGCAAACTAACACAGGAACAGAAAACTAAACACCGCATGTTCTCACTCATAAGTGGGAGTTGAACAATGAGAACACATGGACACAGGGAGGAGAACAAACATCACACGTGGGGACCTGTTGCAGGGTTGGGGGGTAGTGCAGGGATAACATTAGGAGAATTACCTAATGTAGATGATGGGTTGATGGGTGCAGCAAACCATCATGGCATGTGTATACCTATGTAACAAAACAGCACGTTCTGCACATGTAACCCAGAACTTACAGTATTAAAAAAAAAAACAAAACACTGCAAGCCAAGAAGGGTAAAAATTATCCACATTTGTCAGAAAAAAAAGAATACAGATATTCTGAACTCAGTAATTTTATGATTTTTTTTTTTGTTTTCCTTGCACAGCATCATGGAGACCCTTTGGTCATAGCATATAGCATTTCTCTTTGGTCATAGCACATAGTATTTCTTTCCGATATATCCATTTTGAAAGAGTCTGTCTTCCTATTGCTACTATTATTGTTTAATCATTAGTTGAGATCTTGTGTTGAGAATGCATTGAAAACATTTATTGTTTTCTTCAAATATGTATTTTAATCTCAAATGGGTTTACGATTCTTCTAAGTTTAAAATACATTTGAACAATCTTAACTTAAAAATATTAATTTGATGATCATTTTTAGCCAATTAAAAAAATCTCATAACAACAAAGGCACAATGACATCAATAAAGGCATAATATTTTTACCATTCATAGCAAGAGAGAAAAAAATTGGAAATCTAGCCATTTTAATTTGTTCAACTGATATATTTTAATTCATGTTAGGCATTTATCAAAAATAATTTTTGGCATAAGTTTCATCTTTTTCATGTTCTGTCTCATCTTGTATCTCAGACCTCCCACAGCAATTTCTCAACATCTCTAAACTTACAGGAGGATCATAATCACCTTGTGGTTCATATGAAACATGCATTTTGTTCCAGCCAATGGGTTGTGAGAAGTGAGGTGAGTCACCTTCAGGCCAAAGTATTTATTTGACAGTGAGTTCTCCAGTCTTGTCTTTTCCTTCAGCATTTCAACTAAATGCTCAATAAATCTCATCCTAAATCTTCTTTAAAAGTTAAACTAAATGTTCTCATTTTCTACCACAAGTAATAAGGGGAGTGTGACCACATCAAACTACAGACAATTTATATTAAAGAAGCCACTTCTAGAAAGTGGTCATAAATGTTCAAAGATATTAAGGAGAAATTAAATGTGATAAAATATCTTTAACAATAAAATTTACTCCATTTTATACTTTAGCCTCTACTCACGTAATTCAGGGAATGCCCGTATTATTTTAACATGAAAATAAAGCAGTCGAAACTTATTTTAAATGTCCATACAATAATCCTTGCGGTTCTAGCATTGGATCGCATTCATTTATTCATTCATCTATTCATTCAAGAAACAGTCACATTGTATTAGATACTTAGCGAGTGCTGGAAAAATAAGAACCAATGAGGCATGGCTGATATCTCAATATCAGACTCGAAAATAAATGTTAGGCTTGCTCACTGTCACCAGTATCACATTTTATAAAAACTCCTAAAAATAACAAAAGGAAAAACAAATTCCAATTTACTTTTGCACATATCCTGCCATCAGTTATTCCTAATGTATACTTAAAATTTCAAATATATCTCAAATAAAATTCAAAGTATTGTAAACACTGGTCCTATAACAAAAACAAAGAGAAAATGAGACATACTCAAGATTTGTTGAAGGTATTAAATAAACCCATGAATTCTGATATGCCATTTATAAATATAACTTAATGTAATTCATCTTACATTCATTTATGTTTTTAAATGTGTATTTTATCCTTCTGAAACTATATTTATTTAATTAAAAAATCTATTCTTGGTATTATAATTTTGTCAACATTAAATCTGCTACAATTAAGAGAATTATAATTTCTGGGATTATGAACAGTATTTTTAAATTCAAAATATAATCAAATAACAAAATCATACATTTTGTGCCAAACCAAGATTTTAAAGGTTAAGTTAAAAGTAAAAAGCTTAGAAATGCTCCACAATGGAAAGAACTAGGCAATATATGATAAGAGAAGCAGACTCTGAATTACTGGCAGTTAATCTTGCAAATTCACCTGAAAGGTAACCTGAAAAAATTGCCTTCTAGGTTCTTCAGTTTTTAAAAGAAGGTCACATATATTTGATATGTTAAACAACTGATCTACTCAGCTATTCTGATTTATGTAAGCATGTGGCTTACAGAGTTCACTGCTCAATGATCCTAAGTAAAATATCAGAATTAAATTTATCACTAGATTGCATGATTTTGTATCATTTTCTAAAACATGGTGCAATCCTTTTTTTACTAATTTTACTTGTAACCTTCATGTTGTTGTTTAGTAATGTTTACTAATTTTTACTTAATTTGCCTAATTTTTACTTAGTTCTTATTAATTTTACTTAATTATCAACTTTATGTTCTTGTTTTCCCCATAATTATCACCAAAAAGACCGTGTAGGAAACCATGGCTACTCAAGGAATTTTGGATATAGGATTTTGCTTTTCTCAGGCAGATATTTTGTTCCACTTTGAGATATTTCATTAATAAAGCTAGGATAAACCAGTATATATCTTTAATATTTAAAAAAACCCTTCACTTAATTAAAAGAGTATGTTTCTGCTGTGAAAAGTTAAAACCAGCACCCTAGTTAGACACTGTGTGGTGATTTAATCAGTGCAATCATTATTCGTGGTTAAGAAGCTGAACTTTATTGTATCCATTGGCTGTATGTCTATTACACCCTCTATATTAACTTCATTTCCTATCATAATTTTTTAAATAAAAACTATTTTTTCAGAAATGAAACAAAAATTTCACAGTGACTAAAGCTGAAATAATTTAAATCAACAAAATGCTATTGTAGTCTTATAACTTAAAGTACAAAATAAATACCCATGAGTCCATACTGATAGAAATAAATGACATATTAGTAATTACATGGGAAATAAGGGACAAATCTTTCCTACAAAAGGATTTCTAAATAATAAATGTAAAACAAACAAGGGAAATAGAAAATCATCATTAAAATATTGCAGTAAAATATGTCACAGGAAATTTAATAGATACAGTTTTTCCTAGTAGGTGAAACTTAAAGGAAAAAGAGCATATTTGCAGAGCTTAAGTTCCCCCCACTAAAAAAAAAAATTATTAATTACTAAGGCCCACAAATTCCTGGATTTTCCTCTCTCCAGAAGGTAGTTCTTAATTCCCTTCCCTTTGAGAGTGGCCTAGCATGTTGCTTTAAACAGTGTATGGGAAAGGAAAAATAGTAACTTTACAGTGGAGAAACCTAGTAGACACCACCTTAACCAAGTGATCATGTTTAACATATTAGTAATAAAGTTGATATTTTCTACTTCCTGATAAAATGTTGTATAAAAAGTTCTCATATCTGTCATATTTTCCAAAAAGTCCAAAACCCTATTCTATCCGTGAGAAATCATCAGACAATTCCTGTTAAGGACATTCTATAAAATACCAGGTCAATATTCTTCAAAAGTGTCTAGGTCAGGAAACACAAGGAAAGCCCAAAACCAACACATAGAAAATTAACGATGTATCTTTGCTTTATTAAGGAGACAGGAAGGAAAAATGCAACTTTGTATCCTATGTTGGATCTTGGATTGAAAGAACACTAATGAAAAACCTAGTGAAATTCAAATAAAGTCTGTGATTTAAAAAGGTAACAGTACTGACTTCTTCATTTTGATATGTGTACTATGGTTACCAAAATAACATTAACAGAAGCTGAGATGACAATACAAGGATTCTCTGTACTAATTTTTGCCACTCATCTGCAAATCTAAGTCATTTTAAAATATTATTTTAAAAAAAGTCTTTTGATTTTAATGGATATGGAAGTCTTCTGCATGTATTAGGTTGGTGCAGAAGTAATTGCAGTTTTGCTGTCATTTTTAATGGCAAAATGGATTTCACTCCTGAGCTCTTGTTGGATATTATTGGTCAATAATTTTAAATAATCTTTTTTTATTAAAAAATGTTTTTCTCATGTCCCCAAAAATGTTCCAGAGAGAAGATAATGTGACATTTCTTCACAGAGACTGTAGACTTTCTACATATTTTTCTGTCTATATGAATGGAAGTAAGATGACCAAATACTTTAAGAAAATATACATTACCAATTAAATAGTAATTGTGTCCCAATTTTTATTATTTCAAAATATTGTGACTTAGCCTCCTCATAAACATTACTATATTTATATTTTATAGTATTATTACCTATTTTCTTTCTTCAAGAGTGTTTTGGATTTTTTCTTCCTTTCACTCTGTTTTAAACTATTATTGCATTCTCTTACAGCTGCTACTCCACCATAAATCATTAATTCCAAGAGTATAAAACTGGTTTATCTTATCCAGATTAACCATCTCGGTCTTATCACCTTGCTCACAACCCCTGACAGGCAGCCTATCATTCTCACTTTATATTGAGAGGTTGTTAATTCAGTTCTGACTAGAGGCAGGCCAAGCAATGACCTTGACCCACTCAACATTTTTATAATCTAAATATGTTGCCAAATCTCTACTCAAGTAAACATAAAAACAAAAAGCAAATAATGGTATATAATACAGAAATGCACATATACACACATACACATATACATATATGCCTGTGTGTGTATATATATACACATATTATATATACACACAAACTCTTAAGGTTGTGTTATTCATTTCACTTGTAAAAGAACATTCATATATCATACCTTTGGGCAAAAGATTGGCTCAATATCTGCCCCAGGGATATTTTCCTCAATTAACTCACCAATTATAAATTACATTTCTAATTATTCTTATCAATAGAGTTATTATTTTCACTGTAGTTTAACAGATGAAAAATACTTTGAAAATTTGCTAATAAATGAATGGCGTTGTTACTCCCTTGGCTGGTATAAATTGTGCATTATACTGTATATATTTCACAATTTTATAGGGCTGTCAGGTCATTATTTAGAACCTGCTTTAGCAACAAATAAGCATTTGTTTCTACTACTTCCATGTAAGGCTTTACCTAGTTTGAGAGCTAGAGAGAAAGAGAGAGAGAAGGAATTAGAAAAGAGTGAGAGGTAGAGAAAGGGACAAAAGTCAAGAAGAGAGAGCTGGAGAAAGGAGAAGATTGAAAAGAATAAAATCAACACAAACCTAGTGAAATAAGTAAGCAGAGGGGGACACTAAAGATTTAAGTTGGTAACTAGGGTTTTAGGACAGTTTGTAAGACCTTATTAATTCTAAGATTCCTGGAAGACCTAACCATTTTCAAGGAAACAAAAACAGACCTCTATCTCAAAAGTAAATATACAATTATTTTGGATTATTTCTGGTTTGAGATATTTTCTGTATGACTTAAAAAAATTCCTATATTAATTTTCTACTTCTATGTAACAAATTATTTTAAATATTAGCAGCTTCTAACAATACACACTGACTGGCTCACTGTTTCCGTAGGAAAGGAATCCCTCCCAGTGCTGCATCACTTGACCGTGGGCTCCAGATACCACAAGGCTGCGATCAACGTGGCGTCCAGGCTGCATTCCCACATTGAGACGCAACCAGGGAAAGGTCTGCTCTAAAACTCACTGAAATTGCTGTCAGAATTCCTTTCTTGAGGCTGTGGGATGAAAGGCGCCATTTATTTGCTGACTCTGGCTAGGGACCACTCTCAGTTCCAAGGAGTCGCCTGCAGTTATTTTCCATGGGGCCCTTCCATAAGCCATTCTACATGGCGGTTTGCCTCATCAAGACTAGAAAGAGAATTTCCTGCCCTGGTCAGCTATGATGAAGAATTACAGGACATAATAAAATCAGAGGCCAGGACATTCCAAACACGTCCCAAACAATGAGGCTAATTAGAGTGAAATTCTTTGTTCATAGTGTTATGGGCTGAATTATATCCTGGGAAATTTATATGCTGAACTCCTATCGGCCCATAGTGAAGCGGCATTGTTGTCTGGGCTAAATACCCAAGGTTCATTGTCTCATGCCTAGGGAATCGACGATATGGACACGCAAGAAATGAATTTCAGGGTGGAGATTTAGGCTGGGCGCAGTGGCTCACGCCTGTAATCCCAGCACTTTGGGAGGCCGAGGCGGGTGGATCACCTGAGGTCAGGAGTTCGAGACCAGCCTGGCCAACATGGTGAAACCCTGTCTCTACTAAAAATACAAAATTAGCAGGGCGTGGTGATGAGCACCTGTAATCCCAGCTACTCGGGAGGCTGAGGCAGGAGAATCACTTGAACCCGGGAGGCAGAAGTTGTAGTGAGCTGAGATCGCGCCACTGCACTCCAGCCTGGGCGACAGACAAAAGTGAAGCTCCATCTCAAAAAAAGAAAAAAAAAATAGAGTGGAGGTTTAACAGGCAAAAGAAAGAGAAAAGAGAACAGCTCTCTCTCCTGCAGCGAGACAGGGGTGACCAAGTGGGTCTTCCAGTTTTCTGGTGAAATGCACAGGTTTTATAGATGAGCTTGAGGAGGTGGTGTCTCATTTACATAGGACCCAAAGAGTGGTTGGACCAAGTATGCAATTTACATAGCCCACAAGGAAGCTGGCTGCCCCACCCTAATCTTTTATTAAGCAGGTGGGGTCTCTAGCCGGCCCCACATTGCCTGCTTTTTTCCTGCACACGTGGTGACAAAGAAAAGGGAAGAGGGAATCTCCATGTTGAATATACCTGGCTTCCAAGTATCCTTTTTCTATTGGCACAGCTGCTGGCATTTATCTATGCAAGGTTTTAGCTTGCTTATCTATGCTGGCAGCTTGATTTTTCAGGCTGCATTTTGTTGGAAAAGATATGATTTGGGGGCTGCTTTTTGTTAAAAGAAAAAACCTCACTGAAGACTCTTTTACCCTCCCTATCTGCCTAAATAATTTCTTTTTAGCTCCTGTATCAATACCTCAGAATATGACTGCATTTGGAGATAAAGAGAAAATTAAGTTAAAACGATGAGATCCTTAGAGTGGGCCCAAATCCAACAGAACTGGCGTCCTTCCAAGAAGAGGAATTAGGAGGCACAGATCTTGTGAAGACACAGGAAGAAGACAACCATCTACCAGCCAAGGAGAGAGGACCCAGAAGAAACCAACTCTGCCAAAACCTTGACCTTCTGGAACCCAGCATTGTAAGAAAATGAATTTGTGTTGTGTAAGCCTTTGTCTGTGGTACTTTATTAAGGTAGCCCTAACAAACTAATACACATAGGCAGACTGTTTAATGTCGACCCTGTATCTTATTATAACTTGAGCCACAAAGCTTTTGAGTGGTGGCAGAGTCTCAATCAGCAAATCAGATGCGAGAATTGCAGCCCCACTCTACCCCTGTGGCTGCCGAAGTCGCCTGGTCTCAGCCAGGGTCTCATTTTGAGTCCATTCACATTAGGATGCAGACTGGAGAAGAAAGATGATACAATCTACATTCATTACCACAAGAGTGGCCACTAAAGCCTCTTCCTAGGAATGCCAGTCTGATTCAGTATTTAAAAAGAAGAAATCGGGAATGTCTTCCATTATGAATTAGGAAATAAAATAATTCACCCCAAAATATATTTGACATATTTTGAAATGGTTGCCGCAGGGCCAGTAGACTGGAGAGGTCCTGGAATACCGTGTTTTGTGGAGGAAATTTACATCTGTTCCAAGATATAGGTGAAAATAACTGTGAGACTGACACTTTTCAAGTCTGAAAAGAAACATTCACTATCTATTCCTTCTGTGAGCTGTTACCTGTGGTGTTTAATCTGCATAATAAGACCACTTTTGCTAGCCAAACCTCTTCCTTTCTCCCTCTTATAACCTTCTTGCCAGTAAAACCTGTTTTGGGCCATGCTCTGAGCCTACATTCTTTCTGTAATCTATAGATGGCACATAAGCTTTTGTACTTTACTGAGGTGAGGGGATGTTGAGTGTCCATTCTGAAGCCTCCCATGCATACACGTTTAATACATTTGTGTGCTTCTTCTCCTTTTAATCAATCTGCCTCATGCCAGTGATTTTCCAGCAAACCTCCTTGGCCCCCACAAATTAAAACTGGGAATTTTTAGAAGTTAAAAGATTCTCCAGACATTAATGGAGTCAAAGGAGATGATGATTCGAGGAAGTAAACATTTGTTTTATTTTCAAATATCAGATCCAAAAAGCATGGGAAGTTTTGTCACAGAAGTTTGAACCAGAGCAACTCCATCTTGAATAGGATCTGGGTAAAATAAGGCTGAAATCTACTGGGCTGCATTCCCAGATGGTTAAGGCATTCTAAGTCACAGGATGGGACAGGAGGTCGGCACAAGATACAGGTCATAAAGACCTTGCTGATTAAACAGGTTGCAGTAAAGAAGTTGGACAAAACCCACCAAAACTTAAGATGGCCGCAAAAGTAACCTCTCGTCGTCCTCACTGCTGCACTCCCATCAGTGCCATGAGAGTTTACAAATGCCACGGCAATGTCAGGAAGTTACCCTATATGGTCTAAAAAGGGGAGGCATGAATAGTCCACCCCTTGTTTAGCGTATCATCAAGAATTAACCATAAAAATGGGCAACCAGCAGCCCTCAGGGCTGCTCTGTCTATGGAGTAGCCATTCTTCTATTCCTTTACTTCCCTAATAAACTTGCTTTCATTTTACTCTGTGGACTTGCCCTGAATTCTTTTCTTGCACCAGATCCAAGAACCCTCTCTTGGGGTGCTGACCAGGACCCCTCTCCTGTAACAGCTTTCTTAGTAATTTGGCTTACAACGTAGGAATTAAGATGTAAGGGACACTTTGAATAGGAAAAAAATAGTAAAACGTTAATCTTCTGACACTGAGGCTTATTTCCACAGCCCTCCTGAGGGATGTTATTATTTATATTCTTAATTAAAAGCTGCTTCTCTGTCGGCATTCACATTCTCATGAGAAATCCAACACTGTTTTACTAAAACGGCATAAAACATTCAACTTGTATGACTTATACTTGGAGAAATAAACCTGAGTATCCTTCCCAAATCCATCTTGATAGTGTCTGCAAGACACACAGTTGATCTCAACTGATAGTTGCATGCCCAAAAGATGTACTGTATTTTTCTTCGATTTTACTTCATTTACTCTTTTCTCCCAGGGTTATACATTAATAAACTTTGGACCCAAATGAGAATTTATATTTTGTATCTTTTCTGCCAAAAGGACCCTGGATCTCAATTCACTCTAGATTTCCTAGATTGAAATGTTTGTCTAATAAAGGACATGCAAGAGAAGAACTGTATTTCTACAAAGGTAGTAGAGAACTGTGTGGAATTTTATAACATATAATACATTAGTTTACAAAATAATATTGATGATAATTGTTTGATGCAAATATGTTACAGGAAAGGGGTCCAGATCTAGACCCCAAAAAAGGGTTCTTGGATCTCACACAAGAAAGAATTCAGGGTGAGTCCATAAAGTAAGTGAAAGCAAGTTTATTGAGAAAGTAAAGGAATAGAAGAATGGCTACTCCATAAACAGAGGTTGCCCATTTTTTGGTTATTGCTTTTTGATATGCTAAACAAGGGGTGGACTATTCATGCCTCCCCTTTTTAGACCATATAGGGTAACTTCCTGTCATTGCCATGACATTTGTAAACTGTTATGGCGCTGATGGGAGTGTAGCCGTGAGGACAAACAGAGGTCACTTTCATCACCATCTTGGTTTTCATGGGTTTTGGCCAGGTTCTTTACTGCAACCTGTTTTATTAGCAAGGCCTTTATGACTTGTATTTTGTGCTGACCTCCTATGTCATCCTGTAAGTTAGAATGCTATAACCAGTTGGGAATGCAGCCCAGGTGGTCTCAGTCTCATCTTACCCAGCTCCTAGTCAAGATGGAGTTGCTCTGGTTCACGCTCCTCTGACAAATATGCACATTGCAAAGGCATCACAAACTCTACTTGTCAACAAGGAGGAATATCAAGAAAATATCTGTGATTTTAAAGCTTCCAGGCTCATTTCTGGTATTTTTAAGTACTGATACAGGAGCTAGAAAGAAATATTTAGACAGATAGTGAGGGCAAAAGACTCCTTGCCAAGGCTTCCCTTTTAACAAAAAGCAGCCCGAGAAATTATTATTATTATTTTTTTGTTCTAACAAAGAACAGACTGAAAAATCAAACAACAAACACAGATGAGAAACGTGGAAACTTGCACAGGTGAATGCTGACAACTGCACCAATACAAAAGGGCTACCTGGGAGGAGCCAGACATATCCAACACGGAGGCTCCATCTTCCGTCTTTCTTACCACATATACAATGAAGAAACAACGTGGCACCAGCCAAACCCAAAACCCATCTACATAACAAAAGATTAGGGTGGGGATGGCCAACTTTTCACACCCTGTACAAATGACACACCTAGCCCTAACCGATTTTTCGCACCTTATACAAATGACACACGTGGTCCAATCCATTTTTATGCCCTATGTAAATCAGACACGACTTCCTCAAGCTCATCTATAAAACCCCCACATTTCACCACAAAAACAGAAAATTTGTTCAGGACCCCTCTCTCTACAACAGAGAGAACTATACTCTTTCTTTCACCTATTAAACTTCCACTTTGAACGTCACTATTTATGTGTCCACGTTCTAATTTTCCATGACCAGGAAACAAACAATCTCAAATATCACCCCAGACAATGAGACCACTTCGGTAATTGAAGATAATACAGCACACAACATAGTTAATGTCAGGCCTCTGGGTCCAAGCCTGCACGTATACATCCAGATGGCCTGAAGCAACTGAAGAATGACAAAAGAAGTGAAAATGGCCTGTTCCTGCCTTAACTGATGATGTTACCTTGTGAAATTCCTTCTCCTGGCTCATCCTGGCTCAAAATCTCCCCCACTGAGCACCTTGTGACCCCCACCCCTGCCAGCCAGAGAACAACCCCCTTTGACTATAATTTTCCACTACTTACCCAAATCCTATAAAATGGCCCCACCCCTATCTCCCTTCGCTGACTCTCTTTTAGGACTCAGCCCGCCTGCACCCAGGTGAAATAAATAGCCTTGTTGCTCACACAAAGCCTGTTTGGTGGTCTCTTCACAGGGACGCACGTGAAAGTTAAAATACTCAAACTTTCTAAAACAGAAAGAGCAAAATTGAAGGCGGCATGTCCTTTTCCTTGAACTTCATTTTGGTACCGTCATCCATCAAATGGTAAAATTATTATTAAGAATTTATTAATGGAAAAAGCCAAACTCTGCAAAATATTTAAAGAGGTTTATTCAGAGGCAAATATGACTGACCATGGCCTGAGGTACAGTCTCAAGAGGTCCTGAGAACATGTGTCCAGGGTGGTTGGGTTACAGCTTGGTTTTATACATTTTAAGGAGACATAAGATATCAGTGTGAGGAATACATTGGTTCGGTCTGGAAAGGTGAGACAATCGAAGTTGGGAGGGCTTACTAGTCATAGGTGGATTCAAAGATTTTCGAATTGGCAATTAGTCGAAAGGGTTAAGCTATTATCTGAAGACCTGGAATCAATAGAATCAAGGATCCTGGGCCTGGCACGGTGGCTCACCCCTGTAATTCCAGCACTCAGGAAGGCCGAGGTGGGTGGATCACCTGAGGTCAGGAGTTTGAGATCAGCTTGGCCAATGTGACGAAACCCCGTCTCTAGTAAAAATACAAAAAATAGCCGGGTATGGTGGCACATGCCTGTGATTTCAGCTACTCAGGAGGCTGAGGCATGATAATCTCTTGAACCAGGGAGGCAGAGATTTTGGAGAGTGGAGATCACGCCACTCCACTCCAGCCCGGGTGAATGAGTGAGACTGTTTCAAAAAGTAAAAAAGGGTCCTGGAGACCAAGGTTATTATTATACAGGTGAAGTCTTATAGATGGCCACCCTCAGAGATGATAGATGGCAAATATTCCCTATTCAGACCTTTAAAAGTTGCTATATTCTCAGTTAACCTCTTCAGGATTGGGAGAGGCTGAAAGGGGAAGATCTAGTTATGTTAACAGAGATTCTTTACAGTTGCAACTTTCCTCCATTTAAAACAACAACAACAAAAAACAGCTTTGCAGGGCCATTTCAAAATATGGCAAAGAAACATATTTTTGGGTAAAATATTTTGATGTCTTTATCTGTCATGTGATGTTCATACTAGAGTCATGTTGGAATTTGGTATCTTACTGTTACAAAACTGTTTCATCATGCTTACGATCTCTATCTGAATGTTAATGCTGGTCAGTTGTATGTAAACTCCAAAAGAGAAAGGGTATAATGAGGCACATCTGACCTCCATCTTCTGTCATAGTAAAGCGGCGTCGTTGTCTGGGGTAAATACCCGACGTTTGTCCTCTCATGCCAGGGAAATCAAGAACGTGGACACACAAGGACTGAGTTTAAAAGCAGAGGTTTAATAGGTGAGAGAAAAGAGAAAAGCTCTATCTCCTGCAGAGACATAGGGGCCCCCAAGTGGGTCTTCCAGTTTTGTGGTGAAATGCACAGGGTTTTATAGACGAGCTTGAGGAGGCAGTTCTGATTTACAGAGGGCCTGAGAGATTCATCAGACCAGGTGTGATGTTTGCATAGTGCGTGAAGAAGTTGGCCATCCCACTCTCATCTTTTATTATGCAGATGGGGTCTCTACCTGGCCGGCGCCACGTTGCCTGCCTTTTTACTGCACACATGACAACAAAGAAAAGGGACGAAGGAACTTTCATGTTGAACATGCCTGGCCGCCAGGTAGCCTTTTCCTATTGGCACAGCTGCTTGCATTTACCTATGCAAGCTTCCAGCTTGCTCATATATGTTTGCAGCTCAATTTTACAGGCTGCTCTTTATTAGAAAAGAAATGATTTGGGGGCTGCTTTTTGTTAAAAGGAAAGCCTTACTGAGGACTCTCTTACCCTCACTGACTGCCTAAATAATTTCTTTTCAGCTCCTGTATCAACGGCCTCAACTAGTTTTTCAGGTTTCTTTGGAATCCCTTGATGGAGAGGGGGGTCCATTCAGTCGACTGAGGGGCTTAGAATTTTCGTTTTGGTTTACAAATTCATAAAATAAGATGCTGATGGGAGTAGAACTTTTGTTCTAAATGCCAATCCAGAACATCTATTTAGATTTAAAATATAATTGAACACACCTCAGCAAGAAAACAGGTAGATAATTTTTAAGAAAGTGTTTATGAGGATTGGATATAAGTGTGGTGGTCTAAAGTGTGTAATTTATCTCATGCATTGTTACCAATAGGCATTCTCCTAAGACAAATTATTCGGAAAACAAGTGCTGTTATGTCTTGCCCATCATGTCTCAAGTGCAGCTGTTGCCTTAATTATTGCTCAACTCACAGATTTTGAAATAATGAAGACACCTGTCCATAACCAACACTGAGAAAATGACCTTTTCAAAATGACTGAATACATATATATTTTAAGGGTAACACACAAAAACTTTGGAAAAGCAAATGAATACAAAATCAAATAATTATTATGTATGGTCTCGCATTTATTTCCTTGATATTGTTTTAATATTTTTTACACCCTTGTATAGATGTCTTATTCTTCCACAATATGCATATTGAAAAACTGTTATGTTTTTTATGTATAGAAGGTTGCAATAATTAACATATTAGTAACTAATGTCAGGTAACTATATATGTTGGGGCATAATTACATATTAAAGTGAAAATTAAAAACACTATCTTTTAGCTCACTGAAAACAATTCAATTAAATTCTAGGGTAAGTACAGATATCTTGGTTCCTAATGTTTTGAAGATGATTTTGTAAGTCTTAATCATAAAATTTTTCTACAGGTTTATACTTCCAGTGGTGAAATTTGGATTAATTGAACAGCAAGGAAAAGAGGCCACTAACTTACTAACGCAGCCTTCTGGAAAATCCCGTTGCTAATGAAAAGCCTGCTGTGATCAGGATCCCATAGACTGAGGACCATCCTGCTAGGACTGCAAATGTACTCTCTCACCTGACTACACTGATTCTGCTCCATCCTTTAATTACTACTTGCTAGGTTGTTTTTTTATCAGAGAAAAATACAAAGTTGAAATATAAAGAGAAGTATTAAAGAAAAGTAGTCATGAATTGTGTGGAATTTTATAACATGTGGTATAATAGTTTACATAACCATACTGACATAATTTTTTAATTGTTCTAATTATTTTAATTGTTTGAGGCAAATATACATATTGCAAAGGCACCACAGACTCCTTGTGAACAAACAAGAAATATAAAAACTTGAGAAATATAGAAACAAAAAATATACAAACGAAATATAAAAAGAGAACTATTATAAAAATAGAACTCTGGTAATATGTTATTCACCGTTTTTGATACTTTATTTTTACGTGAAAATGTCTCAAAACTGTATTTTAGCAAGTATACAGAAAGAGAACAGAGATTGTTTAAATGAAAACGTGCCCACCACCCTAATTGGAATGATTATATTATCTTCTTCATACACATGTATGCATGCATAGATTAAATAAAATAATATGGAGAATCAGTTTTCATCTCCTTTCTCCTCTGATGTAACTATTAAAATGTTTTCCTATGTGTAAATCTATTTCATATGTCTATTATTTCAGTGAAAACATACCTGAAAATATTTTAAGCAATGATTATAGCACTACTCTGTCTTAGTTGTAATGGTTTTATAGAAATTCTATTTTTTAAATTTATTATTTAAACCAAGCAATGTTTTTTAAAGTATATATTTAAATTGCCAATATATTTTACCTATTACCAGACTATTTTTGTTTCTGTTATTCTACTTGTTTCTTCCAAGAGAACAAAATGTTTATGCAGCTTTCTCAATGAGGGTCCAAAAATACTAAATTCTGTCAGTCTTTATTTCTCTAAAAATTTATATATTTTTCATTATAAATTTTAACAGGTGTATATAGAATTCTATCTTCTTGTGACATCTATTTTATGATGATAAGTTTAATGACAATTTATCACTTCTCTGTCAGTTGTCTCTATATTATCTCTGGTAATTTTAAAGGGTTTTTTGTTCATTATTATCAATAAATTGGAATAGGTATGGATATGTTTTTATTTATTGCTTACATTATCTTGAGTGTATTGTCATAATGAGGATTAATGTCCTTTTTGATTTTGAAACATTCTTAGCCAATATCAAGATTTTGCATATTATTCTAGTAATTTGCCTAAAATGAACCATAAACTTTTCCTTTTTTAATTTCTAAAAGCATTTGCTGGTGCATGTATTTTGGAATTTTGGTAACAAGATAACCCCAAATCTTATTATTTTTAATGTCTTCTATTTTCGTGGAATGGAGACTTTATTTAGAGAGAATACATAATAAGGCATACAGTGAGAGCAAAGTTAAGTGTAGGTCTTAACTATTGTAGCTCCAAATGATACAAGGAATATGTGAATACTGAACTAATAATAAGAGATAATTTATTTAATACTGATTTTCTAAATAGTATAATAGCTATACCTATTAAAAAATAAATGAATTGGTCTAAAGCTGGATTTTATCATGTGAGTTTTGGACACTAATATGGTGTGTTCCTTAGAAGTGAAATGTATGTTTGCAGGTCAAATTGTAACTTAGTCTCTGATTATTTCATATAAAAATATACACATAATTTTATTAGATTTGCCTGTATTGCAGATACCTATTATTTTACACATCAGTAAATATTTTTCCCCTGATATTTTTACTATTTGTAAAATAGTGGTAAAACATTCATTCATTCTCCTGTTATTTTTCAACAAACATATTTGGGAGAATATGTGTGTGGGTGTATGCACACGTGTGTGTGTGCATGCATGCGTGTGTAATTTATATTCTACTTTGGTATTTACAGTACAGTGAAAACTACAATTTTATGAAAAATGAAGTTACAGGAGATAGCACGTTGTTGTTCATTAAGGATCCACCCCTTTCTTCATTCTCCAGTGATGGCTTCAGTGATTGGTATGTGACCCATGTCACATACACAAAAGGACTTAAGTACAGTTGGATTCAACCCATATTTGAAATATATGTTGTACCACTGTGTGTGGTGGGGGAGAGGTATTAGAAAAGACTCTTCTACTTGATCTGGAAGTGGGTGAGTTGGGATAAATATAATTACTACAAAATTGGTAAGAGATGGGATAAATATTGTGCCGGGGCTGCAGGTGGTCTTTGTCGTCACTAGAAATGTCCTCCTTAAGAAACAAAACGCCCCTGGCTTGGTGGTGAATGCCTGTAGTTCCAGGTGCTCAGGAGGCTGAAGCACTTGAGACCAGGAGTTTGAAGCCAGCCTGGAGTGACAAAATGAGACCTCTTTCTCTCCTACAATTCCCCCTTGAAAAACTGAAAAAAAGAAGCAAAACAAAGCATAGCAGATTCCTGACCGTATCATTTAAGCAGCACCTGGGCCCTACCTTGGACATTTCCATTACACATGACTAATTCCTTTAACCTCTATCTTTTGAAAATGAAAAGGCCCTCCAACATTCGAAATATACTGGACGTCTTTCGTTTTCCTAACCAAGCTCCAATTACAACACTTCATCTTCATTAAAAATGATACACATAGGCTGAGCATGGTGGCTCATGCCTGTAATCCCCGCACTTTGGGAGGCTGAGGCAGGAGGATCATGAGGTCAGGAGTTTAAGACTAGCCTAGCCAACATGGTGAAACCCCGTCTCTACAAAAGATACAAAAAATTAGCTGGGCGTGGTGGCATGCACCTGTAATCCCAGCTACTCAGGACGCTGAAGCAGGAGAATCACTTGAACCCAGGAGGCCGAGGTTGCAGCGAGCAGAGATCCTGCTATTGTACTCCAGCCTGGCGACAGGGCGAGACTTCGCCCCCCGCCCCCCATAAAACAAAAAAGATACACAGTCTTTCAATTTAAAAAAATGAGTGATAAAAGTGGCCACTGAAACTATGAAACAAAATTAAAACTTAATAGTGCCAAGGAAATACAAATTAAAACAACAGTCAGATATCTTCCTTAGATGTTAAAACAAGCAAAATAGATCTGTGGTGTATTTTGCTTCTAAAATTATATAATCAGAATTGACAAATGTATGGGATATTTGAGTTCTCATGCACCGTATATAAAAATTTAAAAATTAGCAAAATATTTTTGAAGGGAGGTTTAGCAGTCCCAAAATGTTTAGAGTTTTATAAACCTTCTATTAGAAAAAGAAATGTCTTCTGGGAATCCTTTTCCATATAACTAATTTTTGATGAATACAAATCTTTAAAAACAAGAATCATATCATTTATTTTTTAATATAGTGAAAAACACTGATATCAATAACTAAAACCACAAATATGTTTAAATATGTTTACAAACTAAGATACTGATATACAACTGTGTACACATATCTTAATGTAGCATATTTAATAACTTATGAAATATTCAAAATATTAGAATATCTGGTTTCATGTATCATATACAGTATGATACATTTTAATTTTTTAAAAAGCCAAATTCATATCATTAGCTATGTATTCTTCTGTCTACCCGTAACCTTTAAGTTAGTGTGCTAATAATGTCAATCTTTATGTGGACGGGTTACAGTTGGTTATATTCCCTTTTAGTGTGTGCTTAACTGGAAAGTCTGGGTGTATGTGTGTGTGTGTCTGTTTGTGTGTGTTTATAATTAAATTACAGGGGCCGGCGTGGTAGCTCACGCCTGTAATCCCAGCCCTTTGGGAGGCTGAGGCAGGTGGGTCACCTGAGGTCAGGAGTTTGAGACCAGTCTGGCCAACATGGTGAACCCCATCTCTATCAAAAATACAAAAAAATTAGCCAGGCGTGGTGATGCATGCTTATAATCCCAATTACTTGGGAGGCTGAGGCAGGAGAATCATTTGAACCCGGGAGGCGGAGGTTACAGTGAGCCGAGATTGCGCCATTGCACTCCAGCCTGGGCAACAAGAGTGAAACTCCGTCTCAAAACAACAACAACAAAAAGAATTAAATTACAGATTGTATTATAAGTTTTGTAATTGGTAAATAGTTCTGGTTTAAGTATTTTGTTGAAGGCAGGAGTTATATTGACTAGATTAAATTTTTCTTTATAAAACACTATTTTACACTTTAAGTAAATCTTGTAATTTATAATTATCTACTTATTTGGTACAATAAAACACCTGTATTTACAAATAGGTAACTGTCAATTATAAATAAAGTTAGTTTCTAAAGAAGCCATAGGATGAGTAGATAAATTCCTAAATAATGATTTCAATATTATTGTTGTGAAAAGTTTTTAAATTGGAGTTACTCATTTGAAATTGTTTTTAAAAATATTCTAGTTTAATCCACTTTTTTAATTTCAGGAAAATTACTAAAATAACTAAAGAAAATAAATAAAACGACACTGTAAAACTCCTATTTCAGAAAAATTTTTAATAAATGTGATTTCTACCCTAGTTTTTAAGATTATTATGTATCCTAAAATTAAAAATAATTTCCTGCATGCTAAACAGATAAATGTTTAGTTTCAGAAGTGAGTCAGTTCATGTGAAATGGAATAATTTTTATGAAAACCTTTTTGGCAAGGAGAGTTCACATGGAACCTGGGCAAAAGTAAACTAATAGTGAATATTCTTGTCTTTCTTTTTCCTTGTAACTTCCCTCAAGGTTCTAGGGATTGACAACCTATTCTCACCTATTATACATTATATCTGGCTGTCCAAATATTACTTGCTAAGTGGTAGATTTCACAAGTTGTACTGCTCTTCTGTGTCATGTCTTCCAGAATCTGAATTTGAGTGAGCACCTGGCGCAGAGATCCCGTTCCTCCCTCTGTGTCACTGTGATTGAGCATGGTTAAACTTGCCAGGTAGTTATTGTCCCAAAAGTGCCAGGGCAAATATGTCACATTCTTTATCCATCTTTCCTTTCATTGCTTTTGCCTCAAATTCTATTCACTGATTTTTCTGACACTACTAAACTTGCCTTATATTAGCAAAGAAGTGGCCATGGAGCCACAAAGAGCAAGTACGATTCTACTCTGTTTTGATCATCGTCACTCAATTTGTCATCCCCGTCTTGATAGCTGATCTCTCAACCAAATGTTATGTTGTAAAGAGGAGAAAAATTTATCGTTTGATCATGGCACAGAGAAAGAATTGCTGTGAATGTCTTATTTTTAAAAGTAGACGTAAATGTGTTTCCTTATCAAAATAAGAAAGCTACAGTAAATAAACTGTCCACTTTTATTATATAAATGAAATACTACTAATAATGATATGCAGGTGATGATTTACTCTTGAATTTCTCTTGTCCATCTTCATTTGTAATACAGGATTAAGTTCTTGTTAATTTGTTATCACCAACACAGACATTTGCCCGAAGTTTAAGTAGCACCAAATGCAAGTAAATAATACAGGTGAAGATGTCACAAGATTTTAGAAAGGGGAAAGCATACCTGTTTTTATCATTCACGCTACTGTAAATGGAAAAATAAATGCTGGACTTAAAACTTTTGCACACTGAATATACGTAATATGGTAAATATTAGTAATATATAAATATAGTAAAATTAAGAGGAAATGGGTTTAATCACAGATTTAGCAAACATCAGTTTTGTTTATTGACATTTTGAAGTCCAAACTTTGTATAATAAAAAGCACCACACTTGTTTCCCCAGATTGACAAAGCAAGTCAGCTTCTATCTTTAGAAAGAGGTATGATTATATAAATGTGGTAATTTTTCAATTACATATGTAGGGAACGTGCTAAGTCCAATGTAATGAGAGAAAAATAAAGCACTTATAATTACTACAATAAAAATAACTATAAACAAATAACTAAAAATAAAACAATAATATAAATAAGCAAACAAAAAAGATACCTATTTTTAACATGTGGGTTCATTTATTTCATATAAGCATATATTTCATATAAGCATATACTTTTATGCTTATATACTAAGCCTGTATTTACAACATTTTTGCAGGCTTACTATATGTAAAGAATTAGAGATTTTAGTAGGGAGACTGGAGTTACCAAGAATAATACATTTCTTTGAAACAAGGTTCATTTGCAATATGTCAAAAAAGCAACACAACTTAGCATTTTAAGATAAAGTGTTCTGCAAATGACAAGCCATACTCCAGTAGAATTTGGTTGTCTAGCCTATTGCTACAGTTCTTCAAGAAGTGTAATTTGAGTTACTCCCTTATTAAAAAATAAAGAACCAACAAAATGAAAAGAATCATAGGATTGTACTCAAAGTATTTAGCCTACAACTGCATGTATGCATATGCACACACGTAAACACACACACACAAATAAGTACACCTGCACAAACACACCAAATGTCCATTTACCTGAAAGGATAATCTCATGTAAGCATGTTTCACATGTACAATTTTTTTTTGTGAGTGGGTTTTTTGAAACAAAGAGTTGTTCTTCGTCCCAGATTGGATTTTGAAGTTAAATATGATTCTGCCTTAATTCCAGGCTCCTAATTCAATCTTCAAGATAAATGACAAATTTATCTTGTTTGTTATAGCCTTTGTTTGTTATAACCTGAATTTGTTATAGCCTGAATTTGTTTGTTATAATTTGTTTGTTATAGCCTGAATATAACTGATTAATGTACTTTTCAGTTACACAAACTTGGAAATACGATACATTCTTAATCACTGTTGAATTAATTCATGAATGCAGTTGCCTCTGTCTTGAGGTAATAGTTAAGGGAAATAGTATTTGTCCACTCTTTGCAAAGGATTTGTATGACTTGGAGTACTTACAGCTAGCCGTTTTAATCTATTGATTGCAATTTGTAATTTCTCTCAGAAACAGAATATGCAGACATTTTTACTCTAGTGTCATCCAAAGAATGAGAGCAGTGAGTTTTACACTGGATTTTTCAGTGTGTGATCATGTGAAAAAAAAGGCTGGCATAAGGCTGAAAAGTCACCTGGCATAAAGCTCTAGGTGACTGTAATAAAACCTACCATTTTTAGGCTTTCAATGTTTATTTTATACCTTTCAGACTTCTCATCCTTCAGTTCAAATGCATTGTTATATTTGTATTCCTACTACCTGATATATTTCTTTTTGCCCATGAAATATCTAGTGAATATAGACTACAGACTAAATAGCTTGTAAACATAGTGTCTCAGGCTAAGTAGCTGCCTGTGTTTCCTATAGGAGTTCAAATTGGTGTTACCTGAAGTTTGAGGGGCAACTATCAGGAGAAAGAAGGCATCAAACTTCCTTGATTTGGAATATGGGAGAAAAGGTGGGGGTACTTTTAATATCCTGATTCTAATAATAAATACATCACAATTGAATGGGATAGGGAAAAAAGATATTATTGAATGGTAATTATATCACAAAGCTCAGTGTAGAGTGTTGTAAAAAAAATTTTAAAACTATGATTTGCCTTGGTAATAGTTGTGATAACAGTTAATTGGGAGTATTGAAGAGGGCATTATTTATTGTGTCCAAGTGACAGCATCAATCATTTTAAAACAATGTCAGAAATTCATGTTTGAGTAAGCATGTCTATTTATTACCCACCACTTAAAAAATATTAGTTTGTTGTTGACACTATCCTAAGCCAACCTACATATTTTAAAACATTTAAAAAATACTTTGACTGTCTTATGACTTTCATTATGGTTGATTAGCAATCAGCTGCATATCTAACAATTGTTCTTTGTAAGTGTATTAGTCCATTTTCACACTGCTATAAAGAACTTTCTGAGACTGGGTAATTTATAAAGAAAAGAGGTATAATTGACTCAAAGTTTCACGTGGCTGGGGAAGCCTCAGGAAACTAACAATCATGGCAGAAGGGGAAGCAAGTGTGTCTAACATGGCGGCAAGGGAGAGAGAGCATGTGAAGGAGGAATTGTCAAATACTTATAAAACCATGAGATCCCATGAGAACTCACTTACTTACTAGCAAAAGAACAGCATGGGGGAACCTCACCTCCATGATCCAATCACTTCCAACCAGATCCCTCTCTCAACACGTGTGGATTACGGGGATTACAATTCAAGATGAGATTTGAGTGGGGACACAGAGCCAAGGCGTATCAGTAAGTAATCTTTCTTTTCTCTCTTACTGTTTTTACTGTGTTTCTCTTTTACTTTGGAATACTATATTTTCATTATGTTCTGCTAGATAGGTTTTTTTTTTTTTACTATTCTGGTGGATTGTTGTGGTGCTTATTTATAGGAAGATTCATAATTTCTATCATTTTTGAAACACAGCCATTATCTTCAAGAACATGTTTCAGCCTTATGTCCTCTCTCCTTTCTTATAAGACTGAAACTAAACAGACAAAACAAAAATAGAAATAAAGAAATGAGAAACAAATAAATATTATTTACACTTGAGTCAATTTATTTAACAGGTTATGTTTATAGACTGTACAAATATTAATGCATTCTGAAGGCCTACTATAGGTAAAGAATTGGACATTGTAGGAGACAGATGAGAGTTTCCAAGAGTAATGCATTTATTTGAACTACAATTCATATGCAATATATCAGAAGTGGTGACAAAATGTTAATTCTGTTTCTTAAGTCTTTTATATTTTTCTTTAATAACTTCAATCTCAAACCTATATTTTAATGACTTCAAATTTATATTTTATATTTAAATATTTTTAATTTTAATATTAAATTAATCTTAATATCTACCTATATTTTAGGTAATTTTTTAGTTCTATATTCTAATTTGTAAAAGCTTTATTAATCTATTTCTAATCTAGCATAAAATCTATTAGGTATTAAAAAATAAATATTCTTTACATTTCAGTATCATTCTTTATCTTAGCATATTCTTCTGTTATTTTAACTGACAAACAATAATTGTATATTCTTATCATGTATATGTTGTTTTGAAATAGGCTTACACTGTGAAATAGCTAAGTCAAGCTAATTAACATATGTATTATTTCACATATTTTTCTTTTTTATGTGGTGAAATGCTTAAAACCTACTCTCTTGGCAATTTTCAATAATATAATACATTATGATTAACTATAATCTCCTTATTGTACAAAAGATCTCTTCAACTTGTTCTAACTGAAATTTCATATCCTTTGACCAACATCTCAATTTCCTCCCGCCTTTAGCTGCTGTAACCAACCACTCTACTCTCTACTTCCATGAGTTCAACTTTTTTAGATTCCACATGTGAGATCATACAGTATTGGTCTTCCTGAGTGGAACTTATTTTATTAACATAATGTCGTATGTCATCTAGGTTCCTTGTCGCAAATGACAAAATTTCCTTGAAGTCTGAATAATATTTTAGTATGTGCATATGTGTTGCGGGGGGTTGTAGCTATATTTTCTTCATTCATCCATTGATGGACCCATAGATCGATTCCACATCTTCACTATTGTAAATAATACTACAATAAACACAGGAGCGCAGGTATCTCATCTATATAGTTGATTTTATTTGCTTTGTATATAGACATAGTAGTGAGGTTGCCAATTATATGGTAGTTTTATTTTTTATTTTTTGGGAATCTTTATACTGTTTTCCAAAATGGCCATACTAATTCACAATCCCACCAACAGCACACAAGAGTAAACTTTTCTCCATATCCTCACCAACATTTGTTATCTTTCTTCCTTTTGTTGTTAGCCATTCTAACAGGTATCCCATGGTTTTTATTTGCATTTCCTGATAACTAGCAATGTTGAGCATTTTTTCATATACCTGTTGGCCATTTGTTGCCTATGCATATTCTTTGCTCATATTTTAATTAGGTTATTTGGTTTCTTTCCATCAAGTTGTTGGAGTTTCTTATATACTTTGGATATCAAGCCCTAGATGTGTTGTTTACAAATATTTTCACCAATTCCATAGGTTGTCCCTTTATTCTGTTGACTGTTTCCTTTGCTATGCAGAAGCTTTTAAGTCTAATGTAATTAAATTTGTCTATCTTTGCTTTTGCTGCCTGTGCTTTTAGGCTTATATTTTAAAAAAATCACTGCCCACACAAATGTAATGGAGCTTTCCTATATGTTTTCTTCTAGTAGTTTTACATTTACATGTCTTATATTTAAGTGTTTATTATATTTCGAGTTGATTTTTGTATATGGTGTGAGATAAGAATCTAATTTCATTTTTTTTGTATTTAGATATTCATTTGTCCCAAAACCATTTATTAAAGAGACTATTCTTTCCCAAAGTGTGCTCTTGGAAACTTTGTCAAAAATCAATTGACTGTAGATGCATAGATTTATTTCTGGGCTCTTTATTCTATTCAATTGGTCTATGTGTCTGTTATCCTGCTGCTTCTATTACTTTATTACTGTAGCTTTTATTACTATAGCTTTTATTACTACAACTTTGTAGTATATTTTGAAATCAGATATTGTGATGCCTCCAGTTTTGTTCTTATTGCTCAAGATTGCTTTATTCAGTCTTTTCTTGTTTCATACAAATTTTAGGATTTATTTTCTTTTTCTGTAAAGAATGCCATTGGTTGGGAGGCCGAGGCAGGTGGATCACAAGGTTAGGAAATCGAGACCACCCTGGCTAACATGTTGAAACCCGTCTCTACTAAAAATACAAAAAAAAATTAGCCAGGCGTGGTGGGGGGTGCCTGTAGTCCCAGCTACTCAGGAGGCTGAGGCAGGAGAATGGCGTGAACCCAGGAGGCAGAGCATGCAGGGAGCAGAGATCGCGCCACTGCACTGTAGCCTGGGTGACAGAGCGAAACTCTGTCTCGGGGGGAAGGAAAAAAAAAAAAAAAAGAATGCCACTGGAATTTTGATAGGAATTGCATTGAATCTGCATATTGTTTTGGGTAGTGTGGACATTTTAACAATATTGATTCTCCCAATCCATGGATATGGGATATCTTTTCATTTTAACCATGGAAAACTATAAAACATTGATAAAAAGTATTAAAGAATACATTAAAGAATGAATTCTTTAATACTTTTTATCAATGTTTTATAGTTTTCCATGGTTAAATTTATTCCTGTTTAATTTTTAGATACTGTTATAAATGTGATTTTTTTCTTGACATGTTATACACCTAGGAATTTTTATTACATCTTGAAAACTGTGCATTTTCCAACGTTGAGTATATGGATTTTTTGTGGTTGTTGTTACTTGTGGTTCAGCTAAAAACTTTTATATCTTGTTTTTAAACTTTATTAGTGCAAACCTAGTTTTCTCCTTTAGTAAGATAGAGTTTGTCTCCACTACTAAAGACTGTTTTCCCTGTGGCCTTCTTGAATGCTGAGGGATCTTTGAAGGTCTTGTTAGAAATTTGAACAGTTTCCATATCTAAGTGAACTCTGAGAGTTGCTCAGTTTAGGGTTTTGAGGGCATACTTTGTTCAACCACTTAGATTTTTCAGTTTATGTATATAGCTCTCATTATTTAGCAAAGACTCAAAGGGTTTCCTTAGGCAGATTCTAAGGCCATTGTTCTGGGTAGTTCTCTCTTCTTAAAAACTCTGTTCTGAAACTTCCAGCCTCTTCAGATTCTCTAAGTTCTATACTCTCTCACCTTGACTCAGCAAGAAAATTGTCTTTGGTTTAGATTTTGCTCCCTGATCCATGATTCAGAATGAGTGTTTTTGAAATAATCTTGAATGATGAAAATTTTTATCTTACTTGTTTTATCTTTTCTTGGGCATCTCAGACATGCACTGCCTGGTGTCTCATGTTTAAGTCGTGTTAATTCATAAAATTTGTCAATCTTTCTAACTGTTTAAGACAAGAAGGTAAACACAGACTTTGTTACACCACCATGGCTGGAAAAGGAGTCCTCAAAACTCAATTTTAATTTGAGTGGGAAAAAGGCTGTGATGAGAATTAATTGGAGCAAAACCGAACCTAATTAGGAAAGGATGGCAAAATAAAGAGTATGTATGAAGTAACAGAGAAATGTTAAATCACGCATTATCAATATTTAGCTTATTAACCTGGCTATCACAGTCTTCTAGGGTAAATATTCTCAGATTTACAAAGTGGACTAATGATAATTAACTTTATCATTTGATGTTTCACAAATCAGAATAAATTATTGTATTTAACAAACATTTAAACTTTCAGTAAAACACAATTATCCCAACTGAATTATTTTCTCCAGTTTAATTGATCCAGTATTGAACTGTTTTAGAGTAGCTTTCATGTAAAACATTATGTTCAGAGTCCCTTTCATTATCATGTCCAGTAGATTTGCTGTTCCTTTATAGATTTTCCTTTGCAAAGCCATTTAACTTAATGGAATCCCATTGATAAGTGCAGAAGCAAACAAATTAGCTCATCAGTTTCTGATAAGAGCCAGGATGGTGAATTAAATAAAAAAGTTAAATAAGACAAGTGTGTGATTGACTAACTTTCACATCAATCTTAAATAATAGCCCATTATTCCTTTCTTAAATTAGGTGTCATTTTCTTGAGTAACTAGTGAAGCGATAAGGTAAAATATATACATGGTAATGCAGGTGTTATGTTTGTAATTAAACATTACAATTTGTTTAAACTGAAAGTGATGTATTAAAATTACTTATGCATCTTTCAAAATGAATCATTTTTTAATTATATATCTAATTGGGATCTCCAGTCTAGAGTGTTAATCAGTCCACATGACATAAGAAGGATGTTCATTGATTTGTGGTAAAGAAGGGGAACTCTCCATTTTCAGCCCTATTCAATTACTAAACAAAATAAAATATCAAGTGTAAGTCACTACCAGAAAAAAAATTCATCTCCATTTTCATGTTCGGGTTCAATAGATTAATTTTTTTAAATGCTATACCAGATAGATATATTAATAACTTAGTTCATTATAACATTTACTATTGGTTTTATTAAGTTTGTAATAGTCTCTACTGAAAATTAATTACTAATTAATTTTTGTTAATTAATAAGAACATAATAAGAACATAGTTAATACTGGTTGTATGTATAACTTCTACAATTACAATCAAGCTATCCAAATTTCAAATTATTTATTTTTAATTACATTTGATTTGCAATTAAAAATTGGCAAATTACTTAAAATTTGTTGATTGTTTTATATATGTAAGCAAGATAAATTAAAAGAGTATAAGCAAACATTTCAATTTAGGACCTTGAAAATTTTATTCTCTTCTCATATTAGAGTCATGAAACCTCCTTCAGAATTGCAACAATAAATATAGATAAAATAAAAAAACAGACATTTTGCTAATGGTGATGTAATCATTTGTGATGGATACTCTCTCGGTATATTCACGTTCTTCCTGTCTTGATTCATTGATTTGACATTAGAACATGCTCAGTTTTCTTCTATTATTAAAACAAAACAGCATACCAAAAAATAAGCAGTCAGAAAAATGAACAAGGAAAGACATTATTTAACACCAAATCACACCCATTTATAAAGGATGCTATTTATCTACCTTGTCTTAGCAAAGGAAATGAATAATCATCAAGTTGTCTACTGAAAGTATAGTATTTTCATTCATTTTGTTGAGCTATCCACGGGCACTATGCAATCTGGATAAATTATTTAGTTCTGAATCCTTCTTTCTTCCCTTCCTTCACTCACTTCACTGGCTTCCTTCACTTCCTTTCATTAATTTCTCCTTTATTATGTTTGGGGGTTTTATTCTGAAATTTCTCTTACTCAGACACTGGGCTTCCAGAGCTAATTCCATTATTTTGTTTATTATTCACCATCATTTGATGACCATTTCTAATGTCCAAGCTATATTGTCAAGACTGTCATTCAGTACTTCTCATATTTTTTAAAAAAAATTATTTATTTTATAATTTCCAAAACTTTTCTTGGAGTACTTGCTGATTTTTTCATAGCATCTGTTCTTGTAACATGCAGTATCTTTTCTCTCATTATTTGGTTTTCCTTTTAAGTTCTTGTCTGTTCACTTCCTTGCCTCTGATCATATGAGATCCATTTATCTGTCTGTTTCATTTGATCTCCCTACTTGTCTGTAAAGAACATACAACATGGGAAAGTAAAAGTTTATTTTTCAATATTTACTTAAACACTATACATGTACGTACATATATGTATATGTGTATACCTACATATATATGTACACAGGGTGTGATGGTTAATATTGTGTCAACTTCATTGGATTGAAGGATGCAAAGTACTGTTACTGGGTGTGTCTGTGAGGGTGTTGCCAAAGGAGATTAAAATTTGAGTCAGTGAACTGGGTGAGGCAGACCCACCCTCAATCAGGGTGGGCATCAGCTAACCAGCCGCCAGCATGGCTAGAATAAAACAGGCAGAGGAACGTGGAAAGAGCAGACTTGCTGAGTCTTCCCGCCTTCATCTTTCTCCCGTGCTGGATGCTTCCTGCTCTCAAACATCAGACTCCAAGTTCTTCAGCTTTTGGACTCTTGAACTTACACTAGTGATTTGCCAGGGCATCTCAGGCCTTCAGCCATAGACTGAAGGCTGCACGATTCGCTTCCCTACTTTTGAGGTTTTGAGACTCAGACTGGCTTCCTTGCTTCTCAGCTTGCAGACAGCCTATTGTGGGACATCACCTTGTGATTGTGTGAGTTTATCCTAATACAATCCCCTTTATATTCGTGTGTGTGTGTGTGTGTGTGTCCTATGAGCTGTATCTGTCTAGAGAACCCTAACTAATACATAGGGTCAGGCAATATTCTAGCAACTGGGGAAACATTAGGAAACAAAATCATTCAGGGGGCCTATATGTATATAAACAATGTTGTAAAGAGTGGGAAATTCTAATGAGAAAAAAAATGAAGGGCAGTAAGAAGTAATTAGTTATAAGGCATTCATGTGTTAGCCCCACAATAAGGTAACAATGGCAGAATTGGCAGGTTCTTCCAAGGGCACAAAATACAATCAACGACAGTTGTTGTTTTTTTTTTCCCCTAATTAGAAATGCTCCCTGGCTGGGCGCGGTGGCTCACGCCTGTAATCCCAACACTTTAGACGTCTGAGGTGGGTGGATCACGAGGTCAGGAGATTGAGACCATCCTGGCCAACATGGTGAAACCCTGTTTCTACTAAAAATCCAAAAATTAGTTGGGCGTGGTGGCACGTGCCTGTAATCCCAGCTACTCAGGAGAATGGGGCAGGAGAATCAGGTTTGAACCAGGGAGTCAGAGGTTGCAGGGGCTGAGATCCCACCACTGCACTCCAGCCTGGCGAAAAAGCAAGACTCCGTCTCAAAAAAAAAAAAAAAAAAAAAAAAAAAAAAAGAAAAGAAATAAAAAGAAATATTCCCCAGAGAGAAACACTCCAATCACATACCAGAACAGAATTAGCTTGGCTGCCCCAATTCTAGATGTCCAGCGGGGAAAGAGGCCTTCCTGTCTAAGTGCAGGCATAAGTCAAACTTCCTTCTACAGTACAGTGTTTCATTCCCAGCCCAGCCGGGTCTTGTTTCCACTTTTCCAGAATCTTTAGGGCTCTCATCTTTTTGCTATGGTGGACTTGGGAAAAGCAGTGGTGGCTGAAAGAGTAGAAACTTCTCTTCATTTCAGCCCCTCCCTGAACATCTGGTTGTAGAGAAGCACATTCCTCAGTGTTCTGAACATTTCAAAGGTTTTATTACATGCGGACTGACTTATTTGTTTTCCTTATTACAGACATCCAGATTTCAAATTTGCCTTGAAAAATCAGTTCCTACTCATGCACTGGTTTTGCTGTTTTCCAAAATTATATTTTTCTTAGGGTGTTTTCTCCTTGTTTTCCATCTATGGGGCTTATAACTTGTATTCATTCACTGTGGTTTAAGTGTATAATGGGAGGGAGAATAGGTCAGTGTTCATGTTTCCTCTGTGTTATTTCCAAAGTGATTATTGTAGAATGCAAATCAGATCATTTTCTTTCCATGGAAAATCCTCTTTGGTTCTTTTTTGCATTGAAGATAAAGCTCAAGCTTCTAAAAATGGTTTTCAAAATCTTTCTGAGTTGATACTAACTATAGTCATAATAATAGTAATTGCAGTAACGTGATAATAATTATTATTTATATTATGATGGTGACATTTATTCATTACTATGTGCTAGGAACTGTATTATTTCATTTAGTCTTCAAAACAAACCATGAGGAAATAATTTTGTATTTTATCTCTTCTATCAGTTAAAGAAAAATAGTGTCTAGAAATTATCCAGCTTACACATAGTAACACAAATGATTAACTCATCATTATAATTAAATTTATTTGTTTATAAGACTCAATAGTTATTTGTTGTTAGACTCAAGAGTGTTATGAGTTCCAAGACTCACAAAAGTATTCTAATGCTTTTCTACACTATTCTACAGCTCTTGTCATTTTTTTAACTCTTTGAATTTAAACTCTATTCAACCTGAACTCCTTTCAGTTTCTCTATTTTTCCCCCAATTTTTCTCAAGGTAAGAAAAATCACACAATCTCAGACGCATGAAACTCCCCAGCACCTATACTCTTCCAGGAACTCTCATAAGTTTAATGTCCCAGTCAGGAAAACATTTTATCTTTTTCAATCACTTAATCACAGCATATTGCAATCACCATGATATGCCCACATTTTCCTTAGATTTTTTGTAAGTTTCATGAATTTATTTTCATGTATTTCCTCTTCATTGCTATAGCCTCTTACTTTGCTCATCCTACTAAGTGTCCTATATTTCTCAGTAAGATTAAAATAACTATATTAGTTTCCCATTGCTGCTACAACAAATTACCTCAAACATAGTGGCTGAAAAGAGCACAGATTTATTATCTTACAGTTCTAAAAGTCACAAGTTCAAAATTGGTCTCACTCAGCTCACTGCACATCTTAGCTGGAATGCGTTTACTGCAGGAAGCTCCAGGTGAGAACCTGTTTTCTTGCTTTTTCCTGCCTTTTTCATTTCTTGGTCTGTCCTTTCACAATCTTCAAAGCCTAGTCACATCTTTCTTACATCAAATCACTCTGACACTGTTTCTTCCACTTCCCTTTTTCTCATTTAAGCATTTAAGCATGATTATTTGGGGCCAGCTGAATAACTCAGAATAATCTCCCTATTTTTTATTTTTCGGTCAGCTGGTTAGCAACTTTAATCTCATCTGATACGATAATTCCCCTTTCCCATGTAGGCTAACATAATGGGATTAGGAAGTGAACAGAGGTAAGGGATGGGATTTGCGAATTTTCTGCTGGCCATAATAAACAATACCAATTTGGTTACCTATTCTAATGAATAAATATGTCTTATAGATATTTTCCAAATCAATCTTTACAAAAACTCTTCAGAATAGCGATATCTATCGCAGCTTGGAAAATAATGGCTGAGGTTCACAGTACTAACTGGCCGAAGATCTAACAGCAAGTGGGAGAGGCTTGATTCAAGGGCAAGTGGAGAGACTAGAATGACATGCCTTTCATGAATATTGTTTTTCTGAGCAACATTCTTTGCCCATCGGGCAAAATATACTTCTATTTCTTAGTCATATAATTATACTGGTGTGTTACATGTTCATATATGATTTTTTCCCAACTGTCCACAAATGACTTTTCTGAGCCAGCTCCTCTTCATGGAGCTACTCAAGCCTCTGATTAAATTTCCTGGGTTCATTTTGTTTTCTTTTTACTTTAACGAAATACTGGCTGGATTGCTGTCATTTGTGACCAAAAACATTGTGCTTACCCCAGTCGTTCAATGCCACTGCACTGCCTTCCAACCATTATTTGGTGTTCTTTCTAGCTTCCAAGAGAGTTTCATATATACATTATCTTTTTTAATAATCAGAGCAAGACCTGCATGTTTGATATTTTCCCACATTAGAGATAAATAAAGTAGGATCTGAAGAATTATTCCCTCTCTTATTGCATTTGTTAAATAGATGGATAGAGAGATGATAGATGATAGATGATATGCTAGATAGATGATAGATAGATAGAAATAATGTTTAGAGTCAATATTTCTCAATAGATTAATTACATAAGCACAGAGTTTATATCATCACATTTTTTGCTGTATGCCCAGCACTGAGGCCCCATAATTGGGATTAGATGCCATATTAGTTTCCAGAGGCTACCATAAAAAGTTCTACAACCTGGGTAGATTAAAACAACAGAAATGTATTCTGTCATAGTTCTGGAGGCTTGAAGTTTGACATCAACATGTTGGCAGGGCCATGCTCCCTTTGAAACCTGTAGCAAAAAATCCTTCCTTCCCTCTTTCTATGTCCTGGTGGTTCCTTGGCAATTCTGGGTATTCCTTGGTTTGCAGCTGCAGTTGTCTAATCTCTGTTGTCACACAGCATTCTCACTTGTGTGTCCATGTCTCTGTTTTTTCTCCTTTTCTCATAAGGTCACCAGTCATAGTGGATTAAGGACTCACCTTAGTCAAGTATGACCTCATCTTAACTAAACTAATTATGTCTGCAACAACCTATTTCCAAATCAGGTCACATTCTGAGGTTCTAGGGGTGACAATTTCAACATATCTCTTTGGGATTCACAATTCAACCCCAAATAGACACTTAAATAATTAATAGTTGGATAAATGATACAGTAGGATACAAGGGCCTGTTTAAAACATTTAGTGTAAGAATAGATGCAGACACAAAAAGTTTTCCATTTTTGAACCACTGGAAAGCAGATCTAGCCTGTGTTGTATGCCAGTAAGAGTGAACCTTTAAAAATGAAAGACACTACAATGCAAAGACATTGGGTAGTGTCAAATTAAAAAGTAAAAGAGCTGGGATTTGCTTCTCTCTAGACCTCATCTGTTCTTTAGATGATATTTTAGTGGTAACATCCTCAGCCTCAGAGTCTGTGAAAGCAGTGAGCCTGACGGCAGAGCCAAACTTAGACTTATTTTGCTGCTTCAAGTCCAGCCAGTTGCTGATTTTACCATTCCTTCCTCGCTCACTAAGAAGTGAGGACCAATTATATCATGTATAGAGGCTGACTTATCATGAAGCTAATGAAGATTAAGCTTCAGGGCCTTTCATTGGCATGGGCCCCTTCCAGTGACTTGCACCTAATTTAGTTTCACCAATGTTACATGCATTTTAAATGGATTATTGTCCAGATTATATAAGTTATAGGCCTCACAAAACCTGGATGTACCTTTGAACAAATTCTAGGGATGGCCAATTAATTATCGTACATTTTATATGGCAGACTTTTAGCTCTCCAGAAATCTAAAACAGTTCAACAGAAATGGTAAAATGAAATCAACACATTCTGTGTTGGCATAATCATAATCAGTGTCTTAGTCTGTTCTCACACTGATAAAGAACTGCCTGGGACTGGGTAATTTATGAAGGAAAGAGGTTTAATTGACTCACAGTTCCACAAGGCTGGGGAGGCCTCTGGACACTTACAATCATGGCAGAAGGCGAAGGGGAAGCAGGCACCTTCTTCTCAAGGCAGCAGGAGAGCCAGTGAGTTCAGGGTAAACTGCCACTTTTAAACCATCAGATCTCGTGAAAATTCCCTCACTATCAGGAGAACAGCATGGGGAAAACTGCCTCATAATCCTCCCACCAGGTCCCTCCCTCAACATATGGGGATTACAATTCGAGATGAGATTTGGGTGGAGACACAGAGCCAAACCATCTCAATCGGAGTGCTTTGTTCTCTATGGCGCCTCACCAGTGGAATACTAGCCTCTTAATTTTTTTAGTTACTCGGAATGATAAACCACTGTCCCAGCTTAGCAATGGCTGGAAAGAGGTGGATACAAAAAGAAGGCAACTAGGGATTTTGTGGCCTTTTACTTTCATAGATGTGTGATGCGTATTGTTACTTTCAGTGAACCTGTAATACGAGCCCAAAAGACGCAAAGGGTTAAAGAATGCAGGTTACGTGAAGAAATGTGAACCAAGTGCAACTTCAGCAAAGTCACCCAAGGCGGCACTGATGAAGAGACTGCTAACTAGATAGCCAGAGAATCACGTAAGGGATTTATTTTTTAAGTGTATGATACTTCTCTGTGTTTCCTTTTGGATCTCACCCCCGCAAGAGCTTGTTGTCCTTAGTTTACTTATGTTTTATTTAGGGAAATTTGAAGAACTAAACCTTTCAGAAATCAAAATAGTAAATGTTAAAAGGTGGAATTTCAAATTCTGTGGTATTTTGAGACAAAATGTTTTTTATTGAATATTTATGATGGACATTCCTTCAATATAGCTCACTGGTATCATTAACCCTGCCACAATATTTGGGTTTCAGAGCTTACTCCATACCATCTGATAGTCAATTATTAAACTGTCTGTACTTTATCTCTAATTTTCTCACTTATTTCCTTTTCAAATCCTTACCTATCTTGCCTAAATTTTGACCTTAATCCCTTATTTCTGGTTTAATATTGCCTAAAATACTGTTGGCCTTCATCCATCAGCAAACCATCCTTCTTTGGTTCTTTGCTCCATTCCCAACTGCTTGTTGAGGTTTCTCTAACATACTCTGTAATGCATCTAACTGTGCCTCAAACCCACCCCTGAAAACCCCCTTACCCTGTTTTTCTTTTTCTTTTCTCCAACCTGGTAACCTACTGGGATGCAAAGAGATTAAGTGATTTGCTTAGCAACACATGCAAAAGTAAGGCAAAAATTAGAACTAAATTATCTGTCCTATTTTTCTTTCAAACTTTAATGCTTCATGTAGAGTTTTTTACATGATAAATAATTCCCACAAATCTTTAATTTTTTTTTCCAGAAGACAGCCACTTCATGAGAGATCCAGAATAGAAACTGCTTATTCCAATAGGGAAAAATATTCACAGTGCTGCTTTCTTCAGCTTCCAAGGAATGCACAAATATATTTTTGTAACACAATATGCTTATTAGTCATTATATGAATTAAGCTGCCTCCCTTGCATCAATATTATAGCTGACATGGAAGCAAAACTTTTATCCTTTTCAGATAGTATCAACTATTTAAATGTGCCCTTTAATTTTCACTATATTAAATTTATTTTTGGACTTTAATCATGCTCTCTTGAATTTGCTTGGTTATTCATATCGTATGTCCCTATTAATACTGAATAAGAAAATTTTCAATAACAAATTGCTATTCGTTGTTGAATACTTTCAAAATACATTTATAACTGAAATAATTTATCAAATTGTGCTTTTAATTTTGAAGTTGCATTTTGATAAAATAAATTTATTCAATTTTATATTACTAGTTGCCACCATCATTAATGATATGTTTCCTCATTATAATTAGGTACCACTTTGGTCTCTGTTTTAGTAGCATTACCTAGTCAGATATACATTATGTTATTTTGATACTACATTTTAAATGTTTGGAAATTGTAAGTCGTAACTAAAAGGAAAATATGCATTTCTTTCTAAAGCTGCAAGCAGCTCTGAGTGTTTGAGTTCCATAAGCTGCATGGGGTAAAAAATTCTGTATGCTTTTTCACTATTAAACCTGAAGTACAGAACACTGTCTGGTACATGGTAGATGCTCAATAAATTTTAGAAAAATTAAAAAGGAAAGATGACACTAAACAATTAGTGATGAAAATGTTTCCAGAGAGACTAATTTTCATTCTTTTCTCAAAATGTTTGGTCTAAGACTCTCATAACTCCCTCTGAAGACTCAGTAGGCTTCTACAATACATCAATATTAACAATCTTTGTCGATTTTTATAGATCATGGGTGAACAATTGTCATAAAGAAATTCTTAGAAACGGTCCAAGAATAGTGAACAATATCCTCCTCAGTATAGTCTGTTTCATCAGTATTTAAGCGAACAAGCCAACTGCCAAACATTTTAATTGGCTTCAGTAAGGATTGGCACAAGTAGTGGGAAATAAAGCCTTGATGTATTCCAGCACATACAAATCCACTAATATATATTTTAAAAAACCACACAATTATTTAAAATCTAAAACACTTGTGGAAGTAGTGAGTACCTGTGCCATGGTAAAGCTATTTTCTAGAAAATACATGACATCCCAAGGGCCCACAGAACAGATTAAAAGCGACTTGGCTCTTAGGAGTTGCAATGCTCTCAATACAGTGTTAGAATCCGTGATAAATTTCATTTCAAATGAAAACACTTGCTTCCTAAAAAAATGCCTAGGGAAAATTAAAGTCTGCTCATTTGAGGGATTTGACTAACTGGTTTTTGTATGTTAATAGAACTCAACCTGAGCAGCTACATGCATTAAACCTGAAGGAAATACCTCTTTACTTGGAGAGTAAAGCACAAGTGAAGGGAGAGAGTGAGGATGGGACCAGCTCTTCTGTTCCGGTAGGACGTCTTTTATGTCTTAGGATTGCAAAGTGGTGCTTAGGAAGAATAGGATTTTGGAGTCAAGCTCGTGTAACCAGAGGTAGCAATGGCAGAATTCACTGTCTTCCACGGGAGTAAAACTAACACGTTTTGAAACTCACTCCACCACGTCATAATGCACATGAGAGATGCTTTTTTAATTTTTTTGCTTTCTATGAAACTGAAGAAATATAAAAAATATGGAAATCATTGGCTTCAAAGAGGAATGCTTGAGCACTTACAAACCCCTAAGGTAGCATCATACTTGAATACAAATTTGCTAGTAATGGTTTCTAATTGAAATATCCCCAATCAATAAGTATCTCTTCAAAATCATGTTAGTGTGTTTCTTGAAAGGACTGACATAGTATATTCGGTGGAATTTGGGGAAAGTTGAGAAAGTAACAAACAAGAGAAAACTTGCCATGCTTGTCTAGAGACGAAAGCCAGTTTCAGTGCTCAGCAGAATCTAAGCCTAATTTTGAAAGGAGAAATAGATATATATATATATATATATATATATATATATATATATATATATATATATATATATCATGTTTGTTAATTAAAACAAATTTTTTTTCAATTATCTCCTTAGGCTACTTTTTTTTTCAGAGATCTTTTTTAAGACTACTTTTACAAAGATCACCAAAGAGGAATGCTCTAACGCCCAAAATCTGAACATTTTGCCACATTCATGAGCCATTAAAATTAAAAATGTTATTGATCTACTTTTCTGCTGTGAAATAAAAATTCACTCTGGGAAATATATCCTTCTTCAGCTTAAAGCCTCTATTACCATATACTGCCTTAGCATGAATCACCATTTCTCTACACCTATTTTTCTGCATTTAACCCATTCTTAATTGGTTCATTTCAACATACACATTTATATGACAAATGTGTAATACGATTTTGACATTATGTTCATTTATCTGTACATTTTTACAAGATATTTATTCAGAGCAGAAAGTCTCTCCATTAATTCTCAATATGTAATTATATGTATATATAATTATTTTCACTCTGAATTTCAAGCCACATGCCTAGGATAAATTTCCCTAGATCCCATTAGTAACAAGTAATTACTTTTTTGTATAAACTCATGCTGTATTTCACATACAGTTCTATTCAGCACTCAATTCTGTTCACTACAGAATGCATATAATCGTTTCCTTTAACTGTCTTTTCTGTTTTGTTTTGTTTTTGAGACAGAGTTTCACTCTTGTCGCCCAGGCTGGAGTGCAAATGGCACTATATTGGCTCACTGCAACGTCCGCCTCCTGGTTCAAGAGTTTCTCCTGCCTCAGCCTCCCTAGTAGGTGGGATTACAGGCATGTGCCACCATGCCTGGCTTTTTTTTTTTTTTTGGATTATTAGTAGAGATGGGGTTTCATCATGTTGGCCAGGCTGGTCTCAAACTCCTGACCTCAGGTGACCAGCCTGCCTCGGCCTCCCAAAGTGCTGGGATTACAGGCATGAGCCACCATGCCTGGCCAAACTGCCTTTTCTATTAAGATGAAAATATTTTCTGAGAAAAACTGGATATTACTCATCTTTTTCATTTCCCTCCATTTCCATGCAGTACTCACATATTTTTTGACAATACTCAAGCTTAGGTTTAAGCGTATCATAACATACTCCAGAAGAGTTCAATAGGAAGACACTGTGATCCAACTTGAAATGTTACAAACTCAATTTGGGGAATGGATTAGCCTATACCATTAGAGTAAGAGAGGTAAGCTATTCAGATATGCATGTTGTTAACTGATCTAACAAGTTTCATGATGATTTAAGCAATATTTTAAAAATGAAGGTTCAATGACAGGACAAGGCATACTTTTGTGGAATGTTAATGTTGACACATTCTACAGATATCTGCACAGGAGTCAGTCTGCCAAACAAGGACTGGAAAACAGAAGTGCTCCTGTTCTAAGAAGGATGACAGAGCCCCAAGGAAACAGGATGGGAATGGGGCCAGGTCTCTAGTCTTCAAGCCAAACTACACAAGAGTAATAAACATGGGATAGCGGACATGTCAGAAAGGCATCTGTATTCATTGGACCAAGGGAGTGGGCAGAGGAAGAGGAGAGCTGAGTTAAGGGCAACATAAGCAGCCACGATGTCATTCTTCCCAGGTGCAATCTCCAAGAGTACAAAACTTCCTGCTATCTGCATGAGTAAACTGATTATAATCTAACCAAGATGGTGGAGGTGAGGTACAATACATCAGTATTATCAATCTTTGTTGATTTTTTAGATCATAGATAAAGGCAAAACCATTCCTGCCTTTATCAATAAAAGCTCAATAAAGTGAGCGACACTGAACCTTGTATATCCCAGGATGTAGCGATGAGAAGTTGGGGAGTCAGAGGCAGGGACTGCCAAAGAGTTACTCAAACACTATAGAATTTGTATTTTATTATTAAAGCAATCATAGAAATCATATTCTACGATTTCTATCATATCATCCTTCGAAAAAACAAGTCACAATGTTAGAGAGTGGTATTATCAGCATTGTAATAATGAACCATGAGCATTAGCTGTTATTTTAGTAAATTACAATAGACAGTATTTGCATTGCTAAGGAAACTGCTAGAAAAATCCTAACAGCATTTCAACCAAACCTATCTCTAACAGTACTGGCTTTCTAAGAGAATGTGTATCCACCTATGAGAGTAACTCCTCAACATCATCATGTTATATATCTAAATCAAACTTAATTCTTCATACTAAGTGGTAGCTAACTTTACTAATATTACAGCTACATTAGTTTCTATTAACAGCATGCATCATAGAAACTCCACAGGTAACACAGTGTACAATGAGATGTACACAAACAAAATTAGGCTATGTTAAGCCCATTGCATGGATAATGTTTATCTGGTATCCCCAATTTAGAATTAAAAATGATTCAGTTATGCACTTGCCAAATATTTATTATGATTCTACCATATAAAGAAGAATGTTTTGGAGATTTGGGATAACAATATTAATGATGCATAATATCTATTTTTAAGTTTCACAGGGTATTGCAAAAAATGAATTTATAAACAAAAAACATAATTGTAATAATCGAATAAAGTTTAATGTAGAGAAGTAAAACAAAAATGAAATTATTAATATTTTATCTACCTGGAATCACAGAAGACTTTCTGAAGAAGCTACGTCTGAGATGAATGTTTTGAATAAAGTGTAATTGTATTTGGATAAGATCTGAAATTAGATCAAATGAAGAAGACAGCAGGGATTAAGGAAAGAACTAGTGAAATAGCATGCTGTGTTCCATGAACCAATCACATCTGGTATTTAAAAGTATAGTAAGATGGTTTTCAAGATATGGATGGCTGAGGATGTGATAATAGAAGCAAAATGTTAGAGGGCATGGCACTCTAAAAGACCAGGATTTTATTCTATGGGGCAACTGTCAAAATATTTAATCTATAAAAGATAACTACTCAACTCTTGCAGCATGAAAGCTGTCATAGACGATGTGTAAATGAATGTGCGTGAGTGCCTTCCAATAAAACTTTATTTACAAAAAACAGACAGTAGGGCAGACTTAATCCACAGGCCATAGAATTGTTCAACTATAATTGAACAGTCGTAGTTCCATCTCTCTTACAAAGGATCAGAAATCACTGAATAATAGCAATGCACTGAAATAACAATATTTAATATCTGAAAGAATATTCTGGCAGTTATGTATTGGACAAGTAGGGAGATGATAGAATGAGTTAGATAAATCATTTCTGCAATAATACACTTACTCTCTTTTGATAACTCAAGGCATTACAAAAATATTTGAATGGAAAGGATGGGTTATAACAATATGTAGGAGACATAATCAATGTGACGTGGCAGAGGATACAGTATGTGCTGAACGATGGAATAAGCAATGGAAAGTGAGATAATGTGGAAGAACAAACTCAGGATGAAGGGGAAATGATAAGCTCAAGACTAGACCCCAGGGGGGCTCCAGTACCAGACGAGGTTATTTGCACACATTGGCTTAGATCTCAGCAGATGAATCCTGCTGTTAGCTGACCATTGAGCGTTAGAGTCTTAAGGATGATAATACCTGAGAAGAGGGTATAGAAATTGAAAAACACTATAATCGACATCCATTCACTGCAGCCACAATTCACACCTTTTTCCTTAAATAGTACATACATTTCCTAACAGAAATCTATCCTCCTGTATTCAGAGCCCACAGCATTGATTCAGATGGATTCTACCCAATTCAGAATTATTAATTTAAGGGCCCCTGATGGGTCTCACCCAATAGTTCTCCATTCTCAGGGGGATGTTACAGGTATTTATTTCCCTAGATTGAGGGATGTTAAGCACCACCAAAGGCCCAGACATTATTGCACAAGAAATTGTCCTATCCAAAATGTCAGTGCCAAATGCCGACCTAGGCTAGTTAGCACACTCCACTGATTCTTAGGATCCTCTAGACAGTAATTAGAATGACTCTTATCAGTCAAATACCACTGGAGCTTCACAGAGAGGGAACCTTGGGCTTTCCCCGAGGTTTGCATCCAGAAACTTGCAGTTTGGCTCTGCTCTTGCCCACTTGCTGGCGTATTTTGTGTAAAAATGAAGCCTCCACGCAGAGCAGGAGAGCAGAGTCAGCCCTGCAGAGAGCCGAAGTGGATCTTGGTAACACATTTTGGTACCGCAGTGAAGCTAAGCCACCCCGGGACTCTTCAGTTACTTCAGCCAGTAATTTCTCTCTTTGCACAACCAGTGGAAAAGGCACTTCAACTGAAAGAATATCTGGAGAAAAAAGCCAAGAATAGAGAAAGCTGAAGAACATAAAAATTTAACATCGAATCAGAATAACAGGATAGAGAGGGAGAAAGGACTAAAAATGGCCAGTGACAGGGAAGAACCAGGATGGAATGATTTTACAAAATTCACATTTTTTGGAATTTTTTTTTAAAAACGTCAATGGTGTCATCTGCTTAAGGATAATGAGATTTGTTGAAAAAGTTTTAAATGTGACAATAGAGAAACCATTGCCAAAATCTGGCCACTAAATTTCATATAAAGAAATTTCATGCAACTTTATTACAATTGCTTTTTGGGCCCATCCAGTTATATACCTACTTTTATCAAGATGTGATGAGAATACTTACTCATACATTACAATGAAATAAAGATAACGGAAAATTACTGATTATATATTTCTGATTAAAATGTATAGAGACTCCAAGTCAGTGACTTGAATCATAAATATACATACACAAGCATATATATATATTCTAAACATAAAATACCACTATAACTACTGTTCATAGTTATAGTGATGTGGCGGATTAATGACAAACTATGTTTATTAGGAAATGTACATAACACTAAGTCAGAGTGAGCTCATGGGCAGGGCTTTGTCTGGCTTGCATAGCGCCTTCCCTTTTGCCATCATCAAACATGGTATCTGTATTAGTCCATTCTCACACTGCTATAAAGAACTACCTGAGACTGGGTAAGTAATAAAGACAAGAGACTTAAGTGACTCACAGTTCTGCAGGCTGTGCAGGAAGCGTGGCTGAGGAGGCCTCAGGAAATTTACAATCATGGCAGAAGGCAAAGGGGAAGCCAGCATGTCTTACATAGTGGGAGCAGGAGACAGAGAGAAAGAAGGGGGAAGTGCCACACACTTTTCAAGCAGCCAGATCTCGTGAGAACTCTTATCATGAGCCAGGAGGAAGTCCGCCCCCCATGATTCAATCACCTCCCACCAGGCGCCTCCTCCAACACTGGGAATTATAATTCAACATGAGATTTAGATGGGGACACAGAGCTAAACCATATCCGTATCATTTACTGCTCTTCCAGTGTTGCTCCAGCTAACTGGTGCAACATGTTAATTAAAGCCACGTTGTCACTTTCCTCTATAACCTTGGAGTAAAGAATGAAGAACTAATGATGTATTCTGGAAGATGCAAACAGAGGCAATCCTATAGGTTAGATGAAGAGAAAATGTTTCCACAGAAGGTGGGAAGAATACTCTGCTTGGATTGAAAAAAAATAGGGTATGAGACACTAGGGAAAAAAGAAAAGACTTCAAGAAAAGAGGATAGAAAAGGATATGGCTGCAGGTGGTAAGAAATGTGTTCACTTCCCCTAGTGATTGATTGGTGGATGAACCACAGTTTTCTGAGTGAGAAAGGCAAGCCAACTAATTGCTGAGACCGCCACTGCCTGGTATTGTGGTCCAGGGATAAGCGAGAAATCCCCAGGGTATTGTAGCATGAGTGCCGCAAAAGTTAGCAGGGCAACGTGGAAGCAAAAATGCCATGATTCTCAAATACTAAGCAACTGTAAACTAGGTCAAACCCACACAAATTCAGGAACTTGGTAATAACAGGAGAGAAATATGCCAGTTTCTCATACTAACAAGGGAGTTAATGATGCATTATGTTAATTAAATTTATTAATTTAATCCTGGGGTGTCTTATAAGTTATCTTCTCAATACCTGGGGAAACTCAATAACCTGGAGAAAGGCAAGAATGAAACATTGTTATTGGAATCTGAGATGGTGTTTTAGCATTAGAGACTTACATATTGCTTCATATAAAATTACCCAACATTTATGCTCTTAAATTAGTTTGCCATCAAGGACAGACTCACAGTTAACATCCAACTTGTGAACACTTCAAAATAAGACAGTACTACGTCCCTTTTCTACTGTCCAACTGGAAAAATGCTCTTGTTGCAACTGGTCATGAATATTCCAGACTGGCTTATTATTTCTCTTCAGTGTTACAATGGTGAGTACTGTATGTACTTCCCAGGCTTTTGTGGATGAAAGGATAACTTCTGCTAAGCTTATTACTTTTAAAAAATCAACAAAACATAAAAGCTCTGTATTTTTTTTTTCTTTTTGACAAAGCCTCACTATGTCACCAGGCTGGAGTGCAATGGCACAATCTTGGCTCACTGCTCACTGCAACCTCCGCCTCGCAGGTTCAAGCGATTCTCCCGCCTCAGCTTCCCAGGTAGCTGGGATTACAGACGTGCACCATCACATCTGGCTAACTTTTTTGTATTTTTAGTAGAGACGGCATTTCACCATGTTGTCCAGGCTGGTCTTGAATTTCTGACCTCGTGATCCACCCAGCTCAGCTTCCCAAAGTGCTGGGATTACAGGCATAAGCCACTGTGCCTGGCCTGTAATCTTTCTTATGATGACCTATCTTCACCTTCCTCCCCCACCTTCTCCCCATGGGTAAAAATATCCGTTATGCCATTTATTTGTATTCTATCCATGGGCTATTGTCCTGCCCAAGCCCCTTCCCCACTTAAATCCTGAAAATACGTTAGCATTCCTTTCAAGCCCTTTTTCTTTTTTTGTTTGTTTTAATTTTATATTATACTTTAAGTTTTAGGGTACATGTGCACAACGTGCAGGTTTATTACATATGTATACATCAAGCCCTTTTTCATAACAATTTTTTGTTATAAATGTCATATGTATTTTTGCAGAATCCTCCATTAGAATGATACACACACATACATACAGAAGGATCAATTTTAATTGATAAAGTCTACTAAATTGGTACACTAACAAGGAAAACAAATAAGCATTTATAGAAGTGAAGGGAAAATTTTCTCCCTTTTTTATTGTTAGTTAAATATCCAGAGACTTGCTCTGCTACCATGTTCCTGGAACTGACAAGTCTTTATAACTGAGATAACTCTCCTAAAGTTCTAGGGAAGGTTCATGAAATACAACTTGTCTGAATTCCATTGTTGTCACTTGTTGACCAGGAACATAAACCAGAATGAACTGAACACAGTATGTGTAGCCCTGCCCTATCTCCGTTCTCTTTTTAAATCATGTACAATGCAAGATGTCATTTCATTGTTCCACAACAATGAATTTCCTGCTGCCCAAACTTGATACAGTTAGTTGACTCATTTAATAAATTTCTGTTACCTTGCTGTTTATTACCTCCTGAAGAGAAATTCTTTATTAAGACTCTAATACTGAATCCTGTCCTTTTTCTGTCTCAGCCCATTTCTTTTATGGATTCACTGCTTTCTGTGAGGTGCTACTCTTGCAAAGTCATGGGGATGTTATAAAAATATTTGTCTTAATTCAGGTTCCCACAGTGGCAGATTTTGAGCCAAGAATTCAAGTGCAAGTGATTTATTAAGGAAATGCTCCCAGGAAGTAGTGGCAAGGGAATAAGAAACAGGATAGGGAAGCAGGAGAAGCCAAATCTGCCTGATGCTGTGGAGAGCTCTGGAATGTAAATTATGCCCCTGAGTTTGCTCTATGTTAAGACAGATGAGCACCATGTTTGCACTCCAAATAAGTAATTATTGGCTACAGGCTTCCTCAGGAGTAGAGAAACAACATAAAGTCCTAGGCACTTGTGACTTCTCCATATGAGTAAGGGGGCTCTGGTGGCCAGAAATTATCCCCTGAAGAAGGTTGCAGGTGCAAGTAGCAGTAAAACACACAGGAGCTTGGCAGGGATGATGGACACACAAAGTTCATAAAAAAGGATCAACGCTGACCTGGGCAGGCAGGACTTGCAGAATGGTGGTATGAGGAGCTCAAGGAAACCTCTCTTCCAGAGAAATCGATTTAATTGGTCAAACTTAGCAAAGAGAATCCTCCAGGTCAATTCTTCCTGGAAATTGACCAAAGAGCTTATGGCAAACAGAGAGGCATTTGTTCCACAAAATCTGCAGAGCTAGACGAGAACAATTGGAGGCCATGGCATTTGAGTTAGATACTGCACCCACCCTGGACAGTTCTATGTTGAGGAAGAAGCACTTCAGCAGGCTCAACGGCTGAGGGACAGCTTTCATCTCCCTTGGTTCGGGTTGTGGTGCAGCTGTTCTATATGGATTTGGCAACTTAGTTGAACGTTGGCGTATCACATCCTACCTGGCTCCATCCAGCAGAAGAAGGTCTACACTGGGTGAATTGGGGCATAATACGTGTTGAAGGTGATGCACTCACATGTGTGGTATCTTTGACATTTGAGAGGTATGAGTAACTAGTAACTATAAGGACTATGAAACTGGGTGGTGGTTGTTGCTGAATGCCGCTGATGCATTATAAAGAGTAGATTCAAGCCAGTTTATTATTACCTTGAAACAAGCTTAAAGGGTTCCATGACTGCATTTAAGGACCCTCGTCACCTGCAGCTGGAGAACTGATATAGCAGAAAGCAGGCACAGAACTCAATGATATGAGTGATCAAATTTCAGAGAAGGCAACATTTTCAGGCTCAGCAAATGTCCCATGTCTACACTGAAGCTAGAAATAGAGATATTTGGACAGAATCCTAAATGTCTCAATTCCTCTGGCCCTTGTGAGCTTGTCTAAGAAATATGCTTGTGAGAGGCAACTGGCATTGTTACTAACTCAGTAGATTGTCTTTTTCCAATGGTTGAAGCTGATGGAAAAAAAATGATGGTTTCTATATTGCCAGTAGGATGAATAGATACCAGACAAGCAGAGACAAGGTGGGTGTAATTACCACAGAGGGTGACACATTTGTAATGGCAGTCAGTCTGGAATGATCAGATCCTTACAGGAATATATGGTGATGGCCAATAGACTATGATATTCCTAAGGGCAATATAGATGGGCAGCCAGACAAACTATTGCTTAGTGTATATAGTTAAAGGACTAACAGAAAACTGAGGTCAGCTTCTTCAGTGGAAACACATGCAGTATTTGCATGTATGATTTTGGATGCAAATGGTACAGGCTTCATTGGACTGTGAAGCAATGTTATCACAATGGACAAAGCCTAAGAATTTACACATACTGCCCTATATCTCTACCTGGATTTCTCTATTTTTTCTCTATTTTGGAAAGCCAGGCAGAAATGGCTGGCCTAGAACTTTTCTTTAAAATATTACCATGATAGTTTAAAAAGCAAAGATACAGTGAAAATTTAAAGGTCTTTCTCAGAGAGCTTTCACCTCAGAGAGCTCTCAGAGATCATGTCCAATCCCCTTTAAACGTTTAAGATATTGTAAGTGTTAAGAAAGAATGTTTTTGAGAATGAAAAAGAAAGATGTTTGAATGTGTTTTCATCTTGATCTGGTTAAATAACAAACAATAAATTTTATGATGTTAATTTAAAAATGTTTCACGTTGAATGAATAAAATCTTCAATCTCTATTTTCACTCTAAAAAACTGCATTCCACTATAAAAAGCAATAAATGGTCAGCATCTGTGAGTGGCACATTGCAGTCACAATAATTTCAGTATCTATTTTGATAATTGCTCTTGATATCTTCACAAAATGCTTTGCTCAAAATCTTTATAAGCAGGATTTCAGACATAAAAGTTATTCTCTCTCTGTGGTATAATGAGCAACCACTTTGATAGGAATGGTGTGACAGACATAAACATAAAAATTTCAATTATAAATATAAACTTTCATCTCTTTTATCTTGTTTGTTTATTCTTACCAATGGATGTTCATGTAATTTGTCAATGTCCTAATCTATTTATAAATATTCCCAATTATAAAAGAAGTGGATTGGCAAATATTTCTAAGGACTCAGTGATAAATTTTGCCATCAGTCATGTCAATAAAGGTAATTCAACATTTATATCCTCTCACACAATTCTTATTCATCTATAAAAAATATTTTTTCTACAAAATAACACTCAGTACTTTATGATAAATTATATTAAAGATATCAGAATTATTTCAGATTAGATTTTACAGCTATCTGAATCTAAATTTAGGCAAAGTGCAATTATGAAAATGTTGTTTTATAGCATCATTTTTTTGTGATGATCTTATATGCTCATTTAAGTTCAGCTTTCTCTTTAATTTCCTGTGCCAATGAATTTACTTTTCATACAAAATGGCACGTACATCACTGTGAAAAAAATAAAATATCTAGTAATATCACAACTCAATGGAAGGAAATAAATAATGGAAAATAAGGTCAAAATTAACTTTACAAATAAGATTTACCAAAGTATATGATAGTAGAGAGAATAAAATACTGACTTGTGATTTATATGTGAAAGAAGCATTCGTACTAAATATACGTGAAACCTTGGAAAATTGCTTAAGGTCTCTAAGCTTTAATTTTCTTACCTTTTACATCTAAAATTCCAAAATCTTGTCACAATCAAGTAAATAAGAACATTTTTTTAAGTTTTTTTTTTTTTTTTTTTTTTTTTTTTTTTTTTTTTTTTAAGACAGAGTCTGGCTCTGTCACCCAGGCTGGAGAGCAACGGTATGAGCTCGGCTCACTGCAACCTCTGCCTCCCTGGTTCAAGTGATTCTCCCACCTCAGCCTCCCGAGTAGCTGGAATTACAGGTGCGTGTCACCATGTCCAACTAATTTTTGTATTTGCAGTAGAGACAGGGTTTCACCATGTTGGCCAGGCTGGTCTCGAACTCCTGACTTCAGGTGATCCATCCACCTTGGCCTTCCAAAGTGCTGGGATTACAGGCGTGAGCCACCGCATCCAGCCTCAAATATTTATTACTCAGATAAAAAATGTGTATCACATTTGAGAAGTTTGGAAACATCTGGGGTATGACTTTCTAATAATCACAATAACACTATATGACTATTTAAATATTATTTGATCAAAACTTAAGCAATTTAAGAATTAGAAGAAGTAGGAAAGAGATGGTTAGTAACAAGTTAAAATATACTCTCTTCAGTCTGGGAAACACAGGGAGACTGTCTACACAAATAATTTAAAAATTAGCCAGGCGTAATGGCATGTGCCTCTGGTCCCAGTTACTTAAGAGGCTGAGGTGAAGGATTGCTTGAGCCCAGGAGGTCAAGGTTGCCATGGGCTATGATCATGCCACTGCACTCCAGCGTGTGTGACAGAGCAAGATGCTGTCTCAAATAATAATAATAATAATAATAATAATAATAATAATAATAATAATAAACACTCTCTCATTTTACCAAAATAGTAACTCTGGAAAAGAAAAAAATTAAGTTATCACAGTTTAATCTCTTGTAGATATACTAATAACAGACTATTGGGCAGTGAGTCAATGGTATTTGCTGTGGGAGAGTCCTTATTGATGGAACACGATTCACAGGATGTACCTGGGCTGTCTAAGCTGCTCATAGTAAAGAAACCTGAAAATTATGGATTTATGAGGGATAGCTCCCATTCATGAGATTAAATGAGCCATCCAAAAAATATCAACTAGACTTTGTAACTATAAATGGTGCTAATTCATAATATAATATTTGCTTTCTGTGTAAGCAAAGTGACTGCATGCATTATTTGGAGACTTCAGACATGAAAAAACTTATATGCAATATGTAGGGCAAAGATTTGAAATGAGGAGTAGTTGAAGAACTGTGCTGATAGATTTGGGCCTCTTTCAACTTCACTGTGCCCCTTTTCATTACCTGAATAGTGGAAATTATTAGTAGAGCTCAATTCTAAGTACGATATCTTATTCTTTCAAGCCTGATTTGACAATATGCTCTTTTGCATTACTCCCAGATGTCAAAGTAAAAGGAGTTAAAATGCTGCATACATTTTCTAAATTATTTTTGGAGATAACTATGGTTATGTTTGTTTGGGAAATATTTTTTCTAATTAATAGTTGGATAATGCTATTTATTTCTAAACTAAGGTAAGATTCAACATAACAAAAAAGAATTTCAGAAAAGTTTATCATTCATACTAAATATTTGAGCTATAAAATATGTATATATTTTCATTGCAATTCAGGTGATATAAACCCCACTGTCCACCTCTTGCAAACCATAGTGATTTTTTACTTCTGGCATCATCTTAATAGTCACCATGATTTGGAAAATGAAATACTCAACCACATAAATACAACCACGAAATGGTATAAGCCATGCTTCTTGTTTACAACAATTACATATTAAATTATTGCTAAAACTATAATCAATTTAGTATTCAGTGATATTGTGGAGAGGAGAGTTCAAGAAAGTGAAATGCTTCTGGTAAAATAAATGACAAAAGAAGTATTAACAAGTTGAGGCAGTGTTATGCTCAAACACAAAATGTAAAGTGTCAAACACGCTACCAGGAGAATTTTAGGATAAGTTTTATATACATAAAATAAAAACTCTAAGATTTCAGACATGCAGGAATAGGAAAAATTGCAAATAGCCATATTGTTCAAATTTGTAAGACATTGGCTAATCTCAAAGTTTTATTAATATTTACCTATGTTTACATATGTAATTCTTTCATCAAAACTAATTTTCATTTAAATCTCATTAAAGGTCTTTCTTACCTAGTATTAGCTTCAGTTGATATGTATGTAGGGTGTCCTGTATTCTGTATTTGGTTAACTAATGATATAATTAATGCCTACCTGCAAACAATATGCTTCATTTTACTACAGTCATTTTTCTGGGACCTTGAAAAACAACTGGTGCTATGATTTGAAAGTTATATGTGTTTTATAAGTTGTCATTTTGTTTATTTACATCTAACAGTTATAGAGAGAAATTTTCTAAAATACCTTATTTATATGTAGATAAATTATTTACCTTTTCCTTTCTCTGGAAGGAAAATTCATTGCTAAGTTCAATTATCACTTCACTCTTATTGCCATTACAGCCAAAGGTATCCTTTGCTAAATATCAAAAAGTACTGAAAAGGATTTACTCTTATTATCTCCTGTTGTCCTTTCTGCCACTCAACTTTTAAGTTGCTTCCACATACTGAAGTAATAACACAACAAAGGGCTAAAGACAAATAAAACAAAAACAGCAAAGAACTACTGCAAAAACACTTGGTCTGATCTCTTCTCAAATTTCAGTATTCTCAAGATTTTAGGCATCAGGGCCACTTTGTACTCTTAAAAATTATTGAGAACCCTCCCTACAGAGTTTTTTCTTATGTGGGTTATAACTATCAATATTTACCATATTAGAAATTAAGACACTTTAAATTGATTAATTAATTTAAAATAATAAATCAGTATGTGTTAATATAAATAACATTTTTTGCATAGCCACATTTTTTAGAAATACATATTGTGGAGTGTGTCATTATTTTACATTTTGGTAAATCCTTTAACATCAGCTGGATTCTCACATATGCCTCTGCATTCAATTTGTTGCAACATCACTTGTCATGTAGTTTCTGAAAAGCTTAACAGTTTAATATTATTATTATTACTATGAAAATAGGTTTTACTTCCAGAATACCTTAAAAAGGTCTCAAGCAGCCCTAGCTCTCTGCAAATCTTACATTGAGAACTGCTTTTATTCTAGAACTGAATTTCAGCCTCAAATCATGACCACTGGGCAAGTGTAGTCAAAGCCCCACAGTTTAAGAATACCAGTTAGGTTTCTCTAATCTCATATTATCAGAGAGTGACATATGGGACACTTTCATAAGCCTTGTTCAGTTACAGAGCCTGGACTGCACGACCCAGACATGCCCCCACTCAAGTGCCCCCATTTAACAACATTTTTTTCTGGTACCCAAGATCCACCATCATTGAGCTATACCCAGCAACTCAAAGAAATGAGTAATGTTCTTTATGTTGTCCTCCTTCGGTCTAAATCTATGATGATTAAATATTTATATCTGACTATATTTATATATAATATATTCACATATTAATATGTATATTTATACCTGACATATATTTATATGTTTGAATATTTATGCCTGCAAAACAATTTATTTTGCACTTACTTACCTTTGATTTTTTTTCACCAAAACTCTAGAATTCATATAAGTATCAATATGGCTCTCTCTACCGGATCTTAGACTCCAATTAAGTTCAGTCCCTTACCAGAGAAGGTTTGTGTGCCAAAAGGTAAACCAGAAAACTGCTTTCAGACCCTAAATCTGTGTGACAGCTATACTTCTAGAAGCCTGCATTCCCATCAATTGCTTTCTGAACTCAAAGTCAAAGCTGCTTATAGTGACATCAATATCTAAAGTATATGAAGTATTCCACCTGTTCTTCTTCATCAAGAGGAGCGTAAAGGAGCTGTTCTTATGCCATGTGCATTGTCTCTCAGTGCAATCACCAGTCAGATTGCTGCCATATGAGGTCAGCATTCCAGTAACGCTGCCTGGGTTTGACCTGAACTCGCACTTAACTAGTGGTGAGTTTAAGCAAGTGGTGAGTTTAAGTCACTTAAACTCACCATGCCTGAGTTGCCTAAACGACAGAAGGCAGATAACACATGCTAACAGAAATTCTTAGCACTGCGTAAGAGAGCAATCAATGTTACCTGTTAGATGTACCTGGATCCTTCTTATATAACATGGCTCAACACTTTGCTAGATTTCAAGGGTATTTTAACTTTATTAGAAAAAAAATGCAGAGGGGAAGAATTAAGCCCACCTTTCTGAATGCACTTTTTTGGTATTTGAAGGACCTTCCATCCTAAAATTACAGGTGAAGATTTTTCATAATGCTCTAAAAAGTCTCATTATTTTCTGATAAGAGGAGACTCATTAAAGATAAATGGTTATCTGGACTCATATTCTGAATAACAGCATCTAGAATTCAATACTATTTTTTACTTCTACTTAAATATCCCACCTAGCTTTATAGAACTTAAATAAAAATTTCTTAAGGTTGTATTACATTGGGTCACATGTTAAGGTGTGATAGGTTTATAAGTGTGTTTGTGTATGGGCACATGTGTTTATAAAGAGCATGTGCATGTATTTCCAGGTGATGGGCTGAATTCAGAATGTCATAAAGATTCTGTCCTAAAAACCTTAATCTTTGTGATTACTTTAAAGAAAATTTTCCCTAACAAGTTCAGATTGTTCATATATGAAATGGGAAGTCCTGGTGGTTACATGCTTCCTTAATAATTAGAGACATGCTTTTCAGGAAGATTTGAAAAAGAAGACCCTATATACAAAAGTAGGGAATACAACCTAGACAGAATTATCCTCTGACAATTTTTATGACTTTTACTTAGCTTTGGTTTATTAAGAAGCTTTGATTATAATTTTGAATTTTAGTGACCTGGTGTGTGGTTTCAATTACAAACTATGATTAATCAATGCTTGCTATCAGAAGTTGCCTGTAATCAGATGTAGGTGGATAGAAGGTTTTATTACATATGGACTCTAACTCCCTCTTGATCTAAGTGCAAAGCACTAAAACTCCTAGGCCACAGATTTCCTAAGGCAATCCTGGAGCTAGAAAGGTATGGCTTTAGAAATTCGATTATAGCTAGAGTTGTGGAAAGAGAGACGAGTGATGGTACATCATATACGTACATGCTCATATGCATTCATTCACATATTTAATGAGCATCTATGGTACATTCAGTAATCTAAACAAGAAAGACACAGCCTTGCCATTGCTACATTTACTTTATTGTTTTATGCCACCAGGTCAAACAATGTATCCTAAAGCAGAAGAGTTACAAAAGAATTATGACACTTGTGGAGGCCCAGGTCCAGGGTACTCAAGGAGTACAGAAGGGCACCGTTTCACAAACTATGTTGCCTCTCTAAACAAGTTTTTCAAAATCCCAAAAGATAAAGCTCAAGCTCAGAGAACATACCTCCACATCACAGAAGCATGTAAAGCTTACTTTCGGTCCTGAAAACAATTCTGCAAAGTGAGCGTTGGTTACATTATGATTAGTAATCCTGTGGGCTCATTCTACTCAAAGAGTTATCCATTGGTGTATATGCAAAAAACTCATCCATGTTGACTCTGCCTTGAGAAGTCAAGATGGAGCAAAGCAGCCTTCAGGGACCAGTAGAGACAAATGATCACAAAACAGAGAAAAAAATAGACTGTCGAAAACATCGGTGCTGTCAAGAGATACGGGAAAGCCCAGCATTCAATGAAGAAGCAGGAGAAGTGTCTGTGGCCTATAGGAATTAGAGGTTATGTGGAAGGATTTAGAAGATCAATGTGTACCCCTTAGAACAGCTGCCTAATACTCAAGAGCCTCAAGCCTTCTGATTTATATATGCAGATACTACATATGGAATTTGTTAAAAATTAGATCGCCTCTACTTTTTGGGTGGTGTGGGTGGGAGGAGAGGAAGCAGTAGGCTAGAATCAGTCTTTATACATGTCTGAGTTTCCCTACATAGCTGGCAACCACATGGTATTAAGAACTGAATCAGTGTGTTTTGCACAGAAATCTATTAAAGGCTTCTCTTGCTTTGTTTATTGTTTTAATGTTTTTTTTTAATTTAAGGTAATTTTAGATTCACCTGCTTTTGTAAATAATAATAGAGTAATATTTGTTCTCTAATAGTAATACACTTTTGACTCATTTTCACTATCTAAATAAGCAAATATAAGTAATCTAGCCCTAATTTCATTGTTCAGATAAAAGCAGGCATTTAAAACATAAGCATGGAAAAGTAATAAAAGAAAACATTAGAGAGAGATTAAAATAATCAGATTGTTTTTTGATGCCAGAATTCCATGTTTTGAAACCATTTGTGGATGGATATGATTTATCTGCATACCAGTTTAATGGAAACCTCCATGGTTCATATATTATTGATTTTACAGTTTCAATGGGTAGAAATGGCTTTGCTCATATTCACCTTCCTATTTTTCATGACCTCAAATTTTTGGTTTTTGAATTTTTATGTGAAATTGATCCACGTTATTCTTTTTGTCCTTCTGTAATTAAGTCTCAGAGCTTACACTTTTAAGAGAATTTGCCTCAACATATGAAATATGTGGCAAATTCCATGGGCATCTGGCAAGTAACATGTGCTTTTTAAAAAATCACTAATTTTTTCCTAATAGAATTCCTTTATAGGAAGCAATAGTCATACTTATGAGTAGTATTCCTTAGAAGAAATTATGCAATCTTGGAGTAGAAAGGATATAATCAATTATTTCCAAACTCTTCTCTTTACAGATGAGGTAAATAATCCCCAGAGAATAGTAGCAATTTGGTCCTGGACACAGGTGTATAGTATTACACATAATGAGAATCAGGTGTCCTGACCCCTAATCTAATGCTTTGGACATCAGAACAGCTGCCTGCCGGCAATTAGACAATCACCTGTAGTGTCAATATGTATTTAAAAAGGCTTTAAATATGACAAATAAAAATTATGTTGACATCTTTAACCATTAACAAAAAGGTGAAGAGAATCCCAACTTCTTCCCCAGACATTGTAAAGGTAAAACATAGAAATTTCCCATAGAAAATGTTAGAGGTTTTCAGGGTTGAGAGGAGAGAGAGATCTCAATTATAAAATACTTGGCAACTGAAGAAACTTCAAATATTATTACTATAAAAGAAATCAGAAATATTTCTAGGTTGCTTACATAGAATAACATACTGAAAATTGACTAATGATTACATCTCTCATTCAGATATTTTAAAATTTTATTTCTGTAAGTGGGAAGCAAAAGGCATAAAGCCTTCTTTAAATTTCATATTTTAAATTTAGAATCAATTATAGTTTTTTTATTCCTACATCATTACAATATTAACAGGTTTTCTAACATTAGCCACAAGTTCCTACATCAGTGCAGAATATCTCAATTCAGAAGGTGAATTATGGAAATTAAATAATTATATATAAATCAAATATTTTCACTTCTATTTAAGACCTAATACAGAAAGCTTAAATGTTCATATTGTAAAGAGGAGTTCCCAGTAATGCAACTATTTTGAGAGCCCCAAGCTAAACTGGGGTTTCAGTACCACATCCACCAGCAGCCCTGACCCACTAGGAAATGAAGGGGAGGTGGATCCACGTGTTCACAGCGTGCCTTTCACAGCTCTATTACCTGGTGGATGGCCTAATGTCTGGTTGTCTCACCCACGACCAGAAGGTGACTCACAACCACGACCAGAAGGTGATTATACCAGCAGATGCCCTTATCGCTCTTGTCTGACCCGTGTGCAGTTTATGCCTGCCTGGCTCTCCCTCTGGTGCCAGGAGCCTGACCTTGTGTTCTCCACAGCTAGGGAAGTCCCTTTTTCTTCGGATGGAAGGTGCAAAATCAACCCACCACTACAGCAGAAAATGAGCTCAAGGATTTATTACTTTCAGATTCTGGGAAAGGAGAGTGTAATGAGTTAGGAGAGCAGTAACAAGTCATTCATGCAAGAATGAAGAGGCAGGCAGAGAAAAAGAATACGCGTGGCAACCAGCAGTGTATACGTAAAGCAATAGGGTGTGGGTCACTTTAAGTTCATGGGGAAATGCCTGAATGGTCCCTTTAAAGGAGGCAGTGGGAAAGTGGGAGCCCCCGCCTGCTAGGCAGGAGAGATACCCTAAGTTCTTTACTCTGGCCACCAGCTTGAGCCATTTGGGTGTGGCAGAGAACTGGAAACTGTGTCACAGGTAACTGAGACCTGCTTCTGGTCTGAAAAGGTTAGAACTATATTCAAAATAAAGGACAAGGCGATATAAAAATCATAGAAATTCACTACAGCAACTAACATAAAGTCTTCCAATGTAAGAACATATTTTCTATTCTCTGATGTGCTTTAATTTCATAGGCCATAGTAGCAGATAATGTACATCTCTTTAAAGAATAAAGTAGGGCCATTGTAATAAATATGAAAAACATACATGAAGATGTAATTTTATTAAAGATTTAATGAAGACTGCAGTGAATTGATAAAAAGAAATAAATTACCTATGGAAATATCCCTATAATATGTTAGTGTATAATTTGCCTTTCTTGTTAACAGAAAAATTCAGACATATTTTTACTTAATATTGCTAAGACCATAGATTAAATTAGTGGTAAAGTCATCTATGAAATTCCAATTCACCAACAGCCAGTCAAATTCAATTATATTTTGTAATGCTATGATTTGTTAGTTCCTGCATTTTACTGTATTATCTAAATTTATGTTAAAGTATGACATAAAAACATTATTTTCAAAATGTAACTTCTATGGTAAACTTAATCCTATACTTCACAGGGATTAATGTAAAGCAGAAGCACACACAAATATACATGCACATTTAAGAACTGTGTTTGCACTTTCTCTTTTTAATAAGTAGAAATCATACTTCATTAAGGTTTCTTGCAAACATGTTTTAAAGAGCTGAACTTTTTGTCATAATGAATTACAACTTGATGAGTTAAAGGAAACAGTAAAGTTGTCAAAATAGGATAAGAAATAATTTTTGATGCTCAACACAAATTCATTGGAGACAATGGAGCACGTGTGGTAACTTGGCTCTTGCCCATTTTCTCTATCCACAGCAAATATCTTCTCAAAATAGGAAGATGCTCCACACTTATCTCAGGAAAGTATTTCATTGCTAGCGGCAGTGTAGTCAAAAGTTTTGAAACTCTGCTCATTATGTGAAGAAAGAGCTTAACAAGCATGCATGAAATACTGTACTGCCTCTAACTTGCTCTTCTTTCTGGATTTACAGAGTTTAATGAATCATTTAACAAAAACAGCCTAACTACCCAGGCATATAAAAGTCTGATTCATTCATCACCCAAAAGCCTTAACCACAGGGATGATACAGGGATGTCTTACAAATTGGAATGAGAATTCAACCATTTATTGCAAGCTGAGTCTCCCACACTCCAAGTATTGTTAAGGGTTACATAATATACTTTCCCCCTTATTTTTGAATCTTTAAACATTATTTTCTTCAGTCTTAGTTTTATCTTGGAAAAAAAAAAATCCTGTCCGTTGGTGGCAAATGTTCCTGAAATCTGGGGTGCTACTTCGCTATGCATTAGCTGGATTGGGAACAGTGGTTTATACATAGCAAGAAATAGCAGCTCAGCAAAAACATTTGAATGAGGAAATGAATGCATGAGTGAGTGAAAAATGGAAAAGTATCAAATGAAATGGGTACTGATTTCAGTGCGACGGGACTTTCTAAATCTCTCTGACCACTTACATATCTTAGCATATAAGTCTGTTCTCACACTGCTATGAAGAAACACCTGGGACTAGGTTATTTATAAAGGAAGTAGTTTAACTGACTCATAGTTCAGCATGGCTGCGGAGTTCCTGAGAAACTTACAATCACGGTGATTGCAAAGGTGATGCAAGTACCTTCCTCCCAAGGCGACAGGAAGGAGATTGCAAAAGGGGAAGAGCCCCTTATAAAACCATCAGATCTCGTGAGAACTCACTCACTATCACGAGAACAGCATGGGAGAAACCGCCCCCCATGATCCAATCACCCGCTACCAAGCCCTCTCCCTTGACACATGGGGATTACAATTCAAGATGAGATTTGGGTGGAGACGCAGCCAAACCATAACACTCAGGTATTAACGCATGTCAAAGGGATCGCTACCAGGTTCCTTTTATGGCCAGAGTCACTTGACAACCTAAGTTGCTATTAGAAGTTGAGCACTTCTGTGTGGAAGGACAGAGGAAAAAAAAAAAAAATCTTCCCACTCAAGGCACTTAGAGGCATAATTAGAGTGGGACTGATAAAACACAGGAAGATCCAGTGCATTGACTAGGGAAAGGAGAGGTTAGCCAGATCGTCCATTTCCTCCTACAGATGCTTGTCTTATAAAATGAAAAGCAAAGCAAAACAGAATCATCTTCATTTCACTAACGTAGGCTTCAGAAACGTTGAGTTGTAACCTTATTTCTTTCTGGGGCTGTCCAGGTAACCCAGGAAAGAACAGTTCATCCCTGTGTACTTGAGTTCCTTTCTCTCTAAAATTAGGATATTAATTTTGACATCTGAAGGCTGTTTGAGAAAAAATGAAATTTTATTCCTGAAATTGACTTAAAAACAGTTAAGTGCTATACAAATCTAACGTGTTAAACTTTTAAAGATGAGTTGAAGCTGACAGCTGAAGGAAGCAGAAATGGGTACTGAATATTTATGTTAAACCTAGAAATTTCTATAGCCAGAAGTACAAGTCAGAATTATTGCAAAGTAGGCTCACAAGTTCCAAAATTGTTGAAAATGACATCTCTGCCTGACAGCTACAAGGGAACTTATCCAGTGAGTCTTCACCTCAAAGTAACTAAAGAATATTTTTTTAAAAGACAAAAACACAAGCATATGATTATATCCTTTCTGTCCATCTTCCTGGCTCAAATACCTGGGGTCTGTTTCAGTCATGTGTCCCTTTAAATCCACTGGGTGATGCATCAAGACAGGTAATAGCGATTCCTCAACCTCTAATTTATGCCTCTTATTCTGTTTCTCTTTACTGACAATCTCCATTTTTCTATAGGAAGACAAATCCTAGTTTGTTAAAAAAAAAAATGGTAAACATAAACAAGCAAAAATAAAAACTGGGGGAAATGATTGGGATTAAATAGCAGAAATTTGCAAATTAGAAAACCCATTCTGTGCTCAATATCCGTAAGGAAATGCATACTGGACTGGAAACAAATTGAACTTAGAAAAAGATGCACAAGTTATAGTATTACTAAATGCATAACACGTATAAAGACTTCCTTCCTTCCTTCCCTCCCTCTCTCCCTTCCTTTCTTCCTTTTTCCATCCCTCCCTTCCTCCCTTTCTTCCTGCCTTTCTTCCTTCCTTCCCTCTTCCTCTTCATTTTTCTTCCTCACTTCTTTCCATTTTCCATCTTTCCTAACTTCCATCTTCCTTCTATTCCTCACCTCTTATGTCCAGTTTTCTCTATTTCCTTATTCCTTTCTCTCTTTTTTTGTTTCAACTTTTTGATTTCTCTCCCTTTCTCTGTACGTTTTATTATTTTTCCTTCTTTTATCTTCCTTTTTTCTTTCATTTTTTTTTTTTTTTTGGCTTATATGTATTAAAGTCAGCCCTCTGTATCCACAGCTTCTGCTTCTATGGATTCAATTAGCTGTGGATAGAAAATATTAAAAAAAAAATAGAACAATAAATACAGACTTAAAAGTTCTCTATAAAAACTAAATAACACTTTATATTTAGTATTATAAATTATCCAGAGATGATTTAAAAGGAGAAGGTGCATTGGTTATATGCAAATTCTACCAGCCTGGGCAACATAGCATGACCCTGTCTTTATAAAAAATTAAATTAAATTTAAAAATAGAAACTAAAAAAAGACAAAATGGATAGACTGTTTTTTGTTTTTTGTTTTTGAGATGGGGCTCTTGCTCTGTCACCCAAGGTGGAGTGCAGTGGTGCTATCTCAGCTCACTGCAACCTCTGCCTGCTGGGTTCAAGCAATTCTCCTGCCTCAGTCTCCTGAGTAGCTGGGATTACAGGTGCATGCAACCACGCCCAGCTTAGTTTTGCATTCTTAGTAGAGACAGGGTTTCACCATGTTGGTCAGGCTGCTCTCGACCTCCTGACCTTGTGATCCGCCTACCTCGGCTTCCCCAAGTGCTGGATTACAGGCGTGAGACTATTCTAAACATATGCTGCTAGAAGGAAACATATGCTGCCACTATTTTATAGAAAGGACTGTAACAACGGTGTATTTTGGTCTCTGTAGGGAATCCTAGAACCAGTCCTCCATGGATGGTGAGAGACAACTGCATATTATATTATGTAATAGAAACATATTGATCTTATAACTGGAAAAAACTTCTACATATATATAAAATATTTAGATTTCAAATAAGCTGTTCAGAAAAGACAGACTGAAAAAGAGTTCACCTCTTGAACTCTTCAGTAATCTATTGGCTCTGGGTACCCTGGACTTTCTTCAATAAAATTACTCCTTGATTTGAAGAAAAGTGACTGAAGAAGCTGCAGGAAATTCATCTTCCAACATTCCAAACTAATTCTACTTCACGAAATCACAGAAGACCTCCCTTGCACTCATTACCCAAATAGAAGAAACTGTCTCAATCTGGCATAAAAAGTGAAGGAAGTGACCAAAGTGGCTTCTCGCTTTACTGACATATAATTGACAAATAAAAATGATAGATATTTAAGGTGTACAACATGTTTTGATATGCATATATTTTGTTAAATGATTACTGCAATCAAGCTAATTAACATATCACCTCACTTAATTTTTTGGTGATGAAAATACTTCTCTTTCAGTAAATTAGTAAATTCAGTAAATACTTCTCTTTCAGTAAATTTCAAGTGTACACCACACAGTTATGAAATATCGTCACCACCTTGTTAAGTCTCCAGAACCACAGTGTTTCTTGACATTTCTGCGATTGCCAATAACACTAAATCAAGTCCATGAAAGGTTATCGACAATAGCTTTCATCACAATCAATGATAAAAGTTCTGTTTAAAATAACATCGCATAGAAATACTCATAAATGTCTTTAGAGCAATGTAAATAAACGATTTTTTATTTCTGAATAAAATAAAAGGTATGTTAACAAGATGATCTGTTTTATTATATCATGTTCGTATATGTAGGAAAGAAAAGAACCAGCCTAGCAAGATATTCCAGATTTAAACTAAGACTACATTTACATCTAGAAAAAAAAAACAAACAAAAATATATATATACACACAAACATATACGTGTACAAGTATACATCTGTAATACATATACTTTAAAATATATTGAATACTGCATTAAATGGAGATAATTTTATAATAAATACAAATAACTGACATTGTAACATAAAATGTATATGCCTAGATAATGTCTAGATGTCAAGATAAGAAGCATATGTATTATTTTAATTGCATGAAAACATGTTTATTAATGCATATATACACTTCATATTCAAATTACTATATTCACATCTTTCTCTACCTGTGCCTTACATCACAGTATACTAAACTATTTACGTAAACAAGTGAGTGTACATGGCAAAACAAAAATATTGCCCTATTTTACAATTTCTCTTGTTTAGTAGTTTAAGCAGCACACTGAATTATAATTAAAAATATCAGTAAAGTGACATTTTGAAGAAAAAATGGCAATGAATGAAAGAAGCTGGACATACTTTAAAGCCAAATACTAGTAAGCATATAGAGGGCAAGGACGCTGTGCCACGTGTTATTCAGTAACTGCCATGTGTGCGAGACTTTAAAAAATCCTCCTGCCCTTACAACATAGCTTTCCCACCAACGTTCTTGATGGTGATAATGATCTTATTTTCTAATACATGTAGTTAATATTCCCCATAGAAAAACATATTTAAAAGAATGGCAAAGGGAGAAAAAATGTTATATATGCACACACATAGAGTTAGATAATCACATTTGTATATATTCTATTATTTTTAATGCATCCACATATAAATCCACCATTTATTATATTCCATTAAAAATACTTTGAATTCCAAAAAAGCTTTAAAATACATGATTCTAAAATGGATAGAAGGCCAGGTATGGTGGCTCATACCTGTAATCCCAGCACTTTGGGAGGCCAAGGCATGATGATTCCTTGCCTTGGAGTTCAAGACCAGCCTGGGAAACGTAGCATGACCCTGTCTTTATAAAAAATTTAATTTAATTTAATTTAAAAATAGAAACTAAAATAAAAAAGAGAAAATGGATAGACTGGTTTTTTTTTTGTTTTGTTTTGTTTTTTTTTTGGGGGGATGGGGCTCTCGCTCTATTGCCCAGGCTGGAGTGCAGTGGTACGATCTCAGCTCACTACAACCTCTGCCTGCTGGGTTCAAGCAATTCTCCTGCCTCAGTCTTCTGAATAGCTGGGATTACAGGTGCATACCACCACGCCCAGCTTACTTTTGTATTTTTAGTAGAGACAGGGTTTCACTATGTTGGTCAGGCTGGTCTCAAACTCCTGACCTCATGATCTACCTACCTCGGCTTCCCAAAGTGCTGGATTACAGGCATGAGACTGTTCTAAACATATGCTGCTAGAAGGAAACATATGTTGCCACTATTTTATACTATGACATATCATGACTACATGCAATGTATTAAGCTACAGAAGAGTATGGTATAGAAGAATAGAAAGCATTTATCCTCTATATTTACCTTTTCTGAAGAAATCTAAGGCTTATTTCAGAGAAAAGTACCTGAACCAAATAATGTAAATAATAAGATCCTAGACTTTGCTGTTTATCTAATGCATGTCTAGATGTTTACCTTAATTTTATCATAAATAATGTCACATAAAAGCACGTATCTTTCAACGGCCTACTGTTCTCACTTGGATCTTTGGAATGGGGGATATTATAATTTAAATATTATTAGTTCTTATGTGTTAAGCTTTTCTGCAATGTTTGGAAGGTAAAAATCCAAACAGACTGAGCATTTTCTATGTCCATTTTCTTGTTCCATTTTATTTTTCCCCCTTGTGGGCTAAAATGAAAATTTTGTAATTAATATTCTTCGTATTGCCTCTTTAATACCATTCTTTTTAGAAATACCTGGTTATTTAATAAAGTCATTTGTTTAAGCAGATTCTTTAAGCAAACAGATTGCTCCTTGGGAACAGACATCTTCAGAAGTACTTTAACACTTTCACAAGGTTAGTCATTAATACTTTATAGAAGTCAGTTAATAAAAAGGAAAGAATATAACTCTTTCCTATACTAACTCTTTCATAAATTGAGAATAAAGATTTGTACTTAGAACATACATTAACTAGTGGACTCTAGAGTTGGATTAGTCAACTATTATAGCAATGAGGACATCATAAAATTACCTGTAGAGCAATTTAAGGGATAGCAATCACTCATGGAGTGCCTTCCTGCAAGGCAGGCATCAGGACAGCTATTCCTAATTTATTACCTAATTTAATCATCTCAACTTTCCAAGATACATATGCATCTCTACTTTCCCATTGAAAATAACAGAAATACTGAAATTAAATAAATAACATTTTCAATGTCAAAACCCAGAAACTTTGGATGGTAGGACCAAAATTAACTTCTGAGCCCATTCCCATTCCCTTCTAATACATTACCTTACCTCAAGTGGGAGGAATTAAACAAACCAAAATATAAATGCTTTTGTTGTTGTTGCTATTCTACTTAACCTGATAAAGAAATAAAGGTTTAATCGTGTGCATATGCATTATTCCTTTCCCTTAAAATTTGGATACTGCAGAAAGAACAATAAATGTTTGTGTATAAAACATATTTACTTTCTTTAAAGGGTTTTTACATTCTTATCATTATTCTTTCACCATTACAGTACATTCATCATTTTTTTCTTATTTAATCTGTTTCTGTGCAAAATAATGATCACAGAAAGTTACAAAATGAGTCAGATGGACCACAGTAATAATAATTATTATTATAACAAACATTTGGGGTGAAACAGAACGGTGGCAAGAAAATCATTTCCATCTGAAAAGTAGCAAAATAAACAGGCAGTAGAACCATGGCCATCAATGATTGGATGAAATGAATGAAACTTTTTGAAATTTTAAGTTGACTAAATGTACTTTTCTCCAAAACAAAGTTATGCTTTGTGAGATATCTGGATACATTCATTAAGCCTTATCTGTTTAACTTTAGGTTCTTTTTTATTATAAACATTCTAGCATGTTCTCCAAATCTTCCCAGCCCACTTCCTTATTGCAGGTTCCCAGCAGCTTTATGATCAGGCATCCACCCAGGCATGTACATGGCTCAGTGACACCAAGCAATACCACATTTGATTTTATTGAACATGAGACAGACACAGAATATGGATGGAAGGCAGCATTTCTCCATGGAATAGAGAAAATGAGATTAAGCTGTCATGGGTTAATCAAGTTCATGTTTTTGTGCTGTTCTTTTTATGTAGCATGTTAAAAAACCCAACAAATTATTTAAAGTAAGATACATTGTATATTATAAGAGAAACCCTTCTTAATAAAGGGGTGATTTAATGCTTCTCAAATCAAATGGTCTTGATACCCATGAAATGCTTATCAATATTGATTAATAAACTGCAATTAATATAAAAATTCAGAAACAAAAAAACTGCATGTTTACATTTGAAAGAAGATCAAACTGAAAAAAAGTAGTCTGTTTGGAAAGAAACATTTTAAGAATATCAATAAATTAAATATTCAATTACCTAAGTTAAAGAGCCATTATAATCTTGTATTATTTTAGAATAAAATATAACATTTTGTTTTCTTAAATAGATAAATATGCTGGAGGACTAGGTTCTACAGTCTTTAGTTTTCCTATTACTATTTTGAACACTGGTTACAAGAGTGATGCAAGAAGATAAACAATTTATCAAGATATGAACTATAAAAATTTTCCCTCTAGGGAATTTATTTCTCTAATGATTTTACCTCATTGAGATATGAATTTATCAATTCCCATTATTTGTTTGAAACATATTTTAAATACTAAATTTAAAGCTATACTTCTAAGCTCTACTATATTCTTCAAAAAATATATTTAGGGTTTTAAATTATACTTTAATTTTTTGGTCAATTATTTTGATGAAGGTGTCACTCTTGAATATCACAAAACTATTTTTATTTGCTTTGGGTATATATCGAAATCTTTTTAAGGTTAAAATTACCCTACTCAGGCTGTGGCAGCAAAATTTTGAGATAGACCCCAATATTCTTTTTTGAATAATTCAAATATACAAATCTTGAAATATTCAAATAATAGAATATTTGTGAAATTAAGACACCAGATATGTTTGCTTTCTGTTCATCAAAAATTATCCTGAGTGAGCCTGGCCTAATCTGAAGGAGGAGATTTAGAGCATGAGAGAGATTCTGCTGCTGGCACTGAAGAAGGCTGCCATATTGCGGGCAGGGCTTATGGAGAGAGCACACGCCAAGAACCTGAGTCTCTAGGAGCTAAGAGCATTCCCAGCTACCAAGAAAACAGGGACTTCAGTCATATAGTAGCCAATGCATTCTGCCAACAGTTTGAGACATCTCAGAAGTGGATTCTTCCTTAATAGAGCCTCCAGATGAGGATATATCCAGCTGAGACCTGCTTCTGCCTTATGAGACACTGAGCAGAAGGCCTATCCAAAACAAGCAAGGCTCCTGACCTATGGAAACTGTGAGATGATAAACCTGTGTTAAGCTGCTACATTTCTCATAATTTGTTCTGCAGCAATAGGAAAAGAATATACTGTTCCTTCCCCTACAATGACATAAAATAGAAGATAGCACAATTAGGTACATTTAGGCCATTATTCAAAATCTATCTGAAAAAAGTTGGAGAATTGATAATATTTTACACACACTAAGTTAGGACAATGAGAAATTAATGAGTTATTATTCTATTTTCAAAATCCAGTAGAGCTATATAGCATTTACAAATTTTTATTCATGCTATAATCTACATTTGGACATTTTCTCCTTTCCCTTTCTCAATTGTTTTTCTTGTTTTTCAAAGAGAGATTGTAATGTTTTTAGTTATTCCTGTCTAAAATTTTCAGAATAATTGCATTTACAATCATATCAGACTCTTGTAAATAAGGTTATATTATTGACATTATTGTTTATTACTACATCTTTTGTCACTATTTTGTTAGTTACCACTAATCCCCCAAAATATATCCTTTGGTTTTCCCATTGTTATATATTATTTTCCAATGGCTCCCTACTTAAATGGATTTTTAATTGGGAATACTGGAATACTCTAGAGTTAGCAGTTACATAAATACTGAAGATTGTTCTGAGAGTGATTTACCCCAATTTTCTAAAATAATTATACTTTAAACTTATTTATATAATCATTTGAGAAACATTATAAACAGGAATTAGAAAATTGTATATGGTAATTCTGTCTAAAAATTACATTGCAGCACAAAATTTTGAAAGGAATAGTATGCGTATATTTGAGATTCTATTATGCAGTCTTTCTCTCTGTCTCTCTCACATCTCTTTCTTACATTCCTATTTTAAGCATCTAGCAACGACTTTTCTGGAGCCTCAGGTAAATGGTTCCCTCATCTAACTTCAACTTTTATAAGCAAATAATGAGTGTTTTCCCTTCTCTATTTAATTAAGAAGATCATGATTTGATTTATATTTACCTTCCATCGTATGTCATGGGATTGAGCTAATTTTAAATATAAATAATTCATGGTGCATTTTTATTTTTATATAGTTTTTATTTTAATTTTATTGTTGTGTCATTGAGTGTCTTTTTTTGTTTCAGAGAAAAAGCTAAGTTGTATCAATAATTGAGTTCCCTGGATAATCAAATGATGTCATATTTGATATTACTTTGAAAAAACAACTTAAAGCCATGTGATAAAAATTACCTTATTAAATCCTATGACAACCCTATGAGATGTGTGTAAAAACCTGGCCACAGGTAACAAAGCTATTAAGTGAAAGGTTGGAAATGATCTGGGAAGTCTGCCCTCAGTGTGTGGTGCTCTACGACATGCTGCACTGAAGCTGTGGCTCATAGACCTTTAGGGGTAGGCTAAGACTTTGAACCCTATTCTCCATGGAGTGGGGCCTCAGTAAAGTATTATTTACTGTGTCCCCACCAAATCTCACCTTGAATTTTAATATTCCCCACATGTCAAGGGTGGGGCCTGGTGGAGATAACTGAATCATGGGGGCAGTTTCCCCCATACTGTTCTCATGGTAGTGAATAAGTCTCTCAAGATCTGATGGTTTTATAAGCAGAAGTTCCCCTGCACAAGCTCTCTTGCCTGCCATCATATAAGATGTGACTTTGCTCCTTATTCACCTTCCGCCATGATTGTGAGGCCTCCCCAGCCATGTGGAACTGTGAGTGAATTAAACCTCTTCCCTTTATCAATTACCCAGTCTCGGGTAATTATGTGTTTGCATATAGGAGCACGCATTTGCAGGCACCACGATCCTCTGATACCTGGTAAGTGGAAATGATGCTAGAATGTGTCTATAGAGTGTATTGCGATCACCCAAACTTTCTATTTCTAGTTTGTCCAGATTTGGATAAAAAAAGAAAAGAAAGAAAGCGTCACACCACAGAAAATATTTAATAAATCAAAAAATAGGAAAGAAGAATCTCCATGGGAAGCTAGTCCCAAAGTTTTCGAGGGCTCATTGAAGAAATTTTAGTTTACTAATTTTTTTTTTATCCTTTTAGTGGTCAAAAGATCTGAACAACTCCTTGTTTTCAGTTTTGAAACAGTCACATCTCTCTCTACCCACAAAGTAACCACGTAGTGCAGATCCATAAAAAACAGGGAGGAAGGCGCACCAGGGAGAGGCCTGTCCCTCTGGAAGGGGCTCCACCTCTACATCTGCAGAAAGAGAAGGAACCGGCCGGGCGCAGTGGCTCACGCCTGTAATCCCAGCACTTTGGGAGGCCGAGGCGGGCGGATCACGAGGTCAGGAGATCGAGACCATCCCGGCTAAAACGGTGAAACCCCGTCTCTACTAAAAATACAAGAAATTAGCCGGGCGTAGTGGCGGGTGCCTGTAGTCCCAGCTACTTGGGAGGCTGAGGCAGGGGAATGGCGTGAACCCGGGAGGCGGAGCTTGCAGTGAGCCGAGATCCCGCCACTGCACTCCAGCCTGGGCGACAGAGTGAGACTCCGTCTCAAAAAAAAAAAAAAAAAAAAAAAAAAAGAGAGAAGGAACCAAACAGGGCTCCAGCACTTCTCTCCTGCAAACAAGCTCCTTTTAAATGTGAAACCCAGTCACCCAGCAGTTCCTTACATAGGTACATCTCTGAATACCAGGCCAGTTCTGAGAGGAAACAAAACCACAAGTTGAGAGAAAAGGACTATCATGGGCATCTGGTCACTTTCTACGTGATCCATCATACTTCCAGGAATTGGGAGCTACTGGTCTTGGAGTGGAATAGCTTAGACCACATCCACCGGAGGTCACCCTTTAAATAGGCCATCATGAGGAGTGGCAATAAGGTAAATGGCACCAAACAGAGAAGGGCAGGCTGGGCGGCCTGGTGAATGTGAGAGGCCACAGTAGCCGTGAGCAGATCTACAAAGTATCCCATGAGCGTGCAGTGAAAGTAGAAGACCTTCTGCATGCGCCCAGAGATGTTGGCAGGTCCAGGGCCACCACAGGAGTCCCCACGGGCTTGATTTTGTAATTGTCATAGTGAAGGTCAAAGCATAGCAGATGACCAGGCATAACAATGTCTCCAATGCCCAACATGAGGAAGTGGCTCCCAGTAGAACGTGGGAAGACCAGTTTTCCAGGCAGAGACAGGCGAGGAACATCACGCCCAACACCAGGCCCCAGGCTGAGCTTCTGAGATAGAACGTAAAGGGGATTTTCGGCCAGCTGCCATGGCCACATTCACCATGACACTGCTATTAAAGATGTAGGCTGAGAAAACTACCTAAAAGACATCATAGATTAAAAGCCCTGAGAGAAGCAGGCAGGGGACTTTGAAGCCCAACAGGCAGACAAAGAAAATTACAGTGAGACGGAGACCCACAGCCATTGCATCCATGAGAAGTCAATGGCCAGTGAGAACCCAGGTGAGTATGAGCACGACAGACAGAGATAATAACAACAACTCAGCAGCAGTGAAACATCCAGGGGAACCCAGGGAAATCTTGTTCTGAGGTGAATAGAGTCTAGTTAAATACTCGCACATCAGGAGAAGAAGAAAAGCAAAAGTTATCATTGTAAGAACTGCTGTACATATTGTGAAAACTACTTGAGCTCAGTCAAAGAAGCAAAACAACAATAAAAGAGAGACAGATGCTCCAATCGGAAGGAACAGAGCCTGGGTAGATTCAATTATTTGATGCTATTATTGGTGCTGTTGCCATTGAAAGACCCAGAAGAACTATTATTGTCTTTCTGTGTACTCTCTTGTCTTTCTGTCTTTTCTACACACCAGTCTGTTGAGAATCGGAGGTTGAAATTTGCAATATAGAGATATATAACCTTTTTCAAGGGTATTTAATCTGAAATCTATACAATTGTTATTTTAGTATTAAACCAAAGCTGATATATTTTCTGGATGAATTTGATAAACATATATCTAAAGCAAAATCATTACTTGGTATTAAAGTTAACTACATATATTTCTAATCATTAAGAACAGTAAATAAATACAAATTTAATTAATCTTCAAATGACATATTTAAGAAATAAAACTTCCAGTTTAGGATGCCAGACTGACCACATATGAGCATCTCTTCTTGCCTCCAAGATACCATGAAATTACGTGAAATTATGAGGTATGTTGATTGTAAACTCATAATGATACATAGAAATGGAAGACCATCAGGCCATAAGATAGTTTTACACACATCTATAATTCAAAAAACAAATGGAGGAGGACAATGGATGAAACAAGTTGGAGGAAGTATATACCCCAGAAAATTCACAGAACTGCAACTCAGAGACTGAGAAGCCAGAAAATACATGGCTCCAAGTGGATGTGTTCAGGAAGAAATAATCAAAAACTCACCCAACAGATAGCACATTGCATACCTTCACAAAAGCTGAGTGCCCGGGGACATACCACCCTGGGCAAGAATTGGGGAATTATTCTTTCAAGAAATAATACTCAGGAAGAAAGATGAAACTCTTTTTTAAACAAATGAAGGCTAGTATTTAGACATTTCTCCAGATCTTCACCGTTTAAAGCTCATGAGTCACTAAGTTTGACTTCTGTACTTACCTCAGCAATCGCCTTTGCATTGCCTTGTTCTTAAATATGAATGAGCAAAGAAGACTCTCTGGCCCTTTGAGGAAACACTGCGACATGAAAGGAACCTACCTCTCTGCAGAAAGGAGATTAAAACTCAAAGGAAACACTAACGATTTTTTAGAAGACGCAGTTTCTTAAAAATGAAACAAAAAAACCTCTAAGTATAATAGTACCTCCCAGGGACTTTAGGATGTATTACATCACGAGACAATAGGCTGTGGAAAGGAGCTCTTGGATATTAAAAATAAAATTGCCATAATAAATTAAAAAGAACTGAAAATATGGTTGCTAAATAAATAATTAAATTTAAGAGTTGGAGAGATGAAATTGTGACAATATCCTGGAAATATAAAACTAAAGATATAAAGAGATCTAGGATACCCCGATTCATGAAGATCCATTGGCAAGTTCAGTGCCAGAACCAGGGTGGGAGCAGCTGCAAAACATTTGTAGTGAATAAAGGGAAATTAGTTTATCAGTGTAGTTACCTCTGGGTGATTTAATTTCTCAACTTTTCTGTGTCTTCCAGAATGTTTAACAGGGAGGAACCCTATCTTCTGGGAGCTGCAAAATATGCTTGCACCAAAAAGTAAGCCAAGGAAACAGGGAACGAAGTAAAAAACCAAGCACGTTTCATGTGCCTGTGAGATGCCTGGATTCTTCAAGATGGCGAGACCCAAGGAAAGAAAGGTCAAGTTGTCGGCAAGTCACCTCAGGTAGTTAGAGGAGGTTATGTGCAAGGGCATTTCTTCTTCGTGTCCACTGCCACAGCATCCATCCTCCCTGATTTTAGAAAAATCTTACAAAAAATGTGCTAAGAGTTTAAGAAGACTAACTTCAACAAGAAGTATGAGTGGGAATTGAGCTTAAATAGTGTAGTATCTATATATCCATGAAGTGCTAATGGATGTAAGTTGGAAAATGTGGTAATATGCTCATTTGCATAACTTAATGGTATAGATATATACATATGATTAAAGATAACTTTCTAGTTTCAATGAAATTTCATCAGGACACTGACTTAATGCATAGAAAATCTGACAAAGCAGGTACTGAGAACACATATGTCATAAAAGTGATTATGCACTTTTCTAAAATTGTCTTACATTTCTGATAGTTGCAAATAGCCTTTGCAATTTTCTCAGTTGTAGCATTGCACAATATTTAGTTATTGTGCAACATGGTTCAGAAACAATCAGATATTATGGAATCTTGAGTACCCAATTATAAGTCAGATAATACTGTGCACATTACTTAAATCCTCCAAACATGTTTTCTCCTTTGTAAAATGTTAATACTTTTTGTATGTTTATTAAATGTTAATTACTGTCTATATTGAAGTGCTAGAAGTATATTATGTGTCCATCATTATTATTATACTAGGTAATTATTTGCTGATGACATTAGATTTTAGGAGTTAATCTATTATTGTTTAATGCTAGATATTCAAATATTCAAAAAAAACAAGCAGAAAGCAGGGATGTCTTTGGGCTGTTCAAAGAATGACAATATGTTAGATCACATGAGAAAAGGATAAAATTCATAGTTTTTGAAATTAGAGAAGTAGCCAAGAGCCAAATCATATGTTAGAGGAAAAGATGAGGATTTTGAATTAATTCTTCATGAGATGGGAAACAACAAGGCAATTTTGAATGCAGAAATGATATGATCTAACTCATATTTTAACAGGACTTTTCTGGCTACTTTATGGAAATAAAATCCTGAGGCTGGCCCGTTAGGGAACTACTAAAATTGTCCAAATAAGAAATGATAGAGTGTTGGATCAAAAGGTAAGTGAATATGCTGAATGCTGGTCAGATTGTATGCACATTTTTGAAAGTAGAGCTGACAAAATTTGCTTATATGTTGGATTAAGGAAACAAGACAAACAGCAGAAGCAAAGATCACACTAAGATTACAGTCATATACTATTAAAACATTGGATTATTGATATAGTTTGGTGTGTCCCCACCAAAATCTCATCTTGAATTGTAGTTCCCATAATCCCCATGTGTGATGGAAGGGACCCAGTTGTAGGTAATTGAATCATAAGGAGTGGTTATGCTGCTGTTCTCATAATAGTGAGTGACTCTCATGAGATCTGATAGTTTTATAAAGGGCAGTTCCCTGGCACATTCTCTCTTGCCTGCTGCCACATAAGCCATGCCTCTGCTCCTCCTTCACCTTCCTCCATGATTGTGAGGCCTCCCCAGGCATATGGAACTGCGAGTCCATTAAGCCACTTTTTCTTTATAATCTAGTTTCAGTTATTTCTTCATAGCAGTATTAAAATGGGCTAATACAATTACCATTAACAGAGGTGAGGAAATCTGAGGACTACATTTTGAAGTGGAAAATCAAGGGTTCATTTTTAGATATGTGTTTGTGAAAGATGCTTATAGATGGATTAAGAAACACGCATACACGGCTGGGCACAGTGGCTCACGCCTGTAATCCCAGCACTTTGGGAGGCCGAGATGGGCAGATCACGAGGTCAGGAGATCGAGATCATCCTGGCTAACACGGTGAAACCCTGTCTCTACTAAAAATACAAAAAATTATCCAGGCGTGGTGGCAGGCGCCTGTAGTCCCAGCTACTCGGGAGGCTGAGGCAGGAGAATGGCATGAACCAGGGAGGCGGAGCTTGCAGTGAGCCAAGATCGCGCCACTGCACTCCAGCCTGGGGGACAGGGCGAGACTCCATCTCAAAAAAAAAAAAAAACAGAAACACACATATACACACACACACCAATCATCACTAACCCTTGCAAGACGTTTACTGTATTTCCCATCACTTGCTAAATCCAAATTGACCAACAATAGCTGTTAAATGATGCCCCAAAACTTGCTACCCCTGAATACTACAACCTGATTGATAAATCCAGGTTTTCATACCTTCCAAGGATTCAGAGAACAGCTCTCAGAGAAAAACTGTCCTTTCCCAATCCATGCTGTCAGCTCTGAAAGCCATTCACCTTGAGCTGTTGCCATGCTGCAGTGGGTTTATTTAATTTGAGGTAATGGCATTCACTATTGCTTCTCCTTTGAGAAGAACTGGATCAGGACAAGATTCCCATTACCTGGACCGGATACTTTAGTGAAGAAGCACAACAACACTGAAGCAACATTGCTCTCTCCCCCGACTGGGGCCGGTGTGGCTAGACACCAGATGAGCTCTGATTCTGCATGGAAATCTTTCATTTTGTGTTGAGTGACACTCACATTTTACATTGTTACTATTGTCACTGATAGGGGCTTTTATGTGTGAGATAAAGATGTATTGTTTGTTTGTGACAGAGGGGCGGTAGCACGTGTTTGCTTCTCACCACTAGAATTGTTGTAGACAATGAAGCCAGTGGCCCTCTGCTTATTAATATTTACGTTGATGTGAACAACACCAAACATAGAATATATGAATCTCACCAAGGAGAATTTATAATTCCAATGATCAATTTGAAGAATTTCTGACATAAAGAAAATTGTTCTTTCAGAGGCATAAAAGGGAGAAGCCTTCATGAAATTTTCTTTCTTGTCTAAAAGAGATTATTTAAGTGAGGTCATCTTATTTTAACCAATTGTAATAAATCTCATGTTTGTGTCCACGTGTGTGTGTTTGTGTGAGTGTGTATGTCTGTGTCAAAATGGGTTTCCTGCCTCTAACCTTTCGTCCTTGAAGAGGAAAGATAATTACATTTTACTGATGAAAACTTAATATTTGTATGAAGCTAGCTCCCACTTGCTTCTCCTGTTACTTTTTTCCTTTTTTCTTCTCCCACTCTTTTCTTCTCTCTGGGGGAATTTTGGAGACTCAGTGATCAAAGTTTTGTTTTTTGTCTTTATGTATGTATCCTAATAATATCTAGCTCAGACAAAGTTTGAAAAAAGAGCTAAAAATTATTAAACTGCATTTGTTTTGCTTAAAAACATACGGGCCATGTAAAAAAAGGCAACAGTAAGAACAACAACAAAATATAATCTAATTACAGACTTTCTTGCTATTTATAAGATCTGTAGTTGCAATAGAAAGGATGGAACTTACGATTTTGAAAGTCTTTGAAATTTTTTGTTTGTTTGTTTGTTTTTGCTTTTTTGAGATGGAGTTTCACACTGTCGCCTGGCTGGAGTGCAGTGGTGCAATCTTGGCTCACTGCAACTTCCGCCTCCTGGGTTCAAGAGATTCTCCTGCTTCAGCCTCCCAAGTAGCTGGGATTACAGGCACCCACAACCACGCCTGGATAATTTTTTGTATTTTTAGTAGAGGCGGTGTTTCGCTATGTTGGCCAGGCTGGTCTCGAACTCCTGACCTCGTGATCTGCCCACCTCAGCTTCCCAAAGTGATGGGATTACAGGCATGAGCCACCATTCCCAGCCATCTTTAACATTTTTAATGAATTCAGAGGTTTATAAATTATATTCGAGAATTACGTAGGTTCATAATAGTCCTGAACAAATACATGAATCCTTTGACAAATTAGAATTAGTATATAATAAGGGTATTCTCTAGAATATTGTTTATCTCCTTCCACATTTTATTATATAAAATTAATGTCAACACTAAGTCTAATTTTATTCAATACCAAGGTCAAGCTTTTCATGCTTTAAATTTTCTAAATACATTGGTTTTGAAACTCAAGAAAGTCACAGATATTTTAGGTTTTACGTATTATGAAGTTTGGCAGTCCCCAAGACAGCCTTAACTTTTGATACTAGCTGTAAGTTTGGATTCCTAAGACCACCCTCAGATTCAAATAATTCACTGGAAGAACTCACAGAATTCAGAAAAGGCATTATATTTAGCGTTATTTTTTTTTCTTTGTGGCAAAAGGATCAGATTAAATTCAACCAAGAGGCAAATAGAGTGGGTCCAGGAGTCACCAGATATGCATTTCCAGTTGTCCTCACAGTGGACTCATGTGGATCGTTCCTACTTCTCCCAGATATCTTTGAATATCTTTGAAATTCCAATGAATAACAAAAAAATTTGCTCCCTTACCTTCAAAATAGAAGGATAATAAAATGCTTTGGCATTCTCCATTCTTCAATTTTTAATAAATGTAACTATAATGGGAACTTGTTGTTTATATAATTTAACATGCAGTGGGAAAAAGAATCTCAGTTAAGAGAAGCTCAGTTTTCATAGTTTCACTATATGCACATAAAATGTATTTGTATAAATCACTTCAATATTTCTCTCTCAAGTTAAAGAAACATATTCATGTTCAAGCATCAAAACTGGTGAATGATTCTCCCTATTAACATTTGTTGTGCGACGTTAATGCACATCTCAGTCAGGGACAATCAGTGGCAAATACAGTGGCTTTGTGATGTAAATGGAAAGTCCAGGCAGCTTTGTCCCCATGTCTGTTCTTACCCTTTACAACAGGGCTACCCAATCCCCAAGCCACAGACCAGTACTAGTCCATGGCCTGTTAGGGACTAAGTCACACAGCAGGAGGTGAGTGGCAGGTGAGTGATCAGTGGCAGCATTAGATTCTCATAGTAGTGCAAACGCTATTGTGAACTGTGCTTGCGAGGGATCTAGGTTGCATGTTCCTTATGAGAATCTAATGCCTGATGATCTGTCAGTGTCTCCCATCACCCCCAGATGGGAGCATCTAGTTGCAGGAAAACAAGTTCAGGGCTCCCACTGATCCTACCTTATGATGAGTATGTAATAATAGAAATCAAGTGCATAATAAATCTAATAATGCACTTGAATCATCTTGAAACCATCCCCCCAACCCCAACCCTGTCCATGGAAAAATGATCTTCCACAAAACCAGTGCCTGGTGCCAAAAAGGTTGGGGATTGGTGCTTCACAAACTGTTACTCCCAGGTAATCATGAACACTGTGCTGCTATTTCCAGAATAATCACCAACTGTAACTTAATTCTCCAGGCTATCTTGTAAGAGAGGATTTCACTCTTTCACCTTGATAATGCTGGATAACACAGATTATTGCCTAGAAGGTTAAGAGAAAAATTGGCTGTAAGCTTAAAACACTGGCCATTTTACTCTACATTGTTGAGGATGTTTCTGGCATGTGTTTTTCCTGCCAAATGAATGACACTAGCAAAGCTGTAAAGGTGAAGCATTAACAGGAATAACGGCTTCAATGAAGGCTTTGAACATTTGAAGATGCATTTTATACATGGTCACATTCCAATGAATATAAATATCTTCCAACTATTGTCTGTTTTCTGGATGGCAGCTTTTCCCTGTCAAAAAACAACTACCTTGCCACTAGCTTAATTTTTTTTCTAGACTATATATTCTTAACTTGGGACACACCAACTTACTTATCCAGTTACAGAGGTACCAGCTTTGTAGGGACTATAACCAAGGAGTTTGCAAAAGACAGTTCATCTTCCAGAACTCAACTGTTCTTATCATCTTAAGTCATCAATGGAAATTAAAAGAATAAATATTACCCCAAAATTAAAGTTTGCAAAATTGACAATTGCTGTAGAGATTTTATGCTGTATATCCAAGTATATAATCAACAAAGCCAGTTGCACTCGGCTTTTTCCAAAGACAAATAAGAGAATCCTGCATGATCTGCCAAGATTACTGGTTTGCTAAAAATGACGTCAACCTCGGAATGCTCTTGGGCCACAGAAAGAGACTTGACCAGGCACTATCAATCATAAATACTACAGTAAAACTTCACAGAATGGAACTCTGGAGTCACATCTCTCAGTTAAAAGTCATTATGCATCTCCAGCATCTCCATACCAATGGGAGCTATCACACAGAATCTCTCAGGATTCTTCAGAAGCAGGCACATCACAAAGGGGATTGTTTTTCAAAGAACCTTGATGAAGCAACAGGTGGAAAACCTCTACCGAAGATTTCTTGTTTTGTTAGAGCAGGTAGCTCTGCAGACATGGACAGGAGAGGCCCCGCCCTGCAGGAATGTCAGGCAGCCATCAGGTGATGCTCAGGTGGTTGTTAAACTGTCTCTCTAAAATAATAATTGGTCACAGCCAGTGCCAGGGAAAGGTAGTCTCCCAATAAATATAAAACACCTGAAGCTGGTGATTAGCTTTCTGATAAGATCTCTGGAGTTGGGCAAGTGCGCTCCAGCATGTGCACTAAGAGGCAAAATGGCAGAGTTTAACTGGCATATGACTATTCTCTGGGAATGTTCAACCGGTAAGGGAAAAATGCCTCAAAGGAGCATGCACACAACTTGAGTAAACACATTCTGCATGAGGCCCCTCTTAAGTGCTGGCAGTCCGCTGCACATGCAGAGAGGCTGCCCCAAGGAAAAATCAAGGCAGAAGAAACACAAACCTCAGAACCATCCAGTGTGTAAAAATCTCAAGTCAACCATTGGCCAGGGCACTTGGATTTCTCAAGCTGCCCATGTGACCCTCTTCCAAGTGTACTTTACTTCCTTTCATTCCTGTTCTAAAGCTTTTTAATAAACGTTCACTCCTGCGCTAAAACTTGCCTCAGTCTCTCCCTCTGCCTTATGTCCCTTGGTTGAATTCTCTCCTCCAAGGAGGCAAGAATTGAGTTGCTGCAGACCCATCGAATTCACTGCTGCTAGCAGTTTGACTCCTGCATCCTTGTGACCACCAAACACTTCTTCTTCTTCTTCTTTTCCTAGCTGTCTTATTCCTGTCTTTTGAGTTTAAATTCAAGATTTTTAATTAACGAGGATTTAAAAACTTCAAGAAATGTCCTCCTTTAATACTAATGCTTTGATTTATACAAGCGACTCTGTTATTTTGAAAATACCTCACTAATCAGATACAAAATGAGACACAAAGGAAACAAACCTTGACAACCTGGCTCTTCTGCCACATTCTGGGTCGTCTGGATCAAGGAATCCAGATGGAGGGTGGAACTTGGTTTTATGATTAAAACCAGGTAAAACGGTGGGCTGGATAGACAGCCTTTCAAAGACTGTTAATGATTCTAGTTCTTGTGTTTCTAGGCTTCAGAGTTCTACATCGTATCCTACTTACAGCCCTAAATACCTGTTAACTGCCACCCCCTGGACAGATTATTACAGTGACAACAGAAATATAAGTCACATAAGGAGCTGCTGAATGCACTCAAGACTCAACAATCTCCAAAGATACTGGAAGGCACGAATGGAAATCTGGACTCTGACAACTGTCCTTAGCATGTTATCTTTTACGCCAATGCTGGCCAAAGAGAAGGACTTAAAACGTTGTACTGATCCTTACAAGAACTTAGTTTCCACTGTTTCTTTCCACTACTTTTGCTAAATTCAAATTGACCAACCAATAGCTGCTTAACTAGGACCACACCTTGCTCTTCCTGCATCTTATCCCATGAGCAACACGATTTCAGTTTCCCCATAATTTCCAAGAACTTGCCAGTGAATAATTCTCGGAATAAAACTGAACTATGACTGTGAAACTGCCTTTGCAAAAATCATAACTGAGAAAAGAAGGTAAAAGAGATGTGTCCTAACTGCCTTCATCTTTCTTTTAACCTCCAAGCTGTCTTATTCATTGCTGGTGTAGGCTAAACTAATTTTGGAAGAAACTTAGTTTATGATTTAACTTTGAAACCAAGATAATAGCAGCCCTTTCCCTAAACAAACCCCCTTCCTGCCTACAGCCTAGACTGGCTTTGCAGGATTAACAAAATAGCCACAAAATTAGAAATTATGGCTTAGGAGTCATGCAGCTGGAGGGTACAAGAATCTGAACCTCTCCAAATTGCTCCTGAGGATAACATCACTATTGTAAAATCTAAGATCAGTGCTTCAGATATTTTGCAGACTCTGTGCTTAAAGGATCAGCTGGCACTACCCAGGTCTTGATAAACTGGCTCAGTTGGACTTGTGGCCTCTGCCTAGGAACTGATTCAGCATAAGAGGACAGCTTTGACTCCCTATTATTTTATCTCTGACCTGATCAATCAGCACTGCCAACTTTCTGACCCCCTATACACCAAATTATTCTTGAAAACCTCAGTCTCCAAGTTTTGGGAGAGACTGATTTGAGTAAAACTCTGGTCCCCTGTACAGTCAGCTTTGCATGAATTAAACTCTTTCTCTATTGCCATTCCCCTGTCTAGATAAATCAGCTCTGTCTAGGCAGTGGGCAAGATTAACCCACTGGGTTACATGTGGCCTTTCCCAATTCTATCTTATGAAATATTTATCTACTTGGTCCCCATAGTCATCTTGAAATGTGTTTCATGTTGCAATGTTTTAATAAAGGCTTTAGCTAATATCTTTTGATTAGTTTCTCGCCTTTCAAGTTCATTATGAGATAACTGTCTACTAAATATTCTAATGGCATTAATACACAAAGCATAAGATTGTTTTTCACTAACTCTCAACTAGTGAACAGTTCAAGAATTACACAGGACCAGTTATAAATCCTCCAAATTATGTATGTGCAACAAAGACAAAATATTCCAGGTAAGCACCAAGGATAAGAGAGGCCACACTGGTTGACAACTGTCATTCATACACTACCCAGATTCCCCCAACCAGAACTTAGAACCTTATTTCTCCACGTACGACAAAAATAAAGTTCTAAGTCCCCCACCAACTGACTGAACGGACCCCTTCTCTTGGCCAAGGTCATTTCAAAGAAAACTTGAAAAACTAGTCAGGCTATGATGGAAAAGGGGGTGGTCAGACATGCCTCATTATACTCTCCTCCCTTTGGAATTCAGACACAACTGATCAGCATTAGCATTAAAACAGAAATCTTAACATTGACAGAACAGGCTTTTTACAGCAATAAGACATCACAGTCCAACCTGACTCTGGTATACCATCACATGACAGATAGAAGTCCCTGAAATTAATCAAAGTATTTTACCCTGAAATATATTTCTTTGAACAAAATTTGAAATGGCACCTGCAAAGTTGTCTCTTGAGGAAAATCTTTCTTCTGTAGAAAATCCCCTTCCCCTTCCAGGTCTCTTCCCATTCCAGGAGAGATTTAACTAAAAGTCTGGCACCCTTTAGAGTCTGATAAAAGACCTTTACCATCTACCATCTATTCTTCTGAAGCCTGCTACCTGGAGGCTTCATCTACATAAGAACCTTGGCCTCTAAATCCCCTCTCCCTCCCACTTAACTACAAACATTTCTTTCTGCTGACTTCAGCTCTTCAGGAAGAGCTTAACCCCTTCAACCAATTATCAGGAAATTTTTGAATCCACCTGTAACCTGGATGTCTCCCCAACCCTCTCCCCTCACCTGCCACCTTTCACTTTAAAAAGCCCTGCCTTTCCAGGCTGAATCAATGTATACCATACATTTATTGATTTATGTCTCTACCTATAACTTCTGCCCTCCTAAATGTAACCCAACCACCTTGAGTACATGTTCTCAAGACTTCCTGGGGCCGCGTCATGGGTTATGGTCCTCACATTTGGCTCAGAATAAATCTCTTCAAATATTTTACAGAGTTGCCTCCTATTTGTTGACACCCATTATCCTGGAGCATTGGATCTGACCTCTTACACATCGCCCCTTTTCTGGGAATTAATTGGGAAGCAGTCTCACCCAAGGTTATGATATCTCCTTGGGGTCATCATGCATCTAAAACCATGACAAATTATAAAGACTTCACACTCAGACCTGTATCTTCCAATCATTTATGACACTTATTTCTGATCTTGGCTACTATTTGTGAAATTTATAAAAATGTATGAAGGCTTTAATAGGCTTTTGGTGAGGGATTTAGTTCCAAATAGGTATTCTCTAGGTACGGATGGTCTTTCAGAAGATTTGAACATAGCTGCTTGTTTAATGCCACATCAACATCCTCCTCACTCAAATCAATATTGAATTAAGAAAAAGAAATTAATGAACGAATGAATAATTATAAACTATGATGGATTTTAAGCAATTCATCAAGTAATAAATGGAAACAGTGCCATCTTGTAAAAGAAAATGAGTGCACCTCATAAGTTACTGCCAACAGTCCCTGTGATTGTTAGATATCATGAAGACTTTATAATTTATAAACCTCTCTACTAATAATGTGAACAGCACTGTTGAACACAGAGAACCCCTCTCATCATGCAGTAGTGGAGTCACAGGGAAAATTTTAAAAAGCTAGGGCATCAGGGCTTGTCTCAGTGTTTAATGTTTACAGAAAAAAAAAAATTAACTGAAATCATGTTTTGAATTTACTAAGATAAATGACCCAATTTCTTTCCCCAAATCAAATTAGGCAAATTTACAACATCTGTCATGCATTCATGTTTTGCATATCACACTGTGAAAATAAAGAGACATTGTAAGGTGGTGGTATTGAATGGGATGAGCCAGCAATAAAAACAGGGGCTTAGAAAAATAAAGATGCATAAATTAAAAATGGTAAACAAAAATAACTCAGAAAAAAGGCAAAATAATATTTTTATGATGACAACTTGTTCTTAGTGTTTGAATACGTGAGGAGTAAAATTCAAGTTTATGAATATAAGGCATCTCGACGTGGATCAGAAAAATTAACATGAATTTCAAAGAACAAATACAGCAGGAAATGAAGGAATAAATGTTACCTTTTAAGGAGAATAAAGGACTAATAAGAGTAGCACAGGGCAAAATTTATATTTTCTATTGGTTTTAGGCAATAGAACTAGGGGCATTAAAATAAAAATAACACCTAAGGATTTAGTCTTGAGTGTGCGACTCACATTGATGTCAATGTGTAGCCTACTTTTTTCAGCATTAACTCGGCGAGAGTTATAAAAGCCTTAAGAATGACATGCAGGCAAAAGATTGTATCAATGATTACTTACAGTATGGAAGCCAGGTTGATGGCCAAGTCTCTTAATAAAAGTTCATTCTGAGAGGTGACAGCCTGCTGGCAGCCCTCCAGCCCTCGCTCGCTCTGGGCGCCTCCTCGGCCTTGGAGCCCACTCTGGCCACACTTGAGGAGCCCTTCAGCCCGCCGCTGCACCGTGGGAGCCCCTTTCTGGGGTGGCCAAGGCCGGAGCTGGCTCCCTCAGCTTGCGGGGAGGTGTGGAGGGAGAGGCGCGGGCGGGAACCAGGGCTGCGCGGCGCTTGCGGGCCAACGCGAGTTCTTCGTGGGCGTGGGCTCCGCGGGCCCGCACTCAGAGCTGCCGGCCGGCGGACAAGCCCCAGGAAGTGAGGGGCTTAGCACCTGGGCCAGCAGCTGCTGTACTGGATTTCTTGCAGGGCCTTAGCTGCCTCCCCTCGGGGCAGGACTTAGAACCTGCAGCCCGCCATTCCTGAGTCTTCCCGCGCGCCCCGCCCACCGCCCCCGCCCCCCGCCGCCCCGCCCCGCCCCCCGCCGCCCCGCCCCGCCCCCCGCCGCCCCGCCCCGCCGCCCCCGCCCCCCGCCGCCCCGCCCCGCCCCCCGCCGCCCCTCCCCTCTGCCACCATGGGCTCCTGCGCAGCCAGAGCCTCCCAGAGGAGCGCCGCTCCCTGCTCCACCACACCAAGTACCATTGACTGCCCAAGGGCTGAGTGCGGGCGCAGGGCGCAGGACTGCCAGGCAGCTCCCCCTGCAGCCCCGGTGCAGGATCTACTGCGTGAAGCCAGCTGGGCTCCTGAGTCTGGTGGGGAGTTGGAGAATCTTTGTGTCTAGCTGAAGGATTGTGAATACACCAATCGGCACTCTGTATCTAGCTCAAGGTTTGTAAATGCACCCATCAGCACTCTGTGTCTAGCTCAGGGTTTGTAAATACACCAATCCACACTCTGTATCTAGCTAATCTAGTGGGGAGGTGGAGAACTTTTGTGTCTAGCTCAGGGATTGTAAACACACCAATCAGCTGTCTGTCAAAACAGACCAATCAGCTCTCTGTAAAACAGACCAATGGGCTCTCTGTAAAATGGACCAATCAGCAGGATGTGGGTGGGGCCGGATAAGAGAATAAAAGCAGGCTGCCCCAACCAGCACTGGCAACCCTGGTCCCCTTCCACAGAGGGGAAGCTTTGTTCTTTAACTCTTTGCAGTAACTCTTATTGCTGCTCACTCTTTGGGTCCACACTGCCTTTATGAGCTGTAACACTCTCATAAAAGTCTGCAGCTTCCCTCCTGAAGCCAGCGAGACCATGAATGCACCGGGAGGAACGAACAACTCTGGATGCGCCCCCTTAAGAGCTGTAACACTCACCGCGAAGATCTGCAGCTTCACTCCTGAGCCAGCGAGACCACGAACCCACCAGAAGGAAGAAACTCCAAATACATCCGAATGTCAGAAGAAACAAACCCCGGATACGCCACCTTTAAGAACTATAACACTCACCGCGAGGGTCCACGGCTTCATTCTTGAAGTCAGTGAGACCAAGAACCCACCCAATTCCATACACAATTCTTTCTTCTTAAAGTTTCAACAAGACTCAATATTAAATTAATACCAAAGAGAGAAATAAAATTCATGTAGTTTAGATTACCAATTGCCCAAATCCCATTTACAGTGTGAAAGTCCACATAATCGTATTTCATTACATCATAATATGAGTATACAAGGCCAAATACTTTGACATGAGATGTCAAATTTAAAAATCCTATCAATCGCAAAGAATTAAATTTAAAAAGTTATTAATATTTTCTAATAAAAATGTAAAACTCTAACCTAAATGTGACTTACTAAACATGTCTCTATCACTTTGGAGGTATAATATTTCCAGATTACTTTTCAAGTTAAGGTAGAAATGGGAAAATTTCAAATTAGTGTGTTATTTAACTGCTTTATTGATATGATTAACATACAATAAAGCACATATTTCAGGTGCATTTTGATACATGTATGCAGACATCAATCCATAAGCACAATCAAGTTAAGAAGATTTAAATCACTACCAAAAGTTTCTTCCTAAACTCTTTATAATCTTTCTATCTTACCCCCCAGCATATCCCCTCTAACCATATTCCTAGGTTTCCATTGATCTGCAATACAAAAAATTAGCCAGGCGTGGTGGTGTGCACCTGTGATTCCAGTTACTCAGGAGGCTGAGGCAGGGGAATCACTTGAACCCGGGAGGCGGAGGTTGCAGTAAGTCGAGATCGCGCCACTGCACTCCAGCCTGGTGAAAGAGCAAGACTCCGTCAAAAAAAAAAAAAAAAAAAAAAAAAGGAATAAAGTTCAATATTCAGTCATTCAATTCAACCACCTTATAACTAATTCAGAAAGACAATTCAAACTGAAAAATAAATATAACGTTGTTAACTGAAACACCAGTGTCTAGGTCCTGCTGCTCGCTGGACAGAAAGCCAATTACTGAGATGACAAGTATTGCCAAGGAAGGCTTTAAAATCGGGTGCTGCAGCTGAGGAGACGGGAACTGAGTCTCAAATCCATCTCTCTGACTAAAACCAGGGGTTTATATAGCAATGAAGACATGTAACAATGTATAAGAAAAAAGGAACAAGGGAGGGGCATGGAAGCAATCATGATGGAGGGGTCCACATCTCATTGTCTGGTTGTGGTAATCTGATGAGTTTCAGTTATTTGATACATTTTTGAGAGGGCTGAAGGTCCTTTCCTGAGGAAGAAACTCACATAAAACAAATGTAGGCTTCAAGCTTTAAGATCAGAAAGATCAATTTCTATGTTTATCCAAAAGAACAGTCAATGGGATTTTTGGGTCTGTTTCAACTTAAGGGCTCATAAACAAAGTCTGAAGTGGAATTTCAGGTTACTGAGAGATGATTTTTTGGCTCAAATTGTATCACAACAGGCTATTTTCTTTCTATACTACTCCTCTGCTTTCCAGAGTTCACTCCATTCTCAGGCTGGAGTCTTGAATCATGCCACAAAAATGTATTAATAGTTGTTGTAGTTTCCTGGAGCTCGGGTTAGAGGAAATACGATTCCAACCATATGGAAAAAAAAAAATGGTTACAAGTGGATTTCCATAATAAATAAGGAGCATTATTACCAGGAGGTAAAGTCATTCTCCTATCAAATAATATCTCATAAGTATTTCATGATTGCAAGTCAACAGGTGAAATTTTAAGTTAGCAATTTTAGTAGAGTGATATAAATATATTATTAATAATCATGAAATTAATTACTAGGAGAGGGAAAAAAAAACTGAAATAACCGTAATAATTGTGGTCCCTAGTGATTAAGGTAAGGTGTGCATAGGACTGAGGAAGGAAGATGGCTGCCTTCTACCAGAAACCCTTCTTGATTTTTACTTTTATAAATTGCAGTTATTACCCTCATTAAATCTATAGTAGCAATACTGCACCATGTCCCCACTGTAGACATGCTGAATATGAACGTTATGTGTGGTGATAGGAAATGTACATTTTTGTTACAGTACCCCATAACCCTGCAAACCCAGGCTAGTACTGATTTAGAGACCAGCATTTTGCAGCCACTGACCCGGAGCACATTGTCAAACTTAGGGAGCTAACAAATGTTGTTGAATTTTTTAAGAAAATTGCTCAAAAATAGTGAAAAAGAGATTGTAGGCATCTATAACTTTAAAACAAAAAACTAAGGCAAAAAAGACCAATCATATAATTTTACTGTGAGATGGATAGTTTATTTTTACATTGAGCAAATCAGACAATAGAGTTGCAATACCTCTTCATCCTTCCACCCGCCCCCGCAAAAAAAAAAAAAAAAAAGGAAAAGTTTATAGGAATTCGAAGAGCTTTGCGAAGAAAGTATTGACTATAATCCAACAACGAAAAAAGCAGAAGTGATGTGGATAGTGCAAATATGTACTTGTGAAATTACAAATGCATTGAGACAGGAAACAAAATTGTTCAGATATTTACAAATGGCTTTTGAGTCCACAGAATATTGTTTATTTTCATAGGACAGGGAGACATATTACAAATCACTTTAATTCTTTAAAAAAAAGTGGATAAAATTTTATATTCAAATTATAAAATCAATTTATAACTATAAAGTCAATTAAAATGTAAAATGTGTAAATATCAAATAATACCCAGTGCCTTGTCATCTGAGAAGTGAGGACTGTATCTTTTCATCAGTAAACTGAGTTAAATTTTTATATTTTATGCTGGTAAACATTATATGACATCTAAATTTCATAATTTAACAAACACTGGTATATTACTAATTATGGAGTTAATCACTAGGAGAGTTAAAAATAAAGAAATGACAACATTTATAGCCTCCAGAGAATTAGACAAGGTATAAACAGGGCACCATAGCTCTTGATGTATAGTAGATACAAGATAAATATTGCGGCGGGGCGGGGTGGCTCAAGCCTGTAATCCCAGCATTTTGGGAGGCCAAGGTGGGTGGATCACGAGGTAAGGAGATCGAGACCATCCTGGCTAACACAGTGAAACCCCGTCTCTACTAAAAATACAAAAAAATTAGCCGGGCGTGGTGGTGGGCACCTGTAGTCCCAGCTACTCGGGAGGCTGAGGCATGAGAATGGTGTGAACCTGGGAGGCAGAGCTTGCAGTGAGCTGAGATTGCACCACTGCACTCCAGCCTGGGCAACAGAAGGAGACTCTGCCTCAAAAAAAAAAAAAAAAAAAGATATTGTTTGAATAAATGAGTGATAAGTGTGGTAAATTTTTAAAAACTACGTTAAATATTGATAATACCACCCTACTTTAATCCTACTTTGTTGAAATTATAAATTATAATTATGAAATTATAAATTACAATCCTGCCTTCATAAAACATTGATCTCACAATTGCTAAGCGTTTCAGGCAAAAATGTGAAATTCTCTTTCTAGAGTTAAATTAAATTTTTGTTTCTAAATTGAATTTTTGACTCCCACAGTCAGGGGATTAAATGTTGGAGTAAGTTGTCGGGGGAGGTGATAGATTCTCTGTCTAGAATAGTAAACTATTTCTTGGGTTAGGTGCCTATCCTGAGATGGGAAGATGGTCTCTCTGGCACTCTCTGATGTCCAATGTTGTATTTGTTTCCAGGCAGAGGGGCAAGTTAACTTTCCTACATCACTCAGCTGTTTTCCTGTTACTCTGTGGTTTGTCTGTCAAGTTGGTGTCTGATGATAAACACTCATTTTAATTAGGAAAAGATTACACATTACCACAAGAATAAATGGGACATTTTCCTTACCATCCTTACTTATTAAAATCTCCCTTTTCCACCAAAAAAAGTCCTCAGAACTTGCAATTATAAAGTTTTTGTTGACTAATAATTACTACTACTTGTTTCATATTTACACGCTAGCCAATTTCTTATGCAAAATGTTAAGTGCTTTTCATGATTAAACTCACTTAATGTCAACAAACCCCAAAGGTAGGTACTAATAGTGGCGGAACTGGGATCTGAACCCAGGCAATCTGCCTCCACACCTCATCTATATGCACTTTGCTTTAGATCACTGAATGAGACATGCTTTCACTAAAAGATGTTGTTTAAAATATGGTGATATAAAGTCAGTTTTCTGAAAGTTTTTAAGAGTAAAAAAAATTAGTATGGATGATTCCACTGATTTTTCAAACTTAATTAAAGTCCTAAGTCATGATTCTTTTTTAAAACCCACAGCAGTTATTATATTGCTAAACACAGTGGGATATTTTAGAAGTTTGGTAAATATTTGAATTTTGAATATAGTTGAATATTTTAATCACAGAGAAGTATTTTCTGGAAGAAACAAAAACATACCCATCCTTTTAAAATTGTTAACGTAACTATTTTACTATCTGTGAAACTAGTCTAAGTCAATTATTAACTGCAACCTGAACCATTACATTTATTTTTTTCAAACATGCTGTTTTGTGTGATAAGTATGTTTTCTACCATATTCTACTATATTGTGATTCATACAAGAATGAAATACATTTTTCTTCAGGTAATGTATTTCATGTAATCCTCTTTATGTGAGCTTAAGGAAGTTAACACTTCTTAATCTTAGTTTAAAAATTGGTAAAATGACAACACTAATTTAAAATAAGTAACAAAATATTTCTATAATTACTAAGATATCTGTTTAATTAGAAAATGGTTGTAAGGATTGGCATTAATATTACATGTAAGCATTTTCATGTTGACTGGCACTAGTAGATACTCTGATAAATATTATTCCTGTTCCATGCCATTCAGTACTGACATTTGAAAATTTTAAGAATGGTCTATGATACACCAATGGTTAGTCTATTGTTACAGCTCTAAGAACTGCTAGATATTATTTGGGTTGGTTTATCCAAATCTAACACTAGAGAAACCATGGTTTTATTTTACTTACTTTTAAAATTATTATTTTTATTGTTATTTTGTAGAGAAGTGTCTTTATGTTGTCCAGGCTGATCTTCAACTCCTGGGTTCAAGTGATCCTCCCTCCTCGGCCTCCTGAAGTACTGGGATTATAGGCATGAGTCACTGCATCTGGCTGACACCATAGGTTTAGCAGAATCTACTGGAGGCAAACCTTATAAATAGGCCAATTTCATTCAGAAATGCTGCCTTGTGTTCTACACAGCAGTGTCAGTCTCTAGAAAGGAAGGTATTTATCCTGGAATTTGTAAGTCCATGTGATTTTTAAAATCCTTGCATTAACTTATAAAACAAATCGACTCTATGAATAGATTTTTTCTCCCTTTTTTGGTTACCTGGAAATGTTATATTTGAGCTTATTCAATATTTAACTAGTAGCCTTTAACCTAAAGTTCCAGGTGGAAAAATAAATTATGAGTCAAAAGACTTAATTATATTTAATCTCTGCCAATAACTTAATATGCCAGTGTAAATAAGTTGCTTAATTTCCCTGGGCCTAAATTTCCTCACATACAACAGAAAAGATATTTATCAGTCTTCAAAATAACCTTCTCACCTTAAAAGTCTATTACTCTTTACAGAATAGAACTTTTGGCATAGGAAAATTTCAGGACACCTGCTGGCAACCCTATTGCCAATTAAAGGATAATGCCAAATAATTGTATGATAGGCAGAGTTAGGAATGTAGATAGGAAACAACATGCAATGGGATGGATGGATAGTTGGATGGATGGATGGATGGATGTATGGGTGGATGGATGGATAGATGGATGGATGGATGGATGGATGGAAAAATGGATGGATGGATAAATGGATGGATGGATGGATGGATGGATGGATGGATGGATGGATGGATAAATGGATGGATGGATGGATGGATGGATGGATGGATGGATGGATGGATGGATGGAGAAATAGGTTATAAATCTATAAAGAGAGACAGAAAAAGAGAAGTCAAAGATATAAAGACACTGTAAGTGTTGAGAAGATCACATTTTGCCATAGATAGTCTTGGTTTTCAATTCTTACTTTCAATGGGGACTTGGATTTATTATTTTATCTGCCTGAGTTTCAGTTTTCTATTTAATATAATGGAGAGGGTATCTCCCATGGCATTAGTCTGAAAAATTAGAGAAAATAAAGCAACTAGCATGGTTCTGGACAACATGTCTGTATTACTCTCAAATAAACCAAGCCTTCTGTATTCTTTAGCATTCTAATTTTTTTTCTTTTTCATCAAAATAAAAAGGAAAAACTGTAATGCAAGCAAATATTTAAAAGCTGGTTAATGCTAATTGCAATTCATTTTTCAGCAGACAATTAAATATTCCATGAACTACAGCAGCCAATGTTGAGCACTTGGAGCAGGGTTCTCCCCTGGACAGCAGCCACAGCTGGTATTCTGCAGTGAAAATTCCAATTCCAGTGCAATTCGATTACATCAATTATCCATGCAAGTGGCATAGAGTTTATAAAATGTATGTTTCAATGTAGTAGATTAGGCATGTGCACTATCATGGTGAGAATTAGCAGGATACTTCTTACTTAAATGTTGTGCTTTTGATTTTTTAATCAGGAAAACACTTGTCTTTAGCTTCATGCAGTAAATTTTCATCTAGGTTTCTACTTGTTAAGAATTTTCATGAGCTCTTCCATGAGCTGTAAAATTTAAGCCCCGTTTCATTTATTTTAGTGTTATTCAGTTTGTGATCTCAGTATCACCTGCACCAGAATCACTCAGGGTTCTTGCTGGAAATGCCCCAGCCAGACACTGAGCCAGATTTTTATGGAAGTGTCCCCCAAGCAATTAAAATAAAAAAAATTGAATATGATTTTCATGCACAGTCATTTAGGGAAGCACGCAGACTGCCAGTACAATATAGAGGGAAGATCATTAAACCAAGTGTCAAAGATCATGGGTGACTTTTGTGACTCTGTAAATATCAGCAGGCCCTCTTGGAGTAGCATGAGCATTGAATACCACACCAACCAGGACTCTTCAGACAGGAATAATTAAGCTACTTCAAAAGCAACAAACAGAAACTTCCAGGTAAACCAAAACATATGATTGCTACATTTAAGTGCCTTTTTAAAACTGTTAAGGCAGTTTAAGTGAACGCTAAGATTATTTTCTACACTGATATTTAATTTTTCTGGCAGATGAACACAGTTAACTTAATATTCAGCTCCTCTCTGTGGTTGAAATAATTTAAACTACAAAGGGAAAGTAGTCAGTTCAGATTTTGATATGGAAACATTCATCCGCAGATCCACCCACCCAGGGAGGCTAAGCATGTTTGGATGTGTACCTCCCACCCCACCTCCAGTGAAAGCAGAAACTCATAGTCACCATCCATCGTCGATCAATACAATATGTTTGGTTCGAAGAAATAGAGGAACAATGAAGGAAAAGGGAATTAGGCTTTGTTAGAAGCTGAAAGCACTCTTTCCTAAAACAAGTATGCATTCCCTGACTCTTTCTTTCTTCGAAAATATGTCCTTAGTACCAACTATAAGCCAGGTATTCTCCTAGGTGTTTGAACTACAGTAACGAAGATATGCACACTACTTTCTTGGAGCATAAATTGTACTGATAATCTTTAGGTAGTCTAGGCCCAACTGGTAAAGTCGGCTGCCCATAAATGTCTACACTTTCCTCTTTTCCTACCAACATATATCATTCAGGGTACCAACACATTCAGAAAACTATATGACATAATATAGTATTTTGTGTGTATGTGTGTGTGTCTATAAATATGTATGCACACACATACACATAGAGACAGAGGAGAACAAGGAAGGAAGGGAGCAAGAGGCTCTGTAGCTGGTGCTGCTGCTGGGAGCCAGTGATCTAATGTAAAGAAGAGGCAAGATGCTGCCCTGGCCAGCTTCTGCACGAGCTCTCTCTCAAAGTGGGCATGCTCTACTGAATGCAGTTTTGCTCTTGTCTTTCTTCCTGCCTGGAACACAGCTGAGAGGTGGAACTGGAGCACCACAGAGTGACCATTTGGTGATCAGCATGGGGGTGGACAGCACAGACTAAGCTGGCTGAGCAGAGAGACAAAAGGGGCAAGCATGGGCCGACCACCTCTAGGCTTGCCATCACATGTGGGAGATGATTTTTAGGCCTAACTGGCAAATTTTAAATTTACAAAATGACCAACAACTTTGTGGACCATATACTGGCAATCACAGTCTACAACTACACAAAAGAAATCCAAGAATTTTACATCAATGACACTTACTTTCCATCTTCAAAACAGAGTGGCATTTTTTCTGGGTCTCTTCCTGTTTTATAATAAATGTGTGGAGAAGATGATTTCCAAGTATCTAAAGTGGTTTGAGGTTTGAAACATTTTATAAGCCAGATGTTTCACCCCACTCTGATTCACTATTCAGAGTGAAATATATCTCCAAAATGAAAGTCTGCAGACTTCGACCTGAAGCATAAGAAAAAGGTTTTTACATTTATACTTTGGAAAGTACACATTTTGCATTCATTAAGGTCCTCTAATTAAGTGAAAATAATAATTGCAGATTGGTAGGCTCTAATGATTCTCAACCAAGCAGATTATTCCTATAGTGTAAGTGCTTATTATTTTATTAGAGAATTTACTTGTGACATTCATAGCAGGCCTATCCCCAAATGTACAATTCTAAAGAGAATCATCAGAGTTATATTATGCTGAAATCTGGAAAAAAAGATGGGATATTTGGGCCAAGTGATGTCCAGAAGCAGAAGGTATATAATTTAGCCACACTTGCAAGAGAGGTAACTTTAATGAGTAGAATTAAAATTACACTCTTCAGCATTTACAAAATCTGAAGTATCATTATTTCATGTTCACTTTTCTATAAAATCTCCAGCATATTCTAAATAAATATTCAATAAGTAAATACACTATATCCAACATATACTATCATCAGGGATATATTTCCTGTGCTTAGAGCACTTAATGCATTGAAAGTAAGCTGATCGTTGACAAAATTAGAACAACTGGCAACTCTTCATTAGTCATTCTGCCAAGTCTCTATATATCACTTCGTTTTTAATATAAGCATACTTTAAAATATATTAGTCAGGGTAAAATAGTGTACAGTGCTATAACAAATAACCAAACCCTCAAATCTTGGTGGTATAACAAAACAGACATTTATTTTTTACTCACACACAAGGTCAGTGCCTTTTCCAGGTGAAAGCTCAGGGATGCAGACAGAGCGAGTCACAGTTTCTCCATCTCAGCAGGATGTTTCCACGGTCACTGTGGCAGGAGAAGAAAGAAGCTAGAGAAGCCCTTTACTGCTCAGTCTGAATGTGCTGCGGGTCCCTTCCTTTCACAATCTATCAGCCAGGACAAATCCAGTGACCCTGCTCAACCATCAAAGGCCTAGAAAATGCTGTTATTGCCCTCCAAAACGAAGAAAGATGATTAGTCATTTCTATCCTCTCCACTTTCCAAAACTGGTTTTTCTTTGATTTCTAATTGTGCCCATAGAATCAGCATAATAGGGCACAACTCATTCTGTGAAATAAAAGTTACCCTGAATTCAGCCTACGGGGTGCAGCATTTCACTTCCAGGTGTGATTCCTTCCTAGCTAATGCTGAGCAAACCGTTTCACTTTGATGAGTCTCAGTTTTCCAACTGAAAATGAGAGGCTTGAGGTTGAAAATTCCTATTGTTCCTTTCAGTGCTGAAATTCTTGGGTAGGGCAAGCAGGAGTTTGGTTTACCATCCTGCCATATTGAATATGTATTAAAGGGCAGTGAGGACCTATTTATTGCTGACAACAGTCTGACAGGCAGACTTGTATGGTTTAAGTCCCCGGAAGATAACCTATTTTGGCATTCAGTATGGCAGAAATTTACTGCAATATGTATTGCCTTGGAGAAATTTATTCTGTTGAGGACTTCAGATGTTATTTCTGGAAATCGAATCCCTCCACTTTGCTTTTGGCTAAAGGAAAACTAGCATTCATCTTTTGGGAGACACTGTGTGGTATTTTGCTGTCAATAACATTCTATACAGCACTGGGTCTTGCAATCTACCACGATAATGGCACGGCAGTGGAATATCTGATGCATATAACATTGGCCTCTTCTTGGAAAGTGGAAATGGTTTTATAAAGAAAATTGAGAAAGAAAATATTTAGAAAGAAACAAATGCAGCAGCAACTTACATGTAATATACCAAAGAAATAAAACATAGTAAACATGAAAAGCAATTTGTTAATGTTGTGAAGGTCTGCACAGAGTGCCATGCATTGTGGTAGCTCATGTCACTGTCACAGATCTGCTATTTCACCTTGTTGGCATGGGCCATAGCTTCTCCAACTCCCATTCTGTCTCACTACACATATTCTCTGAATCTTGGACCAAGTGTTTTTTAGCTCCATAGAGAAATAACCCAGACTCCTTATCAAATGAAAGTATAATATGCTAATTCAGCTCTAGCTTGTCCTAAAGATACAATAAGTTGCATGACTAAATTGTTCATATGCCCATGACCTGTATACCTGTTACCAACCTGTAAGTAAATAACTATATAAACAGTTTACAGGTGAAGCAAAATTGAGCCTATTTGCAGAAAATGCAACATGATATGCTTACAGTAACTCCAGGTAGAAAGTTGAAGTGCTACAGCCCCACTCCAGGCAGTGCTCAATACAGGGCACTTCCTGGTGGACAGAACCTGGTGCGTACCTGGTCATTCACTTTGCCTTCAAGGAGGCATGGGCAGAGGAACCATCTACATGGATGCTCATGCAGTAGCTAACGGTTTGGTAATGAGTGAAAAGGGAATTGAAAATTACCATCAGAAAATTGTTAACAAGAAGGCCCCAGAAAGAAGGATGAGAATAGAACTCTGAATTGAAAGGAAACCTGAATACATTTGTGCCCTGTGCAAATTCTTACCAAGGAGAAATTTGAACAGAGGATCAGCATAATAATCAAAAGGACCAGATGACTTTTTTTTTTTTCTAACGAAGTCTCGTTCTGTCAGCAAGGCTGCAGTGCAGTGCCACGATCTCGGCTCATTGCAACCTCTTCCTCCTGAGTTCAAGCGATTCTCATGCCTCAGCCTCCCATGTAGCTGGGATTACAGGCGCCTACCACCAAGCCTGGCTAATTTTTGTGTTTTTAGTACAGACAGGGTTTCACCATGTTGGCCAGGCTGGTCTTGAACTCCTGACCTCAGGTGATTTGCCCGCCTCAGCCTCCCAACGTGCTGGAATAACAGGCATGAGCTACCCACCATGCCTGGCCAGATGACATATTTTTTGATGCCAGTTTTCATTGTTTCTGGAAACATCCTATGTTTGCCCAATAGGATTGTTATAAAAGTGGCCATTGTGTGATGGGTAGGGAAATAACATGGATTCAGAAACATGGACTTCCACGCACCCAGCCAATCTAGTTGCAGCCAATGTTGAAACCTAATTTGCCAATAAGACACCACTAAGTTTCAATAAAACAACATTTCCCATGGGAAGGGGTTGGGGGAGGGGTTCAGCCAGCCTCTGGCCGCAGGCTGATTATATTGGACCATTTCCATCATGAAAGGGGCAAATCTTTGCTTTCACTAACATAGACACTTTCTCTGGATGTGATTTTCCTTCTCTATCTATCCACTATGATTCTGCTAAAACTGTCATCCTTGAAATTACAGAATGTCTTTATCTTGATATTACTCATAGTATTGCTTCTGACCAAGGAACTAGATTTTCAGCAAATGAAGTAAAAAAAAAAAAAAAAAATGGGGCCCAGCGCACGAAATTCATTGGTCTTATGTCTCCAATAAATCACCTTCATGTAGCTGACCTGATATATTAGTGGAACGGACTTCTAAAGACTTGGTTACCATGCTAGCTAGTGGAAACAGTTTGTGAGCTTGGAATAATGTTGTCCAGGAAGTGGAGCATGCTCTAAGTCAGCAAAAGCTATACAATGTTTCCCCCATAGCCATAGTCTGAGGATCTAGATATTAAGGGGTAGAAACAAAGAGTGGTCCTTCTCTCTATTACTTCTGGTAATCCACTAGCAACATTTTTGCCTGGGGCTCTGCTTGTCACCAAATGTTAGTTTCACACACTAAAGTTCAGTGTAGGGGGTTGGACCCTAGAACAGCTCACATACATTCTGCCCACTCACCTTGTTTCTGGGGACTTCATCCAGGCCTGCAGCTCTTCCAACCCCACGGAATCTTTCTTCACTTCTGAGTCCTGAGCCTGTGTGTGTCCAACTCTGTGGGGAAAGCTGCCAGCTTCTCCTGTAGCTCATCGACATCACCTGGGTTGAAGATGGTGAGAAATTCATGTAAGTTTCAGTTTGTTCTTATCGATTTTAATTCATCTTAATAGGTTTCAGTGCGTGTGATTTTTAGGACTCACTGCATGTCTCAGCTGCCAACCTGGCTTACCTGCAACCTGTCACCTGTTACCTGTAACAGCCTTGCAGTCAGATACTAGGTCAATTGCTTTGCATAGACTTCTTAACCAGCGCACAATCACATAACATCTAATTCCTATAATAAATTGCTTATTGTGTGTCATTCATAGAGTCATAGCTCTCTGATCAAACCCTAATAGAAGTTATAATTAGTATTTATTTTACTCTGCCAAACACTAAGGAGATAGAAATATCACATTATTAGAAATACCACATTATTTTACTTTTCTAAGTCATATTATTTCTGATCATAAGGTCTCACAATCTCAGTTGTGTATGAGCACCAAATCCACTAGAAGTCTGGGGAAAGAGAACTATGTGTCTCAGAAATGGGTGGAAAAACTAGTCTTCAGCACATCGTGATCTCTGTACAAGAGGCCCCTCATCCAGCCCAGTGTGGGCCATTTCAATGCAGTCTGTCTTGGGTTTCCTCAGGCATGGCTCTGAAGAACTCAAACTCTACTCTTCCATTAGAATGGATCATCTTCCGTTATTCCAAAGAATAATGGATGTACCAGCTCTCAGAAAACAAACTGGAAGCAGAGCTTTGTTCTCCTTCACTTCTAGCAGTCCCTTCACAACCAATTGTTTCTTCTTTTTTTTAAAAAAAAAAAAAAACAAAGTCCCAGTTTGGGCCACTGATGTCCATATATATTATATATATTATTTATATATATATATATATTTTATATATATATAAATATATATATAATATATATAAAATATATATAAATATATAAAATAATATATATAATATATATAAAATATATAAATATATATTATATATATAAATATATATAATATATACAAAATATATATAAATATATAATATATAAAATATATATAAATATATAATAATATATAAAATATATATAAATATATAATAATATATAAAATATATATAAATATATATATATTTTTTTTCCAAGACAAAATCCTCTTAATACTGCCTTTGTAACAAGAAATGTTGAATCAAAGCCAAAGTTGATAATTTAGCAATGGAGGTCTAGAAAAATGTCTCTCATTATTTAAGATTATTCTACGATTTAGGCAAGTTTAAACTCAGTATCTTATTCTGCATAAATTGGTAAGTAGTTGGCTATAAAGAAAGGTGTTTTCTTACTCTCAGGGGTAAGTTCTGTCAGAAGAGTCTCCTTTCTAATTTCCTCTGTTTGATATTTTGGGAAGAGGTAAAACTCCATTCTCAGCTTGGTTTTTAAATGGGTGTGTATCACTTGCTCCCAATTTTGCTTGAGTTGACATTGAAGAAATATTCACCTGTTTCCCTAGAAAAATTTTGGAAGTAATAAAAACACAAAAGCATCCATAATTACAATGTATGTAAAGCTCACACTTTCTGCTTTGGGACAATGGAGAATACAGTAAACAATATAAAGTAGAATTAATTTCTTCCTGTAATCACACCATTATATATATATATATATATATATGAAACCCACTGGCCAGGGTGGTGGCTTATGCAACCTGTAATCCCAGAACTTTGGGAGGCTGTCATCCCAGAACTTTGGGAGGCTGAGGTGGGTGGATCACAAGGTCAGGAGTTCGACACCAGCCTGCCCAACATGGTGAAACCCCATCTCTACTAAAAATACAAAAATTAGCCAGCATGGTGGCGCCTGTAATCCCAGCTACTCGAGAGGTTGAGGCAGGAGAATTGCTTGAACCCAGGAGGTGGAGGTTGCAGTAAGCCGAGGTTGTAGTGAGCCGAGATCGTGCCACTGCACCCCAGCCTGGGCGATAGAGCAAGACTCCGTCAAAAAGAAAAAAAGAAAGAAAAAAACACTACTATCTACTATAGGAAATTTCATACAGGCAACCAGAGGGCAATGAGTACTGCTAAAATTGAAGCTTTGCTTTATAAAAAGCTGGAGGAAATACGTGCAGGATTCTATGTTCCTTTGGTTCCTCTTGAACATATGTTACATTCTAAATCCTACAGAACATTTAATTCTTGAGTTGTTGCAATTAATACATACGATTAAAAAGCAGCTATGTATAAAATATACATACTTAAATTGCTGCAATTAAAAGTATAAAGAACAAAGTACTCAAACATTTCCAGGAAGATTCAACAATCTATACAACCACACATGCGGTGTGACTGTGGGACAACATAGTCAAGCAAATACAAAACTTAGAAAGCATATTTTAAAATATCGATTAAGATACTTCTAAACATACAATGTATTTCAATCTCTGTTTATAAATGTAACTACACATTTCAGCTCTTCTTAGTTGCACGACTCTTCAAACTACTGATTTCAAAAACCCAATATTTAACAGGTATTTTTAAATCACCACACCCACTCTTCTATTTAATAAATATGCAACTATTCTTGTTACTCGAACTTTTCATTATCTATTCACTACTCTACCATTAGTAAGACAAATCAAAAGAAATAGCAAACACAAAAATGCCACAACCTGCTTCCTGTATTTCTTTGGCCGTGTAAGCATCTCGCATCAGAAAAAATTTCCTCCTACCTTGCACCTACCAAGAACGTATTATACCTGGCACAGTACCTGCAGTGCTAGTCTGAAATAAGGTTAGCATGAGAGTATTTATGGGAGCAATCTTTCTTTTTCTATAATAATTGGGTTTCATAGTAATAACAAAGCTCAGTAAATTACACATGTCCAGTGAAATATATTATCCATATGTGTGGAGGGTATAGGAAAATCCCAAAATAAGTTAATACAAAAAGAAGTAAAGTGAGTTATTTTGTCCTGCTGTTATCCCAGGCATAACATACATTCTTTGGGGGTTGGTTACCTAGAGGCGGGCATGGATTACTGCCTCCAAGAAGAACTGAAGCAAAAATATGTGAGAGAGACCCAAGCTGGTTGTCTCCTTTAACCCCTGTCTCCTCTCATACATCAGGTGTGGGAAGCAAGACTGTATGAAGGAGCCCCTTCTGACAGAACTAATTATTTTCAGACTATTCAGATACGACACATAACAATTACTGACAACAAAGTGTTCAAAGTAAGAAATGGTTTTGCTATTATCTTATAATCAATGCACGTAAATGACTAAGGAATCAACTTATTTCTGGCAAAGGAACTAAAACAAATTAAATTTATTTCAGTTGATTGTTGGCTTTAAGACACCATCATATCTTGCAGATTTTTTTTTTTTTTTTTTTTTTTTGAGACGGAGTCGCTCTCTGTCGCCCAGGCTGGAGTGCAGTGGCGCGATCTCAGCTCACTGCAAGCTCCGCCCCCCGGGTTCACGCCATTCTCCTGCCTCAGGCTCCCGAGTAGCTGAGACTACAAGCGCCCAACACCACGTCGGGCTAATTTTTTGTATTTTTAGTAGAGACGGGGTTTCACCGTGTTAGCCAGGATGGTCTCGATCTCCTGACGTCGTGATTCGCCTGCCTCGGCCTCCCAAAGTGCTGGGATTACAGGCGTGAGCCACCGCGCCCGGCCATATCTTGCAGATTTTTAAAAGGATAAATTAAAAGAAAAACACTCCCATTAGAAAATAACAGAACTCAGAGTATCCACCTCTCTAAATTCCAGGAGTTATTCCAGCTATCAAGGTTACTTAAAAGCAGGAAGTATGTTGGGATGCTTAAGCTGGTAGTCATTCTGTGCTTTTAAATGGCCCAATATTAAAACTTCAAATTAAAATGTAAATCCTGTAATGTTAATATTGGTAACACTTAAGGACAAGCTCTGAAGACGAGATTTGATGATATCTTAGATGGTACCTTTAGTTTTTACTACTTGGGCTTTGCTTCGAGAGTGATGAAACAGCCCTTTTCACTATTCACAGAAGTGGTCGTGTTAAACAATTAGTTTAATTCAAAGGCAGGAAAAATAATGCATCGCATTTTGGATAAAAAGTGTACTTTATTTGGATTTCTTGTTATTCTACCAGATAAAATTTCAGGTAGAATGGCAAAAGTATGTAAGCTGTGATGGATAGTATAAGTTAAAAGTGTGACTGTATGAAAAACAAACCCGAGGTCAGAATGTAGTCGCAGGACTATAGCTATAAATTCTTACTATAATAATCTATACACCGAACCTAAATATGCAGCAGTTTTATGTCTAAGTTACTTAGCAACCAATGCAAGAGTCCATAAGATAGAAGAAAATAATGAACTTGCAACTAGCTTCAAGGCAGGGTTGAGGAGGGGAACAGGACATTGAGGGGTAGGGCAGTGAGTACTCAAGGCTGTTAGTGGAGGGAATCCAGCAAAGTCATGTGACAAGAGAGGCCTTCAAAGGAAACAGGGTGACCAACGGGTTTGTTCTTCCACTACAAGCAGAACAAGAGGAAATTATACATCCAAATAAGAAATGAGTTGCATGAAAATTAATTTTTGATAGTGGGACTGACTGCTACAAAAAGAGGGATATCTCCCTTAGTAAGAGCTCTCTAAATAAACTCAGAAAATAAAGTCACTATTCTCATCAACATTACCTAAGGGTGTAGAGTTTGAGTCACTTAGATTTTAATACCTTTCATTTCTCAGTATTGTATCTTGTTCCTCTCCAGAAACAGATGACATGCAGATCATAATCAGAAAATAAGCAGGCCCTCTTTATCACTTACACGTCTTTCTGCAATGCATTTCTGAATTGTTGGGTTAATATCTCACAGTTAAAAAAAAAAAAAAACCCTGCAAGGGAGATATTGGTGGCCAGTCACAGCTAACTTTTTAGTTATCATGATTAGGAAAGGAGGCTGGCAGCAGCCAAACTGAGAGCAGTGCCATCATATGAGCTGAACCTGCCCCCAAAAGAAGTAAACAATCTGTTATTAAGTAGAGAGGAATTTAAAATCACTAGTTTCTCTTTCTTTTGTTCCCTTGCCTGCCATACTTTTTGGAAAATTCTATTTTACCTAATAAAATTTCACCTACAAAGTGAGACCTGATGCTTTGTCTGGAGAAATCTCCCCTGTAAATAACTTTTATGAGATATTCTTTGAAGGACATTGAATGCCTTACTTACCAATATCCATTGTCTTTGTATTCTGAAGACCAGGGATTATGAGAACCACCATAAGTAGTAACTCCAGTAAGGGCTAAAGAGTGAAAAGTTAAAAAACGCTCTCCTCAAAAGCATTTACAGAGTTTCGGGGAGTCTGGTGTGCTTCCTTTCCTTCTTCTGTTCTACTCTTTCTCTTTACTTTCACTAATGCCCCCTTTTAGGTACCACACTTCAGTGGTCAGCTTGTGATGTCCTTCTCTGTTGCTGTTTCCCTCCCTAACGCTAGGCAGTTGTTGAATTCCACTGTACTGCAACTACACAGCAGCGGCTTCCTCATACCGTACCTTAGATGCAGACTTCAGGTCTTCAGCATGTGCCTTGTCAAAGTCAACCCTGAGAGGTGTACCGATTTGCCTCTCATAGTCCGAATCAGTGGTTGCCTTGATCAGATGAAATATATCATGAGATGACCATCCAGCCCATACTTGCCTTTATTTTTCTAGAGTCCAGCATATAAATGGCGACCTCACCTGCCTATCAATACCTGCAAGGAATGTTATTTGCCTTTTCCTACTCACCATGTAATCTCTCAATGTCCCAGTGCTGTTTTACTTTGCACTCATGGTGAGTATGTGCATTTACAGGTATTGGCAGTCAGCAGATAATGATGCCAGACTCTGCTTCTCACAGACAATATGATCTTTAGAGTGAATAAGGATTAATAGCAACCTCCCTTCTTACTGGCAGTGAAGAGAGAAATGGGTGAGGTCGTGTTACTTTGCAAATACTTTCTTCAAACCCTGTTCCCTATGAACTCTTCTAAGATATTTTTCTAATCCTTCCATGTGGCAAAGCCTACGTAGCCATTTGGGCTTTGTTTGAAACCAGCTGTTTATTACAATCTCTCTCCAGTAAATGCTAAAATACAAAAATCAGAAGACTGGTACACAATAAAATGGCACAAAATGTCGGGGATAATTTTTCAGAAGCTGTATGTTCCTTAAAAACGATCTTTCTCCAAGCAGGAAATGTTGCTTCTTTTGGAGAGCAGAGTGAAGGGGCTACACATCAGTGTGACGTCTGCTACTGGTAGAGAATGAGACCTATGGGGCATTAGAATACAAGCTCTTGAGTTCAGTAGCAACCCCTGCAACCAGGCTGGCACCTCAATAACAGCCACAGAAAGTAAAACCTCCAGAAATGTCCTCCAATCACAACTGCTTCTAGCATCTATGTTTTTATCTTTTACTAAGAAGGAAATGGTCATCTACCTAAAATGACACCATCAGAGAAGGGCATGAGGGTGTTACAGATTTAAGGCAAGACAAAGAATTAGAGGGTGCAGGCTTGAAGACAATGCTTTGTGGCTATGCTGAGTTTGAGGTCCCTGTGGGATCTAGGGGGAGCTTTAAATATAGTTCTGAAGTTCTCGAGATAGGTTTGACGAAAAGCTAAGGAGGCGCAGTAATCACTTCAGGGGGAGTTATCATTGTGGATAGCATGCCCAGCTGGGGAAATATAGAGTGGATAGAACTGTCCAGGAGGAAAACCAACATATCAGGCCAGAGGAGAGAGGAAATGTTAAGTTGATTTTGCTTAACATAAATTAATAATTAATATTCTGTATAAATATTTAATAGATTTCTAACCATATTGCTGAAATTATCTTGAAAAATAAGTAAAATAAATGCGAGGAGTTACAGTTTTCAAAAGCAGCAACATAAGGAAGGAAAATGTCAGGCTACAATGTGATGAAACAGACTATAATCATTAAGCGCCGCAGAGAAAGGAAGAGTAAGCAGAATGAGGACGAATCATTAATGGCTAGCTTGCAAAATAAGCCTGCACGCCACCCCCCATAAAATTTATGAATAATTTGCAAATTAGAGAAGAAACCAATGAGAATAACTGTTGTGATATTTCTAGGACAATTCAGAGAAATGTTTCAAATTATTTTCTATCAGCTGCTGTCTCACTTGTTTTTAATGCATACCATAAAGAAAAGAGTGGAGAGATTATATTCAGTATCTTTGTTTACGTCTCTTGATGATACTGCTTGGGAATCTTTGATTAAAAACAGTAATCAAGGCACCACTAATGGCAGATGTTTTAGATTATTGTGGGCTTAACTTAATAGGGCGGTATTTATTTTTTTACTGGAAAATTGTATATATAAACTTTCCAAAGATGCATATAGAAATAATATATGCAGCATTTTAACATACTATAAAGGATCATAAATAATAAATATAACCTCACTTACTTAAAATCATAAGCATGACATATTGTAGAAAAAAATACTTTATTTTTAAACCATTATAATCTCGAATATATGAACATCTTTAGTCAGCAGTGCCATTCCAGAAAATGGAATTACTTACTGAAGGACCTCAAGTTAACTTTATATATTGCTTCTTTAGGTTCACCCTTCAATAAACAGTCTTGATGTTTGTGTATTCTAAAGTATTTACATTTATTTCAATGCCATGCATATAATTAAATTAGTAACTATATATCTAGTACCTTGTAATTTGCTTCCAACATATCCTATAAGCTATTATCATGTAACTCTAAACCAGGAACACTTCTTTGGGTTTTTAGGCCTGGCAAAACTTTGCATAATTTTAATTTGTGAATTATTTCCACGTTTTTCATCAAGGATCTAGAAATGGTTAAATCAGGTGTCATTAGTTTTTTGCTAGTATAACCAATAACTCCATATCATGTGCTTTTTCTAAAAAAAAAAAAAGTTGATGCTTTAAAAAAAGATGATGGTAAGAAACTTTTCTCTTTTTTTTAAATATTAATATAAGCAAAATGTTAGCTGTTACCTCCAAATGGTTATATTTCTACTCATTTTGTTTTTTAAAACCTTTTTATATTGTTTCATGTTTTGTAAAAGATCTATTCCATTTTTGATTAAAAATATCATTTCATTTAAAAAATAATTCATTAGAGATCAATTATTTAAAGCAAAAAAGAAATTCCCTCAAAATTAATGGCATAATTTTAAAACCTAAAGTTTTACAAAAAAAGCAATTCTTTTCATATTTCTAAAATACAGTTGCACTGAAAAAATATTATTCATTTTTCCATAAAAAAAGAAATTCCATACATAACTGTAAGCTATAACAACTTTACAAGCCCTGAATGTTTTCCCAAAAGAAAGATTTTACACAATGAACTCAAATAGCTGAAAAAGACTTTCCTTTCATTAATGAAACCGACGTTTCCTCATGAAACAATGGCAATCACATGAAATTTCTGTTGATTAAATAATTTAGACCATAAACCATAGCAGAAGAATATATACTTCATATTCCTGATGTTTCCTTCGATGTGGAGGAATCTTCGGCTAAATTAAGAATCCCAGTCCCTCTCTGGCATCTCATTCCTGCATAGGATACAAAAAGCGACTAGTTCGGCTGATGAGATTGAAGAATTTGCGTAAAGAAATTGAACATGCTCATTTCAGTCCCTCTTTTTTTTTTTTTTTTTATTTTTCTTTCTAGGAGCTAGCTGCCTGTATAAGGCACTTGCTCTGCCTATAGGGGCCAGACAGCAAGATTTCAGCAATACCAGTGCTTGGTGGCTAAATTTGTTATCGTGCCCACCAAAGACAAGTTCTGTAAAAGCTCTATCCATAATCAAGGTGTCGTTTTGATCACTATTTGCCTGAGAACGTTCCTATATGTTGCCCATCCCCAATCCCATCCTTAACGTCAGATATTTAAAGGAACAGCTGTTGAAGAGAAATGTATTACCTGGTGAAATGTTAACTGCACATTTTTATATATAATAGTTCATTTTCTTGAGAGTAACAAGTAATGTAAGAGAGAATATGGGATCGAAATATCTAATAATTTAGAAATTACTTAAATAATACATGTTTTTGACTTTTGGTAGAAGCAAGTATGTTTTGCCTCTTCCTCTTTTCTCTTTTCCTACCTTCCTTAAATTTTCAGTGGGGAAGAATTAGGAATTCTGTTTCCAAACTAGGAAACAGAAGGATATGTTATAAATACTGAATTGGAAGAATCTGAAAATTTCCAGATTCTTTGAAACCTTCAAACATTTGAAAGCATCCAAATTACTTTGTGCTTTCATACTGAGAAGTCAATGTTCGAGAGCCACAACTTTCAAAGAATCTGATATTATCATATGGTATAAATCAAAAAGGTGTTTTTTGGACCTTCATGTTCAACTCCAACATGCCTAGGTCTCTGCACCGCTCTGTTGCCAGGTCTGGTTCACCCAGGCACTGAGTTGTCATCCGGGCTCCCCACGTTACTCAAGACTCCCGTCTGAATGGGGAAGACATGGAGAAATATGGCTTTTCAACAAAATCCTGCTGATACCTCTGGCGTACAAATCCTCAAATTCAACTTCTTTCCCTGCCCTCCTGGACCACATCTAGCAGAGAGCAGCACCTCCTAGATCAGGACTTTACCTCCAATCATAAAAGCCTCTCTTGTTCCTCTCAGTCCAATCAAAACACTCCTCTTCTGAAGACTCATTCATTGTGTTCAAATAATGGGTGCTTTGTATTTGAAGTAGATAATAATCTATTTTACTTGTTTGGAAACTGTTTTAAAGCAGAATATTACTTTTAAAATAAAAGCTTTGGGAAAAAATAAATTTCAAAGATAAGGTTTTCTTCCCATTCAGGTTAATGTGGAATGGGGCTAGATTTTCATTGACTTCTCCTCCTCTAATGGGACTTCCTTCATCCAAATGTGGCCTCAGTGTTTACAACACAGAATTTCAGGGTTTCAGGTCTCAGAGCAACCAGCTTTGAACACACAGAGACCACAAGAACCTGAGGATGAAGACTCAACGGATGGAAGGGCTTGAATGTTAACAGACTTGAGAACTGTCCAACCAGCCAGGACTGGACAGAATGTGGAGGAAAATACATTTCTATCTTCTTTTAGGATTTACCTAAAATCTATTTAGCAAAATATATCAAATATATAGAAATGTGTGTATATACATAGGTATATTTTATGTTCTACAAATATATTGAAAACCTGGTCAAGAAAATAGTCCCCCAACAAATTAGTCTGCCAGATTAATTTAATATGAATCCATGACATTTTATACAGACACACACACACACACACACCCTGTGTAATGTAGGAAAGATAACAAAAATATCATAGATTGAGTGATTACAAGATGTTCTCTTAGGCAGTGTCTTTTCATTTTGCACTGTAGTACTTACTCATATTCATTCATTATATTATATTCTTTAGAGAAAAAAGGATATTAATAATAACCTCTTTCTATAAGGAACAAACAGTCTCCTAGTTCTCAGTAAAATATTTTTTAAGCATTGTGTTCAAATAATGGATGCTTTGTATTTGAACTAGATGAACTGTCCAACCACAATTCAATGGCATGTCTTTCAAAATTATTATTTTTCTATATCTCATATTTCTGGTATACAGTTTATGTAAAACAAAACAATAGTATTGGCTGAAAAAACTGTGATATAATTGGTGATACAAGTTCCGTGAAAACAAAGGTGTAGGAAATGTTTTTCATTAGAAGATACTGGATTTTTAGTGATGCCTTTTTAGAAAGAATTGCAGGCAGTCTTATGGATTTCAGGAGGCTGCATTTAAAAGCAAACAAAGTATATTCACCTACAAAGAGGAGCATAAACATACTCCATGTAGAATATTTTAAATGGAACTAGAGTGGAGAAAAACAATATTTGTAGTTGAAAGAAATTAAGTCTTGAAAGAGAGCACCGGCCGGGCGTGGAGGCTCACGCCTGTAATCCCAACACTTTGGGAGGCCGAGGCGGGCGGATCACGAGGTCAGGAGATCGAGACCATCCTGGCTAACGCAGTGAAACCCCGTCTCTACTAAAAACACAAAAAATTAGCCGGGCGTCGTGGCGGGCGCCTGCAGTCCCAGCTACTCAGGAGGCTGAGGCAGGAGAATGGTGTGAACCCGGGAGGCGGAGCTTGCAGTGAGCCGAGATGCGCCACTGCGCTCCAGCCTGGGCGACAGAGCGAGACTCCATCTCAAAAAAAATAGAAAGAGAGCAACAAATGATACCAACTTTCACTATTCAAATGACAATACATAAAGATCAAATTTAATTTCATCCAAAATCAGTGCTTCAAAGTATATTAGAGAAGAATAAATACATAATAATATAAAACTAGCATAAAATTATGAAATAGGAAATTATTGCTCCCATAGGAAGGTTAAAAAAAGGGAAAAAGAATTACTTTGGCTTAGAAAGTTTAAAAGATTGAAATCACTAATAAGGCTTATGGTCAAAATACAGAGATAAAGAGTAGAGTAAACGTTATTAGAGTTCAGGCATCTGAAGTGACTATAGCAATTTTAGATATTGCAACTCAAGGACAATATATGAGCAGACTTAGGAAAGAACTGGATGCTGGCCAGGAGAGAAAGTAAATTTGGCCAGTGATTGGAAATGAGTGATGGAAGACAGGATCAATTCTTTTCTTTGAATTCATTGTAAGTATTGTAATTATGAAGACTACAGTAAAGAATATGTTTAATAATGAATACATATTTTTCTTATAGGTGTTTGTAGAATGTTCAGATCAGTGACAAATCTTTTTAATTGTACTTACATAAAGGAAAACCATTATGAATAAATAATATTAACGTGGGCATTTACCTCTTAATGCCTAAGAAAACCTTGAATATATAAACTTTGCAGAGGAGCATAATTCATATAAATAAAATGTGTTATTACTTTAATAAAATAGAGGCATATTAAAATAAAGTTACATAATAATTAGATTTTATTCCCCTCTCTTGCCATCTGGTTAGAGACGAAGCATGCATCTTTAGAATATTTTTTTTAAAACAATTACTAATCAGGGAAATTCTAAAGATTAATGTTGATTAAACAAATGATTATCATTTTAAATGGAGAAAATGGCAATAATGACGATCACTCTGCATTTTAAAAGTTACCTTTTATCTCTTTAATTATAAACATTAAAAATAGATATTGCAACCTAAGATGAGAATTAAAATTAATGTTTCATAGCCTACTGTAACAGGTTTGATAGAATTTATTTTTAAGTATATTACCTGAAATTGAAGAAAATCTATATTTGACATACTAAATATAGCTAGCTAGCTACAGATTTTGCATAATTTATAAAGACTATACACATCCTACAGAAATAATATATATTACTATACTCATGTATTTCAGGTAAAAACTAGGGAGCATTTTACACAGTGAGATTAAACAATTTGTATACAAGTACTTTGACTATTTCACAGCAAACTAGGACATATGAATGAGAAGATGGTTTGGTTTACTTGCATTTTCAATGAATTGATCTATTTCTAACTTTAATGATGAATTCAGCCATGCAACAACTTTGCCCTGTAAATACAATCATGTATCATTGTATTGGTACTGTTAACAACAATCAGTTAAGCATGACCATGTGCCAGTCATTGCACTAAGCTCTGCATTTTCAAATTTTCACCACCTTCAGCATCTTGCAAAAAAAAAATCTTTTTTTTTTTTAGTATCCTTCAGCACCATTGCACTTCAATTCATCCAAAATGGATATAAATACAGAGAATACAGAGAACCCTTTATGAAGCAATCACCTGAGTTAGGGTATACTCCTTTCTTTCTAGAGTGCAATATTGTCATACCATGCCGTTCGTAGCAGCACCATTATTTTCTGACCCCATTTTTACCTACAACCTGAGCTATTCTACTCAGCAGTCATTCCTTATGCTATTGGATCTTCCCTGTTTATTATTATTTTTTTAACGGCTCAGAGATTGTGCCCATAATTCAAGTTTATCTACAGTAGCTGAAAAAGCAGTAGGTTATAGCTTCTTCTCTGGTCTCTTGCTCTCTGAACAGGAGGACCACATGGAGTATTTAAGCATGATTTCCTTGTAACAAGATAGCCTCATGTTTGCATCAGAGACATATCATTTGGGATAGCTCATTTCTGATCATCATGCAGTCTATCTAAGTTGCTTTATTTTAGGGAGGCTGTTCTATTTTTGGAAGGTGAGAGGGTCAAGCATGTACCATTCTCAGTGTACAGTTAAGTCCTCACTTAATGCCATGAATAGCTTCTTAAAAACTGCAACTTTTAGCAAAATGACATATAATCAAACCAATTTCACCATCAGCTAATTAATATAAACAGGAGTTAAGTTCCTATTGCATATTTCTGGCTATAAAAGCGTCACCAAACTTCTAAATAAAGGACCAAAACACTTCTAATATTAAACACTGAAATAAACATGCACAAGTAAGATAATTATTTACCCAGTTATTCCAGTTCAGGGTCTTGGGTGGCCAGAGCCTATTCTGGCAGCTCAGGACACAAGGTAGAAACCTGCCCTGGAGAGGACGTCACATCTCTTTGCAGGGTGACTCACACACACACTCACACTGGGCCCATTCAGACAAACCTACAAACCTAACGTGCACATCTTTGCAATGTGGAAGGAAACTAGAAAAAACCCACACAGATATGGTAACAAGGTGGAAACTCCACCTAGTCAGCGCCCCACCATTCCCTAAGAGGAATCAGTTTTATTTTTATCGTCAGACTTGTAACAAAAGGACTTCATTTGTACCCACCCTCCACCCAGACCCTGCCCATACCATCTATTCCAAAAGAGGCAATAGATGAAAACTAAAGCCACCTGAGCATTCACAGGTAATCAGCCTGAATAGTACTTCCAGTCAGCTGTGGCTACCATTATGTTATTAACTCTGATTATTCAACAGAATCCAAGAGAGCAAGGTTTCTTTGGGCAGTGGTGATGTTTTATCATCAAAACAGCCTTTAGTTGTATATTCCTGTTCCCAAAGTCACTTGTGTTCTACTATTTGATCCCTTCAGTAGCATCATAAGTGCACAGTAAATTGTTGTATATTATACGATCTATTTTGATTTGTTGAAAGCCAAATAGCCACTAATAGCAAAACGTTATTGTCTGATTGAATTCCTTCCTCTATTCAACCTTTAGAACTAATTTTTAACATTCCACCTTAGGTGCATATCTGAAAGACAGCAAAGCTGGAATTTTCAGTGATTGCTCAACATAATTCTAATAGAAGCACACTTGCTAGAAAAGATAGAGGACAAAACCACAAAACCTTTTTTCTTATCTAATACAACTAACAAAATCAATTAGTATGTGGCTATATTTTATAACTTTTAAAAACTTTCACTACAAGTTACTTAAAATTCTCCAGGTTTTAAGCTTTTAGACATTGGTGCTTTTAGAAATTGGGGCTTTTTAAGCTTTTAGAAATAAAGCTTTTAGAAATAGGTGCAAGTTATTTTAATAAATTTTATTTCAAAATTGTCCTCTAAAAATGGTTGAGATAGACGGATAATATTTACGCAAATATCACAGTATTTAGAAGACTTTTCTAATTTTCTAAAAAGAACTTTCTTTCCCAAATGCCTCCCTAAAACCTACTTTTCTGCAGATGATTTAGAACAAATGTGCTATATAGTGGCAGTGTGATGAAGTTGAATTACAGCTTTAGACAACTGCATTGCTGTGTACAGTACAGGTTTGAGTGGCTTAGTAGGGCTGAAATGCTCTGACGTTAAGACATGTGTGTTGTACTACAGATGACAAAGTATTTCAAGTTAGAAAGCAACGGAATGATTTTATACTCTTCATACTAAAGGCATGAATGAATTTTATGAATGACAAAACTTATAATTGACATTTTATACGTTTTATATTCTGAAATCAAAATCTATTAAATATAAAATATTCTGAAATAATTCAAAGCAAAATAGTAAGATATAGTTTCAATTTTTGTATTGAGGCAGAACAAAGACATATTGGAGGAACAGCAGTAATATTAATAGATAAGTGGCTTAGAAAATATAAGAAAAATTAGCTTATTTTCCACCTTGATTTTATATTCTAGGAATGGAATATGTGTGATCCATAGAAAAATAAGAGAAGGGAAGTAAAGAAATAAAAACAAAAAGAAACAAATGGATTTTTATTGAGAAAATGTATGAGGCAAATGATGTGCTGGATGCTTGTGTGTTGTATTAGGATATTTCCAGCTTCCGTGCCTCTGGAAGGGCAGTTCCCTGCACCCAAACTAGACTGTGACCCCTACTTCTGTCTCCTCTTGATCTTTGAAGACAGTTCCTTTCTTCGCTTACTCTTTAGCATTATGTAAGCATTCATTATCAAAGGCTGAGTTATGTTATCTCCCAAAAAATATACGTTACAGTCCCTCAGGACCTCAGAATGTAGCCTTATTTCATTGGAAATAGGCTGTTGGCAGAAATAATCACGTTAAAATGAGATCATTAGGGTTGGCCCTAAACCAATCTAACTGGTGTTCGTATAAAAAAGAGACATTTAGACACAGAACACACAGAGGAGGGCAGCAGCACATGAAGATAAAGGCAAAGATCAGAGTGATGCTTCTACAAGCCAAGGAACTCCAAAGTTGCTGAGGAAACCACTGGAAGTTGGGAGAGGCATGGAACAGATAACCCCCACAGCACTTAGAGGGAGCCAACCCTGATGACACCTGGAGAGCAGACGTTCAGCCTCCAGAGCTAAGACAGAATACATTTCAGGTGGTTAATCCCAGTTCATGGTACTTTGTCACAGCTGCCCTAGGAAATTAATAAACTCATTAAATATCTGTACAACTTAATTGAGGAAAAATGGTCTTTACAACAACTCTGTTAAAAAAAATACAAAACATGATATATCCATAGTTATCCATTGTTTCTACAAATAACGTCATTATAGCATTAAGAATATTGGTAAATACTTATGATAATGCATCCTATAATTAAATTGTAAAATTAAATGGGAAAAATAGAAATTATATGTTATGCAGTTTTATTTGGAACCAAGCTATATTAACAGTAAATTACACTGAGATGTTAAAAGTGGCTTTATCCAGTAGGCAAAAAAATAGGCAATCTGAATTTTATTTATTTTAAAATTATTTGTCTGTAAAAGGAATTGTTGTCTTACTCTAGAAAAAATACAATTTAATGAAAATATATCCCCCTTTTTAACCAAGAAAAATCCTACTCTATGTACTAATGTTTTCCAAAGTGATCTCTCCAGAAGTAATCATTTTTTCCTCAAATTATTTTTTCCAGTGACTATAGTTATAAATACAGATAGATAACTTTAAAAAATTAAAACATAGTCTATGTATATAGACTATGTTTATATATATCATATATAGCAGTATATTTCTAGAATATAATCTCTTGAAAGGAATGGCTGTTTTGGAATTTTCTATAAAATGTAACTCAGTGCTTTTCTAGTTTTTGCTTACTAGATATAGATAACTATAACATATTTTAGTTTACATTTTAAAATAAACATTTTAAAATTTTAAATAAAATTATTAACTTATTAATATAATGAAATCATTTTAGAACAATTTTGGAATAAAAATCAATGCTACCTTTAAAATGTTTGTTGTTCAGAACATTGGCTATGGTGGTTAATTTTATGTTTCAACTTGTCTGGGTTAAAGGATACCCACGTAGTAGATCAAACAAAAATTTGGGCTGTGTCTGTGAGGGTGTGTTCAGGAGATTATCATTGGCTCATCAGACTGATTAAAGAGAAGTTCACCCTTGCCAAAATGGGCAGGTACCATCCAATCAACTGAGGGCCAAATAGAGCAAAAAAGAAGAGCAAATTGTCTCTCTACTTGGGCTGGGACATTCATCTCCTGCTCTCAGAAATTAGCTCCACTGGTTCCCAGGCCTTCAACCTTGGAGAATTACACCATCAGTTTTCCTGGCTCCTCTTCCATAATCACACAAGTCAATTCCCATAATAAATCTCCTTGTGTATATCTTCACATATCCTACGTGTTCCGCTTATCCAGAGAACCCTGACTAATACATTGTTCTCACCAGGTTGTTCAATCACTGTATGAGAAAAGATTCTATGCTAAAACAAATGAGACAAATTAGAATGTTCTATCCTTCTCTTTAATGTATTTTTAAATTCAGAATTTCCTAAACTTCTTTGATAACAGTCTCTTCTGTGAGTAATACTTATCGCTATTCTATCAATTTAGTTTTCCAAGTAACACAATTAGAAAAACTTTGATGAATCTATTTTTTTATCTGAACTAGAAGAAAAAAAGAAATAGTTAAATAGAAAATATATAATGGCAGATATTGATAATCAAAAGAACCTTCTTGTATATTGATGCACATACTGTCTATCTAATATCAAAATAATCTATTAAACTGTGCCATAGTACAGTTGTACTATGTATACAGAGGAACATTTTCAATAGATATTTACTGTTATAAATACCAGTTTTCATAGTTGCAAAACCATGAGTAGTACAAAAAGTCATGTTTAGAAACACCAATTAGCAATTATGCTTAGACTGAATTGCATAATGTTTGAAAATCTATAGAAACATCTGTTTGCATCTATTGGAAACAAATGTTCAAAGATACAGAATAGGGAATTCATATGCAGAGATCTGACTCATAATGTACCTTTATTTTAAATATCAGATCATTTCAGTACTGATCTGACTATAATTTTCAGTTATACTATCATTCACTTTTAATAATCTTATACAGTGGTATATCTGGGTTTTGATGATCATGCCTTTGGATAGTTGGTTATGGTACTGAAATTAAGTTATAAAAAATAATTATACAATAATAATGTAGGCATGAAAAAATACACAAATTATTTACTAGTGTGTTACTTACTCATAATTATGGAGGTATGGGGTTGACCTAAAAAAGTAATATTTAATGATAATATTTTTGTCTGTTTTGTGCTTTTAACTTTTTAAATTCACTTTTTGTGCTTTGACAAGTTTAGAAATGGAGACGACGTAAACAAAGGGATTATCTTTTGACTATCAGAAGAGAACATCTTAGAAAATTGGAAAGTTCTGAACTTTATCTGTATACTTGATTGCACATTTTAATAATCATTTCAATATTCATGGTGATTATCAGAATATGGACTATTAGATATTTCTTTGAGTTTTTCAGCTCTGAAAAACACCATCTATTTCTGGCAAATTATACTGTAGAATATGACAATCTACAGAATAGACATGAACCCCAAACTAGTAATTCCAGTTGCCTAATTTCCTGCAATGTGGTAGTTTAAAAAAGGAAATATATACATATACACGTAATAGAAATGTGTATAATATTGTACATTAATACATATTGTAGAAGATAGAGTTGAACTTAGAGCAATGATTCATAGGAAAGTATATTTCTAATAATAAAAAGGAGAAAGCAAAAATAAAGGAATAGGAACAAAACAAATGGCTTCAGCCCTTAAGTAATAACACATACAATAATCCTAGAACAAACAATAAAATATATCTTGTATTTTATAAATAGAACACTGTGGAGCATATGTATAAATTAAATATTGCAATAAAAGATATAGATATAGATATAGATTTTTTTTTTTTTTGAGAGATGGAGTCTCTCTCTGTCGCCCAGGCTGGAGTGCAGTGGTGCGATCTTGGCTCACTGCAAGCTCCGCCTCCCGGGTTCATGCCATTCTCCTGCCTCAGTCTCCCAAGTAGCTGGGACTACAGGAGCCTGCCACTATGCCCGGCTAATTTTTTTGCAATAAAAGATAATTTTAATGAACAGAAAAAGAGAGATGATGAATTTACAAGTCAAAAGGATATAAAGCAATAATGATGTACGTGGCACAGAGATAAAAGTATAAATAAAAGAAGAACTGAACAAGGTAATTATTGGACAGTGTGAATCACAGCACCTATCATGGATGCTATCTCTAGAAAATGATACTAGATAACTTGTCGAGACATGTTTGGTCCATGCATCCAGTTCCTGTTGTTGATATTTTTGTCTCATAGCAATTGGTGTGGGGCTCTGTGCTGCAACCTCAATGCTCTGCCTTATTCCCCACCTCACAGAGAGCTACATGAAATAATTGGCTGGGGTAGGACAGCGTACTGAATTGCTTCCTGCACCTTGGCTCTATCTCAGTGCATGATGCTTTAAAATGTGATAGTTCATTACCATATCAGGTAGAGAATACAAAATAGGAGGGGTTTGGGAAAAGTCTGAGGCTGCATGTTTATTTCTTGGGATTCTTTCTTAACAATGTCTCATCTTTTGCTTTGCACTTCCTTTAAATTACTAAATTTAGCTTCAATGTGGGACAGAGAATTCAATTATTGTGATCTCACAATATGCATCGTAGTCTGAATCTCAAAGCTCATGAATTGCTGGTCATAGGAAGATGTACCCTCTTTTAAGAAAATCGTGTGCTGTGCACTTAGCTCTCTCAAAGAGTCAAGCTTGAATGGAAGCTGTTTTGCTTCCTTGCAGTGTAAGGAATGACTCAGGATTTAGTTAACACACTACAACACCTTGCTATTTTTCTTTTTTTTTTTTTTTTTTTTTTTTTTTTTTTTTTTTTTGAGACGGAGTCTCGCTCTGTCGCCCAGGCTGGAGTGCAGTGGCGGGATCTCGGCTCACTGCAAGCTCCGCCTCCCGGGTTCACGCCATTCTCCTGCCTCAGCCTCCCAAGTAGCTGGGACTACAGGCGCCCGCCACTACGCCCGGCTAATTTTTTGTATTTTTAGTAGAGACGGGGTTTCACCGTTTTAGCCGGGATGGTCTCGATCTCCTGACCTCGTGATCCGCCCGCCTCGGCCTCCCAAAGTGCTGGGATTACAGGCGTGAGCCACCGCGCCCGGCCACCTTGCTATTTTTCTACTTCTGGAGCTAAAGCTCTATCCTCCAGTCCACTCATAATCTGAGTTCTAAAATACAGTAGGGAATAGCTTAATTCACTCCTTTAGTGCCCATAGCAAGGATTGACAGCATCCTTGCTGGGAATGAAGAAGCTTTACTTTACCTCAGGGAAGTCAATATTTTTCTGCTTATTACTTGCAATATACTATATCCTGGTACCAATTTCTGTATCAGTCTTTCAAGTAATAGACATCTAATTCAAATAAACATAAGCAAAAAGTTTAAATTTACTGGCTTACATATCTGGGAAGTCCAGAGAAACTTGCCTCTCCAGCAAGTACTCAAATAATATAATTGGTACTTTCTTAGCTCTTTACAAATCTCTGTAGGGTAGAGTGATAGGGTAGAATGACCATATCCACGCTGACATTTCTACAGCTAAAAATCAAGCTAGACTTTTATCCTCAGTATCCTCCTATTAGTTCCAATGGAGAGTTCTGATTGACTCTGAAATATGCCTTAGGAAGAGGAATGAATTACCATGTTCAAATAGAACCACATCACATGTACACCTTTGCAATAGCAGAGAAAAGCAGATGATGGCTACTATGATTGCTAGGCCCCAAGAAGTATGTTTGTATTAGTGTTAGGGGATAGTCTGTATTTAAAAGAATACTGAGCAGAACAAAACAAAAGATGTCCTCTACAATATCCCCTAAACATATACAAATAACAAAATGTACGTTAAGTTAAAACTCAAGTTTATCTTTTAAACAAATGGCATACAAAGTAGTAAAAATGTAATTAAAATAAACCAAATGAGAACTATGAGGAAAACACAATGGATTCAAAGGAGAGAGAAATAACACATATTTTCATGAGTGAAATATTGCAGTTGAATCTTGAAGAATAGGTAGAATTTCAGTAGGCAGATTTGAAAAAGAAAATTTATTCCAGGCATGAGTCATGACATGAAGAAAGGAATGAGGATAATATCACATGCCACACTCAGGAAAACATTTAATGAAAATAGGTTTTATTCATGAGAAAAATGTTGTATTAGTTGATGGTTAAATAAACAAATATATATATATTTATAAGGATAAATATATTTACATGCAGGCATACCACACACACACACACACACACACACATATATACTTAAAATTATGTATAAAGTTTTGTTTTTTAAGTGTATCTAGACACAGATAGAGATATACACATATAGATATATGCATGAGTGAGTTCATGTATATGAAACATACATATATTTCCTAGCTCTGTCTACTGAGAGGACCAGAAGCAGTAACACTCTACTAACACCTACCACCCAGATCTCAGTTTCTAAACCCTATTCACAATAAAAATAACCAGGGCTTCTTGTAAAGGGGGTTAATTCCAGGACTAGGGCAGAGGAAACTCAAGATGAGCCTGGAGCATCATATGGTGGTAAAAGAAAATAAGGAAGCTCAAAAAATTAAAAGGAGGGAGGCCTTGTTACGAACCTGAAGGAGTTCCTAATGGCCTAAGATAGAAAAATTTGAGAAATACAACAAATACTGTACAATTAGATTTCAACTTAGAAAAACGGGATAAATATTACTGACTTCATGCTAACGGAAACAAATCTTTGAGTAAATGAATAAAGGAATATAAATAAGTAAATTAACAAGGGAGAACAGATAGCTCTTTGTCACTGTAGAATTCTGACTAATAGAAAGTAACATATAAAGAATCACCATCAGGAAACATCATAGAAATAAATCTTCCAATGAAGTGCATCACTGGATACTAAAATTAGTGGGTGAAAGCTTACAGAGAAACAAGATTTTCATAGTTTCAAAGTATCTCCCCCAAGATCATTAACAACTACTAAGGAACAGATAGTAACCTTATGTTAGAGAAACCTGGTAGACACACACTTAGCTAAATCACCAGTAATAAGACATATACACATCATTAATCCCTTAATATGATACTCTGAGGAAACAACACAATCTCTTTGGTGTCGTCAAAATTGCTCAACCTATTCTTATTACCAGAAGATATCAGACAAACCCAAACTGAGAGTGCCTATGAAATGACTAATCTTCAAGACTGTTAAGGTCTTGAAGTGTCTTTGTTTGTCCTTCCATAGAAGGATAATGTAAAAAATGTAAAAAAGTTTATTTTTGTCATAGTAGAGAGTAGAATAGTGGTTACCAGAGGCTGGGAACGGTAGAAGGAACAGGAATGGGGAGAGATTGGTCAACGGGTACAAAATTAGAGTTAGATAGCATTACCAAAATGCCAGAGTTTTGATCTAAGTCATGCTGCTCACCACACAGAAAGCCAATCGCTGGGACAATGAGTGTTACCAGGGAGTGTTTAATTGGGTGCTGCAGCCAAGGAGAATGGGAGGTCAGTCTCAAGTCTGTCTCCCTGACCAACTAAAATCTGGGGTTCATATAGAAGGAAAGAAATGTAACCATGTATGGAAAGAAAGGAGTTAGGTATGGGTAAGGAAGAGGAGTTTGCCAACAGGAAAGCAGGTGGTCACTTAGGCCATCAGGATGAGTGATGAGTCTGATGTCCCATTGTCCAGATACAGTGACCTGGTGATTTTAATCCCTTGATACTATCTCGGAGGCCCATGTGGTTGGTTTCCTGAGAAAGGAACTCAGGTAACACAAATGTAACTCTCTTGAGTTTCAAGATTAGGAGGGCCAATTTCTATGTTTATTCAAAAGAAACCATAAAAATCAAAGGTCAGTTATTTTATGGGACAATTGATCCAACAGGAGAAATAAGTTCTGGCAATCTACTGCATGTAGGGTGACTATAGTTGGCAATAATGTATATTTCAAAATATCTAGAAGAAAATATTTTGAATGTTCTTACCACAGAGAAATGATAAATTGTGGAGGTTAGATGGATATGCTAATTAACCTGATTTAATCATTATGCAACATATACATGTGTCAAAACATCACATTGTAACCCATAAATATATACAATGAGTTTATCTCCACTAAAACTCCTGTTGAAATTTGATTCCTAATGTGGTAGTGTTGAGAGGTGCAGCCTAGTGGAAGGCATTTGGGTCACGGAGATGGATCCCTCATGAATGGCTTGGTGCTATTCTCATAGCAGTGAGTAAGTTCTCCTTCTTGGGTCACCGGATTAGGTCTCGCAGGAATGGATTCATTCCCACAAGAGTAAATTGTTATAAAGACTAGTCACCCCTCGCGTTTTCTCTCTTTGCACATATCTGCTTCCCCTTTGACCTTTGCCATGTTATGGTGCAGTAGGGAAGCCCTCACCAGAAACCAGGGCCATGCCCTTGAACTCCCTAGCCTGCTATGATTTAAAATGTGATCTAAATAAACCTCTTTTCTTCATAAATTACTCAGACTGAGGTTTTCTGCAACAGTAACACAAAACAGACTAAGACAAAAATAAAATAATACTTTTTAAAAAGTTTCAATGTCATGAAAGACAAGGGAAAACTGTGGAATGGTTACAGACAGGAGGGGTATATGGCAGAAATAACAATTTTATGTAATTTGATATCTTGACTAGAATCCTTGGACACAGAATGAGCATTAGTAGAAAGTACTGATGAAATTAGAATGAGGTCTATATTTTAGTTAATGAAATTGTAGCAATGTTAAATCCCTTTTCTTAATTAGACTATGATTATGTAAAATTGTAATATTAGGAGCAACTAGATTAGAGATGTAAGGAAAGTTTCCATGTAGTTTTTGCAACTTTTCTGTAAGTTTAAAATTACTTCAAAATAAAACATTTCTAAAAACTGTATGTGTACACACACACACGTGTGTGTGCATATGTAAAACATTTGCCTTTTATAGTCCTATAGCCTCTAGATCTGGTTTGAAAGTTCGTATGAAAAACAAAGATCTTCAGGCCTCTGTTTGCTGAATTGGAACTGCCACCCCTAACAACTTCATATTATGCCTAATTACATAAAATTGCAGAATCATCTCAGCAGTCTAATAATTAAAATTATATATCACCTATTATAGTGGGACAAAGATCTCACAACCATAAATAGCGAAATAGCTTTTTCATTTTATTCATAACCACAATAAGTAATAAAGTCATTGCTAAAGGAAGCCTTCTCATAGGCATATTTTATTCATTGTCATTGCCACATTTCTAAAATAATGTAAATTATCTAAATGTGTGTAGTTTTTAATCTAGAATAACTTAACAGGAAGGGCATATACTGGCTACAAATGGTATTTTAAAAGTAACTCCTGTTGTATTTTGTGGCTCAAAATATATCCACACAAGCATACATGAATAGGTGCAGGTTAAGAGGCTACATAGCAACAAAAGTAAGAGTTGGGAAAATAGATGCTTTTTTTGATTTATTTGATGAAAGCTTTGGACAGTTCTGTTCAGAACACCGCCCCCACACACATGAACGTAGAATTTGGGGGAGTTGAAGTGATTGGTTTTAGAGTAAGCGATATAATTTTAGTGACAAAAATAGCAGCACTCCTATGCAGAGGATAGTGGGATAATATCAAATTTTTATGACTTAAATTATGCTTATAGGAGCATTTTATGTGACCATTTTTATTAAACTATAAATCAATCAAGGTAAATGGAATCAGGAGTCAAATCCTATATTTAATTAAACTAACCATTCATTTGACTGTATTAAAAGCTATTCAAGACAAATGAATGATGTAACAATGAACTTTTTATAAAACACATTTTAATGTTTTTCAAGTGTAAGTAAACCTTGCCACAATTGGATTCATAGTTCTGAAATTTCCATTTCTATAAATGTCACTGGACATCCTCATGATTTCTATGATTCAAGCCATAACCTAGCATTAAGGGTGAAATGATACAATATTTCATATATTAGATAGATTAGATAGATAGATAGTAGATAGTAGATAGATATAGAAAGATAGATGATAGGATTAGAGATATATAGATAAATAATAGATTAGATAGATGATAGATTAGATAGGATAGATAGATAATAGATGATGATAGACAGATAGATAGATAGAGATAGCTAGATAGATAGATAGATAGATAGATAGATAGATAGATAGATAGATAGAGATAGATAGATAGATAGATAGATAGATAGATAGATAGATAGACAGACAGACAGGCAGATAGATTCCTCCTAGTTCCTATGGCTGATTGTGGCGGTGGTAGAAAGTCCCTAAGATCGAGAGTCAGGGGATGTGCCATTCATTTGTGCTGTCATTTATGAGTTTTCCAAGTACTCTCATGCCTCGCCTGTGGGTAGGCAGGCATTACTGTTTTCATTTTATGAAGATCCTCTGAAAGATTGAAGGTATTCTCAAATTTGCAGCTGACACCAGGACCAGAAGTCCATCCCTCGACCCTCCATCTTACACTCTTTCTCCCACCCCCAGAACCAGCCATAGAAACACCAGGATCAGGGCCTCTGCTTTAGTTCCCTTATTTGCGAAATGAGGATAACAATAGTACCTACTTTGTAGGGTCACTATGAGGTTTAAATGAGCTGTGACACATCTAGTACAGTGCCTGGCACACAAACGTGTGAGCTTTCAGAAGGGGTAGTTATATCCCCTAACCGCTAACCCCGTTACGTGAGGGACACACAGATCATCTAGTTTGGGTGCCCCATCCTGTCATGCAGATAAATCCCACAATTTGACATCTACAAGCTGAAAAACTATGAAAGCTGGTGGTATCATTCAGTCTGAACCTGAAGGTTGGAGAAACCAGAGAGCTGCTGTCATAATTCCTAGTGTCCTAACTCCCAAGAACCTGGAGCTCTGATCTCCGTGGGCAGAGGAAGATGAATGTCCCAGCTCAAGAGACAGTGAATCCACCCTTGCTATACACTTTCGTTCTATCCAGGCCCCCAACAGATGTGTTGACACCCACCTACATTGGTGAGGGCAGTCTTCTTGGTCTAGTCATTCAAATGCCAATCTCTTTCAAAAACACACTCTCAGACTCACCCAGAAACAATGTTTTACCAGCTATGTGGACAACCCTTAACCCAGCCAAGTTGACATATAAAAATAACTATCACAGATGCCCTGAAAATAGGTAATTTTTATGCTCCTTTGCATACTCTGGTCCCTCTTTGGACATTTTAAAATGTTCTGCTCAATCCGATTCACTCTGAGCTCTTCTCTGGTTGGCTACTTTTAAACCTTTAGACTCAGCTTGGTCACCAGCTTCTATCTCCAGGGCAAAGCGCTTCCCAACAAGACTCACCACTTTATATGCAAATTATCTGTCAGAATGTTAGCTCCTTGAGGATGGTGTAATGCCCATCTCTGTGTTAGGTTTCACTAGGAACAACCAAATGCAAACTCTCAGTGGCATTTGTTCTCAGGCTCTACTGCTGCAGGCTGAGCAGCTCTGCCCCATCCATCCCATCTTATGACCTAGAAAGGCAATGGCTACCTTGAGGACAAGCTCCTCATGGCAGAGGTTAGAAGCTTCCTAAGGCATGAGTAGAAACCCATATATATGCCTGCTAAGTCTTGGAAATGACACAATGTCATTTCTGCCTACATTTTATTGAACAAAGAAAGTCACATGGCCAAGCCAAACATATCCATGCAGAAGACAAACATGTCCCTTCGGTGGAGGTGGAGAGGTGGGAATAGGAATGAATATTTGCTGACAACTAATCATCTATCATGATCTAATCACCAATGCCTAGGATGGAGTCTCTGGCACATAGTAGGTGTTTAATCTATTTTAGTGGGATGAACTTCTCTTAACAAAAGATTTAAATGGTTTACAATTTCTTCAACTTTGAAAAGCAAGCAGACTAAAAGCAGAGTCACATATAGCTCAGTCACTAATTTAGAATCTAATCACAATTCCTAAGCGTTCTTTGCTTGTTTATCTTTCTCCTTCGCTCCACCATGATCTCCATGATGTCTCATCTCATTAGTATCCTCACCCATTGGTAGTAGTCTTGACATTTGGGAAGTGAGCACTAAATGCTACTTGACTAAAGAATAAAAGAACGTCAGTTAGAAAGAAAAAGAAGACAGAAATAAGTCAAAGCAAAACTCAGACAAAACAAAGCAAGCTGCTTATGTGCCAAGAGCATCTCTTCCCTTGTGGAGCTCATCACTGGGCGTCTGCATTTACTAGAATATTTGTCCTTTCATTTGAAATGATAGTCAGAAACTTTTGGTTTAACCATTTTTATAATTTTTCATAAGGTAAGCCTCCAAATCTGCTTTTGCTTGCTAATTTGTAAGTCATATAGGGTAAATGATGAAAATGCAAACTGAGCAAGATTAATTGAGATTTGAAGTCCCTAGAACCACAGAATAAAGAATCATAGAATATTTACAGCTCAATGAGCTTTTACACTTAATCTAATATTGCTAGCTAATTAGGATACAAAGAAAAACAAATTGAAAACAATGACAAGTGGGACTCAATAATATAGCTGTCAATAATTATGTACCTATGACGGTACAGAGTCAAAAGTAACCCAAGTAACTTCTTTGAGTTTCAGTATTCTTTGCACTTCCCTCTGCCTCCTTGATATTTGCAATTAATTCTGATATAAAAATATTATTAGTATTAACATATTCATATAAAACGATTAATCTTTTATATGCATTTCACAATTATAGTTTTATACTCATGAAGAGATTTATGTGAAATCATGGATAAAACTCACCAACAATATTGAGTAAAAGAAGAAAAACAAAAAGAAAATTGAACATATGATTGCATTTATGTAAAATTCAAAAACAGGCAAAACACTGGATGAGGTTACAAGTTGAGGAGTGCTTACTTTGACTGAAGGGGTAGTATTGGGAGGGACAGAGGTAAAGATGGGTTTGGGGAGGCTCGGAAGATGCTGTTCATCTACTGTTTCTCCCTCTAGGTGCTATTCACATGGAAATGGCCACTGAATGGACTTTTAAAAAATCCTTGCCACCACTCTTTCTCATTACACAAGTATAAGCAAGTATAATTGTACTTCACATATTCTTGTATTGTCATTCCCTAAATATTTTTGCACTGCTCCTTAATTTGTTTTTCCTGAAAGTCCTAGTTCCCTAGTTCTCCAGGCAATCCTGTGTCCAGGGTCCTTTCTTTTTTTTCCCCCTATTATTTAGAGAATACTTTATTAGGTTTTGTAATCAAACCCATGTAAATAAGACCTTACATATTTAATACAGTGCCTTACCCCTGTACAAATGGAAAACAAATAAGTTTAACCTTTCTAGGCCAATATGGCTGTTAATTTCTGTACAATGCCAACTCAACAGAGTAAACTGGGATACTTTTTCCAAAGCTGACAGCACAGCTAAAGTTTCCAAAAATTAAATTTATATATATATGTGTGTGTGTATATATATGTATTTATATTTATATATATGTATGTATGTATGTATGTATGTATATGTATATATATATATGGACCAATAGCAGTATGTTATGCATCAATAGCAGCAACAGCTTTTCCAGGTTCTGCAGTGATCTGAACAAACTTATAGAGACATCCAGTACACTCCATTTAAAAAAAAGGGGTGGGGGGGAACAGGAAAAAACAAAACCCCAGAAAATTGCAAACTTCTGTTACTTTGTTATGACACCAATACCTCTGTTGCGGGTTTCCTTGGAGACACCTTCTACTCTGCCACCCTTTAGAAAGATGATGCTGCTGGCTGGGCGTGGTGGCTCGTGCCTGTAATCCCAGCACTTTGAGAGTCTGAGACGAGTGGATCACCTGAGGTCAGGAGTTCAAGACCAGCCTGACCAACATGGTGAAACCCAGTTCTACTAAAAATACAAAAAATTAGCTGGGCATGGTGGTGGGCACCTGTAATCCCAGCTACTCAGGAGGCTGAGGCAGGAGAATTGCTTGAACCTGGGAGGTGGAGGTTGCAGTGAGCCGAAATCGCGCCATTGCACTCCAGCCTGGGCAACAAGTGTGAAACTCCGTCTCAAAGAAAAAAAAAAAGAAAAGAAAAGAAAAGAAAAAAAAGATGATGGTGCTGAGAACACCATGCTGTGTCCCTTCTGCACTTTCAGCCCCTTGCTGGCCAACTCTGTGGTGCCCAAGTCTCCAGTGACAGATAACTTACCATTATGCATGTTTTGCACTACAAAGATAATCAAAAGCATTATAGAAAATTATATAATTATAGAAAAAGAAAATGTACTTCTCCCTTTCCTTCTCCTCCTATACATATACATATTCAGACATGCAGAGTCCACAGAAAGAAACAAAAGGAAGACACGCAAAAGAAGAAAAGAAAAGGGAAAGAAAAGGAAAAATTAGCAGTATACCAATAGACATGTACACCTCCATCCACACACAGAAAACAAGACAGTGTTTTGGGTTACTTTTCTTACAAAACTGGAACATCAAGTATATAATTTATGAAACTTCTTTTCACCTTACACATAAATAGGATTTGTGTATGGATACGGTTTGTGCTCCGTGCTTCTGGAGATAAAAATAATAACATATGTATTCTACACTTGGATATTTCTATTATTTTTTTATTTTTAGTTTAGATAATGTTACATAAACATCCTTTGTTGTGAAAGGGTAAATCCAGGCAAGTAAAATTGCTAAATTGAAGAGGATGGACATGAACAAATGGCTGTCCTGAAATGCAACAATTTACCCGCCCAGAATAGATGGCATAAAAGCGCTCTGATGCCCATTTACCTGATAGGAGACAGCAATGGACATCTTTTGTACATAGAAATGGAGCTTTATGCTTTTGATTTGGTTTGGTTTTTACAAGTACGTGAACAAATATTTTCTTATCACCAAACATTTTATTTGTTGGATTGGTAATTAAGGCAAAAATAATTTAGAAGGATCTCTAGCTTTTTCATTTCCAATAAGTATATTGTATTAGTTTCTTATTGTTGCTACGACAAATTACCACAGATTCAATGGCTTAAATTGCACCAACTTATTATTTAACAGTCCTGGAAATCGGAAGTCCAAAATAAATCTCACTGGGCTAAAATCAAAATGTCAGCAAGGGCTGCATTCCTGCTGGTAACTATAGGGAAACATCCATTTCCTTCTATTTTCCAGTTTCTAGAGGCTTCCATATTCTTCTACTGGCAGCCCTTCCTCTGTCTTCAAAGCCATCAGCCTAAGCACCTTCAAAATTCTCTCTGACTCAAACCTCCTTCGCCTCCTCCTTTAAGGAATCTTTGTGATTAGATTGGGCAAAGATAAGCCAGAATACTCTCTTTATTTTAAGGTCAGCTGATTAACAATCTTACCTCTATCTACAACTTAATTCTCCCTTGTCATATAACAGCATATTCACAAGCTTGGGGATTAAAACCTGAGCATCTTGGGGAGCCATTATTCAGCCTACCACCCACTTTATTATTAACTACCTCTTGGATATTTACACAGAAGAGAGAAGAAAGATGAGAGAGAGAGAGACACAGACAGAGAGAGAGAGACACATACACACATACACAGAGATAGGGAGAGTTGACTCTTTCTCAAAATGTGTGGTCTGGAGAGATGTGTGCTACCCTCTATAAAGATTCTTGTCTTGCTGCCAAAAAATGCCCTCAAGACTTGCTTTGTTTTCAAGACTTGAACTCCAGAGGAAAGTTTTCTCATACTATCTTTTGTTGGTGCCTGCAGGATTTCTATTTCCCACGACAATGTAGAATTCAGAAGGGGAAAGAGCTGCACTTTTCTTTTATAAAGTGGGACAAATCCAGTTAATTAAGAGAGAGGGCAAAAGGAAGAATTAGGGGACCTCAGGCATATTCAAATGGCAGATAGCGTTTAGGGAACAGAACATATGGAAGTCAACGACCTGGAAATTAATTTCCTTAAAGACTTCCTGTGTTGCCAGTTTGAAGACTGTTGCTGTAGGAGATTGTGTGGTTCCGACAGATACTTCAGTCTAAGATTAGAAGTAAAAAGAAAAAAAAATAAATTGACTGTAATTTTAAAAAATGAATTAGAGCTTTTCTTGCCTCTAATTAGCAGAATAGAGTTTGAGAGAACAACGTCAGCAAGAAGGAATTTACTGCTATGAGAAAATCTTTCGGTTTTGTTCGTAGCAACTTAATGTTAGATGGGTAGTGTTCCCTCTGTACTTGGAACTGGCAGTGCCCACAGCCATTGTTCACATTTACATAGTGCTTCATCTGTATTTGGAATTACTCTAAACAGTTTTCATAAATTAATTCATTTGATCTGCCCCAGAAATGAGATATAAACTATTACCATCCTCATTTTTAAAATTAAAAAAAAAATAGAGGCACATCATAGTTAACAGTCATCCAGCTAGCAAGTTGTGGAGCTGTCTTTCAACTTGAGCATCTAGCACAAGGTAAGGCTTTCCAGAGAATGTTGTATCTCATTCCTGATCTAAAAGTAGGTTGGTCCATTTTCCATCTGACTCATTTCACTATACCTTGAAGATGTTAATACCTTCTGGGTTTCTGCCTTATATTATGTATGGTGGTGATTTCTTAGAATTCACAAATGAATAAGGCACAATTAATATGTAAATTTCATTATTCATTTTAACAAAAAATAGTGTTTCTATTGGATATACAATTTTTATAAAGTAAAAACTGAACTATTATCTAAAAATTTAAAAACATTAAAAGCACATAACCACGCATACTTTCCAATGCTATACATCTTAATTTGTTTTCCAGAAATATACCTAGAAGAAATCACGTGCAAAAAACTATTAATATGAGACCCTCAGGTGATGTTCAAAGGTCATTAAAACCTTTTCAACCAAACCAGAGATCCTCTAAGATGCATAAGGACATTGTTCATCAGCAATCTCAGCGGGAGCCAGAAATAGAGATCATCTCAAAGAGATTTCTAAGTGTAGATTATGTATAATGGAGAGAAATCCACAAAGTTTCTCGAGAAAATAGTTGTGGCAAAGGCGTGGCCATCTTGAACTGAAAGGGAGAGAGAGAGTACAAAGTAAAGGAGGGTGTTGGAACCCTGAGGCTCTATGGGTAGTAAGCAGGCTGACAAACTGCTCACCTGCAAACATGTGCTGCCTCTCATGAAAAGAGGTTGACTCAGAGGGAGAAACCAAGAAACCAGAGGGTAGAGCCAAAATCACAGAAGATTATTTCCAGGCATTGAAACCTATTCAAGAAAAATCCAGCATTTGTCCTGTTGGATTTACAAATTGTTATGGACCAGTGACCCTTACCTTCCATTCTCCCTCACACAGATCTCCATAACTGTGACCTTATGCCTGTCTCATTACCGTATTTGGGGAGTCCTGGGGGAAGAAAATTTGCTGAATGATAGTTTAGTCTACCAAATGGGGAAATTCAAATTAGAGTATTTTCAGTTATCTTCATAGGCTAGAATTTTTAAACACATACATGGCATGGAGTGACCATCCCACCGTGAACCCCAACAAAAAAAAAACCCAAATCCGATGAATAATATGTATTTAGCCCAAAGACCTAGAGATTGCCATTGCCTATCTCCAAACTTAGAATATAAAATGATTCAATGTATTTACAAGCAAAAAAAATCCTAAAAATTAGTAAGAATAGCCTAAGATATTTGCAAAACATGCAGATTACGTCGCTATGGGACATAACCCTGAGGAGTATCCATTAAAAATTAAGAAAATAGGCCAGGCACGGTGGCTCAAGCCTGTAATCCCAGCACTTTGGGAGACCAAGGAGGGCAGATCACTAAGTCATGAGTTCGAGACCAGCTTGGCCAATATGGTGAAACCCTGTGTCTACTGAAAATAACAAAAATTAGCCGGGCATTGTGGTGCGCGCCTGTAGTCCCAGCTACTCGGGAGGCTGAGGCAGAAGAATTGCTTGAACCAGGGAGGTGGAGGTTGCAGTGAGCCAAGATCGTGGCACTGCACTCCAGCCTGGGCGACAGAGCAAGATTACATCTCAAAAAAAAATAAAATAAATAAAAATTAACACAATAAAATGTATGGTGTCCATCACAGTTTGATTTTACTTAAGAAAGAGGACAAATAAGCAATCATCCACAAAGTGTCGATGATTGGCAAGTATAAATCAACATATCAGTATATGTAATTATCTAATAAGCATAAATATTCTATATACATATGTACATCTATAATTAATTTTGCAAATAGGTAAAAAAAAGTCTATAATAAATGCATTTCTTGGGTATATTTTTGGGAAAACTTATTTTTGTATGTTTGTAAAAAGGAAATAGGAAAATAGGAAATGGAGAATAGGTAGCTTGGACAAAATACTCTTAATAGCTTAATTTGCATGTAACTGTTTTTGACAATAGCATTTGGATACTTTTGGTAAGAATGAATGAAAAACTTTTATTTGCTGAAAATATGAAGAAAACTTCTAACAAGATGTTTTCATTGCAAGGTAGCTTCTATTTGCATGAAATGACCATATTTATTTTGTTTCCTATTATCCTTTATGAAAACATTACAAATGTTGTCAAACTACTTTCGTTTTCCTGTATGTAGCATGTTTTACAGTCAGAAAATGTTTAATTAATTCACTGATGTTTTTAATGCTGTTGCTATTTGACAGCTGTTTTGACAAAACTGTCTTCCTCATTGTAGAAATTCTACTTGTGAAAAGAAGTCAACCATAGCAAATGGACTTATTGAATTATCCAGCTCACCAATTATATAGTATAAAATTATTCATCCTCATATAATTTGATCAGGAAAAATCATTTATCTTTAGCAACTGTGTAAAATTTAATATTATGCTGCAAGATAGCTGCAATTTTAAAAGTGACTGCAGTTAAAAAACTTTTAAAATGTATATGAACACTGAATTATTGCCTATTTTCTCACACCACTTTGTTATAAAAAAAGGTTAGTATCTAAAGAAGTACTCCACTGAGTCCACTTCTCTCCCTGTTTAAAAAGCATCATTTAGATTGTTTAAATGCAAAGTGCCTATCAGTTATTATTATTGGCTGTGCAATTAAATGGATAACTCATTCTTATTATATTTCAATGTTTATAAATTAATGAATTCAGAATCAATTCATTTTCTAATAAAACCAACATAATTATATCGGAAACTCTGCTGTATAACCATTATTATAGGTATATATCAGAGGCACTGTAGCAAAGCATTTGTAAAGGTTGAACTGACACTTAACATTTTTTATCCATAGTGCTATACTCAGCATTAATATTACTTTCCAATCTATTTATAGTTCTTTGTATCTTACCTTATTTAAAGACCATGCTTGATGTATTTGAAGATTGCCTTTCTGTTACAGTTAACCAAGTGGATTTAAATTGGCTTATCAACTAAAATGAATACTTCGATAAACTAAAAATGAGCATTACAGCTATCATTTAAGGCTAAACAGATTAATTTTTGCCATTTGCTCAATTCTTCCAGACATTTTCCAAGTAATATGTTACTTAGCTTAAAGTCAAGAAGAGTATGTAGCTTTACCTAAAATATCTACCAGTCAACCAATATATCTACGTTCATTACATCCATACATAATTTATAGGCAAAAAGACTGACAAATATCCATATATCACCTACAATTGGGGGAAAAAATGGAAACATTTGTGACAAATATATAATTTGTCTATAAAAAGAAAAAAAAGTTACTGAGATAATGACCAACTGACTATAGCATCAGAAAGAAAATATATGTTTAACATGATGCATCTAACTTCTAATTATTTGCTGGTGAGAGTTGTAGGAATGGTACTTCCAGTTTTTGAAAGAATCACTGATATAATTAGCTAGAAATGAACAGACGGGAGTTATTTAATGTAAAATACGTAATTGTCTTTGAAAAAGATACACAAAAATTTTCTCAATAAAGTTTTTTGCTCTATAGAAACCCACTCATCCCAAGATATCTATAAAAATATTTGCAAAACATTATGAATACTCAATTAACTTGTGATTTTGATATTGTTTTAAGACCCCCAAGAATACTGGGTTCCTTAGGAAAAGCTCTATACTCTAAAAATATTTTGCATTTTGATTGTAAAATATTTTGTTAAATCAATATTTGCCTACTCCCCTAAATTAATAATTGTCATGATATTATGAAATAATTCTCTTTTTATATCTAGATATAAAATAATCAGTAAACAAAAATACATCCTGAATTTTAAAAAATTATATAAAATTAGCTAATGTGTTATATAAAATTGTAACGTGTGTTACAATTTTCATAAAAACAAAAATCTGCATCAACATTATTATATTCTATTTAACAAGAATGATTAATAATAATAAAAAGTACTTTAATAATTTGAATATATGCACTTCAGTTCATTATATATTAAAAATATGTTTCCAAATATGATATAGTCACTCACTTTTGAAATAAATGCTCTCCATAAAATACATTTTATAAAACAAGTTTATACTGATTCTGGTTCAGGATAACATTAAAAAAGCAAAATTATGTTATTTCCATAGTTGCAGTCAAATACAGCTTATGAAACCTAAAATTTTTATTGCAAGGTGATAATTGATGTACCTTGCTTTGGAAGAATAAAGAATGAGATTTTCTAATAATATGGCAGACATCCTTCTACAGTAAAATAGATTGATCAAGTATAATAAGGAACTCACATGAAAATTAAAGAAAAACAAAAGAACGAGAACAAAAACCAAAGTAATGGGAATAAGTCTGAATGGATGCTGGTGCTCCCCAGGTGGGTGAATATCAGGTGGCGGTGGGGGTGCTAGCTAGACTCAGTTATCATAGATCTTGGGTTTTAATGACCACAAGAAAGGGAGATGGGACCTTTTGTTACAACCAGGCAAGTTATTGGAACTGAATAAGGCATAACTTTTAAAACTAGTCTTTACATGTATTATAATAAAACACACTAAAATTAATATAAAATCCACAAAAAAATTACATTAAAGTGATAACCTGGGTAATAACCCTTTTGTTCATGGCAGACCCAAAAGCAATACTACGTTTGGGATACAGCCACAACTTAGCTGTCAAAGAATTCTCGCAGATAACCTCAAGATTAAAATAAGCATAAACAGTAAAGGTTAAAGGAACATGAGGGAAAAAAAATCAACAAAGTTTGAAACATGAATCAATCAATTTCACAGAAGAAACAGAAAAATTTATCAAGGAGCTATTCCCACAATAATCACCAAACCCAGTTGACTTTATAAGGGAATTCTATTAAACTTTGAAAGAACACATATTTGTAATACTCTGTAAACTATTTCTCTATATTGAAAAGGATGGGAAACTTTCTAATTTCTTTCATGAAATATAACACTGATAAAAACAAAGATAGTACAAGCAAATATCAACTGTACAAAGGAAATTATAGACCAATGTGCTGATGAATATTGATGCAAAAATTCAAAAATAAAAAATACTAGCAAGCAGAATCCACTAGGAAAATGATTTCCATTAGGAAAGTAATATGCCATGATGAACTGAGACTTATTCTAGGAATTGGAGGTTGGTTCACTGCTCAGAAATCAAGCTATTAATACCACATACCATGTTAATAAATCTAAGTAAATACATAATATTATTATCAATTATCTTAATACTCCTGAGAAAATCCTTGACAAAATTCAACACTCATTTATTTTTTAAAAAACTCAAGAAATTAGAAAGTCAGGAATACATTTTTAGCTTTAAATCTTATTTGTAAAATAGGAATAACAAAGTACATCAAGAACTGGGCACTCTTCCCTTTCTCTGGGACATTTGCATTTGGACAAAGTTCTTATACTCTTTAATTTTTAGACTTTGAACTATTTCTTGGCTTACAGAAAAGTTGTAAAAATTGTTTGAAGAATTTTTATTTAACCATACTGTAATGATCAAAATCTGGAAATCAACATAAATATTATTGAAGCAGGATATTTCCCTGAACTTTTTGCGGGCAGGAAGGGGCGAATGCCACTCATTCGCTGCTCCTACCCTCGCAGGAGAAGGAGCACAGGTGAGTGGGTGCAGGAGCTGGGGTAAGCACTTTTGGGCACCAGCAAGAGCGAACTCTATACCAGCCCTATGGCAGCATCTAGGGGAGGGAGCCCATGACTTCTGAAGGCCCAAAGGAAATGTTACAGTGCCCCTTTAGCTTTGCTGTCCATGGAGTGCTAACAGCTCAGTGGAGGGTCAGTATGACAGCCTTTTGCACCCATACACATGTCACCCGAGTTCTCATATGGTGTCCAGGAGAAATGAGGTTGCATGAATGAATTGAAGATAGCAAATGAGGGGGATTTTATTGCTGGTGAAAGTGGCTCTCAGTGGGAAGGGGAGCTGAAAAGGGGAGGGAGTGGGAAGGTAATCTTGTGGGCACAGGACCGGGGGCGGGGTGGGCCATGGTTGGTTTTGGAAAAGGCAACATTCCAGCGGAAAAACAGGGATGTATATTCTTACTTTGGGCCATGATATCAGGCTTTTGAGCTTGGGGTTGGGGCCCTCGCCAAGGACCTGCCCTCTTCTGCCTAGAATTTCCCTGCCTCCTGTCCCTATCATTATTAACTAGAGACCATATTACATCTTGAACAGTTTTTCACTAATGTGAGGTGGACATTGCTGCTCCCATTTACAGAACAGAAACTGAGGCCCAGAGAAGGAAAGGGACTTGGCCAAGGTCACCCAGGTAAGATGCAGCAAGGGCCAAACCATCAGAACCAGGTCTGTGGCCACAGCGCTGAGCCTTGCTAATGATTATTCTCCGTGTCCAACCTAAATGCTGCCTCCACGGAAACGCTTATACTAAAAGCCAGATACAAATCTTTTCGCGGTCTCTCAGACTATCTTCCAATGTGTTTCCTCACCCATAAAGAAAAATACCAAAAACACAGTCTCGTTACATACTGTTAATAAGAGATATACCTAAGTCATAACGTATTCTAAGAGTGAAAATATGACAAAAAATGGTATACAGAAAAAGTAGTTGATTTAGCTTTACTAAAATCAGATAATGCAAGCTTTATGGGAAAAATCATTTTTAAGAAATAAAAGGTCACTAAGATATTTTTTTAAAATCTCACAAAGAAGATATAATAACTATCAATGAATATAGCATGGTCTGAAGAAAAACTTGAAAAGGGATAAAAATGAAGATTTTCAATCATAGGACAAAAATCTCACCTTTCTGGAAAAAAAAATTAAAACTCATATAGTTAATATTTTAGAATCTTGTACCTAAGAGGTAGATAATATGCACTCATTTTAAATTCAAATAAAGAGTTACAAACTGTAATCATCTCAGTGGCCCTAAAGAAAGTTTTATAAAAATATAAAAAATTTAATACAATAAGAAACACATTTTCTGATTAAGGGAAGATGGAGTAGCTTATCTGTGATTAACTCTTCACCAAAGAACAACTGAAAACCTACTGAAAGCTTCAAATAGCAGATGAACACTAACAGATCCAAGATTCTAAAGAACAGAAAACCATGGAGAGGTGAGCTGATGTTCTCCTCTCACCTTTAACCTAGAATGTTTGTCAAATGTGGGCAAAGCACAAGATTCCAAGAATCTCAGCCTTGCTTAGGGAAAGGTCCAGGACTGGGATATAAAAAACTAGCAGTTCTTTTCTGTGTCTTGGAGCAGGAGAGACAATATTGGAGCTATGAGAGAATAAAATTCCTTTAAGAAAAGTAATAAAACCATGTCCTTATGATTTGGGCAATTTTCTCTATATTATATTTCAATAAAATGTTTACTGAAATAGGACTAATTAACCAAAACATCAACAACATTCTGAAGATCTACTTGTTAGTTGAGACACACAAACATTTGACACATAAAGTTTCTAAATAACTATGCGTCTCTTCCATGAAAGAAGAAATCTTAAAGGGATTATATAATATTTCAAATGCAAAGATCATAAAAAGGTTATCAAAACATAAAATGTAGTTAAACTAGGACTTCTTAGGGAAATCTTTGAGCCTTTACTTATAGAAAGGATTTGTTAGAAAAATGCTGAAAATTAATTGTTAAGTATTCAAAATATGACTTTTAGGAAGAAAAAAATTAAGAGAAGAAAATGGAGAAAAAATTGGTAAAAATGAACCTGAACAAAAATTAGAAAATAAGATAAAATAGGCAGCATTAAAATGCTGAATTTTTCTGGTTATTTAGGATAAAATACACAAACCTCAGAGAAGATTTTTCAAGGAATTTTAAGATAGGAAACAAAGAAATGTGAAGGATCCATACACATAGAGCAGATATAAAAATATTTGGGGAATAGTAAAATTTCTTTTGTCCAATATTTTTGAAAAGTTAGATGATTAGACTAATTTTCTAGAAAAATATACCAAACTATATCAAATATATCCCAACACTCAATAAACTACAAACAGGTAACTTGAAGTTCTATAATGAAAATTGAATTACTGGTTGAAATATACAGGCAGAGAGCAAGAGCAGAAGTGAGAGAGAGAGAAAAACAGAGAAACCTAGATGGTTTTACAGGAATAAACTCAATCTTAAAAAACTGTTCCAAGGAATAGAAAAATGGAATTCTTCCTACTCTTATACGAGACAAATATTACCCTAAGGCTAAACTCAGACCAATGCATTAACAGGAATAAGTTAATAAATTAGAAATCAATTTCGCTGATTAACTTATATACAGAAAATTCTAAAGAAATAATTAGGAATCAAATTCAACAATTTATAAAAATGATATTATATCATAAACTTATCTGATTAATGCTAGGAAAGTAATGTTCATATAATAACAGAAAATCTATAAGTAAAATTCATCAAAATAAGGGATTATAAAGAAAAACCACATGATATGCTAGTAGATCTCTAACATGTATGGGCTGCAATTGAATAGTCACTTGTATTCAATTGTACACAAAGAAAATCCCTTAGAAAAGCAGGAATTTTAAATAATTACAACCTCCCCAATGTGATCAAGACACCTAAAATTAAATTTAACAAACCATTCATAAAATCTATGTAGAAAAAATATAAAATATATTGAAAAACAGTAACAAAGGTCTAAACGAAGTTTCACTGATTTCTTGAAAATGAAGACACAATATTAAAAAGTCCATTTTTCTCTCATGTCATTAGTTCAAAAGAATCAAATAAATATTAAAATAGAGTTTTTGTTAGAACTTGGCAAGCAGATTCTAAAATATGTATGAGAGAGCAGGGCGCCAGGAAGAGTTAAGACTATTACAAAGAATAAGGTCTGTGGCATCTTCCAAACAGACATGAAGTCTTACTAGCAAGCTGCTTATTGTACAGTTTTCTTAGTTACTCAAAACACAGTTTATATTGGTTTAAGTAGAAAGAGCTTTCTTTATGGATATGTTAACTACCAGAATCACTGGTATCTTGAGAAAGCCTCAGGGTCAGGTTTCCAGGACCCACTTCCTAACCACAGAACTGGTCTGAGAAAGGAGCTTTGGCTGTCAGGATGACAGAGTTTTCCACCTCTGACCACGGAAGCAAGCCACCAAGCAGTCCCAGTCAGGAAGCTGCAGCCCCTGCCTCCAAGGGATCCACACCACGGGGTGGGCACATCAAACCAATTCCACTTCCTCAAGTGACTCAGTTGAAGTCTCCCGTGAGTGTATGTGATGGTGTTACCTGCAGGACACATGTATGTTCTAGCCATGGGGGAGATGGGAAAATGAAGGGTTATATTTTTACTAAAACTTGGGAAGATTGGTTTCAGAAGGAGAAGAACAAGGGGATATGGAGAAGGGATTACAGGAGCTGGGATAGCCATGAAGAAAGAGGTTGACTGCTGCTGTGTAATTGAGGAGATGAGTTAGGGGGTAGAATAGAAAAATAGGACAATGGAAGAGAAGAGAGTCAAACTAATTTCAGTGACTCACAGTCCAAAATGGGAAAAGCAAAATGTTCAATCTTTTAGAGAAATATTAGGGTAAGGAAGGTTTTCTTTAGCAAAATACAGGAACAAAAAGGTATAAAAATGTGTCTTCTGTATAGCAAAATGTAAAGGACTATAAACATAGAGAAAAGACAAGTATCAGGTCACAAGAAGATATTTATAGCACATTTAACCAAAACAGAACTAATGTCCAGGATATTTTTTTATAATGCCTACAAATCTATAAAAGAAGACCTCCCTCAAAAAATTAAAAAGGGAAAAAATTAGTAGGCAATTTCAGAAGAGGAAACCTTAAGGTACATTCATTCGCAATATGAATATGTGTTCTACCTCGCTAGTAGTCAATGAAAACAAATTAAAATAAGATCACATTTTCCACCTACTTGATTAGCAAACATTTAAAGGTTTCACTATAACTATTATAGTACTTGCAGGATGTAAAGAAATGGGAACATTGAAACAAATTGATTGCTACACTCACTCTACATTCACTCTCAAAAGACATCTCCTTACATCTAGTAATTTTGGAGATAGGTACATTTTCCATGTATATATGCAGAGATATACGAAATACAAATACACAAAAGTATGTCCACGTATACAAAAGTATTTGTTGCAATATAATGTAAAATAACAAAACACTGAAAATTAGTAAAATGTCCATATGCTGGACAATGAATACATTTTATATGTGTTTCATTCAATGTTATGAAATGAAGTAAAGGAACCAGAGCTATAATTGTCAACATTAATAAATATCAAAGCACAGTGTTGAGGAAAATAAAACCTAGCTTCTGAATGATTTAATGACAATTACATAAAGTTTTAAAATATACAAAACAATATTATGGATTATGACAGTTTCAAAATACACACAAGAATGAAAAATAACAGATACAGGATAGCATTTCAATATAAGGATATATTTAGGAGGGGATTGAGATCCAAAAGGGTAGACAAAAGGGCTTTGGCCGGGCGTGGTGGCTCACGCCTGCAATCCCAGCACTTTGGGAGGCCGAGGTGGGCAGATTACCTGAGGTAAGGAGTTCGAGACCAGTCTGGCCAACATGGTGAAACCCCATCTCTACTAAAAATACAAAAATTAGCCGAGCATGGTGGTGGGCGCCAGTGATCCCAGCTATTCGGGAGGCTGAGACAGGAGAATTGCTTGAACCCTTGAACCCTGGAGGCAGAGGTTGCAGTGAGCAAGATCATGCCACTGCAGTCCAGCCTGGGTGACAGAGTGAGACTCCATCTCAAAAGAAAAAAAAAAAAAAGAGTAACTCTTCATAGAGCATTGTGGTAGGAACAGGTTTCGCCTTATGCTCCCAGATCATCTAATACTTTCACCAGTCTTCATTCTTGAGTTCTCCATCAGTACTGGAGATGGAATATTAAGAACAAAAAAACCAAACACCGCATGTTCTCACTCATAGGTGGGAAATGAACAATAAGAACACTTGGACACAGGAAGGGGAACATCACACTCTGGGGACTGTTGTGGGGTGGGGGGAGGGGGGAGGGATAGCATTAGGAGATATACCTAATGTAAATGACGAGTTAATGGGTGCAGCACACCAACATGGCACATGTATACCTATGTAACAAACCTGTACCTTGCGCACAGGTACCCTAGAACTTAAAGTATAATTTTTAAAAAAAACCTATATGTAACTTAAGTAGAACTGTGACAGTCAATATATATATATAGCTAGGTGTGCCTTGACACTCTTGCTCTGGAAGCTAAGGGACAGGCCTGACCTTTCCCTAAGGGTCAGAAGGGAATGTAGTAATGGACATAAAGTGTGAAATAATAGTCATTAGAGACTGGGAAGAGTCTGAGGGTGGGAGTGGGGAGAGGGATGAGAAATTCCTTAATGGGTATAATGTACACCGCTTGGGTGATGATTACACTGAAAGCCCAGGCTTCACTGCTATGTAATATTTTCATGTAACAGAACTGCATTTGGACTCCGTAAATTTATACAAATTTTAAAAACTAGAGAGAATGTAGTAGGCACAACACTGAAATCTTAATTTTCTAAATCACAAAGTCAAACTCAAAGATTACATGAATATTTAGGGAAGATACCATAGTCTGAATTAAGGAAGGTGCCTTTGACTGGTAGACCCTTCATATAAAAACTTGTAGAACTAAAAGAAGGGGGTTCATAATCACAGTGGAAGATGTGATTGTGGAGAAGGAAATTTAACATATGAGAAATTCTCAACAGTTTTTAATGGATAGGTATTAAGAAAATATAATTCTATATAAATTAACTTTATCATTGTATTATTTAATTTATATAATAATTTCAGGCAATTTACCCTCATTTTAGAAAGCACTGGAATAAATACTATACTCTTATGATGGTATAAAATTCAACATATTACAAAAGACTCACCAGACTGTAATCACTCAAATAAAATAGTATTTTGCTTTTAATTACCCTTTACTGTTAGTAATACTTGATCATATAATAAATAATAAATATATCCTTGCTTTAATAACAATTGTTATTATTTTGCAGAATAAACTCCAAAATAAAAACACTGTTTGCACTTAGGTAAACTAGTATAACGATTTTGGAAAACAATATGTAGATTCCTCAAAAAATAAAAATAGAATTGTTATGTGATCCAGGAATTTTACCTCTGGGTATGTATCCAAAGGAATTGAATTTAGTCTGTCAACAAAATATCTTATCTCCTTTGTTCATTGCAGTATTCTTCACAACGGCCAAGATATTGTGGCAAGTGGCATCAACAGATGAATTGATTTTTAAAATGTGGTATGGATACAAATGGGATACTAGTGAGCCTTAAAAAGGCAGAAAATTCTGTTATTTGCAATAACATGGGTGATCCAAGAGGACATTATGCTAAGTGAAATCAGCTAGGCATAGAGACACAAATACCACATGATCTCCTATATAGAAACTGAAATAGTCACTCATACAAGTAGACAGTGGAGTGAGTTATCAGGGGTGGGTGGGGAAATGGGAGATGTTGGCCAAAGGATGCAAACTTTAAGTTATACAGGAGGAATAGATTTTGGTGATCTATTGCACAGCATGGTGACTATAGTTAATGATAATGTATTGTATAGCTCAAAACAGTTACAAGATTGAATTGTAAATATTCTTACCACAGTTAAATTGTAAGTATTTGAGGTGAAGGATATGTTAATTAGCCTGATTTTTATCATTCCACAATGTGTACGTGTAACAAAACATCATAGTCCAGCATAAATATGTATAATTGTTATTTGTCACTTAAAAATAAATATTAAAAAAGTATACTGGAGATTTAAATATATAAAGCCGTATTTTCCAAAAATGGAATTATACTAAAATTTTGTACGACTTTTTATAAAATTTGTCAACAAATGTTGAATTTTTCTGTATATATATTTCTATATTTTTAACAATTTTATAGTACTCCATTGTGGGATGACAATTAATTTATTTCGTCAACAAAATCAACATTATTTTAATAAATTTAAGTTGTTTTCAATTTAAACTATTAAGTAAATATTACAACTGAGTGACATATGGACCTAGAAAATAATCACCAATGTCTGTCACATGACTATGTGACATACTGTTGAGGAATTGATAGCCAAGACCACCCTCAAACACTAATCAATGTTAGCATCGTTAAAAGCGATACAACCAGATATTTTTGTTTCATGAGTGAAAAAGCAATAGGAATTTCACAGTACCATTTATGAAGCATTCTAAACATTTAATCACTAATCTTATCACATCTTTAGATTTTTTATTTTGAATTCACATGAAATACAAGAGACAAAGGAACAATTTAAGTGATGTCACAGAAAAATTCTTGGCAAATCTAGAATGACAGACATTCTAAAGGATAAATAACCAGGTTTTTCAAACCATCATTGGCTTAAAAACAGGCACACAGAAAAGTAAAAATCCAGAAAGAATGTTGTTGTAGTAAGCAAGAGATTTAAATGTAACAAATACAGCGTGGGACTTTGGATTCTGATGAAGAGAAGGGCACTGAAAATTGGGGGAAATTTGGATATTAACTGGTTACTAAGTGTGTAAAGCCATTATGAGTAAATTGAAATTTTTCTTAGGTGTGAAAATGGCATTTCTTTTCTTTTTTTTAAAGAACTTGCCTCTTAGAGATGCACACTGAAATGTCTGCTGGTTCAGTGATGTGTTGTAGGGGATTTGTTTTGAAATACAACAGCATAAAAAAGATGGAAATGTGTAGATAAAAATGTAGCAAAATAATGATATTTGACGCAGCTGTGTGATGAGTATATGAGGGTTCATCCTACTATTCTCTCTAATTTCACATGTTTGAAAATTTGCACAAAGGTTGAAAATATTATGACAACCATTTTTGTCCTCATGGTTTTAAGTATCTGTGGGATATTTATTCTGAATAAATTCCTATAAATGAGACTGCTAGGTCAAAAGGAAAGTATGTCTTCAAGTCTTTACGTTTCATATTGCTGTTAACCAGTTACATGTGGAAGTGCCTATATTCTTGCCAACAAAGGTTATAGTATCAATTTTACCTGACTTATAGGAAAATACAGTATACCACTAGTATTTTAATTTCTATGTCTTTACGTGCCATTAAGATTGATTTCTCAAAAATGTATACTTATTGGATTTTTTAGTGTCTTTAATTTCTAAATCCATTGCCTGTTAAATCTTTTTTATTCTTGAAAAATTCATCTAGTATTTTGACTTGTAAAAGTATTTTATTTATTGTGGATATTAACCTTCTGCCTGTCATATATTATGAAAGTGTTCTTACTTTAACATTTAACTTTGTCTATACATTTTTCTGTGCAGAGATTAGAAATCTTTATGTAATAATATTTATTTATCCTCTCCAATTTAGTACCTGCTGTTAGAATCACAACTTGAAAGTGAGAAAGACCAAAGCTTCCCCTGATATTTAGAAGCTGGCTCTGGTATTCTTTGTTGAACATAAGCAATTTTACAGAACATTAGTATTGTACAATCCCATTTGTGTCCAAGATGGGTCAAAACAAAGAGAAAACCACCCTATATTTCAAAACAGAAGAAAAGATAAACTTTGTCCAAGACACAGAAATGACCAAACATCTCCCAATCCTGGTTAATATGAGTGATTGCTGCTTCTTTATCAAATACTCTTTTACACATGGTTTAGTTTTCATTCTTCTAGGTAAGATTTATTAAGATACACAATTATAGGATAACTACTGCTTTATGATAGCATCCAATCTAGAGCAAATCGAATTTTCTTAAATCCTCCCCCCAAATCTCCTAACAAACCTGAATCTTGTAAGTCCTTTCCAACAGCCTTTTACTGATACCCCATGAGCTCCGAGAAGCATAATCCCATGTTACAAAATCTAATAAATTTGTTTGACTACAAGTGTGTTCCTAGTGGTCTTTAGCTGTAGGAAATTGACAAAAGTAATAACTTACTCCCAGATTATATAGTTTCTTCACCGTATTTTCCCCTAATGTGTAATTTCCGCATTTAATTTTCTAAATTGTTAATATATATGGAATTCACTTTATTTGGAGTTTGGTAAAAATTGATACTTTTTTTCAAATTGATTAACCAGTTTTAATGAATTCAACACTGTATTCAGTATTTGTTTTCAATTTTTATCATGTCATCTTCAAAATTATACTTTAATTGTATTTCTCCTACTAAAGCATCAGAAACACAAAACATATACTTTTGCATGTAAATCTAAAACTTTAAAATATAGATTAGAGTTTGATATTGAACAATTTAATATAAACAGAGAAAAAAACACATATATTCTAAAGATTAAAAAAAATCAAGTGTGTGTCCCTTAGCTATTGAGATGTACTAATGCTTAATTATTTTTTTTTTTTTTTTTTTTTTTTTGAGACAGAGTCTTGCTCTGTCACCCAGACTGGAGTGCAGTGTTGCGATCTTGGCTCAATGCAACCTCCACCTCCCAGATTCAAGCGATTTGCCTGCCTCAGCCTCCTGAATAGCTGGTATTACAGGCACATGCCACCGTGCCTGGCTAATTTTTGTATTTTTAATAGAGACGGGTTTCACCATGTTGGCCAGACTGGTCTCGAACTCCTGACCTCATTATCTGCCTGCCTCGGCCTCCCAAAGTGCTGTGATTACAAGGATGAGCCACCGCACCTGGCCATTTTTTTTTTAAGTTAGGATTTTTGTTTGTTTTCCACTGACAAATTCATGTCCTCTTGCACTTCAATGCTTTTACCTTTTTTTTTCTTCTATCCAGTATATGATGCCCCTCCTCTGTTCAAGTTAACTCTTAGTGATCATCCTGTCCTCAGTTTACCTGCTTGTGCATTCCTTCTCTATGTATCCATAGCACTATTCACACCCCAAAGGACTTTAACACCTATCTGTCTCCCACTTATTTATTTATTTATTTATTTATTTATTTATTTTGCTGTCTCTCACTAATCAATAACCTTATAGGAACATCTCTTGCACGTTGCTTGAATGTTTATGGAAACAATAAATGTGTTTCCTATAATTGTGAGTCTGTTTTAGACCTTCCAGAAATGATACCAATAAGGAAGATATTCATCTAGCAAAGCCTCTCTTTATTGTTGATACTGTTGTCAGTTTATTATTTACACTTTAGAAGACCTACTTCCATTTGAAAATATAAGACAAGTTAGAGAACATAAAGAGAACCAAAGCATCTCGGAGTTGATGATAAAAAGGTAAGCCTTTATTGTTGTCAAATCATAATTGCAAGAGTATGGTTCATGATGCTGTACCAGCCAACCAAAGATTCTCTTTCAAACATGGGCATCAGGCTTTTCTACATGGCATAGAACGACAAGCTCCTGGCTGCAGACAGAAATGGGAACAAGAGCTTGACAATTCCTGGAGCTCTGCAGGGGGCTCTGAAGAGCAAAGCCTGCATGCACTAATTGAAGCCTGCCTTTCTCCTCGCAGGTATAAAATATGCAAGCCCCTGTCCTGAGGCTGGAGCCTACGGGTTCTGTGTCTGTGCCTCAGTGACCTCCATAAATATTTACTGAGTTTGTCCAATAAATGACCTTTAAGCTCTGACCAGGTGTTCAGCCTATCACCCTCCTCTTAGAAAGATTTTTCTCAGTGAAGTTTTCTTTCATCTCCTGAATTGCCCTAGGGCACCTGCTAGCAGCTTTTAGTCTCTTAGTTGAGCCAGTAACTCTTATTTGGCCTCTAGTGAGACATTTTGATTTCATTGATGTTCCTATTTTATAGCTTTATGGTGTTGCATCCATATTACTTCTTTTTAATTGTATTTAATATACATGAAAGGGTGTTTCACTAATGACTCAAAATACAAACAAATGAGCATTAATAATATATTTCTGTATGGTTAGCTCTGAAAATACCAATTTATCTTTCCCAAATTGATCTCTCATTTAACATCAGGGGTTTTTACTGGCATAAATGACTATACACTGAGGAAGTTTCATTATTGCACAACTTTTAAAATTGCAGTTTCTAGAAACCCTTACACGTTTTGGGAGATGACATTGTCATACATCTTTTTGCTTAAACTGAAAAACTGCAAGTCTTGCTCAGTTCCATCTGTTCCCTCAAGCTTCCCATCACAATCCAATTTCACTACCAAAACTTCAAGACGCAACCTATAAAAAATATAATAGAAATCTTCTAATGTTTGCATCTGCAAGCACCACCTTATTCCAAGCCATTTGCAGAGCAAACATCACCTTCTAATTCATCCGTCTCTTGCTATTTGTGTGCAGATACCAAGCATTTTTCCAAAGCAGTGTCTTAAAAATGTGTGATTAAGCCCCACATCTCTTAGAACTTTTCAATATCATCCCATTAACTTTTAAGAAAATTTGAACTTTTCATATGGCCTATACAATACTCTCTATAGTTTGTCTCAAGCCCATTCTTCTTGCACTATATACCTTGATAAACATGCACTGGCATTCTTTCTCTTATTACATTAGCTTGTAAAGTTGGGTCCTATCTCAGGATTTTAAGATTCATCATTTATTTCTTCTGCTTACTGTTGGCTCAGGAAAGTCTCAGCTCCAGGATCACCTCCACATGAGGACCTCCCTTACAGACAAACCTAAATGAGCCATCCAACTCCAGTCCCGTTCCATCCATCCAATTACTCTTTTCCATTTGTTTATTTGCAGTAGTTGTCATCTGAATTTTCTTATTTACTGCCTGTTTCTCTCTGTTAAAGTGGAAACTCCATTTATCTGTGTTTGGTTAATTTGTTTTGATTGACCATTTATCCTATGCATATAGAAAATACTTCATTATAGTATTTATTATTAAATGCTGTATTCATTAGAGTTTCAAATAAGCCAACTTAAAAAACAAAAAAGGATATTTAGACAAATGTTGTTTTTGTTATGTAGTGGAAAATTCAATATTTGAATGTGGAATTCTAAACAAAAGTTTTCCAAATATCTCATAGCATGGGTTGAGAAATTTGGTTCTACAGTATCATATTTAGAAATGACATGTATCCAATATTTATCTTGAAAGCATATAGATTTGTACAGTTGTTACAAGAAATGATATCGGATCTGAATTACATAAGACAATGATAAAGAATGAATTTATTAATTTACTATTGTAAATGAACAACAGAAAAACATTAGAGTTCAGTTGTCATGAAAGCCAAGGAAAATGTTTTAGTTTTCCAGATCTGCCAAAGCAAATTACCACAAGCTAGATGGTTTAAAACAACAGAAAATGATTATCTAATAGTTCCAGAGAGGAGAAGACTAAATCAAAAGGTTGGCAGCACTACACTCCCTCCAGGGGCTCAAGGGGAGAATCTTCCAGCTTCTGGTGATTGCTGGCATCCTTGAGGTTCTTTGACTTGTAGACTAATTGTTCCAATCTCTTCCTCCATTGTCACAAGTCCCTTTCTATATGTATCTCTGTGGCTTCACACAATCTTCTTATAAAGACATCAGTCATTGGATTAAGGTCTACCCTAATGCCGTATGCCTCATTTTTACTTGATTACATCTTTAAAGACCCTGTTTCCAAATACAGTCACATTCATAGGTATGAGGGTTGGGGACTTGAACATATCTTTGTGGGACACAGTTCTACCCACTACAGAGGATTTAACTAGAGTTGGTATCACTCAAAGCATGACATTGAAGAGAATAAAACAACTGGTGTGGTTTAGCCTTGGAATGCTAAACCCAATATACATCTAATTTATCTAAATTCCTATTAAGAATCTATCAAAAAAGTATCTGGCTTCTATAATATTTTTATTTCTGTAGAAATATTAATATTTGCAAATATATCTGCATGCAAGGAGATAATTTATCATATAAACTTCAAATATTACAGTTCTATAATTTTTTAATTAAATTAATAGTTTATTGTAACTTCCTCTGTGGATATGGGAGATAAAAAAAGAATTAGCACAAATGTGAATTCAAGTATTCTAGTTTTCAAGACAGTTTTATTTTTCATTCTCAGTAAACATATTATTATTTTGGCTTTATATATGTGTATGTTTGGCATGGTGAATAAGATGCTGTTTCCAAATTAAAATCTACTCTACATATGCTATACTCTGTAATATGATAAATTTACCAATACCAAATTTATATTATGAATTTACACATTTATTATATAAATTATATCCCATTTGATCACTTGAGTGATAATCACTAAAACTTCATATAAGACACACACCTATGCCTCAATGATATTCTTGGATTTAGAATATGTTATTAATACAATGATTGTTCCAGTTACGTAGGTGGAAAAACTGAGGTTCAAAGATTGATACCGACCATCGTATCTCTGGAAAAATTCTACCTATTTTGGAATAAATCCAACTCATCTTGTGAAGGACCTAGGCCTAGTGTTTCTTTAATAAAAATGTAATGAAGTGTCCTTGTCAAAACAGCAAAGAGGTTCTTTTTGGTAATATCTTTATATTAGAAATTGAAAACACTAACAACAAAACACTTATTAAAAAAAAAAAAAAAGCAAACAAGCAACTTGTCAGAGAAAATTGGATTCTATTCCATTGTGGAATTTTACCTTCTCAACTCCATCTAAAAGGCTTGCTAGTAAAAGGTGATGTTTTCTGTGCTGTGAGTACAAAAGTGTAACTACTATGGGAAAGAGAAAGGAGTGTATTTATGCCAAAGGCAGTAGTGGATGTCCACAAATTATACTTTGCCTTAGAAAAGTTGTCTTTCCCGCCGTGAATTGCAAATATATTTTACTTGTTTGTGCTTTACATTTTTGGGGAGGTGTGATTAGTTGAGGAGATGAGGGACAGAAACCCAGGAGGTAACAGGAAAGATAAGCAGAGGAGGTCTTCACCTCAAGACAGCACAACACAGGAAGGAGGTTACACCTGGAAGAAATGAACCTGCAGAAGAGTATTTTGGCATATCATTTTACTTAAATGAGATCATACTATATGCGCTGTTTTGAATAATCACAAGCACCTTTGTTTTCTTCTGCCTTGTTACCTCATTCTTCCACTGTACCACTTTCACTTCCACAGGTGAACAATGTGAACAACCTGGAGTGCATCCTCTACAACTTTCTTCCAGTTTATACAGCTGTGTGTTTATTCACACACACACACTCTCTCTCTCTCTGTCATGCTTTATAAAAAATAGAATTATGTATGCTCGCAGTTGTAAATCCTGCTTTTTTCAGTTGTCAGTACACAGTAGAAATCCCCCTAAGACAACCGTTATAGTTCTAATTAATTCACTTTAATTCTTCATGATATTCCATTGTATATATTCCACGATGTATGGAACCACTTGTTTTTGAGAGTCCTTGTTTTAATTTACATTTTTCATTGGACTTTGATAAATTACTTATTACTTATACTTAATTACTTATACTTTATGTAATTGTATTGCACTGTTTATGGAATAGATTCACAGAACTGGAATTGCTAATTAGAAGGGTTTTTTTTATTATTATTGTTCCCAATAAATATTACCATATTAGATTTAAACGAAGATGAAATGACTAATTCTTAACCTACCACTGCAAAAACTACTTTTGTCAATATCTCAATCACTAATGTTATATCTCATTATTTTATAGGTAATTTTATATTAATTTATAATTAAATATTCTAGTAGGGTTTACAATTTTTCACATATTTTTCATTAATATTTGGAATTAAGCTTTAGTGAATTTCCTGTTCACATGATTTACCCAATTCTTGCTGTCATTTGTGTTTTTCTTATCAATTTGTGAGAGTAATTTTCAGACTATTATTAAAGCTTTATCATATGCAGTACAAATATAATACATATAATTTTCCAATTTCTGGGTTCTTCTGATGTTGTTATTTTAGTTGCTTATGATTTTGTTTGTCATCTTTATTTTGTAATTTGTATTTAGATTGTACTGCTGAGTCTCACATGTATTGCTCTATAAGATTGAAAGAAGAACATATATTCTGAGGTAATCTCTCTTTGGGTTCACAGGTATCTGGGCAGGGTGCGGGTTTCCTTGTAGAGTTTGAACTTGCATGGCCAGTTATTCTGGCAGACACTAGGATAGGGTCAAAGCACAAAAGTGGTCTTTGACAAAAGGAAGGAACAACCTCATTATGGTTTCATCCACCGCGTTCCATGAGAGCAGTGGTTGTATTCCCATAAGGAGTCAATGAATAGTTGATACTTTTTAATAACTGTGTAATTAGTTCTACCCACTAATACATTAGATACATACTTTTTAGGGCTACAGTTTATCCCTACCATAAAACTAGTTCTTGTCAGGAATAAAGATTTAGCTCCAGCTATTCCTAGCATCACCATAGCCGCCAGAACATTTGGAACAGTTCCAGTTTCAAAGATTCTAGCCTTTTGTAATCAAAAGCACATTTGGACTTGCCAAAAATGAGTTCTAATATTTAGTTCAAAAAAATATGCACAGCTATTCTAAAATCAGTTTAATTTTTTTAACAGTTGGTTTTACAATAATGATAAAACTATCCAACTCCTCAATTTCTCAGTTACTTGGGAATTTATCCATTATGAAGCAGACCCACACTGGTGAGCTTACAGGGCCATGCTAAGTGTTTCCCTTAGAGTGAAGATTACCTGTGGCTACATCAAACCTCAATATCTATTCAGGCCAAAATAATATTGTTTGTTATTTGAGGCAGCCTTCTGCGTCCTCACATAAGTGCTCCTTGAAGAGCTTAGATAAATTCAAAGTTCATTTTTATTTTGCCCATCAGAGACACTATATAGAATCTCTAGCATTCCGTGATTACAGTCTGCATTTCCATAAAGAGTAAATGAACAGTCAGTATTTTCCTATGTCCAAGTGATATTTTTCTATGCCTACCTCTTTTTTTTTGTGCCCCAGTGAGATGTCCCCACCATCTCAGTAATAATACAATTCAGGATTCCAAAAATTTAGAATAGACTTTTGGCTTTTGTTATGAAGCAGCTGTATGTGAGACCTGTTAAGTTCATATTATTATATTATTCCCCTTATAATATTTGAAAATATATACTAACTCTATTTAGGGAACATAAGTGGAAAATATGTTTAATGTTATTTCCCTTGGTAAAATTTTGACTTTTAAAAAATCATCAGGCCGGGGCCGGGCACGGTGGCTCACGCCTGTAATCCCAGCGCTTTGGGAGGCCGAGGCGGGCAGATCACGAGGTCAGGAGATCGAGACCATCCTGGCTAACACAGTGAAACCCCGTCTCTACTAAAAAATAGAAAAAAATTAGCCGGGCGTGGTGGCGGGCGCCTGCAGTCCCAGCTACTCGGGAGGCGGAGGCAGGAGAATGGCGTGAACCTGGGAGGCGGAGCTTGCAGTGAGCAGCAATCTTGTCACTGCACTCCAGCCGGGCGACAGAGCGAGACTCCGTCTCAAAAAAAAAAAAAAAAAAAATCATCAGGCTGGGCGAGGTGGCTCACGCCTGTAATCCCAGGACTTTGGGAGGCCGAGGCGGGCGGATCACTTGAGGTCAGGAGTTTGAGATAAGCCTGGCCAACATGGTGAAACCTCATCTCCACTAAAAATACAGAAATTAGCAGGGCATGGTGGTGCACGCCTGTAATCCCAGCTACTCGGAGGCTAAGGCAGGAGAATCACTTGAACCAGGGAGTCAGAGGTTGCAGTGAGCTGATATTGCACCACTGCATTCTAGCCAGGTGACAAAGCGAGACTCTGTCTCAAAAAAAATAAAATAAAAAATAAAAATAAAAATCTACCTAACTAGGATAAAGCAATTGTGCCACTAATAATTATTAGAAAATCATGCTAGAGTTTTGATTATTTTGATAGTATACGGTCACAGGATTCAAGAATATATGAACCCACAATTTTCAATCTACCACAAAGTCTCCAAAAGAATTCTACAACACAGGAACTAAGGAAGGGGAAATCACCGTAATTCCTACTTTATCTGGCATCACTGTATGTCAGGAGTGATTTCAAGCACCTTCACATGTGTACACATTTAATGTTCAGAGATTCCTTAAAAGTTACATCTCTTCATTACAGGTGAGGACTCCAAGGCACAGGGAGGATAGGTGCTATTCTTGCTATCTCATGGGTTACCAGTGGCAAAGGTGGATTCACATCCAGGAATCTGGCACTTGGGTCCTTTTAATTGCTTCAATATTCCACCTCTCAGTTTAGCAGAAAGAGATGAAAAAGCCAAACTGGTGCCCAACTCCCTGCTTTGCTGAGTCAAATCAAGTTGGGTTGGAGGCCTCTCATGCACAACTTCAAAATCTAACTCAACTGATCATTAACCTGAAGCAATAAGAACTCTCGAAAATCTGAGTGTTAATGTGAGAAGGCCAAAGAGAAGATGGCCAGATATGGGAGACTCTAACTTGGGTGGACAGCTTTGAACATAGGAGGACAAAGCACGAGGTTCACAAGGAAGCACCTGACATGAGCATGCCTTTCATGCTGTACGATGCTGGCCGCTCCAAAACATGGGCTTAACAGACTCGGAGAACCTGACCAGAGTTTTCAGCACTGGAAGGAACAAAAAGATGAGCCACATAAAGAGATCTCTATGGTCTGAGGAGCAGGATGATATCTCCCCAAAATCCCACAGTCATTATCCATTATTGACAGAAAGAAGCAAACTATTGAGAATGTCGTTCAGTTTCTGAGGTGAACGACTGGGACATGAGGAACCAGAGAACAGGCGATCCAGCCTGTTGGGTTACTACGTAGACAAAAGTTTTAGAATATTTTAAAAGGTCTGTTCCTTGGTCTCACCTCTGGTTGTTTGGATAATTCTCTGAAATTAACTGTAATAGTACATCTTATGTACAATAGGAGATTTGGTCTAGGCTTGTACAGCTGGGTCACAATGCATATTTTTTCTTCTCTCTGTCCCATACTGCATATCCAATTTGAGAACATGAGTACCTGCACTGTGCCGAGTATTCCTTTCTGGGATCAAATGTAGAAGTAAGAGAATGAGGAAGGAACATGAGCAATCCGTGGAACTTTTGGTCATGGCATCCAACTAAATAGGCTGATTTTGCCTTTTTAATTGTATATATATATAGAAAGAGTATTCAGTTTGGTCAAAATATGCTGGTAAACTAAGAAAAAAATGAAATAGCTATCTTTAAATTATGTAATCTATTTCAGAAGTCATTTCACAATATCATCTCATAATGAACGTGTATGAAATATATTAATCTTTCACCCTTCAGAAACTCATTAGCCAATATGACCAGGAGTTTATTGCAATCTATTTGCAAAAGCCAAAGGCTTATTTGAAACAATGGATAGTGTAGAAAGGCAGGCTGCAAAGACATGACAGTGTGTGTGCAATGAGTCCCTTCCTCTTGATGTCTGTATTCTCACATTTTAAAATTAGATATTAAGAAAGTGAGAAAAGGCCAGGCGCAGTGGCTCACGCCTGTAATCCCAGCACTTTGGGAGGCTGAGGCAGGCGGATCACGAGGTCAGGAGATCGAGACCATCCTGGCTAACATAGTGAAACCCTGTCTGTACTAAAAATACAAAAAATTAGCCGGGCGTGGTGGTGGTTGCCTGTAGTCCCAGCTACTCGGGAGGCTGAGGCGAGAATAGCATGAACCTGGGAGGCGGAGCTTGCAGTGAACCAAGATTGCGCCACTGCACTCCAGCCTGGGTGACAGTGCGAAACTCCATCTCAAAAAATAATAAAAAATAAAAAGAAGTATGAGAGACTGTGTGTGTGTGTGTGTGTGTGTGTGTGTGTGTGTGTGTAAAGAGAAAGAGCCCTGAATAATATTTTTACATCATTTTATAAGCTGTAATTGATCAAATTTCCCTATAGGTTGCTAATGCCCATTGTATAAGCACCCATGTGAGCAATTCCAAGGGAATTAAATCAAATAGTGGTTGTCTGACCACATGTGCCATCCTGTACCTCTCTGGTCTGTCTTGTCGTCTCAATGGAATCTAACATATATTCATCTGCTTATCAGCCAAGGAAAAGCGTAATAATGATTATTTCTCTTCCTGCTTTAACTACCAGAACACTGAAACTAATATCGAAGCTCAGCTGCAGGACTCAGTTCATCTCAGAATCTTGTTTATTTAAAAAAAAAAAACTTTAAATATTTATCTTCTCTCTCCGATAGATAGATAATTGATAGATACATCGAGATAAAGATAACATGTATCATTTATTGCTCTAAAGCCCACTCAATCCTATCTAAAATCTGGTAGTACATATTGAAGATAAGTAAAAGGAAAATGATGTATCTGTTACTCCTAAGCTGTCAGGAACTCTGTGTTCAATCTATCTTCAGCTGTAGACATGTTGAACCTTTTTGAACCTGGGTTGCTGATGAAGGGGATGTCGGCCTGAAGCACTGACTCATAGTGCCATACAGATCAGGACACAGACAACTAATTTTTATGTGCATTTTATTCACCATTAGTTGAAATACTTCATTCCTCACATGATTCCCTAAATATAGATTTCCTCTAGTCATCTACATTTAGTTCCTTATATGGCTCTGGAGTTTCTCTGCTGATCCAAACTCCCATTATTCTCTTCTCTTGATTATTTCACAGGATCTGAGGGTACTACCTTTTCCATCTTTTAACTAAACTTTCTCTACAGTCTTAGCATTGACTGAGGACACCGCCTTCAATGCAGCCCATGGTAGGGAAAATTGCCCATTCCATCACACTCTTCATGGTAGGTGACATCAGCACCCTCTTTGTTTCCAAATGCTACTTTCAGATTACTATTTTATTTTTATTTATTTATTTATGAGACAGAGTCTCACTCTGTTGCCCAGGCTGGAGTGCAATGGCGCGATCTCAGTTCACCGCAAACTCTTCCTTCTGGGTTCAGGCAATTCTCCTGCCTCAGCCTCCCAAGTAGCTTGGATTACAGCTACCCGCCACCATGCCCAGCTAATTTTTGTATTTTTTAGTAGAGACGGGTTTTTGCTATGTTGGCCAGGCTGATCTCGATCTCCTCAACTGCAGGTGATCCACCTGTCTCTGCCTCCCAAAGTGCTGGGATTACAAGCTTGAGCCACCATGCCCTGCCTGATTACTATTCTATTTTATTAAAAACTTTGATATTTTGAGGGTTATACCAACAACAAAAACATCCTTGGCCCACTAGAAATCATGTTTATTCACAACACCACAGTGATTTCCTTCTTGTCTCTGGAAGTTTTAGCATAGAGTTTATTACCTTTCTGTCATCTTGCCATCTTCCTGGTTATCTTCCATTCTATATTCAGTATTTTAATATCAAATACAGTAATACATACTATGAATTGCATTAAGTCTCCTACTCCCATGGACAATCCTGGACTTTGTCACAATCCAACATTAAAATAGTAAAGTAATTTCTTTTTGCCACAACATCCAAATTCCCAGTTCTCTATTACAACCATTTTACCTCTTTTACCTCTTTTTCAATCTCATATACACTTTTGGTCCTTTGACTCTTTCTTCCCTCCCCATAACTGCATCCAGATTTTTTTTTCTTCCTTATACAACTTATACTGCAAGATTTATTCCTCCAGCCTCATCTTCCTGGAGAACTTAAATATTTTCCCCTTTTTATTCAATCCCAAATTGAATAAAAAGGAAAAAGACTGCAACACTTGACAAATTTAAATATCTGAGCACTGTTAAAGAAAATTGCAGAACTTTGTTGAATAGAGCAACTAAGAATTTAGAAACTCTAATTTCAACTGTGTTTTCAAACAGATCCCTACAATTTTTATTTTTTTGCCTAGTCAGTTATTTCTACTCTGTTACAGGGGCTCCTAGCTTAGTGGTTAAGAACTTGGACCCCAGAATGGGACTACCGATGAGTCAAGACTGGTAACACTGCCTATTACCTGGGTAACATTGAGTCAATTACTTCTCCTAAGTTTCATATGGAAATGGAATAATAATACATATTCATCATGGTGTTACAGGAGTTATTGACATAATCTATGTACATTCTTAGTCCAAGAAGGCACAGTATATATTCCACACATTGTAACTATTTTTCTCACATTACCTAAACTTTTTCAGTTCTTCTGAAATATCTAGTCCTACTAATTTGCCTATCACACTAAAAACACTAGCTTGCCTCACCCAATATAGAAAAAATAGAAGCAATCTTATACAAATATTCTCAAATTGTTCCATAATTTCTAGTATGTCTCTCCATGTGCTTTCTCATTTTTGTTACTATGAAAGATGTCTCTTTCACCTTGCTTTCCACCCTTGATTTGCATCAACGATGATCTCACAGATCTCATCTTTCATTCTTAATTATCTCTTTTTTAATCCCCCTTGCCTTCCTCTCTCTCTCTCCCCTTCTCTATTTTTCGCCTTTTCTTCGCATACTTTCCATCAACATTTAAAAATGCTAAAGCCTCCCTTAAATTAAAATTTTAAAACAACCCACCAATAATACATTTTCAGTTAATTTTAGTTCCCAAAACTTCACTGACATTTTTCTCATTAATATTCCCCAATATCTCCTTGTCGATAAATGTGTAAACTTCTCAGCCTTTGGTTAATTGGCCTACAGCATGGTCCTTGTGTTCTTCATGTTTTCTGGTCACTCTTTTTTGTGTTCTTTGCTGTCATCATTTCCTCTGTCAGTCACTAAAGTGCTATTGTCGCTCTCAATAATTCCTCTCATCCTGACTCTTTTAGAATGAGATATATGAGTGAATGAAACAGATGTTTTCTGCCTTCATGGGACTTGCACTCTAGTGAGGTAGAAACACAACAAACAGTAAGAATAATAAATATTAGATAATAAAATGTTAGAAGTGATATGTTTATTATAAAAATAGAGCAGTGTAAGGAGCATTGAGAAGGTTAAGGGAAGGGACAGGGTGAGCAGGGTAGACCTCATTGAGGGTAACATTTTCCCAAAGACTTGAAGGACGAGTGTGAGTGTGTATTATGACAACCTGGAGGAAAAGCATTCCAGGAAAAAGGAGACAGGTGATGCAAAGCCATGGGGAGTGTGCCTCGGAGGGTTTTTGTGAAGAAATTAAGAAAGATTAAGAACATGAATGAAGCCAGTGGGGCTGAAATAGAAATTGAATGGTAAGATATGACAATTACAATAGTAAGAGATACCATTAACTCGTATCATGTAGGATCATTACATGGGCTTCAACTTTCATCAGGAGAAACAAAAGATTTCAAACCATCACAAGATATCAGGCAGGTAACTGGCATGATTGTCTTATTTTTTTTTAAAGGATTACTCTGGCTGCTAGCTGAAAATAGCTTGGGGTGGAATGTGGGGTTACAAGATTGAAAGCAGAAATGAGTTAAGAAGCTATTTCAGTAATCAAGGTGACGGCTGATGGTTCTGACCAGAGTGATAACAGAGAAGGCTATCCGGAAGTGGTGGGGTGCTTGTGCTTTGAATGAAGACTCAAAAGGATGTCCAGACAGATAGGAAGATGGGGTATGGAAGAAAAATCAGGAATGAGTCCTTTGGGGGCTTTCTTTCTCTCCAGCATTATTGGTCCCTTAAGTTGTTGCTGCCTTGATAGTCTTTCAATGGCTTCATGGATTTTTTTTTTTTTAAGTTCTTCTCTGTGGTGGGAGTTGGTCTGAAAAAACTCTTTGCCATGAATGGAAACAGACCAGGGCTGCTCTTTCTGGAAGTCTTCCATAAGTGGTACAACATTTCAACTTAGATTTAGAAATAATTGGAATCTGGATCTCAACTAAATTTGGAAAATACCAATTCACTATAACTCGTTAGCTTAGTTCTAAGTATCTTTGTTATTTTGTATATATCTATATATGTATATGTGTACATGTGTGTGTACACACACATGTGTATATATATACATATATACATGTGTATACACACTTTTTAAATGGCTGGACAAATACAAGATACTTTAAAAATTCCATTTCGTGAATTTTTGTTGTTGTTTATAACAAATTCTGCATGTTGTACTTGGTTGCTTTTTGAACACACTGATGACTTAAATGAAATAATAAATAAGTTGACCCTTCCCTATAAACTGAGAGAATTTTAAGTATTCCTTCAGTAGGTACAAGAACAAAAAAGTAAATTAAAATTAGCCCTAGAATGTATAATAATTTAAGCACACACTTTGTGAAAACAAGAAATTTTTTTAGGAGAAAACAGTTTAATTTTTACATCTTTAAGTTTTAATAGAAAGGGATGAGAACCATTCAAACACGACCACTCTGCCATTTCTTAGATGGAAAACTTATTGATCTGTTTTGGCGATGAGACATATAATGAGGTAGAGAAAGACTCAAAAAATTCAGAGCTTTGAAGCATATGCAGATGCATATTAATGATTGCATCTGTTATGTTCTGCCTAGACTTTCCTACCTGTAGAAAGTTGCATAACCACTGTCAAGAGATTTAAAAGGCTTCCGTTAATTTGCAATGGCAGCAATTAGCAGGGACAGTGCTAAGCCTTGCTAGATTTCAAGCTGTCAGTGTCTGGCCATTTTTATTTAGAATTTTTATAAACTTGCACTATCATTTGCTTAAACACATTATATTTAAGAAAAAATGCTTTTTAGGGAAAAGTTCTCTAGATACCTAGGAATAGGTTTAAATGACATTTGAAGCCTCAGAATTGAACCCAGGTGGTATATAAATGACCCTGTAAAGACAGGAGGAAAATGTCAAGTCACACATTAGAAATACTTAAGAAATGGGAAATTCACTCCAGATAAAAATCACTGAAGTCACAGAACTAGTAAACCACTGTAATAGAAAAATCTTGGAATGGAGTCACGGCATGAAGAGAAGGCAGACGATCTGGTGTCAGATCAGTGTTAGAACCCTTGCCCTGTTAGCAAATGTGCTATGAAAGGAAGTTCCATTCCCTGTGGTCTTCAGGTTTTTGTTTGACAGATGACGAGGTAGAATTTAAAAATACTTTCACATACATGATTCCACTTTTTTCTCAATAACAATATGAGACAGGTAACTCAACCAAAAAAGACATAATATTTCCCGGCTTCTTACAGCCCATAAAGGATTCCTGAAGACTCTATCCAATATTCTAAACCTGATAACAGTGTCAAGTCAAAATCATTATATAAAAATATCACAAAAATCTCAACATATTTGTTTCCCTACCTGCCACTCTTCAAGATTAAGAAAGGCCATTCAGAGAACAGGTGTCAGAGTTGGTCAGTAGCTTAAGGAGCAGCAGAAACAGCAGCAATAATAGAAACCCTCACTTAAAATGGGTAAAACAAACAAAAGTTTATCTTTTTCATGTAATAAGAAGCCCAGAGGTAGATTGTGCCTGGCATTGGTTCAGTTGCTGAACAATATCAGGGTCTAAGTCACAGTCCAGGTCTTTGTAATTCTCCCACTACAGCACCAACCAAAAAGAAGGAAATAAAAGGAAAGAACGCTTGTGTTATGAAAGCAGAGAATTTTCCAGTGAACTGTGTCACTTGTCCGTTTGTTATTACAAAGAAGGTATTATTTTTTGTGTGTTCAATTATCTGTAATAGAATCTGGCAAATTAAAAAGAGTTGAAACTGGTTAAATAAACTGCTGCTGCCACAGTGGAGGATCAATGTATGTCTGGGCAGAAGAGAAAATTATTTAATTTGATGCAAAGTGATATGTTCCAGTTCTGAAAGCATAGTGATTCCCACATATAAAAGGAGGAGGTATACAGTATGTCTAAGATTTATGTCCCCCATTTTCCTATGTACGTCTTTATAACAAGCTTACATAATTTTGGGTAAGTCAATAAAGTCTCTTAGTAGACACCATAAAATCTTATTTATCAATGAAGAGGCTTTAAGTTTAACCACCTTGTTCAAGATGTAAACATAAATAGAATCAAAATTTAAATCCAGAGTTTATTGACTCTAATAACAACTTTGTTTTTCTTCCCAATTATCCAGGGTGCATTCATTTCCTGTCCCCTCACAATGTGAAATAAACTCCATGAGGATAGAGATTTCATCTGTCTTGTTTGGCCCTGAATTTACAGTGTGTGAAACAGAGTTTGGCAAGTATTTGGTGCCCAATAAATAAATAATTGTTGAATGAATGAAGGGTAAACTTCAATAAATGTTAGCTTATTTTATCATTATTATTACCTACATGGAGTAAATAAGAAACCAGTGGTTTCCCTGCCTTCTACAATTGCATTCCTCCTTTTATATGTGGAAATCACATTTCTTGTCATCTCAGCACTTGCCCTGCCTGCTCACAATTATAAAACAAGTTTCTCTGGGCCAAAAATAAAAAAAATTCTTTCATTAAGTACATGCACTTTTCTCTACAGGTGGAGAAAAATTGCCCTCAGGGTTTCTCTCAGACAATCGTGTCCAAAGCAAGCCTCACACTGGAAGCATCCACACACTGGGATCAGCAGGAAGAAAAAAAAAAGTGCAAACTGAAGTAGAGAGAGAAAACAGAAAACCCAGAGTTCCAGAACACAACATTCTGGGTCCCCGTCCAAGAAGGACAAACAGTCTCCTCAGCTCTAGGTCAAAGAGCTTCTCTGTAGTGCAAGGACTAATGCTTCTAATGATATGCCTGAGTCAGTATTAATTTTAAAATTCTGTTCAACAAGTTTCTTTGAGAGGCCTTGGGAAGCTGTTATTCGATTTTACTCTAAGCATAATTGGAGTAAAATACTTTTTGAAATAATGCCTCAGTTATTGGGAATAGCCACCTGTATATATCAAATTATTACTGCTTTGTATTACTGATCAGTTCATGGCATATATACAAGACTTTAACTTCATGATGCTGCTCTATACCAACATCACATTACAAGTACTATTACTGAATATTACTGTAATTGTTAGAATATAAATTTTATTGATACTTTAACAGACCACTGATTATGGCATAAAAGTATTTGTTCAGTTGGTCTCACATATGGATGATCTTAATTGTAGAGCTCTTAGACATAGAGATATATCTTCACAGCAATAGTAATAAAGGATTGATTTTATCTACTAAGACTGCATATCACATCTGTTATTCTGTAGTCAAAAGAGAGCTTCAACATGCACAGATGGAAAAACAGCCCTTTACAAAGTTGCGCCATTTTAATGAAAAGTATTTAATATAGTATAGCACTTTTCAAAAACTATGAAAAGATTCATATGAAAAAAAGATTTGGTCAACTTTTCGAAATGTTCCATTCAGTTACTCTAGATTTTTTAAAGAATAGAAAAATTATTAACTTCAGGAAATTATAGTTTACTTGTAAAATTAGCAATGAAGCTATTCAATTCAATTCTTATAGTACAAAATTCCCCTAACCATCTCCACTGCATTCTCTCCTTATAAATAATCATATTCAGAGGGAAACATGCACCTACAAATAGGAAATGTATTTCAGTTTTATGTAGAGGGAAGACTAAATACAATAGATTATTGCTGTTTATTCATAAAGATATCACTGTAGACAGGAGAGTAGTATTATTCCAGATTAACATTTTTGTTCTTCATAATCATTCTTTTAATCTTTTCTACCTACTGATGTAATTCTAAATTCTACCTGCTGATGTAATTCTAAATTCAACATAAGCATTAGTATGCATACTAATGCTTATGTTGATTGCCTCCGTTCATTTATATTCACAGGTTAAATTTATACTCATTTTTCATTAAATTGCTATTTTGCTACTTTGATAAAGACAATTTAATGGGTATATGTTTTCCTGTGTAATATTTTCTTTTGTAATAAAGATCTATATCTAAAGTGAAAGAAAAAACTCAATCTCTGGTTTTGATGAAAATGCTTATGTATTGCAATACCACCAATGTTTAAGAGTACTTTATTGAATTGCTAGTTATTTGCCCATTACTATTATTTCTATGCATTACTAGTCACCACAATACCAAAGGCAAATATACATTAAAAATGTTACAAAACTGTTATTTGAAATAAAAATTAAAGTAGCAAGTAAAAGTTATTACACAAGAGTTTCAATTATAGCAAGAGGTAAACATGAATTTTTTCCTAAAAATACATAAAGTTAAGAAAACAGAAATATCACATATGTTCTACCTATTATAGTTTGGATAATATTAAATTATATGTCTTGTCATAAGCCATGGCCTAAAATCAGGAATATCTGTGTTCTTATTATAATAGATGATTGACAAATAGAATATAGCTTAAAGAAGAAAAAGTCACAATCGGTAATTAATTTCAAACATGTTATAGATTTGAAAGAGAATGGCAAATAAAAAGATCTAACATGTCGTCATTCAGGGATTGGTTGTTCATTTACTAGACTTTTGTATTAGTCAGCGTTCTCCAGAGTCACAGAACCAATAGAAGGGATACAGAGAAAAAGAGAGAAATATAGATATAGGCATAAATAGATATGAATTAGGGGGATTTATTAGGGAAATTGGCTCATGCAATTATAGAGGCTGAGAAGTCCCATGATAGACCATCTGCAAGCAGGAGAACCAGGAAAGCTGGTGGCCTGGCTCAGTCCAACACCGAAGGCCTGAAAACCACGAAATCTGAAGGTTAAACTCCCAGTTAAAGGCTGAAGACCTGAGAATCTGGGAAGCTGGTGATGAAAGTCCCAGAATCCAAAGGCCGAAAACCCCAGAGTCTTGATACTCAAGGGCAGGAGAAGAAGGGTTTCTTAGCTCTGGAAGAGAGAAAGAAAATTCCATCTTCCTTCACCTTTATTTTCTGTCCTACCCCTTAGCCAATTGAGTGGTTCCAGTTCACATTTGGTGAAGGCAGATCTTACTTAGCCAGTCCACCGGTTCAAATGCCAGTCTCCTCCAGGAATGCCCTCACAGACACACCCAGAAATAATGCTGCATCAGCTATCTGGATATTTCTTAGTCAAGTTGACACCTAAAATTAATCCGGAGGACTTCCTATGTCTTTTTCTATTCCATTTTTATTGAATGAAGTATATATTTTGCGTGTTCCCTGAGGGCTGATGAGAAAATCTTGAATCTGTAATAATAAACTGTTATATTCCTCAACTTAACTAGTCGATCCTCAGTTGATGATGTTGTGGTTATGTGTTGTTCTGCTTCATTTTTCATCCTATGAAATTCTTGTTAGGCTAACTAAATAGAAAATTGTGGTATGTTACAGTCAATAGTTTCTCATTAAAATATTTCCCTTATCTCTTAAGCCATATGAAATAAAAGCAAATGATTATTTATTTAACAAATGTTTATTTGGAATTTTCACGTTATAAGGCATTTGCCAGCCTAATATGATACAACAAAGAATACACATCACCCCTTCCTTACAGCAGCTTACAATATAATGGGAGAGAAAGGCCAGTCATATAGATTATGTGTGATATAATCAATTCAAGTATGCAGAAATATTATGGTGTGTTCCTCCTCCTTTGCCATTGAAATGCATCATGTCACCTACAAGAGAATCAAAGAAACTTGCAGCCTGTTCAATTTACTGTCATTGAGGTTCTGTTAAGTGCCAAATGCACAAAAAATATAAACATAGCACTGTCTTAACACTGCATGAAGCTTAAAATCTAGCATGAAAACAATTTGACCTCCATTGTAGAGAAGATTCTACCTCTGTCATGTACTAGCTGTTAAAAATGTATTTAAATGTATTAAGTCTAAATATATGGATATATACAATATAATTGACAACACCAACATCACAGAGTGTCTGATAACACTCATTTAATGTTATACAAAAAGTATCTAGTAGAATGCCTTACACATGATTGACAAGTGTGTTAATGTACTGAAATACCAGAATGTACTTTAGGGATAATTCATTTCCTGAAGCTTAAGAAATGGTGTATCCATACCATTGCCACCTTGGTAACAAGAAGATAATTACCAGATGGGCCATAAATCCAGTTCCTTATAGAATATATTTCTCATGTCTACCTCTAAGCCTTTAAGGCAATAGATAGATTATTTGACAACACAATGTTGGTTATCTCCACAAATGACTTGAGCATAGAAAGAGGCCAGTTATATGATTTGTCATTATAAATAGGATATGAGAAATGAAGCTTTAAATGGGCTTATGGTTTACATTTTATTGCTTTTAGTTTTAACTGGAAAACACAACTAATCATAGGTGGTTATTTTTCCACAAAGCTTGACAGATTAAGAAATAAATACATGCAGCATCAGTGTGGCTTACAGATTAAAAAATAAATAAATGTAGCATCAGTGTGGCTTATGCCCCTATAGACTACTTTTCCTAAAAAATCTCAATTAACTTTTCTCTAGGGCTAGCAGCTTTGAAGGCAAACATTGTAGTTTTTCCTTGCTATATCTACTGGAAATATTTCTAAAGTTAACTAACACTTTTTCTTTGTAGCACCATATAGGAATACAGAAGGGCCAAAATCTTGAGATGTGTCAAATTACTTTTAGAAATAATGACTTGTCACCATGGTAACCTAGAACCTAACGAATCTATCACAATATCTCACTCCAAGTATGAAACGAACTGCACCAGAGATTTTAAAATAGTGACTCAGTTGCCTGAATCAGAAATGAGTTTCATATTCCTTTTTCCTTCCAATATTAGGTAAGAGAGTATCATCTAGCAAATGAACCCTTAACTCACATATGATTATTTTCCCAAACTGTGGAGAACTGCAATGTGTAGAACTGATTTTAAAATAGAATGTTTATAATACCTTCTAGGTAACCTTTAAACACATCTTTTTAATTTTATTTTTCTTGTCACCATACAAACATCAATAATTTATCATCTATATACATGCAAAGTGCACCCACCCACTTTGGAGTAATGGTGCCATTTGGTATTTTTCTTAGATTAAGCTATGAGCATTAATTAAGAGACAAACAATAGAGAGGAGAGTGGGCAGTGTGTTTTCTTATGTTCAGAGACTGACAAGGATGTGCATCCTACTAACAGCGAAAAATAAGTGACTACAATCATGCCTGCTGTGTGATATGAAATACTCTCTAGGCAAGTCAGGGGATTGGCGATTTATGCTCAGGAAAGCCGCACAGGATGGGGAAACGGTGAGTGACTACTAACGCACACTGACAGATCAGCTTTCACGGCCGCGCCTACGCCAGTCCTGACTTCGATGTGATATTTCCTCTACTTTTTAAATCGACTCATAGACATTATTTGAAAAGCATCATGCCATGTCAGGAAATTATTTAACAATTCAAAATCATTTCTGATGTGGAAGCCTAAATACGTCATTTACATTTTTTAAATGACAAAGTATAAAGCTCAGGGGGAAATTAATTACATGTGAAATCTTTGAAAAATAGATAATATAACAGCCATTCTGCCCTGGAAATCCTGGCAAATGTCGTTTTGTGTAACTGCCAGGGAGGGAATTCTGATCTCACAGTTTCCAGGACAGAGATGTCAGGACCACCCAATTCCACATAATGAGTCTGGAGCAGCGCAGAAGCAGGGCTTCCCGGATCAGAACAAGCACGTGGGGACGCAGACTCTGACTTTGATTTGTCTCAGAGCTAAGTAGTTAGAGCTGCAGCATTCCATTGCATTTTAGAAATGTGGCGGCAAGAAGAAAACTAACTTTTTCTGCCCAGCTATGCCATTCTTTCAATGTTGGAATATGTAACCATTAAAAAAGTTCAAACTACCTGAACAACATGGAGAAATTCCGTCTCTACTAAAAATACAAAATTAGCCAGGTGTGGTGACGCATGCTTGTAATCCCAGCTACTAGGGAGGCTGGAAGGAGAATCGCTTGAACCCAGGAGGCACAGGTTGCAGCGAGCCAAGATCGCGCCACTGCACTCCAGCCTGGGCAACAAGAGCGAAACTCCGACTCAAAAAAAAAAAAAAAAAAAAAAAAAAATGCTGGGCGCGGTGGTTCACGCCTGTAATCCCAGCACTTGGGGAGGCCAAGGAGGGCGGATCACGAGGTCAGGAGATCGAGACCATCCTGGCTAACACGGTGAAACCCCGTCTCTACTAAAATTACAAAAAAATTAGCCGGGCGCGGTGGCGGGCGCCTGTAGTCCCAGCTACTCGGGAGGCTGAGGCAGGAGAATGGCGTGAACCCGGGAGGCAGAGCTTGCAGTGAGCCGAGATCGCGCCAATGCACTCCAGCCTGGGCGACAGAGCAAGACTCCGTCTCAAAAAAAAAAAAAAAAAAAAAAAAAAGTCAAACTAAAAAACCTCAAAATAAATACACTAAATCCAGTGACCATACTTAAAGAAACTCTCATGAGAAATCTTGTCATATTCTTAAGAAGAATGATGTTGGAACTCAGTAGTTACAATTGTCTCTATCTTTATTTACTTCAGCCTGGTGTTAAAAGTGGGCGGGGGGGGGGGGGGCGGTGGGGGAAATGTCAGTTCAAATGCCGGAGACACATAGACAAACATAAGAGACTATTTGACTTTCAGGAATTTATTGTCGCAAAAATGAGCTATCTACAGATGAAGCATTGTAGGTCATGGTGAGAGGGGTATCAGTCTGGTTCCCCGCCAGCTCTAGCACTTACCTTGGCCATGGAGCTCTGTAAAGTTTTCCTAGAGGAACGTGCATCATAAGTAAGTTGTAGGAGGATTTGGAGTCAGCTAAGGGCTTATTAGAAAGGAAAGTTCTCGTTTCACAAAGGCGTAGGCTGTGTTAGGCAAGGAAGAGCTTGTCAAACCTCAGACGTCTGAGGCAAAGCCTCACAAAGGAAAAAAAATGTGTTTCAGGAGAGGAAAAAATATCCTTGATATTATTAAGACTAGATAATGGAGGACTTTAAAATGTGCCCAAGTGAGAGAGAGAAAAGCCCTTAACCAGAGCAATAGGAATACGAATTGTGGGAGCAAAGACAATTATTTAGGGACACTCGAGAAATGATTACATATGGAATAGCAGATGCAGAAAATAGTCTAGAAATACCTCAGGTTGGCTCTCAGCAGAGACCATTAACAGAGACACAAAAGATTACAAGAAGAAGAGATATGGAGGACATGATGGCTTCCGTTTTGAAGCAGAGCAGACCTGCGGTGTCTTTAGGATACCCAAAAGGAAACGGAAAGCAGACAATTCAAATTCTAGAGGAAAAGACAAATAAGACAAAGATTTGAGAGACACAAGGATATGTGGTCATCAAAGCCATGTGTAGAATCGCATGATACCTCACTACTGACATATAAGAGCTAAGTTTCAGTTTCAACCTGAAGATAATAGAGCACTGAAAATATGTCCCTTGCACTCAGGAAAAAAAAAAAAAAGACCGGGCGCGGTGGCTCACGCCTGTAATCCCAGCACTTTGGGAGGCCGAGGCGGGTGGATCACGAGGTCAGGAGATCGAGACCACCCTGGTTAACACGGTGAAACCCCCTCTCCACTAAAAATACAAAAAATTAGCCGGGCGTGGTGGTGGGCGCCTGTAGTCCCAGCTACTCTGGAGGCTGAGGCAGGAGAATGGCATGAACCCGGGAGGCGGAGCTCGCAGTGAGCCCAGATCGCGCCGCTGCGCTCCAGCCTGGGCTGGGTGACAGAGTGAGACTCCGCTCAAAAAAAAAAAAAAAAAAAAAAAAAAAAAGCTAGGAAAATGAAATTAACCAATTTCCTGGAACCCAAAATAGAACTAAGTTTGCAGGAAAGCAGTTATCCCTTGATATGGAGACAGACAATCACTGTCAGCAAGATTACAGCCTGAGCATGTATAGAACTGAACTATATGATAACAATGGCACAGTAGGAGAAGGCAAATTGGCAATGAACCATTATGAAGTCATTTCACTACATATGAAGTGGTGTATCAGTATATAAAGGGGGGGTTCAGATTATTTTGAAATGTATATTGCAAGCCCTATAACAATTATTTTAAAACTTCCCAAATATGTATAAATAATATTAATAAATAAATTAAAAATTAGTAGAAACATTTAAATGGAATTATTAAAAAGTTCACTTAAAATCAGAAAGTGTAGGAGAAAAACAATGATTTAATGAATAGAAAACAGTGAGCAAAATGGTAACTTTTAAGCCAACTTTATCAATAATCATTATAAATGGAGATGTTCTAAACCACTTAAAAGATAAAAATTGTCAAACTGTGTACAAAAGGAAAACCCATCTATATGTTGTGCACAAGAAAACATCATTAAGACGATATTTAGACAGTTTAAAGGGAAAATAGGGAAAAATAATTAATTCAAAACTAAGCAAAAGAAAGCCAGAATAGCTATATTAACTTAAGGTAAATTTCAGAACAAGGAAAATTTCAAGGATAAAGAGGGATGTTACAGTAAATTCTCCAAAAAGACATACAATCTTTCATGAATATGAACTTTAAGACAGAGTTTCAAAATACATATGGCAAAAAAAATGACGGATTTAACTGGAGAAATAGAGACACCCACAATTTTCTTTGGAGATTTAAAAACTGCTCTCTCGATGACTGATAAAACAAGGAGGAAGAAAATTTAGCAAGGGTAATAAATAACCTGATGAGCAGTATCAAAATCTTGACCTAAATGACATTTATAGAACACTTCGTTTAGCAAAAACAGCATAAGCATTCTTCTCAAGTAAGCATAAAACATTAACCAAAAATACCACTTTCTGGTCTATAACACACATTTTTGAAACTGAGTAAACAGAAGACATACAATGTGCATTCTTAGACCATATCTGCATTAAGCTAGAGATTAATAACAGAAAAATATATCAGCAATCTTCCAGTATTCAGGAAGTAAACAATATACTTCTAAATAATCTATGGCTCAAAGGGGGGAGTCTCAAGAGAAATTATATAAAAAAGAAGTAAATAAAAATGAAACTATGACATATCAAAATTTGTGGGATGCAGCTAACTCAGTGCTTACAGGGAAATTTATAGTGCTAAATACAAATATTTAGAAAGAAGAAAGACCTAAAATTAATAACTGAAGCTTGCATCTTAGGAATTAGAGAACGATGAGCAAATAATTCAACCTAAAATAAGCAAAAATTAGAGCAGAAGTCAACAAAATTAAAAATAGGAAAATAACAGAGAAAATCAATGAAACCAAAAGCTGTTTTTTAAAAAGATTAATAAAATGAACAACCCTCTAGCAAGACTGGCAAAGAAAAAGAGAAGGCACAAGTTACCAGTATCAAGAATGAAACAAGAGATATCACTATAAACACTGCAGACATCAAGAGGATGAAAAGGAAATACTATGGATATTTCTACACACATAACTGGGACTACTTAGGTGAAAATGGACCACCTCCTGTATAAACACCAACTACAATGATTCACTCATTATGAAAGTGATCATTCGAAGAGCCCCATAATAATTAAGAAGGTTAAGATAAAACAAAATGTAGAAAAAAGAAAAAAACACATTATTTGCTAATGACATGACCATCTATGTAGAAAATCCCAAAGAATCTACACAATTTCTTGGAACTGATAATGAGGTTAGCAAAGTAGTAGTATACAGGTTTAATATACAAAGGTTAATTACATTCTTACATTCCAGAGATAAAAGATTTAAATATGAAGTTAAAATATTGAACACAAAATAAATGAAATACTTTGGTATAAACTAACAATATATGTGCAGGATTTTTATGCTGAAAACTGAAAAATACTGGTGAAAGAAGTCAACAAAGACCGAAATAATTAGAGATATATACTATGTTTATATATTAAAAGGCAGAATATTGTTAAGCTACCACTTCTCTCCAATTCAGCTTATTTGAATAACATCTCAAACAAAACAACAATAAATTCTTTTTGTGGAAATGAACAAGAATCCAAAATGTATGTGAACAGCCACAGAAATAGAATAGCCTAAGCAATTCTGAAAGAAGAACAAAATTGAAGGACTCATATTACCCAATCTCAAGTCTTACTATAAATCTACATTAATTAAGACAGTGTGGTACTGACCTGCTGTTATACATCAATTGAACAGAATAGAGAGCTCATAAAGAGATACATGCAAATATAGTCAACTAATTTGACAAGGAAACAAAAGAAATTCAATACAGGCTCGGCGTGGTGGCTTACGCCTGTAATCCCAGCACTCTGGGAGGCCGAGGCGGGTGCATCACCTGAGGAGAGGAGTTCAAGACCAGCCTGACCAACATGGTGAAACCCCATCTCTACTAAAAACACAAAAATGAACCGGGTGTCATGGTGGGCGCCTATAGTACCAGCTACTCGGGAGGCTGAGGCAGGAGAATCACTTAAGCCCAGGAGGCGGAGGTTGCAGCAAGCCGGGATTTCACCACTGCACTCCAGTCTAGGCAACAGACCAAGACTCTGCCTAAAAAAAAAAAAAAAAAAATTCAAGAGAAAAATGATAGTCTTTTCAATGAATGATGATGAAACAATCATATATTTATATAAAAAACTTCAACTAAATTAATACTCATTTAAAAATTAACTAGGAATTGATTATAAATTAAATGTAAGATATAAATATAAGTATACAACCTCTAGATGAATATTTAGGAGAAGATCTATAGAACATTGTGTTTGGGGGGGGATTTATTATTATTATTTTTTTTATTCATTCATGCATGTATTCATTCAGTAAAAAGTTATTAAGTGATATATTTATTAAGTAATTTAACCTAAGAATCTAAGACACCTAAAGAATAAGTAGGAGTTAGCAAAGGAAGAAACTAACGTTATTTGATAAAAGCACAAATCATATTACTCTCTTCCTTAAAACTTCCTATAGCTTCCCATTGTACTTAGGATAAAACTCACATTCCACATTTCCACAGCAAAGAGTTCCTGCATGACTGAGTTCCTCCTTTCTGTGCCTCTTGCTTCATCTATTACTCTTCATTTGCCTTGATGTTTCTTGAATATATAGGCCAAGTTCATTTCTACCTTGAGGGCATTTTTTTTTTTTTTTTGAGACACAGTCTCACTCTGTCGCCCATGCTGGAGTAGAGTGGACTGATCTCAGCTCACTGCAACCTCTGCCTCCCAGATTCAAGTGATTCTCCTGCCTCAGTCTCCTGAATAGCTGGGACTACAAGCGCACACTCCATGCCCAGCTAATTTTTGTAATTTTTTTTCTTTTTTTGTACAGATGAGGTTTCACCATGTTGGCCAGGCTGGTCTCAAACTCCTGACTTCAGGTGATCCTCCCACCTTGGCCTCCCAAAGTGCTGTGATTACAGGCATGAGCCATCATGCCCAGTAAAGGCCATTTTTCTGACATACTATAATGCATTTTTATGCCTTCTTTAATTTTTAAATCTGGGGTAATGAAGCTTCAGACAATGAAGTATAACCTCCTTATTAATTCTTTGCTCTGCACAGTAATTCTCTCTCCCCACATCTTAAGTCAAATGTCACTCCAGTGATGCCTTCCGAGACAACCTTATCTAAGTTGACATTTTTCTCCATAATAACTTATCACTAGCTGGAGTTATCTTGTTCATTGTTTACTTGTTCTTGTCTGTCTCCCTTCATAAGCATGCAAGGTCCGTGAGAGCTGGAATTTTGTCCTGTTCATTCCTGTATCTCCAGTCCCTAGAAGAATGCCTGACACATCATAGGCATTCAACAAATAATACCTATCCTGGAAGGTGAGATTTGTATGTGAAATATTTTGTTTTATTATTATTATTATACTTTAAGTTCTAGGGTACATGTGCACAATGTGCAGGTTTGTTACATAAGTATGCATATGCCATATTGGTTTGCTGCACTCATCAACTTGTCATTTACATTAGGTATTTCTTCTAACGCTATTCCTCCCCCAGCCCCCCACCCCCTAATAGGCCCCAGTGTATGATGTTCATGTTTGGGAATGAATTTATAGCTACTACACCAGAAGTACAATGAATAAAAGAGAAAAGTGTTATTGGACTTTATAAAAATTTCAACTTTTGCTCTGCAAATTATTGTTTAGATAATGAAAAGATAAGCCACACTCTAAATAAAAATATTTGCAAAATCCATATCTGGATGAAAGGACTTTCAGCCAATAACCATAAAGAATATTAAATCTCACCAATAAGAAAGCAGGTAACCACTTTCTAAAAGTTGTCATAAATTTGAAAAGATACTACACCACAGAAAATATATGGATGGCAAATAAACATTTGGAAATAGGCTCAACGTCAAGGGAAGTTCATATAAAAGCGCAATGAAATACCACTATGCACTATTAGAATGGCAAAAATGCAAAACATCAAATAAATCTCTGGCCAGGATTTGGAGTAAGAGGTACTCTTATTTATTGCTTATGGGGAATGCAAAATGGCACAGTCTATTTGGGATAGACTTATATTCATAAAGTTAAACACAGACTTACTATAAGAGACAGCAACCACATTCCTAAATATTTACCCAAGAGAATTTAAAATATGTGTTCACACAAAAACATATGTAAATATTCATAGCACTTTACTCATAATTTCTAAAAATGAAAATAAGATGTTCCTTAATAGGGAAATGAAATGAAAATGAGAGTACATCCACGTAATGGAATACTATTCAGTGATAAAGAGGAGTGAGTTATTGATTCACTCAACAACATGAATTAATGTTATTGATTTTTCTTTTCTAACCAAGTTTAAAAAGCCAAACCCATAGTCTACATATAGTATAATTTCATTCATATGAAATTTGGAAAAAAGTAAAACTATAGGTTCAACTGTCTGATCTTTGACAAACCTGAGAAAAACAAGCAATGGGGAAAGGATTCCCTATTTAATAAATGGTGCTGGGAAAACTGGCTAGCCATATGTAGAAAGCTGAAACTGGATCCCTTCCTTACACCTTATACAAAAATTAATTCAAGATGGATTAAAGACTTAAATGTTAGACCTAAAACCATAAAAACTCTAGAAGAAAACCTAGGCATTACCATTCAGGACATAGGCATGGGCAAGGACTTCATGTCTAAAACACCAAAAGCAATGGCAACAAAAGCCAAAATTGACAAATGGGATCTAATTAAACTAAAGAGCTTCTGCACAGCAAAAGAAACTACCATCAGAGTGAACAGGCAACCTACAAAATGGGAGAAAATTTTCACAACCTACTTATCTGACAAAGGGCTAATATCCAGAATCTATAATGAACTCAAACAAATTTACAAGGAAAAAGCAAACAACCCCATCAAAAAGTGGGCGAAGGATATGAACAGACACTTCTCAAAAGAAGACATTTATGCAGCCAAAAAACACATGAAAAAATGCTCACCATCACTGGCCATCAGAGAAATGCAAATCGAAACCACAATGAGATACCATCTCACACCAGTTAGAATGGCAATCATTAAAAAGTCAGGAAACAACAGATGCTGGAGAGGATGTGGAGAAATAGGAACACTTTTACACTGTTGGTGGGACTGTAAACTAGTTCAACCATTGTGGAAGTCAGTGTGGCGATTCCTCAGGGATCTAGAACTAGAAATACCATTTGACCCAGCCATCCCATTACTGGGTATATACCCAAAGGACTATAAATCATGCTGCTATAAAGACACATGCACACGTATGTTTATTGCGGCACTAGTCACAATAGCAAAGACTTGGAACCAATCCAAATGTCCAACAATGATAGACTGGATTAAGAAAATGTGGCACATATACACAATGGAATACTATGCAGCCATAAAAAATGATGAGTTCATGTCCTTTGTAGGGACATGGATGAAATTGGAAATCATCATTCTCAATAAACTATCACAAGGACAAAAAACCAAACACCACATGTTCTCACTCATAGGTGGGAATTGAACAATGGGAACACATGGACACAGGAAGGGGAACATCACACTCTGGGGACTGTTGTGGGGTGGGGGGAGGGGTAGGAATGGCATTAGGAGATATACCTAATGCTAAATGACGAGTTGATGGGTGCAGCACACCAGCATGACACATGTATACATATGTAACTAATCTGCACATTGTGCACATGTACCCTAAAACTTAAAGTATAATAAAAAAAACTATAGGTTCAAAATATAGAAAATATAGATCTGTTATTGTCAAGGATTTGAGAAAGTTCGAGTGTTTGACTAGGGCAAGCACAGGGAATTATTTAGAGTGGGGAAACAAATGCATGAAGCTTGCATTTCCTCAAACTCATGTCTGTATATCAGAAAGAATAAGCTTTAATGTATGATAACTTAAAGTACACACAGGTATCAGGGACCCCAGGATGGAAGAGAATGCCTATTGTATAATTGAATCTAATGGGATTATAGATATTAGGCATAAGTGTGCTGAAGAAAGCAGGGAGTGTTGGAGGTATGGATGAAGCTGATATGAATAATTTAGGACAGTGGCGTTTGGAAGAAGACAAAAAGAACTGCACACAATCACTGCATTCTAGATGGTAAGTGTCTTTCTCATGGAGAAAATTTACAGACCTACAATACTGAAATACTTTTCCTATATATGTGGGTTTAACTAATAAGTAAATGGAGGGTAGATTCTAAGGGCCAAGCTTCTCATAGTCTGAGAGAGAAGTTACAGGTAGACAAGAAGAAAAAAATGAGAATGACCCATGCAAGCTGCCTTAGAGTCAGAGATATCACCATAAACTGAAGTTTAGCTCAATGTGTATGTAGATGGATAAACACAGAAGCAATTATAGATGTTTGAATATAAATGTGGGTTAGTATACATATATACTATACATATATTATATATATGGGCTGTCATCATATACAATCAAGATGGTCATATTGGGAACTAACTCAATAGTAAAACTAGCTCATACACAAAAAATAAAATACCTAGGAATACATCTAGCCAAGGAGGTGAAAGATCTCTACAAGGAGAACTACAAAACACTGCTAAAAGAAATTACAGATGACATAAACAAATGGAAAAACATTCCATGCTCATGAACTGGAAGAATCAATATCCTTAAAATGGCCATACTGCCCAAAGCAATCTACATATTCAATGTGATTCCTATCAAACTAACAATGCCATTTTTCACAGAAATATTTTAGAAAAAAACTAATCTACAATGAATATGAAACCAAAAAAGAGCCTGAATAGCCAAAGCAATACTAAGCAAAAACAACAAAGGACCACATTATCTGACTTCAAACTATACTGTAAGGCTACAGTAACCAAAACAGTGTGGTACTGATGTAAAAACAGACACCTACACAAATGGAACAGAATAGAGAGCCCAGAAATAAAGCCACACCCCTACATCATTCTGTTATTCAACAAAATAGACAAAAATAAACAATGTGGAAAGGACTCTCTATTCAATAAATAGTGCTGGGATAGCTAGCCAGCCATATGCAGAAGATTGAAAATTGACCCCTAAATTTCACCATATACAAAAACCAATTCAAGATGGATTAAATATTTAAATGTAAGACCTCAAACTATAAGAATCCTAGAATAAAACCTAGGAGACACCATTCTGGACATTGATCAATGGACAGAAATTATGGCTAAGTCCTCAAAAGCAACTCTAACAAAAACAAACATTGATAAGTGGGACCTAATTAAACTAAAGAGCTCTGTACACCAAAACAAACAACCAACAGAGTAACTAGACAACCTAAGAAATGGGAAAAAAATATTCACAAGCTATGCGTCTAACAAAGGTCTAATATTCAGAATCTATAAGGAACTTAAACAACTCAACAGGGAAAAAAAAAACACGATCTAAAATTGGGCAAAATACATGAACAGACATTTCTCAAAAAAAAAAAAAAAAAAACTAAGAAGCAGCCAACAAACATATGGAAAAATGCTCCAATTCACTAATTATCAGAGAAATGCAAATTAAAACCACAGTGTGATACCATCTCACACCAGTCAGTATGGCCATTATTAAAAGCCTAAAAACAATAGATGCTGGCAAGGCTGCAAAGCAAAGGGAATGCTAATACATGGTTGGTGGGAATGTAAATTAGTTCAGCCACTGTGGAAAACAGTTTTGAGACTTCTCAAATAACTTAAAACAGAACTACCATTCAACCCAGCAATCCCATTACTGGGAATATATCCAAAAGAAAACAAATCATTCTGCCAAAAAGACATATGCCCCCTCACATTCATTGCAATAGTATTCACAATAGCAAAGACATGGAATCAACATAGGTGCCAATCAACAGTGGACAAAGAAGTGGTATTTCATGGTATATGTACCACGTTTTGTTTATATCCAGTAGTTCGTAAAGAAAATCTGGTGAATATACACCATGAAATACTATACAGCCATAAAAAGAATGAAATCATGCTTCTTACAACATGGATGTAGCTGGAGGCCATTATCCCAAGCAAACTAAAACAAAAAACAGAAAACCAAATACTGTATGTTCTCACTTATAAGTGAGTGCTAAACCTTGAGTATTAATGCACATGAGGATGTCAACAATAGAAACTGGGGACTACTAGTAGGGGAAAGAAGGAAGGGAGATAAGTGTTGAATAACTATCCATTGGGTACTATGCTCGCTACTGGGTGACGGAATCGTTCATACCCCAAACCTCAACATCAAGCAATATACCCAGGTAACAAACCCGTACATGTACCCCCCTGAATCTAAAATAAAAGTTGAAAAAGTTACCAATAAGACTAGTGCAGAGACTAGAAGAGAAACCAAGCATGATACTTTTTAATATAGTTAAAATGTATAATTAGTTGATATAGTAATTCTGTGCTAGTAATTTAGGATTAAGTACAAGACTGCCTAGGGACATCTTAAACTACTTTGAATGACAGATGAGCAAGATTAACCCACACAGGTGGCATCCGCATCTGATATGTGTTCCAATTGCTTGCAGAATTTGTAATGACTGAGCAAATATGTAAAGATAGGAATAAGTCAATTTAAAGTTAACTAAGCTTGGGAGGGTTTAATAAATTGGCAAAGAGTAACCATTTTTACAGTGTAATAAGCCTTTAATCAAGAACCTATCATACCTAGATAACTTGAAGAAAACCCTATATAAACTAACATTTCAAGATTCAGTAAGTATGCCAGAGATAAAGAGGGACTCAATATCAACATAACCACCAATGTGTAGCAAATGAGAACTTCTAAACAAAATGAAAAAACAGGGACTGGATTTATTCTCTGTGTTATCAACATAACCACCAATGTGTAGAAAACAACTATGAAATGGGAAAAAATATTCACATAGAAAAAAAATTCCTATAGTTTGTCTAAAAATCTAACTGCATGTAAGTGTTATTTATGCAGTTGGGTAAATCAGTAACTCATTTCTATTTATCTCAGATAAATAAACATAGACAAATATTGTCTAAAAATAGACAAATTATAGGGAGCAACAGTTTTCATGATGCTGGACATCAGGTAATGGATAATGCCAAATTTTGAAATTTACTCAAAATACCAGTAGGAGAATAGAGAGATATTCATTCTCTTAAAGAGACTGTCTGCAACACATATACCTGATAGAAGACTTTTATTTAGAATGTATAAGACACTCTTGGAAATCACTAATAAGGAAACTACCAGTCCAATTTAAAAATGGGCAAAACGTTTGAACAGACACTTCATGAAAAAGATATATGGCTGAAAAGCAAATAAATGAAGAGATGTTTAACATCTTTTGTTATTAGGGAAATGCAAGATAAAATCACAATGAAGTATCACTATACGTTGATTGAAATGACTACAATTTAAAAGACTGATTATACCAAGTTTTGGTGGTGATACAAAGCAACTGAAATACTCACTTATGTCTGGGGAGAATACAAAATATTGCAACCACATTTGAAAAAATTTTATAGTTTCTTATAAACTTAAACATACACCATATACCATATAATCTTAATATTACACTCCCAGGTATTTACCCAAGAGAAGTAAAAGTACATGACTACACAGACTTTTGCATGAATTTCAGTGGCAGCTTTGCTTAGAATAGTAAAAAAGTGGAAACAGTGGGATGGATAAGCAAAATGTGGCATATCCATGCAAAGAATATTATTCTAAGATAAATAGAAATGAGTTACTGATTTACCCAGCTGCATAAATAAAACTTACATGCAGTTAGATTACTGGAAAAAGCTACACCACAAAGTCTACACACACACTCAGAATGATTCCATTCATCTGACATTCTGGAAAAGGCAAAACTGTAGACATGAAAAATGAATGAGTGGCTGCCGAAGGTTTGGGGAGAGTAGAGTGTTTGACAAGGGGAAGTCAAGAGGACTTGTGACAGCGTTGGAACAAATCTGAATGGTTCCCTAGTGGTGGATGTGAGACTATGCATTGGACAAAAGCATAGAATTGTATAGCACAAAGTGTAAACATTAATGTATGCACATTATTAAAAGAAATAAGCCAGGACATTGTGGGATCTCAAGATAGAATGTCAACTGTGACAAATGCGTCTAATTATAATGGAAATCACTGCATGGAAGAACATGGGGAGAAGACACTGATCTAAGTAACTTTGGAGAAAGGGTGTTTTGACTGGAAACTCTAATGGCAATGATAAAGGGAAATGTATATAAATATTGTACTCTACATAGTAAATGTTTTTCTCATGAAAATATGGTTAAAACTTCTGAAATTGCTTTACATGGATCCTGGAGTTGAACCAATAAGTAAATGGGTTGTGAAAGTGGGTGCCAAATTTCTCACAGAGAGTGAAATTACAGTAAGCAAAGTGGGAGGCTAGAATAAAGGGCTGCATCAGAGAGCCAGAGCTCCAGGTAACCGAGGCTGGGAGTTGACGGTTGTCATGGCTGGCCCCACTTGCCCTGAGAAGTCCTTCTGCAACATGGAGATGGAAGTCAGTGGGGTGGGGAGGAGGGAGCGGGGTGGGAGCACAGCCTGGATAAATGGCACTGATGCCCCCTGTATGTTCTGAAAATCAGTATCTTTTCTTGAATAAATGCTTCTCAGTTTTTTCTATGCACCTTGGTCAATTTTCAGAGACCTTAAATGATTGTTTCTGCCATTTCGTCTAGTTTTATTGATTCTTTCATAGGAAAAATATTTGCTGAGCTCTTCTTGGTACAAAAGTGGCTGGCACTTCTTCTGGGATGCTGGTATTGTTCTTTATCTGCCCCTATGGTGGTTACCTTGGCGTATTTAGCAGTAACAATCTGTTGAACTGTATGAATTGATCACTTATTATTGTGTACCTCAATAAAATATTTTATTAAAAAATAGCCAAGTTCCATCAAGGCTTGAAACTTACACAGTGACATTTGGCTTTGAAATGTTAGTCATGTGTTATCTCTCAGTGATGTTTTTGGGAGGAGAAGGTGAGGCACTAGTTGATGTTCAACTCATTCTATACACTTTTTTAAGTGATAGGGTTAAGGTACATTTTATTAATGATGTTTTCCAGTGTTTTCAAGAGATTATTTTGAAAGAGAACAACAACCTTGTATCATTGTAGCAACTGCACTGTGAAATCATGGCCCTCATATTCCAGAACACACCCTTTGATACCTTCTGAAATTAAATTCAGCCTAAGGAAGGAATCTCTATAGATTCTCACTTTGACAGTAAACACTGTTGAAAGCAAGGTTTGCTGATGTGCTGTGGAATGTGCCTGCTGCCCAACTTGAAGGACTTATCTGTTTAGGGATTAAAAAAGGAGAAAAGAACATTTTGGTTTTCATGTCCACACGGAGCCCTTGAGCACAGTACATCGTATTTTTCTCTCTCCAGCAGCTAGTAATGAGTCCGGAAACTATTTGGCAGACAATACGTACTTGAGGAATAAATACATCAATTTCTATTTATTCTGCTTTCTCATTTAAACCATTAAAAGTGGTCCATGACACTATGATATTTTGGAAAACATTCTCCCCAAGGCAGTAGCAGTCTTGTCGGATGAATAAGAAGGTGCTTTAGCTTTACGAGAAAATCACGGTTACTGAAAAAAACACCTAATTAAGTTGAATCCAATGTGCTTTCTTAACCACTAGTCCCCACATTAACTTCTATATCATGTCACATAGTTTATGTTCTCTCACAAATCTCTAGCACTCTCTTAATCACATTGAAACAAAGCAGGTAGTTTGCACTATTTATTTCATTAATCAGTAAAGCTCCTCATATTTGACAAGTATTATTGCATCATTTTATATTAACTGTTTCACTAAGCAACCCAATACAATAATATCCTCATTAGTGGCAAAGGAATGTGAGATAAAGAGAAGTTAACTATGTCTCAGAGAGTCAAGCAAAATAAGCTGCGAGAATAAAATTGAATTTTGGCATTTGGATTGATATTCTGCTGATCCATGGCACATGGCATGTATGAAGGGTGGGGATGTTGATTTTGTAAACTAGGATATAGTTTTGTAAATTGTCAAAATTCATTAGAATGGTCCTATAAACACGTATATAATTAGGTAGATATTAATGCCGCAATCATAACATGTGTTCTTCTCATGCATCTGCTCCCTACAGTTCTCCAAGTAATAGTCACATTTGAGGGATCTGGGTGAAAGGAAGCCACCAGGGTCAGTGAGGATCATTTGAATATTCTTGTTAACACATGAGCCGTCTGGCACAGTGCCATTTCCCTGAAAAATTAGCCTCTCATTTCCTGTTTTCTATTTATTTTAGCTAGAGAACATTTGTTCTTTTTTTGAAAGTGAAATACTTACATTTAGTAAGAAAACATTAAGTCAGGTTTTTATGAAAGAGAACGGCAATGCTAAGTGGGGTGAAAAATAATTTCATTAATTTTAATAATTCCCTGAATACATAAGGCCTTGCATTTTATACTTTTTGTTTTTAATTATCACTTTCAAAATGATCGGATTTGACTGATGAGAAATCTGTTGGTCATTATCTTTCTCTTTTTTTTAACATTCACATTTTTCTATTTATTTTCTCTATCCTTTTTTTTCTCTCCAATTATTCAACACACTCTCCTCCTTCACATCTTACATATTTCTAATTATTTCTACCCTATTAGATCTTCATATTGATTTGTATGATTTGGGACCATTTACAATGAAACTCTGGCATTTTAAAAAAATTAGGTAAGTCTGCTCCTTTCCTACGAGAACAGCAGTTAGTTTACATGGGAGGATAATTAATTGATTTCACAGGCCCTGGTCAGAGCATTTCCAACTTATTTTCCTGCATTTTTTAAAAAAGCATTCATTTCTGAAAACAAATTTCTTTTTCTCTCTAAGAAAATTGTTAGAATATGCTGCCTTTGTTAAAAAAGTAGATATGCTGTTGCCATTTGCTGAAATATATGATAAATATATAAATCTATGGGGTATAAATAGTTTCCTCAGGGTTATGCTTTTTAGGGAGATTCTTTCTTCCATTCTGTCTTCCAACCTAGGACCTTGCAATTCCATTTTCTAAACTACTTAAATGCAAGCACTGATTACTCAATGATTCCAGTGTCTATTTTTTCTATATTTATAAATTGAAGTAAATCTTAACACCCAGTTTGTGCATTTGAATCTTGTGTTACTATTTCTTCTTGCCGTTGTTTTCCATCTTAAGCATACATATTTTATTGTCTTGTATTGCCGTTTTTATTTTCCAATTGTTATGTCTCAAGTACAATGTGCTGGACACCGTCCAACATGTTTTATGAATATCAAGTCATTCTATGATAAATCCTGATCTGGGCCCCTCAGTGGGCTGGCCTGATCAGGCCACACAATCCCAACTTGGGGTCACCCCGTATAAAGCAGAGGCAGCTGGACAGCTTTTTCCAAAACATTCACCCATGTCTTATAGCTGGCCACGCCCAGCAAACCCGATGATACCTACACAGCCACGCAGTAACACTCGGAGGCTTTGCCGTACTAAATGCGAGCAGAGGTGATTCATGAGATTGTGGCTCTAAAATCCACCCCCTTCCTTTCCCCTCATATCTCATCTTGGAGAGGTACTGGCATTTCCTTCTTGATAGTAAAAATGTTCAGACTCGATCTTTCAGTTTCTGACAGTATTTTCTCTTAAGCAAATATCACAACTCTACTGTCTCCCGTTCTTGGAGTGATCATTGCCTTTTGTTCTCACATATGCCCATTTCGTTTTACTTCTTAATTTCCTCATGTAACAAGCAGTTTTCTGTACTGGGAACTTTTCTTTGACGGGCCTTTTCTTTTTGCCTGGAACTTCTGTGTCCAGATTATGGAAATTTCTCTCTATGTTAATTTTACATTTGCCTCTGCAGGGAAACTAGGGGATTCACCATCTAGGAAACCGTTTTCGTTTTCATTACTCAGTGTTGGCTGGAGTCCTGCTGCACGGAGCTGAAGCTCTTCAGATCTATGTTAACATGTGGGATGGGTTTTAGTTTTCAATTTCATCTGAGTGGCATGACATGCGAGGAAATTTCTTCTCATTTCTCCAGGCCAAAGGGGAATGATTTTATAATCCCAGGTTTGCGTGTGGGCCAGCACTTTGAGGTGAGCCGATGTATGGTTTCCTGAGAACATACAGGAGGGTGTGTCGTTCCTTATGTAGGCCTCAAACCTGACTCTTTTTCCTTCCTGTGTCCTTATATGGACATTCGAAAATGAGCTTCATTAGGAAATTGTGCATCCTCCAAATCTTCCCAGAAGAGTGCTGCGCACTAGCTCCTGTAGCCCTGGTGATTTCCTGCTCTTGTTTTTTAGTTCATCAATATATTTAAATACTTTTTTGTTATATTTTATCCATTGTTTCTTTGTGTTCTTGAATTCTAACAGTCCTTCATGACCTGAACTATTATAAGTTATATACTATGGTGCTTACTTCAAATACCTAACCACTGGATTCAGCTTTATTCTGTGTTGTCAATTACGTACTATTTGTAGCCATGTGTTTTATGGCAACAAGTGAAGAAATTAGACATATTTTCTAGTTAAGGAATTATAAAAAGATAAAGTTGTTAAATTTTAGCACTCTCTATAGACATTACTATTGAAAAAGCGTTGTTCATTTTCAATGAATATTTTGAATAATATTAAGTATTAAATTTAACTTCCAAATTTCAAAATATTTGACAGTCTATTCACAATAGGCTTCACTTTGTAAGAACTTTATACTTAACTTTAAGGAAATTTCCACAAGGTTGCAAGATTTTAAGTTTATTGCTCTTTAAAATAATTATTTTAAAACCGTACTTCAAATAGCCTCAAAATTTAGTAAAGCTTCTTCAGAAGAGTGGAGGTTTGTGAGTTTATATTCAGGCTCTCATTCTCTACCCTCTCCATAACTGCTCTGCCTTTTTTGAACGTAAAAAGCTAAAACATTAAAAGTAAATATTTGGCCAGGTGCAGTGCTAACGCCTGTCATCCCAGCACTTTAGGAGGCCAAGGTGGGAGGATTGCTTGAGCCCAAAAGACCAGCCTGGGCAACATAGTGAGACCTCATAGCTACTAAAAATTAAAAAAATTAAAAATAAAAAAAGAAGAAAAAAATTAGTGAGGCGTGGTGGCACACACCTGTGGAACCAGCTACAGCTACTCAGAAGGATGGGGCAGGAAGATTGCTTGAGCCCGGGAAAGCGGAGTGGCAGTGATCCGTGACTGAGCTACTGCATTCCAGTCTGCATGACACAGAGAGATCCGAATAAAAAAAAATAAAAAATAAAAAACAAATAAAATAAAAAAGAAGATACTTAAAGCTTTATGGTATATGGTATGATAATGTGAATTGCAGTTGCTCATCTTAAAATAAAATGAAGAAGACGTGCTGTGTGAAAGGAGACAGAAGGAGAATTCTTCAATGGAAAATACTGCATATTGAAATAAATTTATCAATAACATTATAAAAGATCATATATATTGGACACTTGCTATGCGTCTAGTAGTTCTAATTAACTTACATTTATTAACTTGTTTGATTTTCAAAACAGTCTATGGGTGGGTAACATATTCTTTAATGAGGAAACTGAGGCAAAAAAAAGAGTAACTTTTCCAAAGTCATTCTGCTAGCATGTGGTTACAAACAATTTTTTTTGAATGGTCAAATTCTACAGTAACACTCTAAATTTGTTTTATTTTGTTATTGTTTGTTTGATTGCTTTTCCTTCAAAGCTACCACTTAATAGCTAATGTATGATGGTGATTGTTCCAAGCACGTATGCAATAAGAGGTGGACCCTGTTGGATGAACTTAGACTTGAGAATCAATACATTGTAAGTTCTCAACCAAACCAAATATTTGATTTCTCAAAATAGTTAAGAATTCTAAAATCACAGGCCTTTAATCCAGCTGAGAGAGCAAGTGTTCTTTTATATAACATTAGCTTTCCATTTACTTCAGGGGTTGTCAAGAACATCATTGAACCAAACTTCAAAGTTAATGATGGTAGGTATTTTTGGCTTTAAAATGTTTTGTGTTATTGTTTGCCAACACTGAGACAGAGACTGTAAAGAGTCTCCTGGGTTTCAAGAAAAATTTAATTTCCTTCATTTTTTCTTTTAGTCTAAGATTTTACTGTGATGCAATTCAAGATAAAGAAAACAGAAAAAGAGATTTAAGTTTCTTTTCCGGTTCTAGTAGTTGATAGTTATGTAAAATTAACCATTCTGAATTTTGTAATTTGTAATATGGATAATATGGGCATCATAACAACATTTTCTATATAAGGTAGGCAGAAAGGATTGAAAAGATAATTCAGGTGAATGATGTCGGATGTGGGAAGCTTTGGCTCCTTTACCCTCATTTCCTCTTCCTTGTCTTCTCCAGAGTCACTGTAGGCCCCAAATTTATATAATACTCACATGCATTGAGAAATATATCATGACATCAGTTTTAACATAATTGACTGGTTTCTCTCCCTGGATATCATATAGAGTCATAATTTATCTCAATAGATCATAGCTAGATGTTAGGTCAGTGGCATGTTTACATTTTAAAAGTAATGACTTTAATTCCAAACTGGCATTCAGTTCAGCAAAATAATTAAAAAGTATTTGTTTTATGAGGAAATATATTTCTAATAGGTAATATGCTAGTGATAAAAAGTAAAAATCACATTGAATTGACTTGTTTCTGTGAGTAGGAAATTCCCCCTATCTAGAAAAATGTTGAAACTGGGTTTTATCACTTTATAATTTATATTTTATCATGTACAATTTATCATGCACATATAAATATGTCTGTCAAAATCAAAATCTAAATGTGTTATTTTGACAAATACATATTTTAAATGTTGTGACAGTATTAATGACATTATATTGGGATCCCAAATTATAAACTTCCACATAGATGAACACACAATATACTGTTTCTTTTGATATTATTACAAGGAATCTTCCTCAGATAGGCTCCAAATTGAATGCATCTTCTCTCAAATAAGTAATGACGTAGAAAATGTTCACCTAAATATAAGCTGCCTATCGAATATTCCATAGTACTTCCCAGAAATTTCAAGTGCTGATACTTAAAAATATGTACAATATGCTAAAAGACCTAATCTAAAGCATTTGATTTTATTTTATAAAAATATTTGATTGGCCGGGCATGGTGGCTCACACCTGTAATCTCAGCACTTTGGGAGACCAAGGCGGGTGGATCACCTAAAGTGAAGAGCTCGAGACCAGCCTGGCCAACATGGTGAAACCCCATATCTAATAAAAATAAAAATAAAAAAATTAGCCAGGCATGGTGGTGTGCACGTGTAATCTCAGCTACTTGGGAGGCTGAGGCAGGAGAATTGCTTGAACCCAGAAGGCAGAGGTTCCAGTGAGCCAAGATGCCACCACTGCACTCCTGCCTGAGCAACAAGAGTGAAACTGTCTCAAAAAATGATAATAATAAAAAGTGAATGTCACAAATAGATTAATTTAACCACGTTCCTTTTCAAAGGTCTAGTTATTCTTTGCAGCATGGTTTCTAGTGGTAAATTGTTAAGGAATTCAATTTTATAATTTATCTAAATATCTGGATTTCCCTATTCCATCCTTTATTGTTATTACAGCTTTTTAGAAATCATTAAAAATAAACATACCTGTTTTTGTTTTTTGTTTGTTTTTAGAAACAGAGAAGCAACAATAGAAAAAATAATACATCAAGTGGTCATATTTTGTCTAATTTATTATCTATTATTGACCTTTTATGGATGGCCATTATCTAAAAAAGTTTTTAAACTGGGAAGTTTTAGAAAATCATCAAACACAACATTAACAAGAAACGTTGCAGCAGGAAGAAACCGATAAGGGACTGTTACAGAGATGCTTCAGAAGCAAACACCATAGGCGTCCACTTCCAACACTGAAGGACTAGCTTGTAGCTGACCAATGCTCTTGCCAAAAACTTCTGAAAAAGGCAATACAAATGGGAAAGAGAAACTCCACATGACTGATGAATAACTAAAACATTTCTCAACCTTATTAATTATCTGAGAGATTTATATTAAACCCAGAGTGAAATATAATTACACAGCATCAGGATGGCTAACCTTAAAAAGAATGAAAATAACAGGTGGGCAAAGATATGGAACAACTGGGACTTTCATAAAATGACAACTTATAGATCAAAAATAGCCACATATCACTAATTTGATATGTTTTCACCGAATGCAATCATTTTGAAAGGGTGCCTGGAACCCATGCTTAACATTTACATGCATTGTCAGCCAGCAATTCCAGTCCTATGTATGAATTCAACAGAAAGCACTCTGTGCGTGCAAGTGCGTATGTATGTGTATGCGTGTACACTCTCTGTGGGTGCACGTACGTATATGTGTAGAGACAGAGGTAGAGAGTGAGAGAGTAGTACTATTAATTATTGTCCCATGCTGAAAACACTACCAGGTGTTGACAATACAGTCATGCAATGCAGTGCTATAAATTAATGAGAGTAAAAGAATGATTGGTACATACAACAGCATGAATCGAGCTCACAAACAAAACATTGAGGGGGAGAAATCCAGACTCAAAAGGGTACATACTGTGCGATTCCATTTAAAAAAGAAATCAGAGTTAGAAAAACAGACTTGACATTGGTAAAGGTGAGGGAACAGTGGCAGGACTGACGGTGGGGAGGGGACACTCTGAGCAGTCCTGCTAATGTTACGATGCCCAAGGGCGGTGCCGGTTATGTTTACCACTTGTGCATTTCCAGGTATGAATATTTCAGTTAAAATATATTTTAACAAAAAAGTAAAAATGAATTTGGGGAATTTGGCTCAGAACTCAGTGTTTCTCTCAGCAGTGTTAGCATTGTGATATTATAGGGCTAACCTTTTTAAATAAACTGTAGAATGAATGCATCCGCAGCTAAAAGGGGACTGGCTTAGTTTGTCTCTCGTTCTCTGACTTCTGAAATTGTTACAGTGATGCCAGGGTCAGGCAATCTTAAACTGCAAGGCAGAGAAGTGAGAGGCCTTTCTGTATTTTCTTTCCATACTTTTTGACTTGTTTTCTCTTTTGCTTCATGATTTTATTTTTGTTCTTATTTTTCTCTAGTGATGTAAAATATATACATTCAAATCTCCTTGATGGCTGATTTCAAAGCTTTAAACAAGGTATTGAATATAAATTACTCTAATTATAAACAGCAAGAATGAAACATTATCTGCTATTTCTTACCCATATGGGATAAATAATTCAGTTCTATTTTCTTCATCTTATCCTGTAGCACTTCTATTTTTAAAACGGTGTTTTTGATACTAAAAGTAAAAAAATTGTATCCAGATTACAAAGATCAAATCATTTAGTTCTTTCTTTCTTAACCTCTTTGACTTGAACCATCTCTCAGTTTACTATAATTCTTTTTTTCCACTTATTTGATATCGGATTTCATTCAATATTCATAGGTTGTTTAAGTTCTGAAGTATATGAAGTTTTTTTCTTGTTCTTTTACTCAGGAATATAAATTAAAGAGTGTATATTGATTCTTAGGTTAAATATTTCCAGCTTAATCTTTGTAATAACATTATTTCTTGTAGTAAAGTCTAAGATGTCACATTTTTATATGTAATCTGATTCTTAAAAAGTCTATTTGTTGAATTTATTGTACATTGCTGAATTAAAAGCAACTGAATGTAAAGAAAAAATGTATGGGGTGTTAATTGTGTTTCTGAAGCTCAAATAAGCACAAACTGATGAGGCAATTATTTTGTGCAGAGAGGGATGGATAAAAAAACACTAATCAGCGTAGGAACAAAGTGTGCTGTGAAAACCTGACTAAAATAAAGTGCATCTAGTTATGATGTAGTTTTAATATATTAATGACCTATTAAATATAAAAACAAAGGGTTGACATATTCAGTTTGGGTATCATTTTGTTAATATATTAAGGAAGAAAACTCTTAACATAAAATCTGAAAAACAAAGACTTTGAGCAAAAACACATTTACCACAAGAATAACTCGGTGATATTTTATAGGACACAAATTAAAAAGTATAAAAATTAAGTTGTAGACTTTAATTATGACATTCTAGAATATTCATTAATGTTAAATCAAGCTGCTTCAAAACAACGGTTATCATCATGAAGTCCATCCACTTGTACACATAAATCTTGTTAATATGTATACACAGTTTTGTGACATTTGGAGAAGCTATAAAAACCAACACGCATGTTATCTCACATAGTACATGCATTTGAGTTCATGATTTCACCCATAAATGGTAAATGCAAATCATAAAATAATTCATTCAAAAATATATATTGAACTTCTATTTACCAGCATATTTTGTTTATGAAAATACTAACATGAACATGATGCAGATGTTGCCTTGAAGGGGCTCAGTCTAAAGATACGTATACAAAGTAAACGCTTCCCACACAGGAACAGAAAACCAAACACCACCAAACACCTCATGTTCTCACTCATAAGTGGGAGCTGAACAATGAGAACACATGGACACAGGGAGGGGAACATCACACACCAGGCCTGTCGGGAGGTTGGGGGAAAATGGAGGGAGAGCATTAGGACAAATATCTAATGCATGTGGGACTTAAAACCTAGATGATGGGTTGATGGGTGCAGCAAACCACCACGGCACATGTATACCTATGTAACAAACCTGTACGTTCTGTACATGTATCCCAGAACTTAAAGTAAAATGGAAAAAATGGAAAAGTAAACTGTTCTAACAATACAGCAGTATAAATGTCATAACAAAAATAACAATATTGATCACATAGTTTTTTTTGTAATAATGATAATGTAGGTCTCATTTTTTAAGATGAGAAAAGAGAAGCACAAGGAGAGGTTTTAATAGCCTAGTATCATCCTACAGTACTGGTGTCAGGACTGAAATTGGCACAACTAATTCTGGAGCTTAAGGTCCTGTGCACTTCTGTGCTGTCTCTTGAAATGCTACCATGCTGTGGCCATGCAAAAGGAACTCTTTTAACTCATCTTGTACATTCAGGTACTTCCTAGCAAATATGATCTTGGAACTACCCAGGAACAATATGGCATTTGCATATATGAAGATCTCCTGTTTTTTTAATACGGGGAAATTTTAAGCATGGCTGTATACTACAGGGAATGATTCACATGATGGAGATGGAGGAGTTAAAAATATAGCAGCGAGATATGAGAAAATATACCCCCCACTAAGAATAGAACAATAGAACTAGATAGAATAATTATCCTGGTGATTACTTAATTTTTTAATGTGGGATATTTTAAAAGATTTCTATTTTTGTACTAGTGTTCCATCTGTACTTATGCCATTTTAAGTATCCTTAGTCTCTGTTCTCTTATTAAACCTTTTACTATTGGGTATGTCAATTGTTAGTGGTATTCTTTCTCCCCTGTATTAACTATAACAATCAATGAGCTGCTCCAGGTTCCTATTTTCCTCTGTCTTACATTTCTCAGTTGATTTATTTCTACTTTGCCACACATAGCGCCTTTGCACATCAGTCTTCCACCTTTGACCCTGCTTCTATTTCAGTTTCGATGTTTACTTATTAAAATATCCATTGCCTTTCTTCTTGCAGAAAATTTTCCAGTCATTGCTTGGTTTTTATGAAGCTCAGTCTGAAACATACTCTTCTAAATGTGCTGGTGATAGAGGATTCTCCCAATTTTTATGTTTTAGACTTTTTTCCCCACTGTTCTGAAAGTAAAGTTCAAATTGTTTAGTGGGTTGTTTTTTGATTGTTTGGCTTGGTAGTGGAGGGAGGAATTGTGTGTCCTCTTGCAGTTTGCTTTCCTTTTGTTCTACAGCCTCAAATTCCTTTCCTTTGGCTTCTTTTTCCCTTTTACCACTGTTAAAAGAAAAACTTTCACCGAATTAAATTTAAAAGAGTTTAACTGAGCAAAGAACAATTCTCAAATCTGTCAGCCTCTCCAGCCAGAGTAGGCTCAGAGATGCCAGCACAGCCACATGGTAGAAGAAGGCTTTTGGACAGAAAAAAGGAAAGTGACATACAGAGAACAGAAGTGAGATGCAGAGACAGCCAGGTTGGGTACAGCTCTGTGTGTGCCTTATTTGAACACAGTTTGAACAGCTGGTCACTTTAGATTGGCCAAAACTTGGTGAGATTGGCACAAGATGTAGACTACAGTCTGTTTACACCTCCATTTAGGTTATAGTTCACAATGTACAGAGAAACCTTTAGGCTGAACTTGAAATATGTAAGGAGGCAGCGTTAGGCTAAACTTGATTTAACACCATTCAATTATCAAAGGATGCTCTCTTTTCCCTTTTTGCTGTTTTTATTTTCCTCTCCCAGAAATTACACATTTCAAATGACTGTCTCTTCAAATGGCAAGTCCTAATTCCCCTGCCTGCAGAACACACTCTCACCTACCAGGGCACTTATTTTAGTATTTTCAAACTTAGGGATCACTTGCTCTATCTGATAGTGATTTGAGGTCAGCCTTAGGTCCATTGCCAGCTCCTTTATCTCTTGTAAGTTTTCTCAGGATGGAGTGGGTGGCACGTGAGGCATTGCTTGCTGGAATTTGGTGAGGTTTGCAGGGGTGTTTTTTGGCACAAAATAGAGCTATGTTGAAGTTTGGACATCTTTTGACTTCAAGTTAACACTGAGGTCAGGGATTTTGTATCTTCCTCTTTTTTTTTCTTGTGAATTGAGTCTGGAGGAAATATTTATTGAAGGGCGTATACTCGGCACTGCCCTTGTCAGCTACCAGGAGTCTTATTTTCTTTAACAGTAATCATAGTTATTTTTAAAGTCCTGTCTCTTGTTCTCATATGCTGATCTCCTCCAGCTTCTCATCTATGGTCTGTTATTTTCTCTTAGCTTTTGGTCATATGATTCTCTCACTTCACATTCCTAGGATTTTACGATTTTTTTTTTCTTTTCTTTTTTTTTAAGATGACACCTTCTTCTCCTAAGCAGATAGATAGAGTAAACGGCTGGACACCTTAATCTTTTCACAGACTCAAGTGAGCTAAGATTGGTGTGTAGTTTTAATCACAGTGTACCTTGGACTCACCTCTGTTCTAAGAATATGACTTTAAAATTCTCTGTTGAGACCCCCACAGGCAAGAGTCTCTTCACCACTGGGGCTTGCAGGAAATTTGTTCTGATTCACAGATCTCTTTGGTTTTGATCTTTAGCCTTCCATTTTGAGATTCCTTCACATTTGGCAAAGGTCCCAGGTAGCGACAGTGTGTGGGTTTGATGTTGCTCGAGCCTCCAGCTTTTCATTAATCCCCAAAAGCTCTGCTGCTTCCTTTGTTCCCTGCTGGGGAGCAAGCCTGGATCCTCAGCCTCTCCTTGGGGCAGGAGAAGGACACACCCTCAGAGAAAAAGCTGTAAAGCCTTGTTTCTATAAACTTACCAAAAAGGATTCTGACTCTTCTCATGGTTCTCAGGCCCTTCCGAGGAAGGGTTTGACTGCCAACAGCCATGAGACAGCAGAAAATTTTCATAGGATTTTGTAGAAGTTTGGTTTAATTCTTTAGCCTTCCACTCAGAAGACTTATGAATTTAGTAAGTGTATTGCACATGTAACAAGTCTTGTGTTTGAGAGCTCGCTCTTGATTTTATCCTAAAATAGCAGCTCTCTGGTTTGATCAAGCCCAGTTTCTGAGGTTCTAGCCAATGCCAGAATCAGCAAGTGACCTCACCATAAGTCACAGCTCTCTGACGGCTTTAAATACAGAGATTTTTAAATTCATTCTCCCTTCTCCAACTTTTTTGAGTAGAAACCCTGTCCTGGCAGACTATTTTATTCTGCTCAGAAGCAAGTAAATGACTTACGTGTTTTTAAGTCACCATTGAAAGTCACCAGTTTCAATTACTAAAACAACAAACTACAAAACATCTAGGAACAAATCTAACAAAAGTTAGGCAAGACCTACAGATAAAAAAATTATAAAATTTTACTGGACAACTTTTCAAATGAAGAAACAATTGGAGCAATTATTGCCAGTTCTTAGAGAGGAAAACTCAATACCATAAAGAAACTACCTCAACATAATACAACGCATATATAAAAACCCCACAGTAAACATTACACTAAATGGTGAAATACTGAAAGCTTTACTTCTAAGATTAGGAACAAGGCAAGGATGCCCACTTTCAACAGTTATTATCAACATAGTACTGAATGTCTACCCAGAGAAATTAAGCCAGAAAAAGAAATGAAATACTCCAAATTGGAAAGGACAAAATAAAATGATTTCTTTTCACAGAGATTTCATACTCACATACACATGTAAACTGTTAGAATTAATAAGTGAATTAGTTCAACAAAGTAGCATGATAGAAAGTCAACACTCAAAATCAGTTGCATTTTTATGTAATAACAATGAACAATCTAAAAAGAAATTTCCAAAATCAATTGCAGTTATAATAGCATCAAGAAGAATAAAATACTTAGGGAACTAAGCTAACCAAAGAATTGAAAAACACGTACAATAAAGTCTACAAAACATTGCTGAAAGAAATTAAAGGAGGCATAAATAAAGGGAAATGCATCCCATGGAAGACTTAATATTGTCAATATGTCAGTACCACCCAGAGTGATACAGTTTTAATGCACTCTCTATCAAAATCACAATGATGGTTTATTTTTTACAGAAATAGAAAAACCCATTGTAATATTCATAAGAAATCTCAAGGGACACCCAAATAACCAAAATAATCTTGAAAAAGAAGAACGAAGCTAGAGGACTCACATTTTCTGATTTCAAAACTTACTTCAAAACTACAGTATTTGTGTGCTACTGACATAGAGACAGACACACAAACCAGTGGAATAATATGGAGAGCTTGGAAATAAACATTTGCATATACAGTAAGAAGAATTTTTTACTGATATATGAGACCATTCAATAGAGGAAGGATAGTCTTTTCAACAAATTGTGCTGAAAAAACTGGATATCCACATGCAAAAGAATGAAGTCGAACCATTACTTGGTACTATATATGAAATTAACTCAAAATGCATCAAAAACATAAATTTAAGAACTAAAACTATAAAATTCTTAGAAGAAAACATAGGAAAAAACACTTAAAAAACCTTAAAATACTGAATTTCTTGGGTATGACACAAAAGGCACAGGCAACAACAACAAAAAATAAACAAATTAGACTTCATGACAATTTAAAAAATGTTGTGTGTCAAAAAACAAGATCAACAGAGAAAAAAGACAATCCACAGAATGGGAGAAAATATTTGTAAATCATATATTTGATAAGACATATTTATTCAGAATATATATAGAACTCCTAAAACTCAATGACAAAAAAGCAACCTGATTCAAAAATGGGCAAAAGACTTCAATAGACATTCTCCAAAGAAGATATACAGATGATCAAGAAGCCAATGAAAAGATGCCCAACATCACTAATCGTTAGGAAAATACAAATCCTAACTACAATAAAATAGCATTTTATACCCATTAGGATGGTTACTATTAAAACACACACACACACACAGAGTAACAAGTGTTAGTGAGGATATGAACAAATCAGATCCCTTGCACACCATAGGTGAGAATGTAAAGTGGTACAGCCACCTTGGAAAACAGAATGGCAGTTCCTCAAAAAATTAAAAATACAATTACCATGTAATCCAGAAATTTTATGTCTAGTTATGTACCTAACTTAATTGAAAATAGAAGCTCAACTAGATATTTTTTCATAGCAACATTATTCACAATGAGTAAAATGTGAAAGCAACCCAAGTGCCATCAACATATGAATAGATAGCAAAATATGGCATATACACACAATGGAATATTATTCTGCCTTTAAAAAGGACACTCTGACATGTGCTACCCCATAGATAAAGCTTGAGCACATCATGCTAAGAGAAATAAGCCAGTAGCACACAGTAGCACACACATACAAATCAACTACTGATCCCACTTATATGAGGTACCTTGAATAGTCAAAATTATAGAGACAGAAAGTAGAATGGTGGTTGCCAGAGGGTGGGGGCAGGAGGGATGGGGCATCACTGTTGAATGGGTATAGAGTTTCAGTTTTATAAGATGAAAGGAGTTACAGAGATGGATGGTTAGTGATGCTGCATATTATGAATGTATTTAATACCATTGAACAATATCCTGGAAAATTGTTAAGATGGTAAATTTTATGTTAGGTGTATTGCCTCACAATAGAAAATTGGGAAAAAATTCACAAATTAATAAAAGAACTATCAATAGAACTGAAAATTTGGCTAAGTGTATGAAGAAATGGTTGATAAAACAATGTATACTAATGCCTTTAAAACTTATGAAAAGTTACAATTACTATATAAGAACATATTTTGTAAATATGATTACACACTCTTTCTTAAATTATAAGATTTAAAATATCAGTTCTTTTAGCATACAGTGTTGGTAGGGACTTAGGAAAATAGACCCACATTAATGGTAATTGTGTAAGCTGCTAACATATCAATTATAATGGAAAAATATAACTTAAAAGCCATTAAATTTAAAAAGCATATTTCCTTTTCCACAGCAATTATGTATCTACCAATTTATCTTAAAGCTATAATAACACGTATTCAAGAAGAGAAATGTTCCTCTTCTTTTTTTACTTTTTCTGTTACAGCAAAAGATGTGCAAAAGGGCAGAAGCCCATCAATAAAGAATTACTTATATAAATTTTAGCACATAATTAAAATGAATAATCTTCAGCCACCAATATAAATGAAGCATTTCTATATAAACCAATAGGTTAAAAGGCAGAATACACAAGAGTGAATATATTATACTTAATTACAAAAGCATCTACATACATATTTGATTGTATATAGCATCTAGGAAACAGTACATAGAAAGTGGTAATGTTGATTACCTCTAGAACTGGGTGAATGTGAAACAAAGTATAAGAAAAACATGCTTTTCAATATTTATTCTATTTTACTTTTAGGAGTTTGTAAAAATTAGATTGTCCTGTCACAATTTTATATATCACTGATTTATTTTAGTTGTTTATAAAATATTTGATTTATGAATAATTTAAAATTTGTTTTATTCATAGTATATTCTTGTAATTTTGTCTTTAATGTATTTAAAATTCTCAATTTTTTACCAAAATTATATTATTCTAGAGTTTTTTCCTCATTTTTCCTACATACTTTTGTTGGTCTTTAAAAACAAAAATCTATGAGGTTTTAAAGTCTGTTGTTTTTTAAATTTTACATTCACATATTTATAAATTCCGTCATTAGTATTTCATAATTACTACTTTTTTATAGATATATAAGCTGAAAGCTTCATTTATTTTCATTCTTTTATGTATAGTTTGGGTGTATTCTTTAATTATCTCTATGAATAACCTAATTAGCATATAAAAACTATTTCAGTGGTTTAGTTTTTAAAATATTTTCATACTTAGAGAATTGTCTGTTTTTATTTGAATGTTCCCATTAATGAAATGGTTTCACACCTTGGGTTCCCCTGATTCTAGATGGCATAGCAATAGAAGCTAGAGGAAGTTGATAAGTTAGATAGTGCTGCATAGAAATCTCTCATAACCCAAATTTCCAAATTTCTACAACTGCACACTCTTGAAATAGTCCACTGCTGCAATGCCCTGGCCTTCTCCTAGCTCTCCAACTGGGTTCTATACTGTATTTATTTTTCTTGTCCTCCATCCAGAAAATTCAAAGTCCCTTAGAAGTAATTTTAAGGTATCATAATTGATTATTTCATATGGTTTATGGTCTCCACAAAAAGCTAAAGTTAAACTAACTTTCTTAAAATCTATTATTATAAATACGGTCTGATATGAATAATGATAAACTAAACCAAAAAAAATTGTCAAAATCCATGTAGATTTATACAACATGTAAAATCCATTAATTTGGAAGAGGAAAGATTAATGAAAAGACAGAAAATAATTTGTTTTAAAATCTTTTTTACACACTTTCAAATATTATATAAATTAATACATATCATAATTTGACAATTTTTCTTCACTTTTAGTATGTGCATTTATTTATGTATTTAACTCACTAATATGTAAATTGTAAAGGCAAATACAAATTTAAAATAAAAGGTTTCATTCTCCCTATTGAAAATAAGAAAGGAGACTTCTCTCTTTTCTTTAGAGCATTTACCTTACAGAACTTGTTAATTGGATGTTTTTTATTGGTCTCTATAAACCAATAAAATTTTTCTTTGTATAAATTTAAGGGGTACAAGTGCAGTTATGTTACATGAATATGTTGCATACCTATGAAGTCTGGGCTTTTAGTGTAACCATCACCCAAATAATGTACATTGTGCCCATTAAGTAATTTTCATTCCTCTCCCCAATTCCACCTTCCTACACATCCAACTTTCCAATGTCTATTATCCCACACTCTATGTCCATGTTTACTCATTATTTACCTCCACTTCCAAGTGAGAACATGTGGTATTTAACTTTGTTTCTGAGTTGTTTTACTAAAGTGCCGGGAATGTCTATCTTAAGAATCTAGAAACCATCTCTTTGGAACATAATCATCAAGGGAGTCCGGTTATCCCGGGTTCTGTGGGAAGGTAAGAACCCAGCTCCTCTGGCGACTCTCTCTGCACTACTAACCTACCTCTTATCCACAACGATATGAGTTTATTTTTCCTGTGGATAAAGTCATTTAGCTAAGGCAGATGCTCATCTAAATTGCCAGGTAGAGTTAAGAAGACCTGTGGGACAAATAGTGATGCCATATACTTTTACTCAAGGATACACTATTGTTCATCTTGAGAACATAAATGGAATGGGTTATATCTGTTTGGCTGTATAAAATAGTGAAATTTCTGTCTTTACAATCTCTTAGAAGATTGCCTGTGATGTTCACATTTTGGTTTAATGCTTATCCAAAAATAAAATTGTTGTATTTCTCTTTTACCTCTGTTAAGAGCTTTCTGGATTGGGAAACTATTTTTTTAATTATATTTTCTCAACATAATCATAGGAATAAACATGAGCATGCTAAAAATCATAATTATTTGTATGGGTTGAATTGTGTCTCCCCACTAGATAAAGGAATGCTCTAATCCCCTGTAACTGTAAATGTGATCTAACTTGTGATCTAATTTGAAAATGTGATGATTTAAAATAGTGAAAAAAATTAGGAAAAAGAAAAATATCTATAAAAATTAACACATAGGATAGCATATTACAAGGATAGATTGTGGGCAATTGCAGATGATCATAATCCCAAAAGACACAATCCAGAACACCATAATTCCAAATGTTGAAATCCCAAAAATCTAGTTCTGGAAAAAATAACTTAAAATTATTTGAAAGATGTTTATTTACATTTAAAAATAGGATTTGAGAAACATATAAAACATGACAGAACACTTTAAGGGCCCCTTTACACAATAAAACAGACAATAATAGCATTCTTAATTTTGTAGGCATAAACACTTATGTATACTAATGATAGTCACACGAGAATAAGTTACAAGCAGATGAACAGTATTCATAAAGAAATAGGTCAAAAAGGAAAATGCATAAATACATGTCATCATGATTGGTACTTGTGAGCATGCAGCTTTATAATTTCAGTCATCTGAAATACTGTGATGGACATTCTAAGTCCTTTGAGTTCATCAAAACTATGATGAGCCACCACCACATCAGTTACCCAAAGAACCAAGATCTTGAGAAATTGTATCTTTCACAAATGCCGATGTTCAAAAAGGATATTGCTTCATTTACTGAGGAAATGTCAACATTTTTATGTACATGCACAATGTTTACACACAAAATCAGTGCTGTGATAATGTACTTTTATGTAGTCATTTGCAAAAAAAAATGCATGAAACAAATTAGAATTCTAAAAGTCTTTAAACAATTTACACCTCCAGCATTGGAAATGATGTGAAGATGAAATACATAGCATAGTGAATTGTAAAGAAAAATATGATAATTTAAAATATTAAAAAATACTACGAAAAAATTATATTTAAAAACTGACATGAAAAAGTGTATTACAGGAATAGATTATGGGCAATTGCACAGTGTCTGTAAGAGCTGGTGGACATTCACAAACATTAACTATATAATGACATCTTGCATCATGTTGAATAGTTGCATTTATTTATTTATCTATTTTTTAGGACATGGTTCTCATTGGAGAATATGTTCACATTCCTTTCTGCTCTTTCTGAAACTCTTCTGTGATTCAGTATAAAACAACCTAAGTGTCCCATATTAAATCTTCCCATCTTCTGTGTCATGCTTCTATACTGTTTTGGGTACAAAGAAATTCATTTAGCATGCATTTACATACAGACCACAAATTTGCTGGAAACAAAATTGATAAGTGATTGGTTTCCAAGATGGCCAAATAGGAACAGCTCCTGTCTGCAGCTCCCAGTGAGACCAACGCAGAAGGTGGGTGATTTCTGCATTTCCAACTGAGGTACCCAGTTCATCTCATTAGGACTGCTTAGACAGTGGGTGCAGCCCACAGAGGGCGAGCTGAAGCAGGGTGGAGTGTCGCCTCACCCGGAAAGTGCAAGGGGTCAAGGAGCTCCCTCTGCTAGCCAAGGGAAGCCGTGAGGGACTGTCCCATAAGAGACAGTGCTATCTGGCATAGATACCATGCTTTTCCCACAGTCTCTGCAACCCACAGCCCAGGAGATTCCCTCAGGTGCCTACACCACAAGGGCTCTGGGTTTCAAGCACAAAACTGGCAGCTGTTTGGGCAGACACTGAGCTAGCTGCAAGGGTTTTTTTTTTCTTTGTACCGCAGTGGTGCCTGGAATGCCAATGAGACAGAACTCTTCCCTCCCCTGGAAAGGGGGCTGAAGCCAGAGAGCTGAGTGGTCTTACTCAGTGGATCCCACCCCCATGGAGAGCAGCAAGCCTTGGCTTGAAATTCTCACTACCAGCACCACAGTCTGAAGTTGACCTGGGACACCTGAGCATGGTGTGGGGTGGGGCATCTGCTATTACTGAGGCTTGAGTAGGAGGGTTTCTCCTCACAGTGTAAACAAAGCCAATAGGAAGTTCAGACTGGGCGGAGCCCACCACAGTCCCACAAAGCTGCTGTAGCCAGACTGCCTCTCTAGATTTCTCCTCTCTGTGCAGGGCATCTCTGAAAAAAAGGCAGCAGCCCAGTCAGGGGCTTATAGATAAAACTCCCGTCTCCCTGGGACAGAGAACCTGGGGGAAGGGGCAGCTGTGGGTGCAGCTTCGGCAAACTTAAACGTTCCTGCCTACCAGCTCCGGAGAGAGCAGCAGATCTCCTAGCAAAGAGCTCAAGCTCTGCTAAGGGACAGACTGCCTCCTCAAGTGGGTCCCTGACCCCCATGCCTACTGACGGGAAGACACCTTCCAGCAGGGGTCAAAAGACACCTCATACAGGAGAGCTCTGGCTGCCATCTGGCAGGTGCCCCTCTGGGATAAAGCTTCCAGAAGAAAGAATGGGCTGCAATATTTGCTGTTGTGCAGCCTCTGCTAGAGATACAGGCAAACAGGGTCTGGAGTGGACCCCCAGCAAACTCTAGCAAACCTACAGAAGAGGGGCCTGACTGTTAAAAGGAAAACTAACAAACAGAAAGCAATAGCATCAACATGAACAAAAAGGATGACCACGCAAAAACACTATATGAAGGTCACTAATAGCAAAAACCAAAGATAGTTAAATCCACGAAGATGAGGAAAAACCAGCGCAAAAATGCTGAAAATTCCAAAACCCAGAATGCCTCTTCTCCTCTAAAGGATCACAACTCCTCACCAGCAAGGGAACAAAACTGGAAGGAGAATAAGTTTGATGAATTGACAGAAGTAGGCTTCAGAAGGTGGTTAATAACAAACTCCACCAAGCTAAAAGAGCATCTTATAGCCCAGTGCAAGGAAGCTAAGAACCTTGATAAAAGGTTAAAGGAATTGCTAACTAGAATAACCAGTTTAGAGAAGAACATAAATGACCAGAAGAACTGAAAAACACAGCATGACAACTTCGTGACGCATACACAAGTATCAATAGCTGAATCAATCAAGTGGAAGAAAGGATATCAGAGATTGAAGATCAACTTAATGAAATAAAGCGTGAAGACAAGATTAGAGAAAAAATAATGAAAAGGAATGAACAAAGCCTCCAAGAAATATGGGACTAGTGAAAAGACCAAACCTACGTTTGATTGCTGTACGTGAAAGTGGTGGGGAAAATGGAAGCAAGCTGGTAAACACACTTCAGGATATTATCCAGGAGAACTTCCCCAAACTAGCAAGACAGGCCAACATTCAAATTCAGGAAATACAAAGAACACCACAAAGATACTCCTCGAGAAGAGCAATTCCAAGGCACATAATCATCAGATTCAACAAGGTTGAAATAAAAATCGTTAAGGGCAGCCAGAGAGAAAGGTCAGGTTCCCAAAAAGGGAAGCCCATCAGACTAATAGTGTATCTCTCTGCAGAAACCCTATAAGCCAGAAGAAAGTGGGGGCCAATATTCAACATTCTTATAGAATACAATTTTCAACTCAGAATTTCATGTCTAGGCAAACTAAGCTTCATAGGTGAAGGAGAAATAAAATCCTTTAAAGACGAAAAAAAAAGCTGAGAGATTTTGTCACCACCAGCCCTGCCTTACAAGAGCTCCTGAAGGAAGCACTACATATGGAAAGGAAAAACTGGTACCAGCCACTGCAAAAACAAGCCAAAATGTAAAGACCATCAACACTATGAAGAAACTGCATCAACTAATGGGCAAAACAACCAGCTAGCATCATAATGACAGGATCAAATTCACACATAACAATATTAGCCTTAAATGTGAATAGGCTAAACGCCCCAATTAAAAGGCACAGACAGGCAAATTGAATAAAGAGTCAAGACGTCAAGACCCATTGGTTTGCTGTATTCAGGAGACTCATCTCACATGCAAAGACACACATAGGCTCAAAATAATGTGTAGAGGGAAATTTATAGCACTAAATGCCCACAAGAGAAAGCAGGAAAGATCCAAAATTGACACCCTAACATCACAATTAAAAGAACTAGAAAAGCAAGAGCAAACACATTCAAAAGCTAGCAGAAGGCAAGAAATAACTAAAATCAGAGCAGAACTGAAGGAGATAGAGACACAAAAAACCCTTCAAAAAATTAATGAATCCAGGAGCTGGTTTTTTGAAACAATCAACAAAATTGATAGACTGCTAGCAAGACTAATAAAGAAAAAAAGAGAGAAGAAGCAAATAGACACAATAAAAAATGATAAAGGGGATATCATCACCGATCCCACAGAAATACAAACTACCATCAGAGAATACTACAAACACCTCTATGCAAATAAACTAGAAAACCTAGAAGAAATGGATAAATTCCTCGACACATACACCCTCCCAAGACTAAACCAGGAAGAAGTTGAATCTCTGAATAGACCAATAACAGGCTCTCAAATTGTGGCAATAATCAATAGCTTACCAACCAAAAAGAGTCCAGGACCAGATGGATTCACAGCCGAATTCTACCAGAGGTACGAGGAGGAACTGGTACCATTCCTTCTGAAATTATTCCAATCAATAGAAAAAGAGGGGATCCTCCCTAACTCATTTTATGAGGCCAGCATCATCCTGATACCAAAGCCGGGCAGAGACACAACCAAAAAAGAGAATTTTAGACCAATATCGTTGATGAACATTGATGCAAAAATCCTCAATAAAATACTGGCAAACCAAATCCAGCAGCACATCAAAAAGCTTATCCACCATGATCAAGTGGGCTTCATCCCTGGGATGCAAGGCTGGTTCAATATACGTAAATCAATAAATGTAATCCAGCATATAAACAGAACCAAAGACAAAAACCACATGATTATCTCAATAGATGCAGAAAAGGCCTTCAACAAAATTCAACAACCCTTCATGCTAAAAACTCTCAATAAATTAGGTATTGATGGGACATATCTCAAAATAAGAAGAGCTATCTATGACAAACCCACAGCCAATATCATACTGAATGTGCAAAAACTGGAAGCATTCCCTTTGAAAACTGGCACAAGACAGGGATGCCCTCTCTCACCACTCCTACTCAACATAGTGTTGGAAGTTCTGGCCAGGGTAATTAGGCAGGAGAAGGAAATAAAAGGTATTCAGTTAGGAAAAGAGGAAGTCAAATTGTCCCTGTTTGCAGATGACATGATTGTATATCTAGAAAACCCCACTGTCTCAGCCCAAAATCTCCTTAAGCTGATAAGCAACTTCAGAAAAGTCTCAGGATACAAAATCAATGTACAAAAATCACAAGCATTCTTATACACCAACAACAGACAAACAGAGAGCCAAATCATGAGTGAACTCCCATTCACAATTGCTTCAAAAAGAATAAAATACCTAGGAATCCAACTTACAAGGGTTGTGAAGGACCTCTTCAGGGAGAACTACAAACCACTACTCAATGAAATAAAAGAGGATACAAACAAATGGAAGAATATTCCATGCTCATGGATAGGAAGAATCAATATCGTGAAAATGGCCATACTGCCCAAGGTAATTTATAGATTCAATGCCATCCCCATCAAGCTACCAATGACTTTCTTCACAGAATTGGAAAAAACTACTTTAAAGTTCATATGGAACCAAAAAAGAGCCCGCATCGCCAAGTCAATCCTAAGCCAAAAGAACAAAGCTGGAGGCATCACGCTACCTGACTTCAAACTATACTACAAGGCTACTGTAACCAAAACAGCATGGTACTGGTACCAAAACAGAGATATAGATCAATGGAACAGAACAGAACCCTCAGAAATAACGCCACATATCTACAACTATCTGATTTTTGACAAACCTGAGAAAAACAAGCAATGGGGAAAGGATTCCCTATTTAATAAATGGTGCTGGGAAAACTGGCTAGCCATATGTAGAAAGCTGAAACTGGATCCCTTCCTTACACCTTATACAAAAATTAATTCAAGATGGATTAAAGACTTAAATGTTAGACCTAAAACCATAAAAACTCTAGAAGAAAACCTAGGCATTACCATTCAGGACATAGGCATGGGCAAGGACTTCATGTCTAAAACACCAAAAGCAATGGCAACAAAAGCCAAAATTGACAAATGGGATCTAATTAAACTAAAGAGCTTCTGCACAGCAAAAGAAACTACCATCAGAGTGAACAGGCAACCTACAAAATGGGAGAAAATTTTCACAACCTACTTATCTGACAAAGGGCTAATATCCAGAATCTACAATGAACTCAAACAAATGTACAAGGAAAAAACAAACAACCCCATCAAAAAGTGGGTGAAGGACATGAACAGACACTTCTCAAAAGAAGACATTTATGCAGCCAAAAAACACATGAAAAAATGCTCACCATCACTGGCCATCAGAGAAATGCAAATCAAAACCACAATGAGATACCATCTCACACCAGTTAGAATGGCAATCATTAAGAAGTCAGGAAACAACAGGTGCTGGAGAGGATGTGGAGAAATAGGAACACTTTTACACTGTTGGTGGGACTGTAAACTAGTTCAACCATTGTGGAAGTCAGTGTGGCGATTCCTCAGGGATCTAGAACTAGAAATACCATTTGACCCAGCCATCCCACTACTGGGTATATACCCAAAGGACTATAAATCATGCTGCTATAAAGACACATGCACACGTATGTTTATTGCGGCACTAGTCACAATAGCAAAGACTTGGAACCAACCCAAATGTCCAACAATGATAGACTGGATTAAGAAAATGTGGCACATATACACCACGGAATACTATGCAGCCATAAAAAATGATGAGTTCATGTCCTTTGTAGGGACATGGATGGAAGTGGAAATCATCATTCTCAGTAAACTATTGCAAGAACAGAAAACCAAACACCGCATATTCTCACTCATAGGTGGGAATTGAACAATGAGAACACATGGACACAGAAAGGGGAACATCACACTCTGGGGACTGTTGTGGGGTGGGGGGAAGGGGGAGGGATAGCATTAGGAGATATACCTAATGCTAAATGACGAGTTAATGGGTGCAGCACACCAGTAAGGCACATGTATACATATGTAACTAACCTGCACATTGTGCACATGTACCATAAGACTTAAAGTATAATAATAATAAAAAAAAAGAATGGAGGAATACTTACCAAGCAAAGGTAAAGCAAAATAAATAAATAAATAAATAAAGCAGGAGTTGCAATCCTGGTCTCTGATTAAACAGACTTTAAACCAACGAAGATCAAAAAACACAAAGAAGGGCATTACATAATGGTGAAGGGATCAGTGCAACAAGAAGACCTAACTATCCTAAATATATATGCACCCAATACAGGAGCACCCAGATTCATAAGGCAAGTTCTTAGAGACCTACAAAGAGACTTAGACTCCCACACAATAATAGTGGGAGACTTTAATACCCCACTGTCAATATTAGACAGATCAACGAGACAGAAAATTAACAAGGATATTCACAACTTGAACTCATCTCTGGGCCAAGGGGACGTAATAGACATCTACAGAACTCTCCACCCCACATCAATAGAATATATATTCTTCTCAGCACCACATAGCACTTATTCTAAAATCAACCACACAATTGGAAGTAAAACACTCCTCAGCAAACGCAAATGAACAGAAATCATAACAAAGGCTCTCAGACCACCGTGCAATCAAATTAGAACTCAGGATTAAGAAACTCACTGAAAACTGCACAAATACTGGAAACTGAACAACCTGCTCCTGAATGACGACTGGGTAAATAACAAAATTAAGGCAGAAATAAGTAAGTTCTTTGAAACCAATGAGAACAAAGACACAATGTACCAGAATCTCTGGGTCACAGCTAAAGTAGTGTTTATAGGAAATTATAGTGTATATAGGAAATTTATAGCACTAAATGTCCACAGGAGAAAGCAGGAAATATCTAAATTCAACACCCTCACATCACAATTAAAAGAACTAGAGAAGCAAGAGCAAACAAATTCAAATGCTAGCAGAGACAAGAAATAACTAAGATCAGAGCAGAGCTGAAGGAGACACACACACACACACACACACACACACACGCACACACACACACACACACACACCTTCAAAAAATCAATGAATCCAGGAGCTGGTTTTTTGAAAAGATTAACAAAATAGATAGACCACTAGCCAGACTAATGAAGAAGAAAAGAGAGAACAATCAAATAGACACAATAAAAAATGATAAAGGGGATACCACCACTGATCTCACAGAAATAAAAACTACCATCAGAGAATACTATAAACACCTCTACACAAATAAACTAGATAATCTAGAAGAAATGAATAAATTCCTGGACACACACACCCTCCCAAGACTAAACCAGGAAGAAGTCGAATCCCTTAATAGACCAATAACAAGTTCTGAAATTGAGGTAGTAATTAATGGCCTACCAACCAGAAAAAGGCCAGGACCAGATGGCTTCACAGCTGAATTCTACCAGAGGTACAAAGAGGAACTGGTACCATGCCTCCTGAAACTAGTCCAAACAATAGAAAAAGACGGACTCTTCCTAACTCTTTTTATGAGTCCAGCATCATCCTGATACCAAAGCCTGGCAGAGACACAACAGATAAAAGGAAATTTCACACCAATATCCCTGATGAACATTGATGCAAAATCCTCAATAAAATACTGGCAAACCGAATCCAGCAGCACATTAAAAAGTTTATCCACCAGGATCAAGTGGGCTTCATCCCTGGGATGCAAGGCTGGTTCAACATATGCAAATCAGTAAACGCAATCCATCACATACACAGAACCAGTGATAAAAACCACATGATTATCTCAATAGATGCAGAAAAGGCCTTCAATAAAATTCAACACCCCTTCACGTTAAAAACACTCAACAAACTAGATATTGATAGAACATATCTAAAAATAACAAGAGCTATTCATGACAAATCCACAGCCAATATCATACTGAATGGGCAAAAGCTGGAAGCATTCCCTTTGAAAACCAGCACAAGACAAGAATACCCTCTCTCACCAGTTGTATTCAACATAGTATTGGAAGTTCTGGCCAGGGCAATCAGGCAAGAGAAGGAAATAAAGGGTATTTAAAAAAGAAGACAGGAAGTGAAATGACATCTGTTTGCAGATGACATGATTGTATATTTAGAAAACCCCATCATCTCAGCTCAAAAATGCTTTAAGCTGATAAGCAACTTCAGCAAAGTCTCAGGATAAAAAAATCAATGTGCAAAAATCACAAGCATTCGTATATACCAATAATAAACAAACAGAGAGCCAAATCATGAGCAAACTCCCATTCACAATTGTTACAAAGAGAATAAAATACCTAGAAATAAAACTTACTAGGGATGTGAAGGACTTCTTCAAGGAGAACTACAAACTACTGCTCAAGGAAATTAGAGGGCACACAAACAAATGGAAAAACATTCCAAGCTCATGGATAGGAAGAATCAATATTGTGAAAATGGCCATACTGCCCAAAGTAGTTTATAGATTCAATGCTATACCCATCAAGCTACCATTGATTTTCTTCATAGAATTAGAAGAAAACTACTTTAAATTTCATATGGAACCAAAAAGGAGCTCATATAGCCAAGACAATCCTAAGCAAAAAGAACAAAGCCGGAGGCCTCATACTATCTGACTTCAAACTATACCACAAGGCTACAGTAACCAAAACAGTGTGGTACTGGCACCAAAACAGATATATAGACCAATGGAACAGAACAGAGGCCTCAGAATAACACCACACATCTACAACCATCTGATCTTTGACAAACCTGACAAAAACAAGCAATGCAGAAAGGATTCCCTATTTAATAAATGGTATTGTGAAAACTGGCTAGCCATATGGAGAAAACTGAAACTGGACCCCTTCCTTACCCCTCATACAAAAATTAACTCAAGGTGGATTAAAGCCTTAAACATAAGACCTAAAACCATAAAAGCCCCAGAAGAAAACCTAGGCAATACCATTCAGAACATAGGCATGGGCAATGACTTCATGAATAAAACACCAAAAGTAATGGCAACAAAATCCAAAATTGACAAATGGGATCCAATTAAATTAAAGAGCTTCTGTACAGCAAAAGCAACTATCATCAGAGTGAACAGAAAACCTACAGAATGGGAGATAATTTTTGCAATCTATGCATCTGACAAAGGTCTAATATCCACAATCTACAAGGAACTTAAACAAATTTACAAGGAAAAAAAACAATTCCATCAAAAAGTGGGCAAAGCATATGAACAGACACTTCTCAAAAGAAGACATTTACGTGATCAAGAAACATATGAAAAAAAGTTCATCATCACTGGTCATTAGAGAAATGCAAATCAAAACCACAGTGAGATACCATTTCACGTCAGTTAGAATGGCAATCATTAAAAAGTCAGGAAACAACAGATGCTGGAGAGGATGTGGAGAAATAGGAGCCGGGCGTGTAAATTAGTTCAACCGTTGTGAAAGACAGTGTGGTGATTCCTCAAGGATCTAGAACTTGAAATACAATTTGACCCACCAATCCCATTACTGGGTTTATACCCAAAGGATTATAAATCATTCTACTATAAAAACACATGCACATGTAAGTTTGTTGCAGCACTATTCACAATAGCAAGACTTGGAACTAACCCAAATGCCCATCAATGTTAGACTGGATAAAGAAAATTTGGCACATATACACCATGGAATACTATGCAGCCATAAAAAAGAATGAGTTCATGTCTTTTGCAGGGACATGGATGAAGCTGGAAACCATCATTCTCAGCAAACTAACGCAAGAACAGAAAACCAAACACCATATTTTCTCACTCATAAGTGGGAGTTGAACAATGAGAACATATGGGCACAGGGAAGGGACCATCACACACCAGGGCCTGTCTGGGGGTGGGGGCAAGGGGAGGGATAGCATTAGGAAAAAATATCTAATGTAGATGACGGGTTGATGGGTGCAGCAAACCACCGTGGCACATGTGTATACCTGTGTAACAAACCTGAACTTTCTGCACTTAAAGTATTTTTTAAAAGTAGTAAAAAACTTAAAGTATTAAAAAAGATACTAATTACATTCAATAAACTATTTTTTTTGGTTAAAAAATTGGTAACTGAACAGCAACACCATTTCAGAAGTATCTTCTTATCCTGCCATTCACATAATTATTCTCAAACTAGTCAGTAACTTCAGTGGCTTCTTTAGGCAAATGCAGGTTTAATTTATTAAAAGCTCCTGAAATCTCAACAGCAGAAGGAATACCAATGCAGCCAAGTGACTCACTTTTAAATTGAATTTACTTCATTGCCATACTGCATGGCCAATCTATAAACCCAGATCTTCTCCAAATGCATTGGCCTGAATGGAAAAAACAAACTTTATTGGTAACACCTTGAAAGTCACTTTTAGAAGCCTTGATTGCACCTAATTTCAAATATGTCGTTATGGTTTGAGGATTCTATTAAAATCCATTTTATTCTGCATACAGAAAATAACAAGATAATGTTTCTGCCTAACATAATGCAACTATCCTGTAATTTTTTTCGGATTTTAGACGTTAGAGATGTTAGATTTTAGGGATTTAGGCTAGAGGGATTTTGTTCTTTAGGGATTTCAATATTTGGGACTTTGGCATTCAGGATTGTGTCTTCAGGATAGGATTATTATCCAAAATCTGTATGCTTTTTGAGAGGTCCTCGTGAGTTTAAATAATACAGTCAATGAAGATCCTGTCAAGAAGATGACATTGTGTGAAGATTAGAGTTAGCTGCTACGTAGATCTAGAGGGAATGTATTTCTGGCAGGTGAAAGATCAAGTACAAGACTTTGCAGTGGAAACCAATCTTATTTGAGGAACGGCAAACAGATCAATAAAGATGGAGAGGATGTGAGCAAAAGGGAAAATAGAAAGAAATTAAGTTAGGGAGGAAACAGGAAGGTCAAATCGTGTAATGTCTTATGGCTTTTAACTTAGATTTTGCTCTTAGAGAAGTGCAAAATTTAAGCAGAGGAGAGACACAATCTGGCTTATATTTCAAAGGATAATTCCGGCTGCTGCGTTGAGGATGAACTAAAAGGCAGCAAGGGTGAAAGAAGAGAAATCACGTAGGAGGTAATTGCTGTAATTCAGATAAGAGGTGATGAAGGCTCACAGCAGAATGATGGCACAAGTGAGGAGTCATCAGATTCTGGACTTATCTTGAATCCAATGGAATTGACTATTGATGAGATATGGGATATGAAACAAAATGGAGAATCAAAGAGGAAACCAAGGTTTGGGGGCTAGAAAATCTAAAACATACAAAAATCCAAAAAATAAAAAATAACCAATTGCATTGTCGCTGAAATAGAGAAGCTCTGGGAAAGTGAATTTGCTTCAGGGGATATCACAATTCCATTTTTGGACTTGCTCAATATAAGCCACCTTCTACCATCCCGGGAGAGAGGCTAAGTATGCAGTTGAGGCTGTAGTTCAGGAGAGAAGCTTGCTCTAGAAGTACCAATTTGGAAATCATTAACATATAGATAACATTTAAAGACAAAAACCTGAGTGACTTTCCAAAATAGTAAATGTAGACACACAAAGGAGGTGCAGAGACATAAAAAGGTATTTAGTAGGGATGGTCAATGCAGTGGTAAGAAGATCAGAGAGCTTGGCTTCCGAAAACCAAATGCAAAAAGCATTTCAGAGGAGGATGGACTGATCAAGTGACAAATGTTGCTAGCAAGTCAAGTGAGCTGAGCACTGAGAATTAAAAACTTGAATTTATCAGTGATGTTTTTGACAAGAAGAGTTTTGGTAGAGAAATGACAGAAGAAAAGGCCAACTTGAAGATAATTCAAGAAAGAAAGTGGACAGGGACTGGAGACAAAATACTGTATAGACAATACTGCAGAGGAATTTTGCTACTAAGCAAAGCAATGAAAAACATTTGTGGAAGTGGGGATATCTAAAGATGTGTGGGGCGAGAATATTTTTTCTTTTTATGTTGGAAAAACTACAGCATATTTGTCTGTTGTGAGTTAGTAGAAATTAGTACACACACACACACACGTATATGATTAATCGGGGAGAATTGCTAATGTTCTCAAGTAGATTCAAGGGCATTGAATCTAGTGCACAAGTCTAGCAGTCAGTCCTATAAGGAAGCAAGAACACTTCTCCCAGACTAACAGAGAAGAACATTGAGACTACAGGCAGAGGTACAGATCAGGGAATAGGCGTGGTATGGGGAATGTAGAATTACATCTTAATCACTCTATGTTTCTCAGAGAAATAATGTCATCAGCTGCATATGAGGAGGCGGAGGTCTGAAGAAAAATGGGAGAGAGAGTGCACCTGGGAAACTGGATTTCCAAAAAGCACAAAGAGCAAAAATTCTTCAGCATTGTTGTGAATTTATTTGATTTTACCAAAGAAGTACACAGAGAATGAGACAGACCCCTACGAACACGTTCTCCTAGGGAGAACGGCTGAGGAAAATTTCATGTTAGTAGAATGGTTGCGTGTGTGTGTATGTATGTGGAGTACGTGTATGTGTGTGATTTTGCATATACTGAATTATAATATCCTATCCTCACTCCATATACCATGGGATCATCTTTCAGCTCATCGAAGAGATTTACCTTATACCTTGTAAAGCTAGCCTCTCTTTAAAAAGCTATTTTACCTCTTACATGTATCTCCACTATGTACAAATGCAGCATTTATTTATTGGGTTTTTTTCCAGAATTTTGCTATATTAAATGCTTTAATAAGCGTCTCTATAATATATATTTATGTATCCATGTCATTACATAATTAGATTGAATATAAGAGATGAAATTGCCACATTAAATACTTTTATATGTAAGTAGAGATACGAGGTTGCTGGGATGTCTACATGTAATAAAAACAATAAGGAGACATGATATAACAATCTATAACAGTATCACAGTCTTCCAAACCATAAGGTTTCAGGTATGCTATCATCAAACCATGCTGAAGGATGAAGTTTCTAATTCTCCATACACCTTCCTAATTTTCCAGTACCTTTAAACTAAGCAATGAGCCATCTCATTAACTTACCATTCTCTACATCACATTAACAATCTTTTTAGATATGGTGTAACTTCCTGTGGTTTCTAAGGAACCACTCTGATCACCTGATTTATGGCTATCCTTTCAATTAGGAATTCAATACAAGTTTTATGCGTAATTTTATATTAATAACAGAAAACAAGTTGAGAATGATTAATAAAGTGTAAAAGCAACTTTATGTAAGCCATGAAAATGTGGACATATGTTACTTTTGTCCTTGATTGTTAAAATGACAAAACTCATTAAACTTGAATAATGAGTATTGATCAACCACTTTCAATGTACTGTGCACCAATGTCATACAGGACATTATTTCCAGTTTAAATTGGATGCCAACACATATTGACAAATAAAAAGTAATTGGCTATGCAACCATGATTATAGGCCATATTAATCTGTTAATGAATTTTAGCAAGTATACAGTGTTAGTAAAGAATGAGATAATCAAGTATTTCCAAATTACACATATATATGGGTAACAACCATAGTTTAAGCCGTTTTTAGAGCCAGAAGTAAGGTGAAAACAGTAGTCTGCAGGATGGGCTGTGTGCCACTGCATCTAACTAAACTCAACTAGTAAAAATTATCCTAGAACTCTGAAGTTTCTATTTAGACTATTCAACATGTCCCATATATGCCTGTCTCTTGGTGCAAATATTAGAAATTGAACCAAATAAAGACCACCACAGATGAAATTATCAGTAACACAAGGATATGCTTTTAGACTCTCATTGAAATAATCAATGAAGCAAGAATTGATCTGTCTAGCCACACAGCAAAGAGCTTTTCTAGCATTTATGTTGAAGTATTAGTGTAAAGATGTCTATTAATGGGATAGGTGTTATAGCTGCAGAAACAAATAAAGATTATATTCAAATACATAGAAAAAGTTTGAGCATGCAATAGTTTTTTTGATAACATCTCCAAGCACAAACACATGAATAGCTATATAGATATAAATATACTTTGGTACTTTTGTCAAGATGGTTTGCAGGAAAAAAAAACCTTGAAGTCACTCTAACATCCTTTGAATCTTTTATGTAAGATACACTTAATTGGTCCTACAGAAGTAAAAGTCACTCAGAGCAGATAACAAGCAAGACTGAAGCAGATGGTAAATACCACATTGTCATCTATACGAGGCAAGTTGAAAGTGGCCGGTGGTGAAACTGTGTCTTTTGGAGCCAGGCAGAGGCCCCCTCCAAAAGGTATGATTTCATCACCTGTCACCTACAACTCTCTACAATTCTGACTCTAAATATAGGAGGTAAAAATTATATAAGAAATGAATCTTTCCCTGAAGGAACTTAGAGTATTCTTCTCCATTACTCTATTAGGCCATTCATGCATTGCTATAAAGAAATACCTGCGACTGGGTAATTTATAAATAAAACAGTTTTCATTGGCCCACAGTTCTGCAAGCTTTACATGAAGCATGGTGCTGGCATCTGCTCGGCTACTGGTGAAGCCTTGGGGAGCTTTTGATCATGGCAGAAGGCAATGGGGGAACAGGCAGGTCACACGTCAAAAGGAGGAACAAGTGAGTCAGAGACAGAGACAGAGAGAGAGACAGAGAGAGAGAGAGAGTGGGGAGGTAGGTGCAACACACTTTTAAACAAGCAGACCTCATGTGAACTCAGAGCGAGAGCTTACTTATCACCAAGGAGATGGCCCAAGCTATTCATGGGAGATCCACTTCCATGACCCAAACACCTCCCACCAGGCCCCACCTCCAACGCTGAGAATTACTTTTCAACGTGAGATTTGAGTTGGTACAACTATCCAAACTATAACAATTACACATTCTGTGTTACATGAAATAGTAATTTTATTGCAATTTGAGAAGACAAGAATATATATGTACACACACACATTTGTCATATATATATATATATATATATAGAGAGAGAGAGAGAGAGAGAGAGAGAGAGAGACGGAGAGAGAGAGAGACATGAACTAGTAATTCTAACAGTAATTTCCTGTGCATTCTTGGATTAAGAAACCACGAAAATATATTTTTGGTATTGAGAACAATGTTCTTCAATGTCAGAAGAGGGAGTTACAATATGGGTATAGAGAATTTTGGAATAAACTTTATGTGTTCAAATGAAATTAGAGATATAAGTATAAATTCATAGTTTTCAACATCTATCTATCTGGTAATAAATATAGTGTACTTATATAAGTATATAAGCAAATATATATCTATTCACACATATAAACATACATTTATCTATGTTTACATATGTGTGAATAGGTATATATGTTTTTGCTAATATACTTATAACTATGTATACTAATATATGTATTTGCTTATATACTTATAACTATGTAAACTATGTATGTCTACATAGTTAAATATATGTTTATGTGTATGAGTAGGAATATATGTATTTGCTTATACATAGCTAAATGGATGTTTATGGGTGTGAGTAGGTATATATGTATTTGCTTATACATAGCTAAATGGATGTTTATGGGTGTGAGTAGTTATATATGTATTTGCTATGTCTGCCAGCTTAAAGAGCGTTGAAACAATTACACCCAAGTAGAAATGATCACTCCAGAGCCCAGATCTTGGTTTTTACACTCCATTATCCACTAAAGGAACCCCCAGAAAAATGACCTATTTCAGGCTGGGACAATAAAAATACAAGGTAATTCAAGAACATATTGTGTCAAACAAAAAAAAAACAGGTACTCAAAGATTAATGATCACATGTCCAAAGGATAAAGGAGTCAGAACGTAGCAGTTGCCACTGGCCAAATCTGACACAGCTTTTGAGCATTAGAAAAATGAGAATAAGAGATTATAACCCAATAATTAAAGAAAAAGGATCCGTGATTCCATACATCAGTTAACGAATTAATTGATGAAGGTCTGTCACTTGGGGTAGAGGGAATAGAAGTGTGTTCCTTACAGTAGAAATCAACACGGAAAGAATAATGTAATTACAAAATAACTATTTGGTAATCATCCTAATAATAATTAAGGCAAGAATCAATGGTGAAAACTGCAAATGGATTTTGATAAGTAACCGGATATTTTCACCTGTTCGAATGATCACCTCTCAATTTACTTACTGCTTACAAAGTAAAAATATTAAATTTTTAATGGACAAAGCTGACATACAACAACTTATCCAAGGTTGACATCACCAGAACAGGACAAATTGACCTCAAACCTCAGGAGGTGATGAACTCAAAAGAACACTTCTGCATATTGTCACCAAAAAATGCAACAAAATGGAAAGAGTTTCTACAAATAGCTGGTCAATATTTGTACTATTTACAATGACTGAAGAAGTTTTTTTATTAAAGGGTAGAAAAGGGACATGAAAATTGAACGCAAGAAATAATCAGAAATCTGGCTATTTTGAAGGACACTATCAAAAATGATTGGTGAAATTTGTTTAAGTTCTGCAGATTATCTATGTTTCCATGTTTTTCTGATTTTATAAGTATACAATGGTTATGTAAAATAATATATTTATTTTTAGAAACTATAAAGTATGTAAGGGCAACATCCTGTAACAAATACTATAATAGCCTCCCCAAATGAGAAAACAATATATTAATATAAAGACCTGTGTGTTCGTGAGAGAAAGAGAGAAAGAAATAAAAGATGAATATTACCATTTAGAGAATCCAACTGAGGAAGATGCAGGACTACTTTGTACATTTCTTGCAAATCTTATCTGAGTCTCAAATAATATGTCCAAGTAAAAATTTAAAATAAAATAATGCCAATTATTATATGGAGCCTTTTAGAGATTTCAAATGAACATCATAATATGGAAGGACCTGCAATTATTATTTGCAAAATTTTGCTTAGCTTTTATTTCCAAAATATCTGATAAGTAGTTACGTGTGCCCACTTGATTGTTGCCATAAATTTCTATATTGTGAATTTAACAGTATTTGCACAGCTGTAAAAATGACTGATCACTTATTTCCATTCCAAAATAAATGCATGCATATCTTTCAGGAATATCCTAAAAAGAAGTGTGGTGATATACAAAGCAAGATCCAGACATCCTATGTTGTTTCTGGATAGGCTGTGGTCCTACAGCCGCTGCTTAGAAGTACTACATGTTGGTAGCCAGTACATATGAAGATGTGGAGAAACAGGCATGCTCTACATACTGGTATGGGCATATAAAATAAACAACCTATCTGTAGGAAAATATTACAATATATATTAAACTTATGAACTTATCCTAGGAAAACAATCTGTTAACTGAAAAAAAAGTGTGAACAAATAGTAAATACTATATTATTTGTATAGTGGAACCCTCGAGAGCAACTTAATTGTCCACAGTATAAGATTGATCTAGAAATAGAATACATAAATGCCATAAAACTCTGTATAGAATACTAGTTGAGAGTCTGAGTACCTAACTTGGACAGCCTAAATTCAAATCTCGTCTTTGTTACTAACTACCTGGGTAACTCCTGTTTAAGCCCCAAGTCTTCCATCATAGAATTACTGTGAAAGAAGATAAAATATGCATTTCATAGGGTTATTGTGAGAACTAGTGCATAAAATATTCAGCACATTGCCTGACATGAGTTAGATGCAAAATGAAATCTAACTATTGTTTTATTATTAAATGATACTCCCATAGTACAACATGCTGCAGCTATTATATTCCATGGTGTCAACCTATTTGCAATCTATATTAATTTTATATCATTTTTAAATATAATGTTAAAGTGAAAAAGTCAGTTTCAAAAAGCATTATGTGTGATCCTGTGTGTGTGTGCATCTACACAGAATTAATCAAATAAGGTATAGTCTAAAAATTAGTACAATATTTGTTTTTTGAATATGCATGTAGTATTTTCATAATTATAAAAAAGGAGTGTCGTTTTCATTAAAAAATATGCCGCCATGAATACTTAACCCCCTCCCCTTCCTCTCAATCTTATTATCAATTTTTATTGTTCACAGAAACAAGAGAGCCTAACACTTCACTACAAGGGTTATGAGTGACGACTCTGCACTTGACGAGAGTATCCTTCAATCACTCACCTCGAAAGCATCTCTCATTCTGACTAAATAACCAATGTGTTTTATGCGGACATTGCATTTTAAATTAATCTTTGAAAATTTACACTAAATTTTTTGAACTTTGCATGATAAAATTGTAGTATATTAATAATGCCTGTACCTAAGGATTTTTTAAAAGCTAAATATGCACTGTGTTTGTAGGTGCTAGGTGGGAAGCAATTTCTACTCAAACAAAGAAATTAGGTATAACAACTTGTTAAAGCAAGAAAGTAATGCAATTTTAATGCAAGTTATGCTTTATGAAAAGACAACTATTAAATAAGCAAAAAATGACTATACTTTTATAAGATGTCATTAGTGATACAGCACACCATTATTTTATGTCCTACAAAAGGAATTAAAGTAAAAATGATTTCTTGTCATATTTATTGTAATATGCATCCTAACTTCAGAAATGTTAAATATGAAAGAAAATAAAACCCACCAAGTTTTAGAAGAATATCTCACCGTATTTCCATAGAGGCCACATATCTTAACATTGTGTTACGGAAGTTACTGCATCACATCCTGTGAGATGCATTAAAATGGAGTTTTATTCTTGTTTGATTACTGACTATCAACACAATTTTCATAATATTGAGTCAGTGTATATGACGAAAAGGGTTAAAGCTCTAAGCAAAGAATATTTCTATAAATCGCATGCATAATTAACACATGAAGGGCTAATAAAAATTTGAAACACAGAACTTTTTTGTTTTCCTTTTTTCTGGCTCAAAGCTAATAAAACAATAATCTCTGCACAAATGTTTTTTCTTCCCCATCCAAGATAAACCAGTGCTTAATGGAGAATCGAGAGCCTTATTATGAAAACTGATCTAAATCAATAGTATACAGACAGTGGTTAATGATGCTCGGCAGCTTTTTCAAATGCGTTTCCTGAGAGCATCACATCCCTCTGGCCAGGAGTTATTGGGCACACATCTTGAAAAGCACACTGTGACACAGAGAACGCGTGCAGATGCCTGGTGCTTGAGACGAAATTTAATCACCTCCTGCTTGTGACCATTTGGCAGCTTTAGGAAAGTTCTCTCCCGAACTAACTCTCTGAAGCCGAGCTATTAAAGTGCTAATTAAAGAAAGTACATGGAAGACATGAACGCTAGGAGTCTGGAGTAACTGGCTACAAAAAAGACAAGGCTGAAACACATCACTTTGTCTGCTTGTCCTGATTAGACTCTAATTCGAATACCAATATTTCACTGCACGCCAAGGTGCCCTGGGAGGGTATCTGCCTCTCTCTCGGCTGGATGGATGGCTCTTGTGTGAAAAGGGAAAAATAGCAATTTTGTTTTATAGTTAATCCTCTGACACCCTCAGGATCAACAGGGAAGTCCACACAACCTTTTCTGGGCATCTTGATATGACTTATTAAAGATGATGGGGGGGAAGAAAATGAAAACAATCTAATGAAACCAATAAGGAATTCTGTGCCATAGAAGTTACCAACAAGCCCATCATGAAGCAACAGTATTTACAGTTGAAGTGCTTATGTGCTGCCTATAAACAAGCTCAAAACAATGCATCTATTTCTCATCTACTTTTAGCTTCTTTCATAAATGAGACACTTACACAACGATTGGTCCAGAGTAGGGGAGGAAAAGGAATTTGAGGGGAGGGATGTATCTGCAAAAGTTTTGAAGCGTCTATCACACCCTAGACAGTTAGCTGTGCACCATGTACGCACCATTTTATTTAATCTAACCAATAACCCAGTGAAGTTGGTATTATTTCTCTCTTGATTGATGAACAATTTGATATAAATAGGTTTATGAATATACCTAGGATGTAGTATAAAATACTCAGTGAATTCCAATTTTTAAGTATGAGGAAACTGTGGAGCATGGAGGTTTATTTTTGTTTGTTTTGCTTTGTTTTTTTGCTTAGAGCACATAGCCAGTTAATTCTGAACCCAGAATTTGAGTCAAAACGCTCTTATGAAGAGGATATATGAATTGCCATGTACTAAACATGACTACAAATTATTTGATCACTAAAATTGGACTTCAATATTAATACAATTAAAGTAAATATGATAACATTAAACAACACAAATTTAATCCTTAGTAATGCTTACTGTTTCTCCACTATAACGTATTTCGGTCACTAAAAACAGCCCAAAGCCACACTGTTCAATGGGTGTTGAAACAGTGACATCATCTTTATATATGAATAGGAGCACATTACTTATTTGCTCAACAAAATGAGTCCCATAATATTTTAAAGACAAGCATGCTCCTATGTCATGCTTTGTAGAAAAACTGAACCCAAGTAAATATTTAAAGCTGAAAAATGCCTCTGAATTTGGCTTATTTACTAGAATTCATTTTTAAAAGTTCATTGTCTTTGACGTAACTTCTTATTTTAAGCTTGGAATGCAAGATGTTTTTGGAAGCCCAGGTTTTAATCTAGCACACAAACTTCAGAGGAGAAAGGACGTTTCTCTGCAAACACATACCAAAAAATCATGTAACGTTGTAAACTAAAGTCCTAGAGGAAGACGTGAGAAATCATTGAGCCCAGATTCTTTGCAGGGAAAGGGCCATAGGAAGAGGTTTCTAGTGATGGGGCAGCTGAAAAAGGAATTGAGAAGAAAAATAATAGAATCTTTTTTTTTCTTTTTCTTTTTTTTTTTTGAGACAGAGTCTCGCTCTGTCACCCAGGCTGGAGTGCAGTGGCGTGATCTCGGCTCACTGCAAGCTCTGCCTCCCAGGTTCACGCCATTCTCCTGCCTCAGCCTCCCGAGTAGCTGGGACTACAGGCGCCCGCCACCACGCCCAGCTAATTTTTTGTATTTTTAGTAGAGATGGGGTTTCACCATGTTAGCCAGGAAGGTCTCGATCTCCTATCCTCGTGATCTGCCCGCCTCAGCCTCCCAGAGTGCTGGGATTACAGGCGAAAAATCATAGAACTTTTAACTGACCTGATATAATTTTCTCTCCCTCCTCCAGTCACCCTTCACTAACTTCTCTTTGAAATATCAAATAAAGTTTACATTTGTCTTCGTATCAGTGAGTTATTTTTAAGAAGTTGAAAGGGCTGTTGAAAAAGCATCCGTGAGCCAGAGGAAGAAGGTACCATGATAGAGTGTCTAGTGTTTCACAGAAATAGGAAGGAGTAGATGAGGGGAACTCTTAGTCACGTAGGAACAGAGAGCTGACTGATGACACAGAGCTGTGCTTCAGTTGGTAAAGGGGTCAGAATCAATGCCTGGATTATATAATCAGGAGCCAAGACATCTGAAAAAACTTTCAATATATGAACTAAAGAAGAACAAGCAATCAGCGCAGTCTTGCAGGAGATCTTCCACCACCATCTCAAAGTGAGCATAATTCCAGTTCCTTTTTGCTTGTTTGCTCATTTGTTAAGTAATGGCTGCATCTGTTCTTTTTGACTTCCATTTCAAAGTGAGAGTTTCTGCTTCTGGGCAAGCCTAATCCTTCTCTGTCTTGGACTTCACACAGTGCTACAAATCTTAGTCCCAATGTTCCTCACAAAGGTCATCAGGAACAGCACTGTCTGAGACAGATACCCCCTTCTAGAGTCCCATTGAGCCCATGCACATCTCCTTTCTATCACTTATAGGTTGACCAAACTTACCGCAAATTGTGGCTGAATGGAGTCAGTTTCTACGAAAGTGGGAGGTACCCCATGCCAAGCAAAGAGGATAAAGTTCTGTAGTAGTCTTCCCCGGAGAAATGCTGCCCAGCAAACAGAATCGAGTGAGTTCCAAGGCAGTGAGTAATGGGAATAGAGGAGGTGAGAAACATGGGACACCCCTACCCCATTTCCAGAAGACTGTGAAATCCTTGATGGCAGGGACATATACTTTTGTTTTTTCTATTTTCAAAGCTTAGTCCATTTCCTGGTTTGTGATATGCATGTTTCGATATGTGTGTTTCCTATGCTGAAAAATGAATTAACTCCTCAAAGAACAAGCAAATGAACATCCAACCAATTTATTAAGACATGAAGGATTTAACATTTTGATGTTTTTTAAATAGATAACACATAACAGTTCATACATAGAGCACAAAGATCTATTTTAAAAAGAGCAAATCATAGCTGCTCTGGGGAAGCCCAGTGGTTACAGTCAAGACTCTAGCTGAGGTTGTACAATAAAACGGTGGCTGCAAGGAGTTAGCTTGTGCCCTCGTCGTCTCCCTCTGAAAAATGGTGCCAGAGAAGCAGAATCACACAGTGAGTAATGGGGCAGATAGGAGGAGGGATGTTAAACTGAAGCATGTGAGGATATTGGGTAGACCAGACAATCCAGATGGTCTTAGACATAAACGTGCAAAACAATGTGTCAGTGAAAGAGCACAGAACAAGTTGCATCTGACAAGAAGAGGGCGGCAGCAGATGGATTTTGATGCACTGAAGTGGGACTCTAAATTACCTCCTTTACAGTCTGCAAAGGATCAGTGGCCCTGCCCCACAGGTCTTGAGATTGATACCATTATGCTTCTTCTCTAAAGATGTGTATTTGCAGCACCGAGGTAGTATCAAATAAATTATTACATAATACTGCAGGTTTGTCATCCTTTATATTTATTTAGAATGTTGTGTTTTTCAAGTACTTTTATAAAAATTACTAAGAACAATGTCTTGAGAAGAGGAAACTGAGACAGGTAGGAAATTTGTGGTCTAGCATGTTAAATAATCCCTAATATCAAACAGGCATATATTGGCTAAAGATATCAACTAGAATTTAAATGTTTTTCTCTGGCACTTTCCCACAGCATGGACGTGTTTCTCCAAGGCAGCATATAGACATAGGGGCCATATAGACAGGCTTGAGCATTGACACCTAACTTAAACATCATACAGGTTAACCCAATGCTATTACAGGTGAGCAATGCATTAAAATGTAACAAATATTTTACCAACAAGCATAAAACCACACCAACTTTAAGCAAACATCATTAAGCAAAAAGTATATTTGAAATCAATTTTACAGATTAAGACTAATTTCAGGAAGGACTGTACAAAAGGAAAATTAAGAAAATAGGTCAACTTAAAGGAGAGGCAAAGTTAAAAATTATTATCAACCATTTCCCCAATGACTTGAATTACCTCTGGATAATAGCAATATGCTTAAAACATAGCATATTATGTTTCTGAACGTAAGTGCATTATAAAACATGATATACTTTTTGGAAACATAAGTGTATTATTTTTGTGCTTCCTAACAAGTTCCCACAAATTTAGCAGTTTAAAACAAGTCAGTTATTATTAATATTTCACAGGTGCTGGGGATTGAGAATCCAGGCAAAAGAATTAGCTGCACCCTCTCCTGAGGGTCTCATAAGGTTATAGTCAAGGTGTTGACTGGGCTGCATCCTCATCTGGAGGTTCATCTGGAAAGGAATGTCCACTTCCACAGTTACTCAAGGTTTGGCAGAATTCATTTCCTTGCTGCTATGGGACTAAGGGTCATGGATTCTTTTGGACTGTCCGCTAGGGGTTGTCTTCAGCAATTACAGGCCACCCACAGCTCCTTGACATACGAACACTTCCATCAAGCCAATAAGAAAATTCTCTGCTACTTGAAGTCTCTCAACTCAGGGAAGACCCAGTCTATCCCTTAAGGCTTTCAACTGATTACGTTAGACACACCCAGGATAATCTCCTTCTTGATCAACTCAAAATCTACTACGTTGGGATCTTAATGAATTACCTCTGTAAAATCCCCACCCTTTGCCACAGTGTAACATTCCATCACTTTTTCTACATTATATGGGCTGGAAGCAAGGTACAGGTCTCGCTCACGTTCAAGAGGATGGGATTATAAAGGTATGAACACTAGGCTGAGGATTATAGGGATTCACCCTAGGGCATGTCCAATACCACTGATATCAGGCATTGTTAACTAGGGAGAAATAAGCTATTTTGCAAGGGGCAAGCAGGAGTGAATGACCTAAACTGTTTTTATTAAAAGGCTTTAGTGCACTTCCCTATTAGAAATAATAAAAGGGCCTTTAAACTAGTTCATATGGAGATACTCTTTTACTATTTTATCACTATTGCTTTTTATGTCTGTGCAGAATCTACAGTAGCTCAGCTACAATATTCCCCCCTCAGAACCCCCACCTCTGCCCACAACAAGGCGTTACTGAGGTTGCTTTCGCTTGCTTACTTTTGACATCCTCAAAGTTGTAAATATGCAAATATGATAATCATTATATTATTTACAAAGGAGGGAAATACTACCTTTGACATTAAATAATTCAAATTTATGTGAGGAATTATATGTATAAGGCCATAAGGTCACCTTTATTAGCTCAAGAGAATCAGCCCGTATGGAGGCAATAATTAGCTGTTTGTGCCAGAAAAGAAAAGCTTATAGAAGTTATTTCAAGGAAGAATTTACTCTTTGTGTGTGCATGTGTATCTGTTTATCTTGAAACTATAATCTGAAATACCAGAAGTAATTGGGCAAAATATGTCATCTTAAATTGTGGCTACATTTCAGTAATTTTTAAAGCTGAAAACTTATTAGCAGTGCAAAGTGAGAAAAAGCGCATTTGCAATGAAAGATAAAATGCCTTAAATGGTGCTGCATTTTTATTCCCAATTAATTCCCAAATAATAAAATATAAGCATCTTGCTTTCTAAATGACACCTTCAGCTATATTTAAAATCCTGACACATATAGAATAGAAAAAAAAAATTTGTATAACTACAAATATAGGATATATACTAATGACAGTAATGAAGCATCATTTCTGGGATATTTTTTCAAATTTAAATACAACCATCATGTTTTATATATTAATTAAGAAACATTCAAAAAAGAATTTATATTTTCAACTTTGGCATCTTTTTCTCAATACTGAAAAATGGAGTCTGATATGACTTATAATTATTTCAATTAAAGGGTAATGGAAGGGGAGTTATGACCATGTTGGTAAGGAGTGGTGGCCCTGTGCACTTTGAAAAAATATTGTAGTTAGTCCCCATTTCCTCCATTCAAGAACAATTACTACAAAAAAAAAAAAAACTATAAACATGCAAAGTCATTGCTCTGAGATAAAACACAGGATTGATAACAGTTATTTAAACTTTGTTGGCTCTTAAACCAGTTTTGACTTTTCTTTAACTTTAATAGCCTTTTAAAGTGTTCTTAATACTTTGAGACTGAGAAGTTTCTTCATCTCTTCTTGGATATTAAACATCAAGACCATAGGCTATGATTCTGTTGCTCCTGGGAGAAAGAAGATCTCAGGGATAGAGGGAAGGACAAGAAATCACTGTGAAAGCGATGAGGAGAAGGAAGAGACAACTCTTGAAGACCTCCAGGGGAGCTGGACCCTAAGCCACTTGCTCTCATACTGTTGCTGGTGCCTAGAACTCACTAACACTTCAGATCTGCAGCAAGAATGTATATGATATTTAAAATTTTTGTTTGTACCATATGTGTTAAAACATACTTTTTGAGTGAGTTTTCATTATAATCTTTGGTTTACAATCTATCGTAATATAAATATATCATGTGTTTTGATCCATAATTATTAGCATAAAAGTATAGTTGTATTGGAAACATTCTTGCTAATGATGGGCATGGAGCTGTTCTTAACGCATTCATGTAACCACAGGTAAGTATCATTTTTGATACACTTAGGATTCTGCACCAATTCCATTCCTACACTCTGTTTTTGTTTTTATAGAAGCAAAAGCTGAGAGATCTTTTTCACCTTAAATAGGTTGATGTCAAGAAAAAGAGCATTGTTTGTCTTTATGACGCTGAAGTCTCTAAAACCCATTCCTATTTTTTCTAACAATACTCTTATAACCATTTGCCATCATAATGATCAGCTGGACGCTTGATTAGTCTTCCTAAAAATCAAACTGGAAATCGCCTATCTTAGGAGCAGTTTTGCTATCAGGTCATTGGAGCTATTCACTTTTTAAACATATAATACTTTGATTTGTGTCTGTGCTTGGCATTTCTGAGGTTTAACGCCATGCACATTGGGGGTTGTTTTGAAGGAAAATCCAGGATGCCTGTGAGGTCTGTCTTTTGAATAGAGCAGTAGAGAGATTCTATGAAAGGAGATATGGAAGAGTAGAATGGGAGTTTGGGAGGAAGCTGACCTCGCACCTGTTCTCAGGCTAACCCATCTCGGGAAAGAAGGAAAATAGAAGCTGAGAATCTGAAAGATTTGAAGACCACCATTGTAGGCAAGTCTACTTCTGAGCTCTGTTAACTAGGAAGTTCCAATTGAGCAAACATTCCTTGTATATAGATAACCATACACATGCTGTTTCCATTTGACAGATTAAAACTTCATCAACTTGGCTGGATGCAGTGACTCATGCCTGTAATCCTAGCACTTTGGGAGGCCAAGGCAGGTGGATCACTTGAGGTCAGGAGTTCAAGACCAGCCTGGCCAATATGGTGAAACCCCATCTCTACAAAAATACAAAAATTAGCCAGATGTGGTGTTTCATGCCTGTAGTCCCAGTTACTCAAGAGGTTGAGGCATGAGAATCACTTGAACCTGAGAGGCAGAGGTTGCAGTGAGCCCAGATTGCTCTACTGCACTCCAACCTGGGCGACAGAGTGAGACTCTGTCAAAAAAAAAAAAAAAAAAAAAAAAAAGACGTAATTACCTTATATTGCTCAACCTATCACATGGCATACATCGTATGCTTCACATCACAGACACATTCTGTGCCAAGTAGGTATAATTATCTTTATTTTATGGATGAAGTCACTAAGGCTCAGAGAAATTAACTGACAGTCTTATAATAACAGTAAATTCTCTCCATTTCAGTGTGATGTTGTTCATTAAAGACAGGGAAAAAAATCACAATGTATTAAATATTCTAAACATGAACATGGAAGTTAATTCATAATATTTAAATCACACACAACTCTGGGTCTTTTTCCTGGTGGAAATGGTTTTCTGCATCTTTATGGATAATCCAGCCCTTTCTGCTGAACCAAAGTAAGAACTAAAGGTCATTATTTTTTGTGGAACCTAGTCCAAATGATAAGGGTTGTCACAATACATTTAGATATCAAAGTACAGTGCCATGAGTCAGATAAAGCCAGAAAAGGGGGAATTTTAAAGAACTTTCTTCTCATTACCACTATAACGATACATCCTAAATGGTGAGCAGCTAACTAAAATGCACAAAGTCTTTAACAGTGTGCTTGTGGAAATACAATACAAACCTGAATTTTTTCTTCAACAGTAAATAAGATTTAAAAAACATATGGGCCACATGTATAAGTCTTGAGACAAATTAATGCCATAATATGAAGTATTGGGAAGCCAATACCTCATCAATTAGAGAAGGGAGGACACCTGGAGAATGTTTACATTCTGTTGACATTGGGAACACAAGAACCAAGACACATTACAGGTAGAAGAATTTAAATTATTAAAATTAAAATTCCTCAGGGGGTCATATTTTATTATGTTCTCTATAAATAAGCGAGAAGCTGCCTGATATTTTCCTAGGCTCTTAATAAGCTATTCAATATAAAGTTTTTATTTTATATTTATTGAATGTTAACTACAAAGTCTGTATAATTCAACCTTTAATTAAAGACCTCACAGAAACATTACAGTCCATTTAAATTGCAGAATAAATTTGTGGCAAATAAGGGCTTTTCTCACTGAACTATGTATAACACATCCATCAGGCCAACAATAACAAGAACAGACATATGGGAGATTTTGCTAAAATGCTAAAGCCCCAACTTTTTCAGGGTCGAGTTTTTCTTTCTGCAGGTAATAAAAATAAATAAAATCACACGCATCCAGAAAAAAACACATTGCTGTTTGTAGAAGTGACACAATGGGCTTCTGTGATGCAGTATAACTGACATTTATAAATAAAATATTCACATTTAATACTGAAAATTATTTTTTACCTTACTTCAACCTATTAAGGTAGGTAGGTAGGTAGGCAGACAGATCTATATATAGATAAATAGATAGATAGAGCTTTATCCTCTGTTCTAATTTATCAGATTCTCCTCATTGCATTATGTTATATGCAAATTTGATCCATGTATCTTTTAAGTAGTTCATGAGAAGAGGGAGTGTTCGGTGTAGCAGAAAGAGCACTGATTTCCGAGTCTGGAAAGCTGGGATTGAATCCAGCTCCATCAGGAAATCTATCAGCCTTAGTTCTATTGCTGCTATGGCAAATTATCACAAACCTTGTGGCTTCTAACATAAATTTATTATCTTACATTTCTGGTGGTCAGAAGTCCAAAATGCTCTCAGCGGTCTAAAATCAGGATGACATTCCTCCTGGAGACTCTACCGGACAAACCATTGCCCTGCCATTTCCAGCTTCCACCAGCTTCCCGTGTCCCATTCCTCCCTTGGCAAAGCCACCAGGGCGATGCGCGCTCATCCTGCTATCTCTCTGTTGCTCTCTGTTCTGCCCCCTCATTCACTTACAAGGACACTTGTGACTCTATTAGGTCCACCTGGGTCAACCAGGAGAATCTCTTTATTCAAGGTCAGATTATTAACAGCCCTGATTCCATCTCCAGCTTTAATTCTCCTTTGCCATGGACCTAACATATTTGCAGGTTCTAAGAATTAGAAATGAACATCTTCCTTGGGGCCATTATTCTGCCTACCACTCTATCAGATGAAAAATTGTATGGAATCTGAGTGTTCACTGCCTTACATAATGAGATAAGTAACCTTTATTTATAACAAGAATACAGAATAGTATAAGGTAAAGTTCTTAGTGTCTGATACAGAGTTGACACTTAAAAATATGGGAAGAAGTACTGAAGAAATTGTATAAGATTCCAGTAGGTATATAACCCAAGTTAATACTTATCCATGCACTGTTATTCTTGGGTAAGACTGTTCATACTCCTGAGAACAGAACTAGCTGTACACTCATTGAACTTCCCCATTTAACAAAGAAACATACTGCTTTGTCAAATATCATGCTAAACATCAATGTAGAGAAAATCTAGTGCAAGTCCTCATCAACCTATGAGATCCATCGGACAATTGTTGTTATTTGTGAAAACAAACTGACCTATAATGTATTGTTAAAATACTCATTAACAAATGCATAATAATTGTTCTGGAATTGTGCTAACCAACAACATGAAGATTACCAGTGCTTGAAGGCCAGTTTTCTTCCCTCTGTGTAAACTGGAGCAATTATCTATTTACAGTGTTCTTCACAGATTTTAATGATATTTTTGTTTAAGTTAGAATATTTGACCTGATCCACTTAAAACAATCAGATGAAACAATATAAAAGACAAAGGGCAGACATCCACTTAACACAGGGTGGTGAGCACATTACTGATGATTTTTCAGCATTTTTAAAATGTAGTCCTTGAGGGCATAAAATTATTCAGCAGCTATATGGTCTTTATCTTATATTTCTAGCATGAGAGATGCAACTCACATTTGATAGTAAGTTGTATTATATACATCATACATATAATAATAGGAACTTAATAATACCATACTAAATTAATTAAAATTAAATAGAAATGAGGGACTTTAGCTTTCTCTCTCTAATCTATTAACAGAATGTTTAAAATAAATATAGGTTTTATGCATTTTATAGAGTATTTTATGTGTGCTAAAAATAACTTTAAAATATTGTTATCTTTTATAAGTTTTAAATTTATTTTCAAATAATCAGGATTTTATAAACTTTGCGATGACATATTTAAGTTACTTTTAAAAATGGTATTCTTATTTATCTTTCATTTTTGACATGCTTTTTAAAAATAGTGGTTTCTAAGAAAACTCCCCATGTAACTCCATTATGGTCTGTATATATGCTTCTGTTTTTAGTGCATGAAAGTTTTACTTTCATCTTCATGTTCTATCAGTTGTTAACAATATTTCTCAAAAATAGTACTTTGACCTTCAGGTCTGTATTTTCTCTCATCCTTTTCGAAGCTCTCTTTGGCCTTCTATGACTTTGCTTTCTCCTAATTTTTCTCTTTCCACTTCTCTGACATTTCCCTTTCTGCATGCTTTTTTCTTCTGAGTTCTTATTATAGGCATTCCTTTTTTTATTTTATGATTTTTCTCTTTATTTCAACCACACCACTTCACCTCTGTCTCCAAATTCTCTATTTCCGAGTCACTCCTGAGCCCTGATTCCTTGTTTCCAATGAACTGCCAGAATGCCACACCTGGGTATTTATAATGCGCTAAAATGCTAGTAAAGTGGTTATTTGGCATGTAGGCAGCATCATCCCTCGATTATTTCTACTGAGCAGTCACGATCACAGTTTACTCTTGGCTCACATTAGCTTGACTAAGGCAGGACAGTAATACCTATGCTCAACTGAAGGTACATGTATTTGCAGACGTTTGTTGAGCTACACTTTTACTTTATCTCTTCCTTCGAATAAGTTTTACCCTGCATTTAACATGAGGTTAGCAATATTTATGTGTACTCTCCTGATAAAATTGTTAGGTCACTTGTATGCATTTTGTGAGTATTAGCATGCAGATATCACAGCATAATAAGAGTCCTTCTGTTTCCAATTACAGTCTTCTGAGAACTGCCAGTCTTGTGAGCTCTTCTGTTCAAACCTCAGCACTTGAACTTCAGAGTATTTGATACAATATCCTTGGAAACTTTACTCTTTCACTGCTTGAAATAAAACAAGCTTGTTCCAGAAAACCAAATTCTATTATATAATACTGCTTAGAAAAACAGGTCTTTGCTTCCTTTTTGTTTTCTTTCCTTTTCCAAATAGTTAACCTTCCTCTAGATGGTGATAAGAAAGAACAATCTATTTCTGATTCTTTTATTTTCTACCTAGAACTTCAAGACCACAGCAGATGTTGATTCAGAACACTGCATGCCATCCTATCTCACCTCTTTTGGTACCACCTGTTATTGAGAAAAAGATACACTGAAGTTAAGAACAGTTGGTGATCTTCAAAGTTAATAGCTAAAGATACCTCTTAAGACCTTACAGAAGCATGTTTTGGATAGATGGAAGATTGATTGATATGCTTAGTGCTTGATATAAAGTTAACACTGAAAGCATATTTGGTGAGTGAAGTTCCTGCTATATAGCCTTCAGTGAGGAGTGATTGAAAACCATGAGGTGACTTTGATTCCTGGAAACAACACTGGGATTTCCTTAAGCTATCAGTGACCAAGTGCCCTTCCTGGATTACACTAGTCCACTGTTCTTATTTAGGAAGCCTGCTTTCAATGAGACGTTTCTGAGCAGAAATTTAAAATGTGTGATTTGTATTGTCTCAGAATTCTAATAGAGAATTACTGAGAAATATGCAAAGACTGTTCTCATCTCTTATGATATATACTACGCTCATTAAAGTATTCTTTATTCACCAAGCATATAAATCCCATTCTACTAAATAGCATTTAATCCAATAAAGACATTTTTTCCTTACTAACAGAAGTTGAATTTTATGCCAGATTCATTAACTGCAGTAATATATTATTCTCTATCAATGATAAGCTCTGGTACAGTGAGTTTAAGACACCATTGAACTTTTACAAGCTTCTCATAATCTTGACATTCTTTCATTTAAGCTTCCCAGAAGAAAGGACATAAAAGTATGGTGTCAATGAAGTAGATGAGTTTGGAGAAAATACTAAATGTGAACATTATATGATTTTTAGTATATTGAGTCAGAAACTAGATGTATTAGAGATTCATGTTAAATATGATACAAATCTGATAAAACATAAAGTTTCCTTAAGATGCTTATCATTCATCACCTAAAAACTTTTAATATTAAAGCTCTTATGAAACTCTAAATGAAAACAAAAATGAAAATTATGGATGAACTCATCCATCTAAAATACTTTTTACTTTTCTCAGTAAACTCCTGGAAGGACTTTCCATTCAAGTGAATGTCAAAGCCATTATTGGTGGTACATCTAACAATTCCATTGCTTTGTCAATGTTGCCCAGCCTTTAAATAGTTATCATTTATATTCAAAGTATGTTCACATAAATATTGGATTTGACATTTTTCAGTGATATTCTAAACTTAAGCATTGATCAATATGGTCACATGTTGTTTTTTCATTTCATTTTTTTTCCAAACCATGGGTCAAAACAGTTAAATTGATGGATTGTATTTTTTAAATATTAGAAAGTGAGACAATATTAGGAAAAGCAGGATTTCTTAATATTATTTCCAAAGTTCCATATATTTATGGACTGAATAGCAATGAATACATATAAATAATTGCATATAGTCATTATTTGAATTTGCATTTAAAGTGGTTTCATATACTAACATGATAAGGCTATCCAATCAAATAATAATTTATACTAAAAATAACAAAAGAATTTATATTTGTAATATGTTGTATGTGGTTGCTTAAATGACGTCTAGGTTTTAATTAAAAACTCCCTTTGTAGAGATCTATGATATTTCCATAATTTAGTTCACCATGGCAATTTGAGGAGAGAAGAAAACTTATTACTAATTAATTTTAAAGCTATTTCCATTGGCGCCTTTATTTACAATCCCTTTAGCTCAGAATTCAGAAATTATATTTTCTAAGGTAGAGTAGACTTGGACAGAGAAATAAACCTAACTAGTTTTCTTTGTTTATTAAGACTTATCTTCCACAATTGAAAGGAACTAGGGAAACAGAAGTATGTTCCTGACTTACTAGACATCTAAATTTTCATTGTTATAGTATTTATTTAATCTTTGGAATTTAATTCATCAACACCATGGCAAATTTCCCACACAAACACAAAAATTATTAATTATAGGACTTAGTAAATCTTAATCACAATTCTTTGTGGTATAAGCCATTTGTAAATAATTAAAATATCACCAATAATATCCAAATCTGTATCACTTTAGATCAATACCAGTAAAGCAGCATCACTTGAATCACTTGACATGTGACAATTAAAATAACAGTTGTAGATATATCAAAAGTCCATAACCCCTTAATAAGCTTAGGCACCTATTTTTAGAGACAAGTTATACATATACATACATACACACACACACACACACACACACACACACACACACACACACACAGAGACAGAGAGTGTGTGTGTATATATACACTGTCTCTCTCTGTACACACACACACACAAGCGTACATGTTTCAAAAACGTGTGGCTTAAAAGTTCCAAGAGACCTGTATTTTTGACTTGTAGGGTTTTAATTATAAGTTTCTTTTGCTTTGGGTAATTAAGTAGATATATTTTTATTAAGTGAGCAATATCAATGCCCACTTCTAAGAATGCATAAATGAGCGTTTCTTTTTTTTCTTTTTTTTGTTTTTTTTTTTTTGAGACGGAGTCTCGCTCTGTGGCTCAGGCTGGAGTGCAGTGGCGCGATCTCGGCTCACGGCAACCTCCGCCTCCCGGGTTCACGCCATTCTCCTGCCTCAGCCTCTCTGAGTAGCTGGGACTACAGGCGCCCGCCACCACGCCCGCCTAATTTTTTTTGTATTTTTTAGTAGAGACGGGGTTTCACTGTGGTCTCAATCTCCTGACCTCGTGATCCACCCGCCTCAGCCTCCCAAAGTGCTGGGATTCCAAGCGTTAGCCACCGCGCCCGGCTGACCGTTTCTTTTAAAGTTTCTTTTTCAATCAACCTAAAACGTAGGTAGCTGCAATTCAGTAAGGTAAAATCTAGTTGAAAGTCAATGGAATTTAAAATAAAGTTGCATCATAAAAGTATGCTTACATATATATTTCAGTTCATATGTACATACACACATTTAAGTTATAAGAGTAAATTAAGTGCAAATGAGGAAAAAAAGAGTAAGAAGTAATAAGACTATACTTATAATCAGGGTTAAGAAACAATATTTTTCCAAATACAATGCAACATTTGGTTAACTATACATTTTCGATGTTGGCAGCTCTATGAGTATATAAATTCAAATGTCTCTCCTACAGATGAGGCATAGGGCCCCCTACATTGTACATTAGAGAAAGTGAGTTCCTTAAAAATATATCCTATTTTCTAATTTTTAGGATTCTTTAGTTGTAAACCACACACACCAAATCTGGCAAATCTGAATAATAGAAAGAATACATTGTATTTATGTGTAGAGGTTAAAATAATTGCTGAGAAAGCTGAAAAAAAATCTCACAATTAGAACAGGACCCAAATAACTACAATAATTTGTGAAGAAGAACTAAAGTTTAGTTAATTCATAGTACTAAACTGCTTTTTTTTTGTCCACATCATTGGTCAAGAATCACCATCCAGGAAGAAAACTTAATTGACTTAGTGAGATAGAGGACTTAACTTGTCTGCGTAAATCCTCCTTTCCTACTTCCCGACCTCAAGACAAAGCTACATTTCCCAGCTTCACACGTTTGTCAGAAGGTTCTCACGTGGCCACATGATAGGAGGGCCATTCTACCATGATGGTAGAATGACGTGGGCAATTTCCAGGCCTCCATTTGACACCCATGTGTCTTTGCCTTTCTCTCTTGACCTGCAACACAAGCAACGCTGTCACTCTGAAATTCATCATTTTCCAACAGACCAGGACAAGGCTCTATGAATGGTGCATAAATGAGACAGAAATACCCAAAGTCTCTGAACGTCCTTGCCAAGAAGAGCCAATTTGGCCTATTGCTTTGGTTAATTCACGACACACACACACACACACACACACACACACACACACACACACACACACAGTACTCTAAGTTAGTAACTGCTGAACTTGCCCTTTGCATACTCTCTGGATATATTTGTACTGCTACTTCACATGTATAATCCCAAAACAAGAGTGTATGAGTTCAGATTTTGGAATTCTTTACAAATAGTAACTTAGTGAATGGATCATTCCGCAATTTGCTTTTTTTGTTTCTATTTTACCTTTGGAAATTTACCCATGCCGATACATGCAGTCATATAATGTCTGTAACTCTAGTACAAATCTATTTTCTATTATTTTCACTGTAAGAATATAAAAGATGAAATGTATCATTCTCTTTAAAAGGTCATTTAATGTGCATACTATATATGTGCACGTATACATATGAAGGATCTTCAAAAAAGTATTGGAAAATGCATGTTATAAAAAGACTATGCATGGATTTCAAAAATTTTTGGAACACCATAAACTTGTACTAACTTGCTATAAAACATATGAACATAATCTAGCTTGTGGCACCACAAAGGATAAAACGTCATTTTGAAAAGAGCTCCTATCAATATATTCTGCTAAAATACTGAATATATAAAAATAAAAGGAATAGACATTAAACCCCATTCAATTATTTTTTAACTTCATATACTAATTTTATTTTATAAACTGTTTTTAAAGAAACACATAACAGGTACTAGTATTTTAAAACCATTTAGTTGTGAGTGGCAGTAATTGAAATATTCATGCGGCAGCTTTTAAAATGAAAATTAACTTTCTTACAGATACTGAAAACATTTGCAAAAATATTACTGACATTCTTGGCAATTAAGTGAATACATGAAGAAAGGAATCTTGATTTAATGTGGATGTGGGTGTAAGGTAATACAATTCTATGCAAATAAGAAAAACTTTCAAAGAGTTTCTGAAGAATATATGAAAAACAAATCATTACTCAAAGATATAAAATGCTGTTTAATGAAGGTACTACTCCTAAACGTTATAGCCAAAAGGACAGAAGAAAATGATAGAATGATGAAAAGTGGAAAGCTTAGTAGTTCAATATTTGAAAACAAACCAAAAAACCTTGATTGTAATGACTTTATCACCAGGCTCTAAATGAAACTTGAGCAAGTAAGAAAATCTTGTTTTTTTATAATCAGATTCCTTCACTGTCATAAGTCTATTGTCCTAAAATAAGTGCAACAACACTATGCTACATTATTTTCTTATAATAGACAAGAAAAAGAAAGTATTGTAAACTAGACTTGATAATGAGGTAACAGATAACATTTCCACCGGAGTTCATGCTTATATATGAAATGCTTTTCAGAATGTGAAAACAACATAGGTACACAACTTCCACTAATATCTCTTATGTATACAAATTGTTTATGAGGTTTATCATTTTATTATGTACTTTGTGTTTTAAGAATTGAACAGAACACTTTACATAATTATCTTCTTGTTTGACCACAACATCCCATTTAAATATGTTCAATTATTATATTATTGTAAGCCTCAGAAACTTCAAATATTTGGGGGGTAGCCAGATGACTTCTTACTGTTAGAATTGAGATTAAAACAAGTCTGTTTAGAGAGGGGAACAACACACACCGGGGCCTGTTGGGGGTGGGTTTTGAGGGGAGGGAACTTAGAAGACAGAGCAATAGTTGCAGCAATCCACCATGGCACACGTATACCTATGTAACAAACCTGCACATTCTGCACATGTATCCTGTTTTTTTCTTTGTTTTTTTTTTTTTTTAGAATAAATAAAGAAAAGAGAAAAAAGAAACAGCTAAACAAATCTCTGGCTTTAGGATTGTTGGAAGAAAACTTCCTAGGGACAGCTGCCCATTTCATCCAGGATCCATTAAAAGGATGGGGGTCACCAATGATACAAGTGACTCCACCCCTGAGCTAGCCAGGCTCTGGGCAGGAGACGTGGGATATTTCTATTTTTTGTCAATATCTCAGACTTTAATAGTTTTAGGTCTCAGCTCCCAAGAGCAAGATCATCTGTCTTGTTTCTATCACCAGGCACCCACACTCCTCTGAAGTCCACTGTTTTTTAAGCATAACTTAATATATGCCTCTGGCTCAATGCACCAACATGGTTGTTCTTTCAGCTGCCCTGATCCATGGGACATATATGCTAGACCTCCCTCACCAGGAAAGAAGGAGTAGATAACGATCACTCCATATTTCTGCACTGAAGCAGCTCACCAGGACAATATCATCACTTCTCTTCCGCCTAGGGTATTTTTTTATTCAGTATAACAGCCATAGGGAGAAAGGAAAGCTGGAGATCCTTGCTTTTACAATCATTTGGTCAAAGTTGATCCTATTCAGATAATAAACTGAACAAGTAAAAAATAAAATAAAATAAAAAATAAACTGAACAAGTATCTTGAAGATGGCTTTTCTTATCTAATGTCATACAGTGCCCTTAAAATGACCCCAGTTTCCAAGAAATAGCCAGATATTTTACAAAATATACTCCACAGTCTGTATTCAGTGCATTACATAATAAATTAATAACAATAAATGAACATACTTTCTGGATATCTTGTACTTTTGCCTTCTATTTTTATATGCACTGTTCTAAATGGCATCTTAGAGAAACAAAAATATAAACAACTGTTATTACCCTTTGTCCTTGAGTATAGAAAGAAAAAATAAAAGATATGGTATTCATATAAAATTATCTTGATGTATGTATGTGTACACTTAACATCAAATAACAAGTGGATCTGAAAATGCATTTCTTTAAAACTGGCCATCTTCATTATCATTGGGAAAATTTTAGTCTACCCTCGGAGCTACATGAGAGGAGTTTGAGAAATTATTTTTTATAAAAATTTGTAAGTATGCTAAAATAACAACATCTAATATATGAAGGATTTCCAAGTATAAAAATTGATTGCAATGACATATGACCAATATTGTTTCACATATGACACTATCTTGTTCCTGTTTCATTACATCCCATGAGTTATTATTAACACATTTACTGAAAAGTTTAGTTACCTTTTTATGAATTATTTTGCAACATGATTACTAACAGATCTCCCCCAGATAATTTGAATGAAAATATTCAAAGCAGACTGCAGACATGTAACATAAATCCTTTGTGTATGTTTTCTTGCAAGGCCAAAATCTGGCATGCAAAATGATATTAAATTAGCTCTCTTCAAGGTCATGATTAGAACATAAATGTCAATGGGAAATAGCAACATTTGCATTTCATATGAGGTGTGACCAACGACAGGTGCATCTGTTACATGGTTCATAAGATTAGCAAGGATTGCTGAAGAGTTACTACCCATTTGATGAAAAAAGAAATATCTAGCGAATTGGAATGCACAGTGATCCCATCATGTTGCTGACTCAGGCAAGCAGAAGTAAATAAGCCATGCAAGACAGAAATGACAATGTTTTAACACAGTTAACAGGGCGATATGACTCAAAAAAACTATAAAATCATGTTACAGGTCAAGGAAACTTAGTGCCCATGTTTTCTAAGCTCCTCATCCTAAGGAGAAAGATATTTATGCTGTGATGGTAGGTCACTTTCCTAGGTCATACAACTAGCTAGGGTCACAGACAGAAAAAGAAGATCAGCCCTTTGATTTCTAATTCACTGTTTTTTTTTTTCCACATTGTTAATGTGTTTTAGAAACTTCATTTTAAGGATAAAATTTAAAACCAAAACAAGAATAAAAACCTCCCACTCAGGGGCTTTGAGGTAAGATCCTTAGCTGAATCTAAAGGAAAAAAAAATCATTAGCCTGAGTTAGAAAAGATAGCCCTCCTCTTCCTGCTAACATTTTTTAACATTTTGCTTTTGATCATTGCTAACAGAGCTCATTTGTACTGCTTCCTTTAATGTTTCTCTACCTCATCCCATCTCACCCTTTAACTAAGGAAGATTTTCAGGTTTTAAAATCAAGACTTGAGCTACCAAGGGCCAAGTAGATTGATAACTAAGCAGGATGCCTTATTAGGAGAAGCCAAAAACATTGAAAAAGTGCAAAACATTCCAGCAAAGATTTCAGTGTTCATTTCTTCTCCTAGTTATAAAGTTACTTCTACTTTATGGCCTAAATTGCTCTCTTGCTAGCTGAAGAATCTCCTCATTAGCATGAAACTATAAAATATTAACAGAGGAATTATTCTTTCTTTGGAACAAGACACCTTGAACAACTTGCCCAATATATTTCCAATTTATGCTTCCTAGCTCATTGAAGAAACTGTCCATCCAAATGGCATTGGAAAGAAGGTAAAGAATCAGCCATGGCAACATAAAACAGCCAATAATCTATTGAAGAATAGGCAGTATTTCATCATGACAGATATTTTTACAGTTGCCCTTGATCATAAATTTACACAGGCACAATTGCACAATTATCCCCCCAAAAACTGAATGCCTTGCAGAAATGTTTACAAAGGTCACACAATATTAACATTTTTGACAGATATTTATTTATTTCCCCTAGCTGACTTGTCCAAATATGTATTTGCATGTATAAATTATCTCAATTATTATGGAAATAAAATAAGGTATATCATGCTGTTTAAAAGAATACTATTTTATCTACCAAGCAACATGCCAAAATCATGAGGAAATATTGTACATTTAATTGGAAGTGTTTCTTTCCTCCAAATTTTCAGAAGCTCTGGTCTTGCACATAGTAGAGATGCAATGTTGGTCTCAGTTAATGTAAAACGTAAAAAACGGAATTTAAAAAGTTGATCTCATGGAGGTAGAAAACAGAATGATAGTTCCCAGAGGCTGGGAAGGATATGGGGATAAAGAGAGATTGGTCAATAGATACAAACACACAGTGAGACGGAAGGAATAAGTTCTAGCGTTCAACAGCACAACAGGGTGACTATAGTGAACAACAATTTATTGTATATTTCAAAATGCTAGAAGAGATTTAAAATGTTCCCAACACAAAGAAATAGTAAATGTGTGACATGACATCCTAAATGCCTAATTTGATCGTTATACATTGTATGTTTGTATCAAAATGTCACAGGTACCCCATAAAAATGCACAAATATTATGTATTAATTTTAAAATGCTCTCACCAATCAAGAAGGGAAAGATAAATGTCCTAACAGAATCATAGGCAAAGTGAAGAAACAGGCTGTCCAATGTAGCCAGGACACAGAATAGAAATTTAGGTTTACTTGTAATTAAAAAAATGCACATAAATACAAGGTCCTTTTTATTTAGCTAAGCACATTGCAACATCCAAATCACACAGACTGAAAAAGGGATAATGTCCTACATACCTGAAAATGAAAATGCATTCCCACATACGACTTGTTTAAACGAAACACAAATTGGCATAGGCTTTCTGGGTGAAAATGTGTTAATGCTACATCCAAAGCTTTAAATTCAGGCATATGTGTTCACTGCACAATTACATTTTTTAGGAATTTATCCTTAGGATATAATCAGAAGTGTTCACAAAAATGCAGTGTGCGCTTTGGCAAAAATGTATTATTTATACTTTTATAGGAAAAAAATGAACAATGTATATAATCCAAACTGAAAAAAGTTAACTATGATATCAATATCACAAAAAAATAGAAATAAAATTCACTCAGTGGTCACTTGAAGTTCAAGTTCATCATATTTCTAAAATGTTAACAAAATGTTCTGTTAAAAAGAACACAAATTATAGATAAATAAACTATTCAGCTTTACCTTTTTAAAATGAGACTGACCTTTGTTCTTTTTTTTTTTTTTTTTTTTTTTTTTTTGGTGAGACAGTCTCGCTGTGTTGCACCCAAGCTGGAGTGCAGTGGCACAATCTTGGCTCACTGCAACCTCCACCTCCCAGGATCAAGAGATTCTCCTGCCTCAGCCTCCTGAGTAGCTGGGATTACAGGCGCCTGCCACCACACCCAACTAATTTTTTGTACTTTTAGTAGAGACGGGGTTTCGCCATGTTGGTCAGGCTGGTCTCGAACTCCTGACCTCAGGTGATCTGCCCGCCTTGGCCTCCCAAGGTGCTGGGATTACAGGCATGAGCTACCGCACCGAGCCCCCTTTGTTCTTTATGTATATAACAAGTCTAAAAATGAATCCTCCTATGAAAGGAAAATATATACTAGGCAGATTGCCACATTTGTTTTTACAGCAGATTGTATTTAAGGCTCCCACATAATCTTTTATGTAGGAAATTTGATAAACATTATCAGATATTCGTGCTCTTTAATGTTAGGTTTGAAAAGTTTATTATATTGCTACCAGACAGTGCTACTCAGGTTTGTTAACAGTTTCATGAGTCCATCTTCCTTGAAAGCCAAGAGTCTCCATTCTATGAAAAGTAAAGCATATGCATTATTAAGAATATTTCAGATTATCATTATGTAAACATGCATCCTGATGATGAAAATGTATCCAATATTTTAGGGGGAAGTTAAACTCCCCCAGTTTCAAGACAACAGTTTCCAAATACTAGTTCCATAATTCACTTTCGATGTGAGACAGCCAGTGGAAGGCAGCTAAGAAAATAGCCACACGGCAAAACAAGGAAACATGATTATTAACGTACTCCTTCAAACCCAACACAGCAAGATTTAAAAGAAATACAGATGGTCCCCTACTTAAAATAATTCAACTTACAATTTTTCAACTTTGCAACGAGTTTTTCCAATGTAACCCCATCGTAAGTTAAGGAACATCTACATTTAGGATACTTTGACTTACCATATTTGGATGTCAAAATGGGCTCATCAGGCTATTTTTTTTTTTTTTTTTTTGAGACGGAGTCTCGCTGTCGCCCAGGCTGGAGTGCAGTGGCGCAATCTCGGCTCACTGCAGGCTCCGCCCCCTGGGGTTCACGCCATTCTCCTGCCTCAGCCTCCCAAGTAGCTGGGACTACAGGCGCCCGCCACCTCGCCCGGCTAATTTTTTGTATTTTTAGTAGAGACGGGGTTTCACCGTGTTAGCCAGGATGGTCTCGATCTCCTGACCTCGTGATCCGCCCGCCTCGGCCTCCCAAAGTGCTGGGATTACAGGCGTGAGCCACCGCGCCCGGCCTCATCAGGCTATTAAATAAAATTTCAACTTAAGATAGTTCTAACTTACAATGGGTTCATTGGGACATAACCCTATTGTCAGTCAAGGAATATCTGTACTTCAAAAGAAATTCATTAAGATTAAAATTAATTAAACCATTATTACTTTTTCTTTTCTTTTTTTTTTTAGATGGAGTCTCGCTCTGTCACACAGGCTGGAGTGCATTGGCACAATCTCGGTTCACTGCAACCTCTGCCTCCTGGATTCAAGTGATTCTCCTGCCTCAGCCTCCTGAGTAGCTGGGGTTATAAGTGTCCACCACCACGCCCAGCTAATTTTTTGTATTTTTAGTAGAGACAGGGTTTCACCATGTTGGCCAGGCTGGTTTCGAACTCCTGACCTCAAGTGATCTGCCTACCTCATCCACCCAAAGTGCTAGGATTACAGGTGTAAGCCACCATGCCCGGCCAACCATTATAACTTCTAAGACTCTCTACAAATTCCTTTCTTAAAGAAAAAGTATATTGACATGAAATGAATCATAAACTCTGCCTTACCACCTCATTGTACAGAGGAGAAACCTGATGCTGAGAGACAATAAGTGCCCACAGATAGTCATTAACAGAAACTATAATTCCTAAACACAAAACTTCCATTCATCTACTTCTGAAAAAAGGAGGAAAGCATTTACAATAATTTCTAGAATCCATATATCAAGAATTACTCTAGATATTATGGAAACGGAATGAAATAAAGTAACTGAAATTTTTTAAAATGTTTTTGGGTTTTTTTTTTTTTTGTAATATCCCAGTCAGAATTAAGTTCATTTAAATTTACTTTACTTAAGAAAAGACTTTATTTAAAACGCCCTGTTTAGGAATTTTAAAATTCTACTTGAAGTTCTTCCTAAAACACAGAATTGTAAGAAAAATAAATTACATTGCTTAATTGTCTTGAGTGAGCATACAGCTGCTCCTTAGGACATTGATTCCAAAGGACTGTAATGAAATTTTATGAAATAAGTCGTGACTTTGTACGGTGGGGCATCTCTTCAGTTCAGGTTCATTACTTATGAATCATCTTTACAAGAGGGAAAGGGCAAAATAAGCTATCATGTAAAGTCTAGCCAAGAGAGCTCACAAATTAGTAGAGAACACACACACACACACACACACACACACACACACACACACACACACACCAGCAAACTTGGGATAGAGACAGAGCTGAAGGTAAAGCAACAGGACTGTCCTCTCTACGTTTAAGTAATAAAACAAGCTACCAGCCTGTTATTCAACATTTTGGAGAGAACCAAAGTCCAATGTACTTAAAATGAGTTTTGAACAGGTTCACACTGAACACAGAGAACTCAATAATGACTGGACTCAAGTGAAAAATCATTCAGTCCCAGCACAGACAGTCACAGGACAAAGAAAAGAATGTCAGCAGACCTGAGAAGATTCTCAAAGTAGAAAGCTCCTAACTTAAACCAAAACAGAGACTCACTTAACTGATGAAGTGTTAGCCCCAGGTTCTTGGTGAGGAGGAACTCAAAGTGGACGTGGGAAGCTGATGACTGAGAATGCTTAAGCCTATGCTCACCATGAACTAAATTTTCAAGAGTATTCCAGTGAGTTCAACTCTGTAAATTATTTTATCCTTACAATGTGAGTTTTAAAATGCCTTTCTTTTTCCTCTCTCTTCCTCCCCGACCCTTCTCTCCTGGTATGTTCATTACTAGACGCCAGTTACTTCAGACTAGATCGTGTTGCTCCAAATATGCAAAGTAGACAAGGGACTCCCACAAGGAATGTTCATCTCCACCTGGATGTTGCACCCACACGGGTGTAATGCTGCACAGCACATTCGTCATGAGGAGCCCAATTATTAAAGCCACGGTGTGAGAATGTATTGGGAAAGTGGAAGTACCATTCACTTTCTGAAGGTGGATGGTAAGACTCATCCGCATTTCTGGAGCACTGGCAGAGGACACAGGAGAAATGAGCGCATGTTTACCTATGCTGACTGCCCCTCAGAAGTATCCCAGCAGAGGCTGTAAAAATAACTCCATCCACTTCCTCTGCCCTGTAGTTTGCTTATCCTTTACCTATGATACAGAATAATCCCAATCTACAAAAGAAGTATTGGTATTAATAATATTAAGCATTTTAGTAGAAAACCAATAATAAGAGGCCATTAAAGAACATAGAATTGTAAATTAAACACCTCCATTTAATTTCTCTCTGCTTCTCTCTTCTGTCTTTGGGTTCTCTACTTAACCATAGAGGGTAAGCCGGGGAACATCTGCTTACACGTGCTCTACTAACAACTATCTTGATGATCTTGGTTCCTTATTTAATTCTTATAAACCCATACATTGTTTTCTAAAACAAAGATCTGAACACTTACTTCAAAGATTTGTTGTGAAGTTGAAATGTGAAATATGCGCACTAATTGAAGTACATTTTTCACAATAAATGGGGGCTATTCTTACTAAAAGGGCCACTAGTATCTGTGATTTTGAAAATCCTAAACTTGATACAAATTATACAAACTTCCATAGCTTGGAAAAATTCCACGATGATATACAAATGTAAATAAAGATATTGGAGAAGTTGTGTGTTCCAAGGAGAGCACCAGAGTCCTGGGTTGTGGCGTGAGGTGGAGGGGGACCCTCTAGGTCTGGGCCTTTCCTACCCACATGCACAACTAGGACTCCAATACAGCTCTGCTCGGTTCATGTGATTATAGACACAGCCATAAAGACAACCCAAGTCCTCATTTTAAGGAAAAAGAAACATATCAGAATGGTGTTAAAGGATTTCAGGTCATTTGAAATGGAATTATTTTCTCCATTTTGTTAATGAAATGCACTACATTTTTACATAATTTTTTGTTCTCATTCAGTTTTAAAATTTGAGAGAAAAACTCCAATATAAATATTACAGTAGTGTATATATGCTGTGTATCAAGAAAGATTATCTCCCTCTGTGACTGTGAAGATGAATGTCATTATATTCTTTTTAGGCACTCTTTTTTGTATTTATTAATGCTTAATAAAATATTAATCACAAGAAAAATAGATGTTTGGGTCATAAGAAGTTTTTTGTGCACCATACTGAGCAGTCTGAGCTAATAATGCAAACAATTTGACATCACAGTAATGAAGGCACTACTATTGTTGGTTGAATGCTTGTTTTACTGAACTAAGCAAAGGCTTAGTTCCAAAGAAATTTTGACTCTAGAAATGTTATTTAAGCCCAGAGACATTTGCTTTCATTAAAGTCAGAAATCTCTTTCAAAGGGTACACCGTTGCCAATTGTATTTACCCTTCATTTTAAGATTAGAACTTTAAACATAGTCCAATAACAATATTGTTTCTTAATCATTAAGCTTGTTCACATAGCTGCCATAAGGTAATGCTTTTGGACATTATAGTTCCATGTCATGAATTATGGGTAATTGAAGGAGTGTATTTAGTATTTTCATTTGTATTTTCAATTTAACATGATGAGTCAGATGCAGGCTGACTGGCTTTACAACTTACTAGTTATGTGACCTAAGGTAAGCTGCTTAACGTTTTTATGCATCACTTTGCTTATCTATGAGATAAGAATAATAATAGGTTAGCACATAATTATATTTGGGAGCTAAATATATGTTAAGTACATAGACTAGAACCTTGAACATAATACCTACTACATAAATGTTTATTATGAATATTAATATTCAGAAACATTTATTAAGGACCTCTTTTGTGCCAGGAACTTTTTTTTAGGTTCAACAAAGCAGTAAAGAAAACATACAAAAATTCCTGTTATCATTAGGCTTATATTTTAATTAGGCAGATGGATGATAAACACTGAAAATAAGGAAAATATCTAGTACTTAAGCGAGAAGCACTAAGGAGCAAAATAAAGCCGAACAGGAAATAGAAAATGTAGGAAGGGATTGAAATTTTAGCGAGGATGGGTATGACAAGTATTAAACAGTGGCTCAGTTTCACTCATCCTTCTGTATGGCTCTTGATGATGCTGACGCTGGAACTTTGCAAACCACATTTCGGCTTTGCTAGAAGTCTTCTTGTAAGGCCCTTCCAATACAGAGCGCTAGAAGGAAACTATGAAATAGGAGGAGGACGAAGGGTCTTTCTACTTCCTGTTTGCTTCCTCTATGTTTCCTGCTTCTGCCACTGTCTCCCTAGCATCACTTTACCCCAGCAGAAGTGGGGCATTGCAGTTGAAGCAGTTGTACCCAGATGTTTTGTTTTGTTTTGTTTTGTTTCTCAACACTTGCAGAAACAGCCTTATCAGATCCTCGTATCCCCAGTAAAATGCTTTTACCAGTTGCTAGTAGCTCTTCCTCAGAAGAGGTTCCCTAGCCATAGGCAAATAGGTTCCTTTCTCTAAGCTCAGAGACACCAACACCAGATAAGCAGCACCTCTCTTCAGCCATCTGGGACCAAGCTTTGTGAGGCTCAGCCTCCAAGCTCATAAATTTTAATCCCAGCCTTTTCCCTTTCATTCCCCAGCACCAGGGATGGCAGCTGTTACCTCCGTGATACTTTCGTGTTTTCATGGAGCCTTTTGCAGTCACTTAGTTAACAAGTCTTTATACCCATATAACACTTTTTCTATTAAATTATCTCTTTAAAAACCTGGCATGAGCTTTCTGTTTTGAGTAGACTGTGACTGATATGATGGACAAGGAGATCCGACTGAGTAAACCTGAAAGAAGTGAGGAAGTAAGCTGTGCGGATTTAGAAGGAAAGGCATTCCGGACAGGGGTAACTGCAAGGGCAGAGGCCTGGAGGTGGGCCTGGGCCTCATCTGTGTGAGGAACAGAGCTTGTGTTTCTGGAGAAGAAGCAGGCGTGGAGTAGTGGGAGCTGAGATCTGAGAGGTTATAGGGGTCAGATTATGGAGTGCCTCATAAATAAGGTGGCCATTACTTACCGTTTGAACAGGACTCATGAAAGGATGTAAGGGGGTGCTATTAATAATTACACAGAGGTTGCAGGCACTAACTTGGACTGTCCTAGGAAAATAGATCTGAATGGCTTTCTTATGTATAAGTTATTGTCAGGACTTTGGTTTTTACTTAAAGTGAGGTATGAAGCTTTAAGAGGGTATTGCATGAAGACATAACTTACTCTAACTTACATTTTAACTGCTCCCATGAGTAGAATAGATTATGCATTTTCTGTAAAATATAATGTTTCTCAACTCAGTATGAATTATTTAACCACAATCTATAATAAATGTGGTAAGGCATACATGGGTTTTAGAGTAGATTTAATAGAGATGTAGACATGCAGGTATACCAGTATATTTATCACTAAATCTAATAATTATTTAACTAAATCAGTCATTACTTTACTAAACTTTGGCTTTCTTTTCTACTTTAAGGAAAATAATTAGGATTTTTGAAACTTTAATATATCAAAGATCCTTAGGCTTTTGACTGTCCAACTAGTTTGTTCCAAATTTCTCCTACTGTTCTTAAGATAGTGTAAAGAATGAATTAGTCTACCTTTATTTCTAGCTAATATTCATCACAGGAGAAAGTAAATGATAGGAGAAAAGTCACAGCTAAGAATTACCAGGGCTAGTATTAGAAACGTTGCCTGTCTTCGAAGCCAGCACTTGCGTGCCGCACCGTGCTACGTGCATTTAACATCCTTTCTAACTAATTACATGACCTTTTAATTTCATTTTAACCATTAAATGTAAAACACACAGAACAGTATGTCCTATGTTAATTTGTTGCTTTGGGGAAAATCTGAATTTTTTAAATGAAAAAAATAAATTTTTGATAGTGAAATTTTAATTATCTTAATTCTTTATTTATTTATTTTTTATTTTTTTAAGACAGAGTCTCACTCTGTCGCCCAGGCTGGAGTGCAGTGGTGTGATCTCGGCTCACTGCAAGCTTCGCCTGCCAGGTTCACGCCATTCTCCTGCCTCAGCCTCGCGAGTAGCTGGGATTACAGGCACCTGCCACCACGCCCGGCTAATTTTTGTATTTTTAGTAGAGACGGGTTTTCACCACGTTGGCCAGGCTAGTCTAGAACTCTTGACCTCAGATGATCCACCCACCTTGGCCTCCCAAAGTACTGGGATTACAGGCATGAGCCACCACGCCCAGCCAATTATCTTAATTCTTTTCCTCTACAAGAGATTGTCCATTTGTACTCAATAGCATCTCTGTTCTCTACTGTGCCCATAAATGGCAAGAACAGGAAGACTGCAAATTGCATTTTACAGACCCCATTGTTATCAAGTTTAGATCCTACCAATGAGAGGACTTACACAAATGGTTCATTATGCATGTGCTCAGTTATGCACATATAGAAAGGAAATATTCATCCATTATCTAGGTAATTCTGTGTCCTATTCAGGTTACCAAAAAAAAAAAAAAAACTCCATTCCTTTTATATTCCCTATATCATGTGTATTGGGTAAAAGAGAGTTTTTAACTATTTAGAGTAATAAAACAGATATATTTCAACACAATTTGGTCTTTTCTTGGTGACGGTAAGAAATCATCTTCAATGGAAAGGAAAACTTGAATTGTTTTAGTCCACTGTGCAATGGCCTTGAGTATCTCCCCAGAAATGGGATAGGTGGCAACTCTAAGGAATACTGAACTAAGCAAGATAATGAAGACTGAAAACAAAAATCATCAGCTAGAATTTTACTTCTCTGATTGATAATCATGTTTTACTGAGAGATATTCTGTAAGTTAGATGTCATTTCTGTTCCCTAAGTCATATAGTACTTATTTTTTAAAAAAACACATTCCAGTATATGAAAAAAATGTGTGCTAACTGCTAGAGTACAATAATTAAAGAGTTGAATTCGAGGAGGAAGGTTACATTCTTATCTTAAAGCAAGTTTTTAATAGTAAAATCATCTTTATCCTCAAATCTATATGGAATTTAATGAAAGCAATCTCTATGAAAGACCTGAGGGATTATTATTTATATAGATAGTAGATTGCATTAGCACACCAGTGTCAGATTCTAATCACCTTCCCCAATGATGAAAATGTTTGATGACTCCCCACTGCCTACTAAATTAAGTCTAATGTCTTCTGCAAACATTAAAGATCGTCCACCATATAATCAAACTTTTAATCATCTCTTGTTCAGCTACATGAATATTTCTTCTCAGCCAGAGTGGAATTCTTGCTATTGTCTGAAGAGGTATTCACATTCTCTACACACTTTTTATCATACTGAAATCACCACATAGAACATGCTTCCCTTAAAACCCGGACCATCCTTCATTGACTGTCTTTCATACCATCTCTTACCTGTAGACATTTCAATTATTTTAATCAATTCCCTACCCCCCACCCAGAGATTATAACTTATTTTTCCACATGACCCTCAAATTTGAGTTTCTCTGCATCTAAATAAGACTGATAATCTTAATATAAAATTATCTTAGTACTTTATAACAATTATGGTATAATTAGCAAATAACTGAATTAATGTAACTATAGAAAACATTAGGGAAGAAATTGAAAAATAATAGTGAGATAATGACAGGTAGGATGAGGAGAGACAGGTAGAATAAGGAGGTTGTAAGAAACTGACAAAAACCTTTGCGTTGGGAGGTGGGGAGGCAATCTTAAATGGACTTACAGTGCTAGCCAAGATAGAACAGCCCTATTCCTCCCAGGTCCTCCTTCTTATAACTAAAAAAAAAAAAAAAAAAAAAAAAAATCCCTGAATATAACACAAGACACAACCATAGAAAAATTCTAACAGATATACTAAGAAAGTGGACCGCCTAAGGACATTGGGACTTGAAGAATGACACAGTGATGGGTTCCCAGGATTTTCCATTTTTTTTTTCCTACATATCTCAGATGAGAAGTGGGGCAAGGCAATGTGAGTTTGCCTCTGCTTCTCCTATTTTCCTGCCTGTGGACCCCAGAGGGGAGCTAAGCTTATACTCCACCGAACTGCAGTGAGGTGGTGAGAGACAGCAGTCCGCTTTTCCCAGGGTGGTGTCAATGAGGCCTAGAAGGAAGCTGAACATTCACCACCCCCTTCTCATACTGGTATATTACAGCTAAACACAGAGACTTCTTGCTAAAAATGGAGATTACATTCAGATACATAATACCCAAAATATCCACAGTACAATAAAATGTCACTGCTTACACTAGGAACCAGGACAACCACAAATTAAATGAGAAAATACAATCAACGGGCACCAACACTAATGTAACTAATATAGTGAAATCACTTGACATCTTTACAATACTGTACAATTATAAACAATCTAGAAACACAATTTAAAAATAGAAAATCTCAGCAAATAAATCAAATATATAAAAAAGCAAAAGGAAATTAAGTAATTTAAAAACAAAATAACCAAAATTAAAACCTCACTGGTTGTGTTCAGTAGTAAATTGAAGTTGACGGAGGAAGGAATGAACTCGAAGACAGATCAACAGGTATTATTTCAATCTGAACAAGAGTGAGAAAATAAAAATAAATGAACAGAGCCTCAAGGACAGACATGGGGGACAAAAAACAAATCTAACATTTGTTTCACTGAAGTCCCAAAAGAAGAGAAAATTGTGCTGAAAATAGTATTCAAGGGCATAATAGCTAATTTGGCAAATTTAGCAGCGGAATTAGGAATTACAATCTCAATGGAGTTACAATTTCAAGAAGCTGAATGAACTCCAAACAGAATAAATCCAAAGAAATCTACTTCAAGACGCATCACAACCAACCTTCTGAAAACTAAAGAAAAAATCTTGAAAGAGGCCAGAGAGAAATAACAAATTATCTATATGAAAACAATATTTGATAACAATCCATCTGAAACCATGAAAGCCATTCTCAAATGCTGAAAAAAAAAGAACTGTCAATTCTGAGTTCTGTATCCGAAGATTCCTGGAAAAACAACCTTCAGAAACGGGGAAAAGAAAGACGTTCTCCCATGAAACAAAACTAAGAAAATTTGTTGCTAGCAAACATACCTTCAAGAACGTCTAACAAGTTATCTGAACTAAAAGGAAATGCCAATGGAAAGAGGCTGAGATTGAGGAAGGAAGAAGGAACAATGGAATGGGTAAAGTTAGATCCAAAAAAAATGAACTGTCCTTCCCCTCATGAGTTTTTAATATCAACTAGCAAAAATGGTAATATTAGCTGATGTGGTGTTCAATGTATATAGAAAAAAGTATTTCAAAACATTTATATTTTCAAAATGGAGAGTGTAAAGGGGCCTAAATGGAAGACAGATTTCTAACCTTCACTCAAAGTGTTAGAGTGTCAGTTCCAGTAGTCTGTGATAGGTTGTGTATGTATATTATATTGTAATACCTAGAGTAACCAGAATTAGAAAATATACAAAGTTACCAAAGAACATAGATAATAAAATGGAACTGTAAGAAATGTTTGAGTAACCCACAAGGAAAAAAAAAAGAGAGAAAGGGAGGAATTGAACTCAAAACAAACAGAAAACAAACAAAATGGAAGGATTTAGCCCCAACACAGCAATAATGACTTTAAGTATAACTGGTCTAAATATACCAATTTAAAAGCAGAGATTGACAGGATTGATAATAAAACTATGACCTAACTACAAGAAACTCACTTGTAGAACAATATCGTAGATTGACAATATAAGTATGGGGGTGTGATGGTGGGGGAGAAAGCTTAGCCTCCAACTGAAAAAAAATGCAAACTTATCTATGATCTTCAAAATTTGATGTAGCTTAGACCAGTGGGAGTGGAGGTAGCAACAAAAATGACATGACTAAATGTATTTAGATGTGTATTAAAAGTGGTGACTCCATTTCCTTAGAAAAAGTGTAATATAACCACAATAATGTGACACTAATGACAATAATTAAATAAACAGAGAAATTTATGCAATGTTCTTGGATTTTATATTTTATGGTATGTGGAAAAGGAAACCCCGTGAAGATTATAACTGAAGCTACTTCTGCTTTATCTGAATGTTAAGAACTGATCAATCCTGAATTTGCTTAGTAGTTTTATACAGAGTGAATAGATGAATAAACTAAAAAGCTCATCGTATATTGACAGAGTTTTTATAACACTACCAGGAACTGGAGAGATAATGGTGTGTCAGACTGAATCCCTACAGATGGAATGTATCAAAAAGTTTCACAAAGGCATCATGCAAGCTAAAACTTGAAGGGCAATAATAACAATAGCCGCAATACTGAGCATCCACAGTGGGTCAGAAAATGTATAAACAGGTAAAACAGTCTATGCACTGAAATTACATATTTGGGATTTTCTTTAGAATATTTTAGGAATAAAAAAGCATTCTAGAGAAACATGATTGGCAAAATATTCATATGTGTTGAAGCTGGTGAGGTGTCAGGTGAGGATATTGTGCTATTTTCTTTACTCTTTTAAGAGTTTCTAGAGTAAATTTTTTAAAAAAAAACATTAGGGCATTTCAAACTGCAGCGAAACAGGCTTAGTGGTAGTAGTAGCATTTCTTCAGATTCAAATGGTTGATAGCACATTGTACTCATTGGCTTATGCAAACCCTCTCTTGTGGTGGTGGTGGTGTTAGATTGGTTTGATTACTTATTTTTTCCTTTCAAATATATTCAATGTATATATTTTCATTTGAATTAGTCTATCAAAATGTGTATTGTCATTTTAGTATACATATTTTCTAACTTACAGTACTTGTATGTCCCTTTTTTCAGTAAGCAATAAGTTTCTAAAATCATCACATAATCTCTGATTCTAACTGTTGCATCATATTCAATAACATAATTCATGCATTTTACTCATCCTCCCACTTGCCTAGTAATAGGCACCATTTTCCTGAAAGTTTCACCATCACAAATAATATCAGACTGAGTGTTCTCAAAGCATAACCGTGCATCTGTGAGAACATTTCCCAGGAACGGGACTGGTGGAGCATGTGAGGTTCAGGTATACAAATTATGCCAAGTATTGCCATAGCGTTTCCCAGGATGGGATGGTTACATCAGTGAATACAGCCATCGCTAGTACATGAAAATGTTTATATTTTCACATGATTGTCAGAACTTGGCATTGTCTAATTTTCTAATACTTTCTAATCAATAGGTGTATAGCAATATCTCATTTTTTGTTTTATTTGTATTTCTTTACTCACTAATTTGTATATTTTTCTATGTTTCATAATTTTTAGTTTGTTTGTTATGTAGGCATAGTCATTAGGGTTGTTCATAAATATTTACTTTAACATCAAAGCATAGGGTAAGATTTCACTTCTCCTCTCTACTACACTTATTTGTAACTGTGTTGTTTACTTTGACTAATGAAATATGAGCAGAAATAATATGTCTCACTTGCAGGTAGGAAATTTAAGTGACAGTGCACATTTGGACCCAGGCTTTTTTCCCTCTGTCATAGTGATGACATAATTTAAAAAAATATATTTTTGATCCCCATTCAGTTGAATACACTGATGTGGAACCTACGGATACATGAGCCAATTCTATTCTCTTTCTTACCACATTTCTGCTAGCTTAGTCCATGTGTTCTTTGTTGGAGAAAATCATTACTGTTAGGTAATCTATTTTTGTTCCTTTTTTTAACTCTATGATTTGTAGTTTTGAAGTTTTATGTAGTGTCTTTCTCTATCCCTAGGTTGGAAAACAGAAAATAGTTGTCCTGTGATTCATTCACTTCCATTGTAGGAGGAAAGCTCCCTAGGAGAAAGAAAAGAAAGCAGGTGACTATGTCCAATCTACTTGTAAGGGGGGCAGCTGTGTAAATTGATTAACAATATTTGCTCAAAAAATATACTTTATAATTTTTAATGTTCTTAGTAGGATATCCCTAACTACAGATTGCTTATCACAAACCCAGAATGCACACAGTTTTGAAAAATAGCTCCCAGGAAAATGTCATTATTAGGTCTGTAAGTTTCTGGGTTATAAAATGGAAATAACTTCAGTATTACTCTCTTTGTGAGGTAATAACCCATGATACCCCACTTGGAGAACTCTCCTATTATTCTGGGCCACTACTTGTCTGATATGAAAAGAAGGACCTGGCAGGCCACATGGGAAGTCCCAGAGCTCTTTCCATCTCAACTGTGCCTCTTTATTGCCTACATCCTTGGGATTATTAAAGTTTGAACTAATTTGTGTGAACCTGGTTTGACAATCTGACACCCTATGTTAGCTCATAGTTATGTCTCCACATTTTCTTCTATTAATTTTATATCATGATATATCTTAATTATGTCTTTATCTAGAGTCTAACTTTGTTAGAGGTGTTGCTAGTTTTATTTTTTTCTCTATGTCATGAGCTATTTTTTACACCACCACATACTTACAAATCTGCTTGATCCATTAATTTGTGGTGCTGTTTTCTTTAATCAAATATCTTTGTTTCTATTTTATCTGTTGGACTATTTATCTATTCTTCAGACAGCATCCACTATTTTACCACATTCTTGATGGAACAGTTTATTAACTACAAAGCAACTACCTTGTCTTTCTTATTCTTCATTATTATTTTTTTTGACGTTTTATCATTTTACTTCAATATTTGTTACTCAACATAAAATTTTAATGTATCAAGCTATTTAATAATCAATTTGGAATTGTTAATTGGATTTTGCTATGTAGATTAATTTGAAGAGAATTTTAATTTAAGAATATCAATTTTACTGATATTTGTATTATTTATATATTATATATTTTTATATATTTATTATGTGTCTATAAATATCTATAAATACTATGATATATTCCTACTTATAGATATATTCCTACTTATATCTATATATGTTACAGATATATAAATACATGTAAATATATAATGTAGAGAGAGAGAGATTGAATTTAAGGAACTGGCTCACATAGTTGTGGAGGCAAATCTGAAATCTACAGAGTAGGCCAGCAGGTTGGAGACCAAGGGAAGAGTTGTTACCATTCAAGCCCAAAGGCCATCTATCTGCTGGCAGAATCTCAACTTCTTTGAGAGAGATCAGTCTTTTTTCTATTAATGCTTCCAAGTGATTGAATGAGGCCCCCACACGCTATAGAGATAAACCTGCTTTACTCAAAGTCTACAGATTTAAATGTTAATCTCATCTAAAAAATAGCTTCATAGCAACATTTAGAATAATGTTTGACCAAATGTCTCAGAACCATGGCCTAGCCAAGCTGACACATAAAATTAACCATCACATCCTAAATTAGAGTTTTAAGATTTTCTCCAAAGAATTATTCTTCAAATAACTATGATTAATTTCAGATGCTTTATGGGTATTATCAATGGATATATTTTTATTATAACTTAATAGCTGTTTTTTGTTATTGTAGAGAACTAAAATTAAGTTGATTTTGTAACTGGCAATCTTATAAATTATCTTATTGCTTCCTAGTTGGTCTTTTTATTCTCTCACTTTTTCTAGATAGATGATAATGTCATCTAAAAATAAGGAGATGACTGTCTTTTCTCCCCACATTTTCCCCCTCCTATTTCACTTTATGTCCTCATAGTATTGGCAAGAACTTCAGCACAATGTGAACCTGTAGCAGTGATAAAATGCATCCTCACCTCGTCCTTGATCTAATTAGGTTTTCTTTTGCATCATTTAAGATAATCATGTGGTATTTCTCCTTTAGTCTGTCCCCGTGATAAGCTGCACTGATACTTTTTCTAATATGGAACCACGTTTTCATTCCTCAGGCAAAGTTTTTCTAGATCCCGACATAATTTTTTTAACTGTTAAATACATTTAGATAATAATGTATTTAATATGTCTTTTATCTAAGTATGTGTAGTAGTCAGTTTATGCATGATGTAATCTAGTAATAAACCAAACCACAATACAAATGGTAAGATTCACTTTTCACTTTGCACATTCTGCTACAGGTCTAGTAGTTCTTCAAAGCAACAATCCTCCAGTTGATAATAGCCTGCAGTAGTCATTTCTAATGTAGTTTGTTAAGGGAATGAACTTAAATTTTTTCTTACATTTAAATGTCTTTAATAAATTTTTCCATTAAGATTGCACTAGCTTCAAAAAAATGAGGTGAAATTAACTTTTTCTATTTTCTAGAAAAACTCATAAAATACAAGAATTAACTGGTTTTTTTTTGAGAGTCTTTGAGGGACACTCTTACACTAAAATCTTTTCCTCTGCAGTACTTATTGATATATCTAAACTCTGTATATTTTCTTGCACTCTTTCATGTTTCTGAAACCTATTTCAATTAGGTGTTCAAATTTATTAGCACACTTCTATTTTTTACAATTTCTATAGCTATTTACCTATTTTCAGTTCTGTATTTGGCTTATTTTAGTTTATTTTTTGTAATCTTGGGTTTTGTTAAAATGGTCTAAATTCTATTAGGTATTTCACTAATTTTCCCTTCATAATTATATTTCATTGAATAAAAAATAATATTTATTATAAATATCACCATTATCTATGAAAACTTGGAACAATTCATGCTTATGTATAGCAAGATGCATCCTGATTTCAGAAATGTTAAGATGTGAGTAAACGTGCATTTTGAAATTTGGAATTGCTCCCTTTTGGTTTATCTTACTTATTAAGTTTAATACTTAGATTACTTATTTTTTAAATTATAATTTCACCATTTATGTATTCAAAACTATAATGTTTCTTCTAAAGACAGCATTACCTTGATTATATTCTACTTTTAACATGCAATACTTTTATTATCACTGACTTCTGCTTCTTAATTAATCTATCATTTTCTTCATAATCAAAATTTAGCTAGTGCCATTTAGTCACAATTATATGGAACTAGTAGCTATTTTTGATAAAGGCATACCCTGGCAATATTGCAAGCTCAATTCCAGACCACTGCAATAAAGCAAGTATCACAAAAAAGGGACCTACACACATTTTTAAGATTCTCCGTGCATATAAAAGTTATGTTACCCTATACTTCAGTCTGTTAAGTAAAAAAAAGCATTATGTCTACGAAAAGTACATAATTTTTAAAACACTTTATTGCTATAAAATGCTAACAATCATTTAAGCCTTCAGTGAACTGTAATCTTTTTGCTGGTTGAAGGACTTCCCTCAAAGTTGATGACTGCTGACTGATTAGGGTAGTGGTTGCTGAAGGTGAGGTGGCTGTGGCAATTTCTTAAATCAAGACACCAATGAAGTTTGCTGCATTGATTGACTCCTCCTTTCATGAAAGATTTCTCTGTAACATGTGATGCTGTATGATAGTATTTTACCTATAGCAGAAGTTCTTTCGAAATTGGAGTCAATCTTCTCAAACCCTGTGGCTGTTTTATCAACTAAATTTAGGTAACATTCTAAATCCTTTGCTGTCATTTCAACAATGTTCACAGCATCTTCACTAGGAGTAGAATCCACCTCAAGAACCACTTTCTTGCCCATCCATAGGAAGCAACTCCTCGTCCAGTAAATTAAATAATGAGGTTAAAGCAATTCAGAAACATCACAGGCTCTACTTCTAATTCTGGTTCTCCTGCTATTTTTACCACATCTGCAGTTAACTACCTCCACTGAAGTCTTGAACCCCTCAAAGTCATCCATGAGTGATGGACTCAACTTCTTCTAACTTCTGTTAATGTTGGTATTTTGACCCCCTTTCATGAGTCAAAAATGTTCTTAATGGCATCTATAATGTTGAATCCTTTCTAAAAGGTTTTCAATTTATTTCACCGAGATCCATGAGAGGAATCACTATCTTTGGCAGCAATACCCTTATGAAATATATTTCTTAAATAATAAGATTAGAATGTCAAAATTACTCCCTGATCCACAGGCTGCAGAACGGATGTTCTGTTAACAGGTATAAAAATAACATTAATCTCCTTGTACATCTCCATCATATATCTTGGGTGATCAGGTGTATTGTCATGAATAGTAATATTTTGAAAGGAATTTTTTTATGAGTAATAGTTCTCAATGGTGGGCTTAAAATATTTAGCAAACCATGCTATAAACAAATATGCTGACATTCAGGCTTTGTTTTTTCAATTACAAAGCACAAACAAAATAGATTGAGTGTAATTTTCAAGGGCCCTAGGATTTTCAAAATAGTAACTAAGCATTAGCTTCAACTTAAAGTCACCAGCTACATTAGCCCCTAGCAAGAGTGTTAGCCTGCCCTTTGAAGCTTTCAAGCTAGGCACTGTCCCCTTCTCTCCAGCTATGAAAGTCCTAGATGGCATCTTCTTCCAACAGAAGAAGGGATTGTATACAATGAAAATCTGTTGTTTAATGTAGCCACCTTCATTAATTGTCTTAGCTAGATGTTTGGGATAACTTGCTACAGAAGGTCAATCAGCCTTTGCTGCTTCACCGTGTTCTTTTGTGTTATGAAAATGGCTTCTTTCTTTAAACCTCATGAACCAACCTCTGCTAGCTTCAAACTTTTCTTCTGCAGCTTCCTCTCCTTTCTCAGCCTTCACAGAATTGAAGAGAGACCAAGTCTTGCTCTGGATTTGTCTTTAGCTTAAGGGAATGTTGTGGCTGGTTGATCTTCTTTCCAGACTGCTAAAACTTTCTCTGTATCAGACACAAAGCTGTTTTGCGTTCTTATAATTCATGTGTTCACTGGAGTAGCTCTTATAATTTTCCTCAAGAACTTCTTTGTATTCATGACTTGGCCGTTCAGTGTAAGAGGTCTAGCTTTTCAGTCTATTTTGGCTTTTGATATGCCTTCCTCACTAAGCTTAATCACTACTAGCTTTTGATTTAAAGTATGAGACACATGACCCTTCCCTTCATGTAAACACGTGGAGGCCATTGCAGAGTTATTCATTGGCCTAATTTCAATATTGCTGTGTCTCAAGGAATAGGAATGTCCAAGGAGAGGGAGACAGTGAACAGTCGGACAGTGTAACAGTCAGAACACATACAACATTTATTTATTATTCCGCATCTTATATGTGGGTAGTTCATGGTGCCCCATAGCAATTCCAATAGTAACATGAAAGATCACAGATGACCCTAACATATATATATATATATGGTTTGAAATAATGTGGAAATTACCAAAATGTGACACGGAGACACTAAGTGAACACATGCCATTGGAAAAATGGTGTCAATAAACTTTCTCGATGCAGGGTTGCTATGAATTTCAATTTATAAAAGACACAATAAAGTGAAGCACAATAAAACACATATGCCTGTATTAATTTTTAAATATATTTGATTAGAGTCATACATCAGTCTTATCATATTAATCGCTTGGAAGACAAAGGGATCCATCTTACCACTCATGTTAAACACTGTACTCAGAACCTATCCATAGAGAAAAACAAACAAACAAACAAACAAACAAAAAAGCATCAAGATGGGAAATAAGGAAATACAACTCTAATTATTCTTATAGGATAATATGGTGTGTACTCCAAAGAAAATTACAAAATTATTTTACTAGAACTCATAGAGAAATTTAGCAAAGTCTCAAGATACAAAGTAAATACGAAAAAAATCAGTTTTATGTCTATATGGAAGAAATAAAAATTAGATGATAAAATATAAATAATGCCCTTTAGAAAAGCACCAAAATATATCATATACTTTTAGTAATAATTTTAATAAAAGATGTAAAAACCTCCCTCAGTGGAGACTAGGGACATTGTTGTAAGAAATTAAATACACTAAAGCAATAAATAAAAATATACCACGAAATTGAATACTAAATACTGAAATGCCAACTCTTCTTAAAAATGTTTTATAGGTTATATGCTACCCCAGTTAAATCCCCAGTATTTTCTTCTTTGTAGAAATTGAAAAGCTTTTTCTAAAATTTGTTTGAAAATGCGACAACATGGTAATGACAAAGATAGCCTTGAAAAAGAAGTTGGAGAATTTGCAGATCTGATTTTAGGACTCACTCTAAAGCGCTGCACTGAAATCATGTGGTACTAAAATGTGGATTGTTGAGTCAGTCAATAGAAGAGAATAGATTGCAAAGGTACATCAACGCATTAGGATTCACTGACTTTTAAAATAATTAGCCATGTAGTGTAATAGAGAAAAGAAGTTTTTGAACAAATTGTGCTGGGAAAACTAGATATCTATATTAAAAAAGTATTAAAAATGTGCTATATATCACACCAGTAAAGAATTAATTTGAGTCACATTGTATACCTAAATAACAAAAAGAAAACTCCAAATCACCTAGAAGAAAATGTAGAAGAAAATATTTTAAGTTTAAGAAAATATTTAAGATAGGACACAAAAAGCACTGACCATTTAAGAAAACATGGATAAACTGAACTTCAACAAAATTAAAAACTTTTGTTTGCCCAAACTCTGTTGAGAAAGTGAAAAGGAAAACCAGCAGATGGGCAGAAAATATTTGCAATAAATATATCTGAAAAAGGATTTGTATATAGTAACAAATATTAAAAACTTGGCTTAAATCGAAAATAAAAAGACATTTCAATTTTTTTTAGTGGGCAAAAGATGTTAGCAATTCAAAAAAAAACAAGAATTTCTATAAATGACCAATAAGCACATGTGATACTACTCCAAATCCAGTTATCAGATAATTGAAAATGAAAAACCAGAAGATATTGCCTCACCCTCAGTATACCGTTTCAGTTTAAAAAGACTATCAATACCAAATCTTGAAAAGAATGTAGAGCAATTGGAACTCTCATACATTGCTGATAAATGTTAACAATGGTACAACTGTGTTGGAAAACTCTTTGAAAGTTTCTTATAAAATGTAATACATTGTGCCCCATACTATGACCCAGAATTTCCATTCCAAACAGTTTCCTTTGTAAGTAAAAGCTTATATCCACAAAAAGCATCACAAAAGAATATCCATGCATGGTTTATCCATAATAGCCTAAAACATGACATAACTCAAATGTCTATCCAGAGAAAGGGAAAAAAATATTGTGCTCTATTTATATAATGGAACATGATCTAGCAATAAAATGGAATAAACTCAGGTACATTTGACAACATGGATGAATCTCACAGACATGCTGTGTAAAAGAAACCGGGCAGAGAAATATATATACTTTATAATTCTGTGTATATTAAGTTTAAGAATAGGTCAAACTCATCTATGGTGATAAAAATCAGAACACCGGTTATCGTGTGAGGCAGGAGAACTGATGAGAAAAGGCGATGGGGGCAATTTATACCTTAAGTTTACCAAAAAAAAAGTTATCCAATCAAAGCCCTCACTGTCCTCTTAACCTGTCCTCTTCCCCGGCTGCAATTACCCACAGACTACCCTACCCTTCATATGCCAGCTTAAGATAGTCTTTAATCTCCCCAGGAATTTCTCATACTATTATGGCTGCTTCCTAAAATCAGAATTTCTCTCTGGCTTTTTAAGTTTCTCCAGTATTACTTTTGGGAGATCATGCTGCCATTAGAAAAACCACATTTACTAGATATTATTTTTCACAATGAACATAGAAAATAACTGCCTTTATAAGTCTCTTCAATTACTTATACGAGCTCATAGCAATTGAAGCAAAACTGTCACCACAGAATGTCGGCATTTCCAATTTCATATTATTAAAGATGAAGTTACTGGTGGATAAATTAAAACCACTGGTTTTATGGTAAATATTCACTATCAGTCATATACCCCAAGGCAGAGAAAGGCATTTTTCATAATCATTTTCAGAGTCCTAACTTTGTAAAATTACTACAAGAGTATAAAGAAAAAATACTAAGAAGACTATTTTGTTTTTCTAGAGAGAATGACAATAGTTACAAGTGTGAAAAGTTACATAAGGAGAGATTTTTCGACTGGTTTTACTACTTGAAATAAGTGAATGTTTTATTCTTCAGAAAGAAAACATGTATGAAGATGTAATTTAGAGAGAAAAATTAAGAGGGATCAAGAAATGGATGAAAAGACAATTCAAGCAAATCTTTCAAGATAGAATTAGATATATGTCATAAAGACAGAAGCAAATTCACATCGGCAGGGTGGCTGCTTGTTCCTCATAGCCTTGGGAGTATAGTTATGGTTCAGCAATTTTCTCCAGCAATTTCTTGACAGAAAATATTTAATCACAATCTTATCAGCAGTTGGAGGATGTGAGAATCCATGAGGCGGCACAAGATCATATCTGTTTCAAAATAGCCCATTGTTTCCTATTCTGTCTGAAATTCCCTTCAGTACAGTCACTGTTTTAAGCCAAAGCCTCCAGAAAGTCCCTTTTAGTACTTACATATTCACTGAGTGAGGCTACTTGTGAGCACATTTTCACTCATCATATATTCTGTTATTTAGAGTTTACTTAGAGCTCTGGCATGTGAAATATGTACTGGGCTCACATAGGTGGACATAGCTCCAGAATGACCTAAAGCCTGGGGAAAGTAAACTACTGTTTAAAGATTGTCATCACTGGAAAATCAATAGCCACCTAACAACAATGGGAGTGATTAGAAAATGACTATCAAAGAGAAAGTGAGGAACAAGGGAATGGAAAATAGAAGTTATCAGAAGGGCTGACTTCTATGCAACAGACTTAAAGGGTTAAAAGAGAAGTTTCCCAACTGTCATTCATTACGTCCTGTAAATAGCAAATACAGCTCTTCAATTCTTAAGCAAAGAAGCACTATAGACATGTCATTTACCACCCCTCTTGGGGCAGGGCAGAATTCATGTTTTTGCTCTGGTGTTCAGAGTTGCTTGTATCTACAAGAGTTCATATGCTGAAACTCTAAGATTTCTGTATCTACCAGTTAAGCAGGATCACGTCTGTCCCATACTCATGATTTTAACACACACATCCTACTTCAGGTGTGTAACAGACTCAACTCTACATCTGATTCCAAGGACAGTTTTCAGGTGGCAGCTTGAAGAGTTCTTTAAACATCATGGTGCAACTGAAGCATGCACTTCTAAATACCATCTAGTCAGCAAGATGCTGTGAAAAGAGTACTAGATTTGAAAACTGTTGCCCAACCCCATGGAATGCATCTTCTCTCTCTGCAATAAACAATAAACCCAACTTTTTCAGGTACAGATATGTTCTTGGTGGTCTTTGTATAGACAGAATTGGCAGACTCTAAGTAATAGTGGATTTGGTTACAATGGATTTCCAAAAACATTAAATTATATTTCTAGGGCGCTGTCTTAGATGTTAGGCACCGTTACAAATAATTTATGCATTAACTTTTAGACCTGGTCATAAAGCTTATGAGATAGGTACTATATTATGAAGACACCCATATTAAACAAGGTTTTGTGATTTATTCGAAACACAGAATCCAAGTTTCCCAACTCTAGAATTTTTTCCCTCACCCACACAATATAATCAGAATTTACTCAGGTTTAGTCAGTTCTTCTTTGCTGCATTTGACAGTCAGAAAGAAAGCAGTAGAGGAGGACTGTGTGCCAAAAATAATGAGTGTATTATTTTGTTTTGTTTTGGTTTCATTTCATTGACAGCATAGAAATATACATTTATTTCTTTTCTTTGACAGCATAAAAATATACATTTATTTCATTTCATTGACAGCATAAAAATATACATTTGAGGATAATATGCTCAATATTGCATAGTGAAATCAATGCTATATTGAGCTTATTTCTACTCTTCTCTCAGAAATATTCAGATCTATTTAACTAGGTTGTTTTGATGCACATTTTGATGAAAATATTATTTTTTAGAATAGAACCTAATATCAAGAAAAAAATGTTTGGATATCTAAATGTATGGACTGATATATTTAAATCATGACAACTCTTGGTTAAACAGTGCTTGGCTAACCAAACAGAAATTTTTAAAAGATGAAAAAGTAAAAGGAAATTTTCCAATGGGCCTTCTCAGTACTTGAATCATACTTATCTTGAAAAGAACAGATATTTTCACTAAATGAGGTTTATTCTCATTTTATTCATGCCATTGACTCTTTTGTAATAAACTATTTATTTTGGAATATTAGATTTACAGACAAGTTACAACGATAGTACAGAGAGTTCCTATATGACCTTCACCCAATTTTAGTTACTACTATCTTATCACATTGCATTTGTGAAAACTAAGAAACCAACCTTAGCCAAGTAACTAAACTCTAGACTGAGCAACAGTGATATATGAGGGGCTCAGCATCAATCTCTGCTATTGACAGATTTTTCAGGTTTGTTTCTTTAGGCTTCAAAACAACTCACCAAGCCATTTCGCATTTGAAGTGTGTTTACCTAAGGCTGCCTTTCTTCCGTATCAACTGGAAGACCAACCTTTGCCCACAGAGAAGATTTCCGTTCACCACTGACCTTTCAGCCTTACTTTGGGAGTGTGATATGGTAGCAGTTTATTTCTGGCTAGCTAGCTCTAATATCTCATACAGATTCATTTGTAAATAAGAACCAAGACTCCTCCTCAGTTATTTGGTCATGAGGAATCTCAGCAAGCCCCAGGTATGAACTGAACCACAAAGGTGGTAACATGGGAGTCTAAGTCACTTGTTCATGTAATTTACTTACTCCTCCTAAAACAACTCAAGCTAGTTCCAAATACTCACGTCCTTCATCTAATGGATTGTTCAACTATCACCTGTCCTTATGAATTAGTGGATCTAATAATATCCAGCTCATGCCACAAAATTTTGATTGCATAGGCTCTGCCCCATGTCCCATTGTCAGTTGTCAGGTTCTATCAATGACCAGTAGCACATTAAGAGATGTTTTCTAAATGGAAAGTTACTTTGTACCATGGAGGGTATGGCTCTGCTTGAGAACTCTAGAGGTCTGTGCTGTCACTCACATTTACAGGTATAACACTTATCTTCAGCACAATCCAATCTTTCTTTCTTTTTTTTTTTTTTTTTTTTTTGAGACTGAGTCTTGCTCTGTCGCCCAGGCTGGAGTGTAATGGCACAATCTGGGCTCACGGCAACCTCTACCTCTTGAGTTCAAGCAATTCTCCTGCCTCAGCCTCCCGATAGGTGGGATTACAGGCACACCACCATGCCCAGCAATTTTTTTTTGTATTTTTAGTAGAAACCGGGTTTCACCATGTTGGCCAGGCTGGTCTCAAACTCCTGACCTCAAGTGATCCATCTGCCTCAGCCTCCCAAAGTGCTGTGATTATAGGCTGAGCCATCAGGCCCAGCCCAATTCAATCTCTTAGATCATAATCTATTCTCTGAGCATCTTGAACCATAGCTTGAACTTGCTATAGTACTCTCTCTTGCTCTAGGCCTCATGTAAAACTTGAATGCATCTATTAATCCAAAAAAAGTATCACAGAAGTAATTTTTTAGCAAAGAGACTTTGTATTAGCATTGTTACAGGCAAGGTATCATATGTGAACTGATCCTTAGAATGTACAACCTCAACCAAGCTGTAAGTAGATAGATCAATAGAGTGAAATCTATTATTGTATTATATAGAAATAGGATCACCCTAAACTTCAAACAGAACACTGAAAAATCACTTTACAAAAGAAATAAAAATACCACCCATTTTTATATTTTATAAAGTACCAGCTCTTAAATGGTAGAGCATCAAAAATATCAAAGGATATGCCCAATTAGCTTTGTAATGCTAAAATGCTTAACTGTTCATTCCATGTGGGCCAGGCCTGACCTGGTTTTCAAAGCTTAATTTAAACATTTCATATTTTCATTTTCTTGGGTCAGACTGTTTCTCTATTATCTTAAATTTCTTAAATATGTCAGCATAACATTTAACTAATCTTCATCACTTACAAGTATTAAGACCAAAGATTTCCCTTCCTAAGGTTTAAACCTGAGTAAAGAATAAAGAAACCAAACACAAAAATCTCGAAAAGTCCAATTACAGTGGAGCCAGTGCCAATTTAGAAAAGCACTCTTACTTATCCTCCCTTAGAGTTCCATGTTGGTAAATATTAACGTTTAACCAGCTAGCAAAATATTTAACCCAGTTAGCAAAAGTAACACAGGTCATTCCGATAGCTACTCTTTTGTGCACTACAAATGTTGCAAGATGAATTTCATTCATGTTAGATAAAATTTGAAAAACAGTTTAAGAGAAAGCATGCTTCCCTATCAACACCAATTTAACCTCAGAGAAGTGAATGTGGAACTCTTGCCACTGCTTTTGATCTGTGAGGATGGCCCACAGTGGGGGTGTTAAATCATCTGAGGGCCAGCATGACTCTTCTTCCTGACCATGAGGTAAACCATCTGGACGACAGGTCCAGTCTTGCCAGGGCCTGCAAACTGCGATGTAGACCAGCGTATTATTTTTATCCAGCTGATATTCTTCCACATATCCAAAATTTTCACCTTCACACTTGAAAGCCTGGACCCACAAAATATGATGACTGAAAATGCCTTTGTCAGTTGAATATCTTCCTCACTCTATAAGAATTTCCAGTAGCGGCTTAAAGTGCTGCCAGTGAGTCACAGCTTTAAATTGGGGTCTCTGGCATTGGGAAGAGTTGAATTCAGCAGAATTCCTTGTATGAAAAACGAGGTAGACCTTGCATTCATTCCAAAATGGAAGACTAGAAGAGTGACACAGTTCCAGAATCACCACCTGAGTTACAACTCTCATTGATAGTGGCTGATATTGAATCTCTTGTTACAGTCAACTTGCCACTCACTCAGGTAGTGCTCAGCTCTAACCCCAGGCTGGTCGGCAGATATGCCCCACTGAAGCTGCTCACATTGTATTCCTATAGAAAGGCTCTCTGGCACTGGCCATAGTGAAGGATTTGGGGGATTTAAACTGAGGTGCTTGTTTCACCATGCTTACTGCATGTCTCTCTCTTGCTGGAGTTATTATTTGAAAGTTATGCTTAGGCCCGCACAGTGGCTCACGCCTGTAATCCCAGCACTTCCAGAGGCTAGGAGTTCTAGCCCAGCCTGAGCAACATGATGAAACCCCTTCTCTACAAAAATTTTAAAAATTAGCAGCCATAGTGAGAGGTGACAGCGTGCTGGCAGCCCTCGCTCACTCTTGGCACCTCCTCGGCCTTGGCGCCCACTCTGGCCACGCTTGAGGAGCCCTTTAGCCCGCTGCTGCACTGTGGGAGCCCCTTCCTGGGATGGCCAAGGCTGGAGCCGGCTTCCTCAGCCTGTGGGGAGGTGTGGAAGGAGAGGCAGGGTTGAGAACCAGGGCAGCACGAGGCACTTGCCGGCCAGCTAGTGTTCCGCGTGGGTATGAGGTTGGCGGGCCCCGCACTGGGAGCGGCCGGTGGGCCCGCTGGCCCCAGGCAGTGAGGGGCTTAGCACCCAGGCCAGCAGCTGCGGAGGGTACACCGGGTCCCCCCAGCTATGCTGAGAGGTGACAGTGTGCTGGCAGTCCTCAGAGCCCTCGCTTGCTCTCGGCACCTCCCCTGCCTGGGCTCCCACTTTGGTGGCATTTGAGGAGCCCTTCAGTCCCCCACTGCACTGTGGAAGCCCCTATCTGGGCTGGCCAAGGCCGGAGCCCACTCCCTCAGCTTGCAGGGAGGTGTGGAGGGAGAGGCACGAGTGGGAACCGGGGCTGTGTGCGGCACTTGCGGGCCAGCTGGAGTTCCAGGTGGGGGTGGGCTTGGTGGGCCCCGCACTCGGAGCAGCCAGCCAGCCCTGCCGGCTGCGGGCAATGGGGGACTTAGCACCCGGGCCAGTGGCCGCGGAGGGTGTACTGAGTCCCCCCAGCAGTGCTCGCCCACCGGCGCTGCGCTCGATTTCTCGCCGGGCCTTGGCTGCCTTCCCAAGGGGCAGGGCTCAGGACCTGCAGCCCGCCATGCCTGAGCCTCCCACCCACTCCATGGGCTCCTGTGCGGCCGGAGCCTCCCCGACGAGCGCCACCCCCTGCTCCACGGCGCCCAGTCCCATCGACCATCCAAGGGCTGAGGAATGCCAGCGCATGGCGCAGGACTGGCAGGCAGCTCCACCTGCAGCCCTGGTGCGGGATCCACTAGGTGAAGACAGCTGGGCTCCTGAGTCTGGTGGGGACATGGAGAGTCTTTATATCTAGCTCACAGATTGTAAATACACCAATCAGCACGCTGTGTTTAGCTCAAGGTTTGTGAGTGCACCAATCGACACTCTGTATCTAGCTGCTCTGGTGAGGAAGTGCTGCTCTGGTGAGGAAGCAGAGAACCTTTATGTCTAGCTCAAGGATTGTAAATACACCAATCAGCACTCTGTATCTAGCTCAAGGTTTGTAAACACACCAATCAGCACCCTGTGTTTAGCTCAAGGTTTGTGAATGCACCAGTCGACACTCTGTATCTAGCTGCTCTCGTGGGGCCTTGGAGAACCTGTGTGTCGAAACTCTGTATCTAACTAATCTGATGGGGACGTGGAGAACCTTTGTATCTAGCTCAGGGATTGTAAACGCACCAATCAGCGCCCTGACAAAACAGGCCCCTCGGCTCTACCAATCAGCAGGATGTGGGTGGGGCCAGATAAGAGAATAAAAGCAGACTGCCCGAGCCAGCATTGGCAACCCGCTCAGGTCCCCTTCCACACTGTGGAAGCTTTGTTCTTTCGCTCTTTGCAATAAATCTTGCTACTGCTCACTCTTCGGGTCCACGCTGCTTTTATGAGCTGTAACACTCACTGCGAAGATCTGCAGCTTCACTCCTGAGCCCAGCGAGACCACGAGCCCACCGGGAGGAACGAACAACTCCAGACGCGCTGCCTTAAGAGCTGTAACACCCACTGTGAAGGTCTGCAGCTTCACTCCTGAGCCAGCGAGACCACGAACCCACCAGAAGGAAGAAACTCAGAACACATCTGAACATCAGAAGGGACAGACTCCAGAGGCGCCACCTTAAGAGCTGTAACACTCACCGCAAGTGTCCACGGTTTCATTCTTGAAGTCAGTGAGACCAAGAACCCACCAATTCCGGACACAGTGCCAGCCCACTGGGGCTGTGCTGGATTTCTCGCCAGGCCTTAGTAGCTGCCTCCCCGCGGGGCAGGGCTTGGGACCTGCAGCCCGCCATGCCTGAGCCACTGGGTGAGGCCAGCTGGACTCCTGAGTCTACTGGGGACTTGGAGAACTTTTGTGTCTAGCTAAGGGATTGTGAGTGCACCAATCAGCACTCTGTGTCTAGCTCAAGGTTTGTGAACACAGCAATCAGCACCCTGTGTCTAGCTCAGGGTTTGTGGATGCACCAATTGGCACTCTGTATCTAGCTAATCTGGTGGGGACTTGGAGAATCTTTATGTCTAGCTAAGGGATTGTGAATACACCAATCAGCACTCTGTATCTAGCTCAAGGTTTGTAAACACACCAATCAGCACCGTGTGTCTAGCTCTGGGTTTGTGGATGCACCAATCGGCACTCTGTATCTAGCTAATCTGGTGGGGACTTGGAGAATCTTTATGTCTAGCTAAGGGATTGTGAATGCACCAATCGGCACTCTGTATCTAGCTCAAGGTTTGTAAATGCACCAATCAGCACTCTGTGTCTAGCTCAGGGTTTGTAAATACACCAGTGGACACTCTGTATCTAGCTAATCTAGTGGGGACACGGAGAACTTTTGTGTCTAGCTCAGGGATTGTAAACGCACCAATCAGCACCCTGTCAAAATGGACCAATCAGCTCTCTGTAAAACAGACCAATCGGCTCTCTGTAAAATGGACCAATCAGCAGGATGTGGGTGGGGCCAGATAAGAGAATAAAAGCAGGCTGCCTGAGCCAGCAGTGGCAACCCGCTTTCGTCCCCTTCCAAACTGTGGAAGCTTTGTATTTTCGCTCTTTGCAATAAATCTTGCTATTGCTCACTCTTTGGGTCCATACTGTCTTTATGAACTGTAACCCTTACTGCAAAGGTCTGCAGCTTCACTCCTGAGCCAGCGAGACCACGAACCCACCAGAAGAAAGAAACTCTGAACACATCCGAACATCAGACGGAAGAAACTCAGGACACGCTGCCTTTAAGAACTGTAACACTCACTGCGAGGGTCCGCGGCTTCATTCTTGAAGTCAGTGAGACCAAGAACCCACCAATTCCGGACACAATAGTGGCATCCATCTGTAGCCGGAGCTACTCCGGAGGCTGAGGTGGGAGGGTGACTTGAACTGGGGAGGCAGAGGTTGCAGTGAGCCATGATCACGCCACTGCACTCCAGCCTGGGTGTCAGAGCAAGACCTTGCCTCAAAAAAGGAAAAAGAAAAGAAAGGTATGCCTGGACGGTGACATCACAGAGCATAATTACTTTATTCATGTAGACCTGGTTGCCATTAACCCAACTGTATTTTTATCCGTTTGCTTTCCTGTCAGCTATGGATTCTTGATTCCTTGGCGCTGGCACTGGGGAAAATAAGTGCGTCTGATAAGTTACAAATAAAATTCAGCAGTTGGACACAGTAACTTGCACTTCTTGTGACAAAAGCAATCATCAGGCCCGGGTCAGAAGCGTTCTCTTTACCACGAGAGCTGCTATTTAGCACGTCTGTAGCAAATGGCAAATCTCGTTCTTACAGTCTCGTTTGTCTGAGTTCACTGGGGCCACTGCCAAGTTCTGCAGGAGTCCCGCTGCCATTTCCACCAGAAACAGGATGCGGTCTGGGGCCTGGGGCAATGCGGGAAGCTCTGTGGAAGCCAGGGCCAGGGGAAAATGCAGGAGTCCTGAGGAGGAGCCTGTGGACCCGGCAGGCAGCTGAGTGCGAGGGCAGCTCTCCCGGGCGGCAGCATCCCAGGGACTGAGACGGCCTGCAGCTGCCTCGCCGGCCCAAGGAGTCTCTTCTTGGCCAGGAGGGCAGACATGAGCAGCACTGCTCCGCCCCTCGCTGTCATGTGGGTCTGCAGGGCCTCGCGAGAGCAGGCACCAGCAGGCTGGTCTGCTTCCGGGTTCCGTGGTTCTCCTGGAATCCGGTCCTGCTTTTGTACCTATCCAAGTCTGGCACGTGACCCCAAGGTCATATGAGCCAGCTTTGGCTGATAACCCTGGAATCTTATGATATCCAGTCTGGACCCCCAGGGGAAGACCTGTAGGTTTCTCAAGTCATCTGTGCTCTCTGAGCCGTACTGGCTCCCCAAGCCCTGGCTTTGTCCATTACAAGCCCCAAATCCAAAATGGACTGGGGCTCAGGAAAAAATGAACAAACAAAAGAGCTGCAGAGGAGGAAAGTGAGAGTGGAAGGAAAAAATGTTAAGTTTAGCCTAAAGCTGCCTCTTGAGATGTCTTAAAGGTACATTGTGAACTGTAACCTAACTGGAGGTGTGAACCGACTGTAACCTACCCTTGTGCCTATCACTGAGTTTCAGCCAATCAAAGGCAGCCAACTGTTCAAACCAGGTTCAAGTAAGGCAAATTCCAAGCTGTCACCAATCTGCTGTTTTTGTACCTCATTTCTGTTTTCTGTAGGGCACTTTCTTTTTTCTTCCTTTCCTTTTTCTGTTCATAAACCTTCTCAAACCAGGTGGTAGCCCTGGAGCCTCTCTCAGCCCGTCAGAGGCATTTGAACCAGAGCAACTCTCTCTTGAATGGGACTGGGTGAAGGAAGGCTGAGACCCACTGGGCTGCATTCCCAGGTGGCTAGGTGTTCTTAGTCACAGGATGAGATAGGGAGTCAGCACAAGGTACACGTCACGAAGACCTTGCTGATAAAACAGATTGCAGTAAAGAAGCCAACCGAAATCCACCAAAACCAAGGTGGCCACTAAAGTGACCTCTGGTCATCCTCACTGCTCATTATATGCTAATTATAATGTATTAGCATGCGAAAAGACACTCCCACTAGCACAATGACAGTTTACAAATGCCATGGCAACGTCAGGAAGTTACCCTATATGGTCTAAAAGGTGGAGAAACCCTCAGTTCCAGTAATTGCCCACCTCTTTCCCAGAAAACTCATGAAAAATCCACCCCTGTTTAGCATATAATCAAGAAATAACGATAAGTATAATCAGCTGAGCAGCCCACAAGACTGACCAATGGAATAGCCATTCTTTTATTCCTTTACTTTCTTAATAAACTGCTTCCACTTTATGGATTCTCCTTGAGTTCTTTTATGTGCAAAAACCAAGAATCCTGTCCTGGGGTCTGGATCTGGAACCGCTTTCCGGTAACAAATCTGTCCCGTTTCAGGGGCTGCGCAATTCACAAATTTCTCTTTTACCAATTAAACTCTGTTCAATTTAAATTGTTTCAGGTTTTTCTTTTAACCAGAGGAAGGGCTGGGAACAGGGAAAAAAGATGCAGCGTGTTAAAAGCTGCAATGGTCTCTCTGTTATAACTATTTTTAAGGGAGGTAAATGTGGCCTTCCGAAATTAACCACTTATCTCTTGTATCCTAATGGTAATAGTCGCAAAGTATGGCAACTTTCTCTTTGCCTTATAGGGAGATATCCCTGCATGACTGATACCCTCTACTGGTATGGCCTTCTCCTGAATGTTGATGGAGTTTATCCTCCACTTCGTGGTATACATGTACCTTTATGGAACATTTAGGAGAATTATAATTTTCCAGTTACCAGGTTTAATTAGCACAATGTCATGAATTGGGTGGACCAGCATGATTTTCTTTAGACTATCAAGATTACTGAGGTCTCTATATACTTCATTATGAAAGACAGCAGAAGTAGCATAGCCCTGGGGCAAGACAGTGAATGTGTGCTGCTATTCTTGCCATTTAAGTGCAAACTGTTCTTAATCCTCACTGATGATGGTTATGGAGAAAAAAGCAGTTGCCAGATAAAAGGCCACGTACTAAGTGCCAGAGGCTGTGTTGATATGTTCTGTTGAAAATATTACATCTGACACGGCGTCTGTGATTGGAGCTTCCACTATGTTAAGAGAGGCAATCTGCCATTGGAATTAAGTGTCCCTGAATGTTCTTTCTGGATATGCTAAGAATGAAAGGTCCTCACCAGACATACCTTCCTGGGCCATTTGTCAGGGCACAATTTCCAATAAGTAACTTTGAGGGAAGAGATAATGTCTCCCTCTGGACATTACATCTCCCCATCTCTGTGCTTCTCCATCGCGATGCAAATTCACCGCATACACAACATTCACCTAAGCCACTCTGCATTGCTCCTGAGGACTTGGAAGCAGGGGAAACCAGCCCAACATAATGCCCCTGCAGCTTTCTGTGTCATTAATAAAAAGGTATTTTGTCTCTGACTGAGGAGTTTCATGTTTTCTGTTAGCATTAATTAAATATTAACAGGCTCACACTAGCTTGTAAGAAGGGTAAAATCCTAGACCCTGACACGCAGTTTAAATTTATGGTAGGGCACCATCATCCACCTTGAACCATCTGTTTTCACAAAGGCCAGATGAATAAGGACGACTTCCTGTGCATTTTTGATGGTGGTTTTCATCTCTTTAATTCTTACCTGAATAAATAATTACTTATGGTATTAAAGGAAACCAGAATGTATCACCCCAACATATGCCTCTTTGACATAAAAATTATTTTGAGCTAAAAGCAATTAAGATGCTGCAAATGCAGGAAACGCTTTCTCTATCCTCCCCCTTTTATGCCTAAAGGCAGGATATATATTATCTCTTAATAGAGAAGACTCCAGACTCTTATCAGTCCAGAGATATTGTAACCGCCCAGTGGGTTCACCTTGCCTGTTGCCTAGACAGAGCCCCATTCATCAAGACAGAGGAATTGCAATAGAGAAAGAGTAATTTTATTCAGAGCTGGCTGTGCGGGAGATCCGAGTTTTATTATTACCCAAGTCAGTCTCCCCAAGCATTTGGGGAGCAGAGGTTTTTTTTTTTTTTTTGAGACAGTCTCGCTCTGTCACCCAAACTGGAGTGCAGTGGTGCGATCTCGGCTCACTGCAAGCTCCGCCTCCTGGGTTCATGCCATTCTCCTGCCTCAGCCTCCCCAGTAGCTGGGACTACAGGCGCCCGCCACCATGCCTGGCTAATTTTTTTTTTTTTTTTTTTTTTGTATTTTTAGTACAGACGGGGTTTCACCGTGTTAGCCAGGGTGGTCTCCGTCTCCTGACCTTGTGATCCACCCACGTCAGCCTCCCAAAGTGCTGGGATTACAGGTGTGAGCCTCTGCGCCCGGCCAGGGAGCAGAGTTTTTAAGGATAACTTGGTGGGTGGAGGTAGGGGGAGCCAATGAGCCAGGAGTGCTGATTGGTCACGGATGAAATCATCAGGAGTGGAAGCTGTCTTCTTGTCAGTTCCTCGGTGGCGGTGGCGGCCAAGAGATCAGATAACCTGGGTGGTGCCAGCTGATCTATCAAGTGCAGAGTCTGTAAAATATCTCAAGCACTGATCTTAGGAGCAGTTTAGGGAGGGTCAGAATCTTGTAGCCTCCAGCTACCTGACTCCTAAAACATAAATTCTGATCCTGTGTTAGTCTAGTCCGCAGGCAAAAAGGAGGTCTGCTTTGGGAAAGGGCTGTTACCGTCTTTGTTTAAAGTATAAACTACAAACTACTCCCAAAGTTAGTTCAGCCTACGTCCAGGAATGAACAAAGACAGCATGGAGGTTAGAAGCAAGATGGAGTCATTTAAGTTAGATCTCTTTCACTGTCTCAGTCATAATTTTGCAAAGGCAGTTTCAATATGGCACTAGAGAAATCTGCAAGCAAACCGTATTCCATCAGTTCGCTGTCATATATTTCCCTTCTCACAGTTTGCCACTCTTAGAAGCCTAAATTCACTTTTCCTTGTCCTGTCATTTTCTACAAATGTATTGTCTTTTGTTAAAGATGCTGTATAAGTCAGAGCCCTAAGCCACCTCTTCAAGTTACTAATTTTCTTGGGTGTTTCCCATGTACATATGAGATAAATATGTTAATAAACTTGTTTGTTTTTCTGTAGCTAATCTGTCTTTTATTAGAGGGATCCCAGCTAAAGACTTAGAAGGGTAGAAGGAAAAGAATTTTTTTCCTCCCCTTCAGTTTAAAACTTTGATGATGAAAATAATAAACATATTCAAAGCTTCCATTTGGCTCCTCCTGCCACAATCACCTTTACTCATTAGGGAAGCAATGTGAATAATGTTCTACCCACTGCTGAAGGTGTCTGTGCCCATTATATATCCAGGTAACAGAGAAATAATTACAGTGTTGGTCCATGGATCTCTTTAACCAACTGACTCAGACCAAAACTCCATTTATTACTGAGACAGCCAGGTGGAAATGGCTCCCTGGCAGAACTCTAACTGGTCTATGCACTGGGAAGAGCCCACACTGGGGTAGAGCCACAGAAGTTTGCCCATTTGCAGTGGGGAGGAGCCTGGCCCCTCCTCTTCCTGGGTGGGACCTGGAATTCAAGCTGCAAGGTGGGAAGCACACTAGGGGAACTCTGGCTATGCAGAGAGTCCCCGTTTCCCCTTATTTTCCTTTTCACCCAATAAAACCCAGCCTTTCTCACCCTTCAAATCATCTGCAAGCCTAAATTTTTGTAGCTATGTGACAAGGACCCCATCTTTCGCTAAACTAAGGAAAAGTCCCACAACATTACTTGGCCTCTAATGCCCACTGTAACTTAAAACCATAGTGCCATTTTGTGTCTCCTGCTATCAGTGTCATAAGACCTTATATCTAACCGTCCCTGAAAATTCTGAGTATTTACTTTTCTTTATTGTACTGTTAACCTATGGTTTGCTGCAGGACTCCTAGGAGAGGTAGTAGAATAACATTTACAATATGTAATTGTGGAGGATTTTCAGGGTCCTTCCTCAAGGCAACCCAAGCTCATTCCAAATGGCAGTCTCTGGATCTGTGAACTGGTAGAAATCTGGGACCTAAGTTAGGAATCCTGATTTTCCATTCTGGAATTCGATGTCAGTCTTCTGCTACTTAGCTCTTAACATTTCTCTGATTATATAATTTGATCAATACCCTAAACAGCTGTCTAGTTGTCTTCTAGGAATACCATGGCCTGTTAGCTACTACCAAATATTATTGACAGTTGTAGCATATTGATTGTCACTGTAGCCTTGACTTCTATAGTGGCAGTAATGACCATCCTACCTTTCATGTTTAAGTACTGATACTTGGCCTCTGCCATTTAGGGATCCAAGCATTCCTGCTGATAATAGAAAACTCAGTTGCACAGCAGTTTCTTCCACTGAAAACACAGACCTACAAAGGAAAGCCATTACTGAGATTCTCAGAAATGCAGGTGTCCACATCATCAATGGCTTTCTTAGCACATTAGTGAAGAAAATGTTCTCTGGACCCTCCTGTAGAGCACAGTCAAGTGATAGTTTATTTGACTGGCATTAAGATATCCATATTGATACATGTAACCACTTGAGTTCACTTGCCTTTAATACTATGCCAGCATGTTCTGGCATCTTTACTTTGTTTACTGTAGAAACAGTTATGACTATATTTCAGGGCTATCCCAGAATATCATTAGAATGAGTTCCAAGTATCCTTGCAAAACATCGAATTCTAAAACATGGGAGAGTTTGTGTTAATAATTCTCTCCTATGTTAATAATTCTCTTCTATTGTGGTAAGCATAATAATAGCTCCCTAAATGTGTCCGTGTCCTAATTCTTGTAGCTTGTGAACAAACATGTTAACTTACATGGATAGGGGGCATTTTAGATGTGTTTATGTTGAGGAGCTTGAGATGGGGATATTATCCAATTAGGACTAATGTTATCACAGGGTCAGAGGGAGGCAGGAGAGTGAGGGTCAGAATAGAAGATAGGACAACTGAAGGAGAGGTTGGAACAATTCAAGGAAGGAAGAACAAACCAAGGAATGTGGGTAGCCTCTAAAAGCTAGAAAAGCAAGGAAATCCTTTCTTTCCCAGGGCCTCCAGAGTGAACACAGCCTTGCTGATGCATTTTAGACATTTGACCTACAGGATACTAAGATGGCACATCTATGTTATTTTAAATCACTGTTATTAAGTTAGTTTGTTACAGCGCCTATAGTAAACTAACACATCTATTTCGCCTTATATTAATCTCCTCCCTTCAGCCTAACTCTCTTGATTCACTCCCAAATGTGTTTCTCTAGTTTTTGCCAGTAAATATTAGCCAGACCTGAAATCCTTTTGGTGTATAGAGCTTGAATTTCTCTATTTAGGCTGTATTGAGACCTAAACTCATGGAAGGGAGGTGAGAATAGTTCCTAAGGAAAGCAAGCATCCTTTTGCTTAGACATTGCTTCAGGTGAGAAGACAATCTCTAGGCAAAACATAGGAGCCACTTTTGCTACCCAGAAGAACTTAAAGTAATTTGGAGTCAATATTTTTTAGTTTTTTTTTAAAACGCAAATTTTCCAATCCTATGTCTCAGGGTTCCATTTTCCCTAGAAGAACCATGAGTTGGACAAAGAAAACATGAAAATTTTCAAATAAAGCTTCTTTTGTCACTGGGCCAGTATTAAAATATGAATCCTGGCCTGTTTTTTAGCACAGTTCAACCTGCAATTGCAGGAGAAAATTGTATACGTTACAGCTGCCATAGAGGCTCTCTGGCTTTCAAATACGCCTTAAGTTGCCAATTACCAACTCTGAACTTAAATGTCTGATATGTTTTTTATAATATGTTTTTATTTCAATGTCTTGTCTTTATGTAATAATTCCTAGCATCTCTAATTAAACAAAAACTCTACTACTATCATCCCAAATGATAAAATACTACAAGTGAAGGTAAATATAAGCTGTGAGTTGTGTACAGTATCAGTCACCTAAGCCACATCTCTTAACACACTGCTAAATGGCTAATATTGATCTAGCATCTGACTACTAGCGTGCAACCAAGAAAGAAACATCAGAGGGTGGTGAGGGACCTTTTTTCCTACTGTCCTTTCCTCAGCCACTCTACTGAGTCATTTAGTTTAGGTCAGTCAATTTTATAGTTTTATAATTTTTGTAGAACTGGAAGCTTGCCATTTAAATTGCTCTGAGTTTCTCATTTTTAAATGTAAGTATGTGGTATAATTGTTCTTCCAATGATTAGCAACTAAAAAGGGTATGCTTAGGGTTGTAACAATATAGGTACTTTTTTTCCGGAATCTTTTTTGTGGTGATAGTTGAATTGTATTTTTCAGGATTAGCATAAGAGTGACTTTTGGAGAGAATTCTATTGCTAAGTAGGCCATGCTTTCTTATGAAATAAAGCTTTATGGCTGAGTGGACATCATGCGCTACTGAGTCATTTGAAGGTACTCAGGGTTACCAGTGGCTCATATGGTACATTTGTAAAAATTACTAAAAAGCATCCCTATCTCCAGATACTTCACTTCCACTTATAGGAAAATTTGCATAATGTATTGATTTTCTTAAAATGATACTTTACTGCCATGTTCCAGGAAATTTTTCATAATCAATATACACATCTATGATGTCTACAACGTGAATGACTCACACTTAGATGTGGGGCCTAGTGCAGTACACAATTACACAACTCTGCATGAATGTCCTCAATTTCACTTACTCAGAGGTTAGTAGTTCTTGGCCATATATATTTTCTTGGAAAAGCCTGATTCTACATTGGTCTTAGAAGCTATGGTTTCAATGGTGTAAAACCAAGTTAATTAATGGGTAGATCTAGTCCAAAAGTGAACATAGTATTCAGCTATTGAAATAACAGTGGCAAACTCAAAGATCAGCAAATTTCTTCTTCTTTCATATAAAGCCAACTTCTGCTCGAATTATAGTGGATAAGTGATTCATCAATTACTAATAGGAAGTAGAGAATATGAATGGAGAAACACTGAGATTAGCCCAAGTATTTTCTTTCTAATCATGCAAAGGCTTCAGGGTTAGCCTGAAATAAGTGCTGTTGCAAGAGACCTTTCAGACCATGGGCTTACGAAATTTCAATTCAAGGAAATACATGAAGATTTAATATAAGCCCATGTCTTAGTTAGTTCTATGCTGCTATAGCAGAATACCTGACACTGGGTAACTTATAATAAACAGAAATTTGTTGGTTCACAGTTCTGGAGGCTGAGAAGTCTAATATCATGGTGCCAGCATCTGGTGAGGGACTTCTTGCTGCGTAGATACATGGCAGAGGCGAGAGGGAAAGCTAGAGCAAGAGTGAGCCAAACTTGCCCTATCATAATGGCACCAAGCATCCCCATAAGAATAAAGACGTCATCATCACTTAAAGGCTAAGCCTCTTAATACTGTTACAATGGCAATTAAATTTCAACATGAGTTTTGCAGTAAATATTCAAATCGTGGTATCCTGCCTCCAGCCCACCATAACTCATGTCCATCTCACAAAATATATCCATTCCATCCCAAAAGACCAAAAAGTCTTAACTCCTTCCAGAATCAGCTCAAAAGTCTATTGTCCATAGTCTCATCCACATGGGTGAGTCTCAAGGCACAATTCAAGATAGGCAAAAGATCCGGGCACTATGGCTCATGCCTGTAATCCCAGCACTTTGGGAGGCTGAGGTGGGTGAATCACCTGAGGTCAGGAGTTCAAGACCAGCCGGGCCAACATGGTGAAACCCCATCTCTACTAAAAAGACAAAAATTAGCCAGGTGTGGTGGTGCACGCCTGTAATCCCAGCTACTCGGGAGGCTGAGGCAGGAGAATTGCTTAAACCTGTAAGGCAGAGGTTGCAGTGAGCTGAGATTGTGCCACTGCACTCCAGCCTGGGAGACAAAGTGAGACTCTGTCTTGAAAAAAAAAAAAAAAATCACAGGCTTCCCAATATCTTTACAATGGCAATTAAATTTCAATATGAGTGTTGAAGAGGAAAAACATTTAAACCATCACAGTGCATAATGGTGTTTCAATCCAAGTAGTTTTGAAGACTCTTATTCCAGAATATTGAAAGATAATATTTATTATTCATTATTCCAACATATTTTCAATATTTTAAAATTTCAGCCTCTTTTCAGCATCATAAAAACAATTTCAAACTTCTTATATATCTTTCTAGTGGATTCTTGGCATATTTCATAGCACCTGCCAGTAAGCATTATAAATATCTCTAAATTATATGAACAGGCCTTTCATCTTTATTTATAGATTACTTTTTAAATTACCTGCCTTCCTTATCTATCCATCAGATAAAAACAACAAAGTTACAAAAATTCAGCATAGCAATTATAGAAAATAGGTAGTGTTACCTGAAAAAAAAAGGCAGTAAATACCATAAGCCAAAAAGTTATATTTACAGTTAAGGAAATGCTGGATGTTAGGAGATATTTTTACATATAAGCCATATAATCAAATAGTTAATTTTAGACTTCATTGTATTTACAGGCTCAATAACAATCAGAACTCTTGGTTTTTATCTTGATCTCCACTTCCTGGTTGAAACACTTCCTTCCCTTGGCTTTGGTGATATATATATTCCTAGTTTTGTCCAACATTTCTGCCCACAATTGCTCTGTTCATTTGTAGGTCCCCATCATCTACTTGTTTAACAGAGGTTAGAATTCCTCAAGGTTCTTTTCTTCTCATTCTATTCTATTCACTTTAGGAAATACCAACCAACATCAATCATACACAGAGAAATACAAATATGTTTCTTCTTTAAGGTGAAACCTATGTATTTGACTGCCTACATAAGATCTTACTGTACCTGAGTAGATTAAATCATTGATCAATTATATTTACTCCAATTTTAAGAGTATAATTTCCTGCCCCTATGATATTGAGCTTGGCATCAGACTTTCTTGGGCCCCATGATTTTCAAGGTTATGAGACCCACTCAAACTAGGAATGTTCAAGACCAAAGCAATGATCATCTTCCTGACTTCCTCACACTAATTTTGATTGCCTAGTTGGAACCTCTTTTTTGCCAAAAATCTTTTTTGGCATGAGGCAGAATACTTGGACCACACATAAAAGGTTTAACTCCTTCATGTGCATATCAATTCCATGACAATTTTTTTTGTCAATTTTACTTTCAAAATATTTCTATAAGAGAACTTTACATTTATTGCCAATATCCTAGTCAAAGCTATAATCATTTTTTATGTGAAGTACTACAAAACTATCTTAAGCAGCTAGTGATTCTTTAGTAAAGCTAATTTGCGACATTAATTTCAACTATGCACCCAAGAAACCATGACAAAACAGCTGAACAATCCCATAAACCATCTTAGAAATCCAGGTAGTTTTCTTAAGTTTCTATATTGACCCTTCTCTCTTGACACAGGGTAATAATAAAAGTGCAGCCAGAAGTATTAGTGGTTATACAGACTTCACCTTTGCTTGCAAGAAGAAAATCAGGGGCAATTCCATCATTTTTAGAATCAGAATGAGAATTAGTGAGATCAAACTGACTGGAATATCTTCCATTGCTAAAGTACAGTTATTAATCACTTAAGCTACATCAGGGTCAGATTTTGAATTTAAACACAACATTTTTAAATAATATATTATTAAAAGGAAATGGAAATGAAAATATTTTAAATGAAACAAAAGTTAAAACACAACATATCAAAATTTGTAAAATGCAAATAAAGCAATGCTTAAAGGGAAGATTATAGCATTACATGCTTATATTATCAAAGAAGAAGCCTCTCAAGACAATAATTTCAATCTTGGTCTCAAGACAGTAGAAAAAGAAGGACAACTTAAACTCACAGCAAGATAGAAAATAGAAAAAAAATAAAAATACAATGTAATTGCAATCAGAAAAATTAATGGAGCTTATCAACAAAATCAGAAGGGAGTTATTTGAACTGATTACTAACACTGACAAATCTCTAGCTAGATAGACCAACAGGAAAAAAAAAAACACAAATTGCCAACATCAGGAATAAAAGAGACATCACTATAGATCCTATAGACATTAAAAGTACAATAAGAAAATATTATAAAGTCTATGCCTATAATTAGACAATTTAGATGAAATTGAAAAGATCATTGAATAACAAAAATGGCCAAATCTCTCTCAAAAAGAAATACGTAAGCCACGTAGCCCTATGTTTACTAAAGAAACTGAATTTATAGTTAGGCTTTCTACAAAGAAAATTCCAGGCCTAGATGACATTATGGGTGAATTAGGTCAGTTAATAAATAATAGCAATTCTCCTTAAGCTCTTCAACATAAGAGGAAGGCCTATTTTATGGACAGAGTATTATTCTGATACTAAAACTAGACTTAGGCATTTACAGATAATTAATTAATCATATCCCTTATGGATATAGATGCAGAAACCTTAAATAAAATACTAACAAATTGAATATTAATAGAGACAAATGGGGCATTACAAAATGATTTAGAAAATCAATCCACAAGCATATGTTAGCTCTAAATATGTATGCACCAAACAGAAGTACAAAACATAAGAAGCAAAAATTGATCAGAATGAAGATACAGAAGAATTCAACAAAACCATCAAAGGATTGGCCCTCACCAACAACAGCACATATACATTTTTTCAAATGTACATGGAGAAGTCATCAGGATGGACTATTTACAGGGTCATAAAACAAACCTCAATAAATTTAAAATTATTGAAATTGAGTTGTGCGTTACTTACTGACAAGGCTACATTCTGGGACATGCATCGTTAAGAAATCTTATCATTGTATAAACACCAAAAAGTGTATTCACACAAACATAGATGGTATAGCCTACTACACACCAAGGCTACATGGTTTAGTGTATTGTTTCTACACTGAATACTGTCAGTGACTGTAACACAATAGTAAGTATTTTTGTATTCAAACATAGAAAAGGTATAGTAAAGATATGGTATTATAATCTTATGAAATAGTCATCATCTATGTACCCCATCATTGACTGACCACAATAAAATTAAACTAGAAATCAATAACAGAAATGTAGCAAAAAGAAAAATTCAAACCCTTGAAAACTAAGAAATACACCTCTAACTGATCCATGGGTCAAATAATTAGTCTCAATGGAAATTTAAAACTACAATGAATAAATGGAAATAAAAATCCAACATGTCAAATTGAAAATTTAACATGTCAAGTTTTGAGATACAGCTAAAGCAGTATTGGGAGGAAAATTAATAACATGAAAATGCTTACATTAGAAAGAAAAAATATATCAAATTGATAATCTAATTTCTCAGTACTAGGAAAAGAAAAAATAAACCCAAAGCAAGTGGAAGGAAGAAAACAGAGAAGATCAGAAAGCAGTGAATTTAGGCCAGGTGCCATCATGCCTATAATCCCATCACTTTGGAGGCCGAGGTGGGCTGATCACCTGAGGTCAGGAATTCGAGACCAGCCTGGCCAACATGGTGAAACCCCATCTCCAATAAAAATAGAAAAATTACCCTTGCACTGTGGCACATGCCTGTAATCCTAGCTACTCATGGGAGTGAGACAGGAGAATCACTTGAACCCGGGAGACAAAGGCTGCAATGAGCTGAGATCACGTCACTGTGCTCCAGCCTGGGTGATGGAGTAAGCCTCCATCTCAAAAAATAAAACAAAACAAACAAACAAAAAAACAGAAAGCTGTGAAATTGCAAGCAGAAAACCAAGGGAGAAAATCAATTTAACAGCTATTGATTACTGTGGTAATTACACAGATCTACACATGAGATAAAATTACATAGAACTATACACACACTTTAATGTAAATTTACTGGTTTTAATATTGTACTATAGTAACTAAACCAATGGAGAAAACTGGACAGAGTACAGAGAACTTCTGTATCATCTCTTCAACTTCCTGTAAATCTTTTATTATTTGTAAGTAATCATCAAGAAAAAGAATAATTAAAAAGTTGGGCAAACATTTTGAACAAACATTTCACCAAGCAGAAATGCAGATGACAAGCACATAAAAAGATTTTTGCATAGCCATTAGGCAAATGCAAATCGAAACCACCATAACATACTTCTACATATCTTTTATAATACCTAAAATTTTAAAAAAGTTACACAAACCAACAATAACAGACTGCAGCCAGGATGCAGAACAACTGAAATGTTCACAGACTGCTGGTGCAAATGCAAAATGAAACAGATGCTTTGGAAGACAGTTTGGCAGTTTCTTATACAGATTGCCATTCATTTATCACAAGGCTCAGCAGTCCCAGTCCTAGGTATTTACTCAAGTCAAAAACTTACATTGCTACAAACACGAACATAAAATTTATAGTATTTTTTTATAATCATCGAAAACTGGGAGCAACCCAAATATCCTTTAACTAGTGAATGGATAAATATATCACAATATACCACTGCAATGGAATACTAGTAAAGAATATAAAGGAATAAACTAGTGATATTACAACATAAATAAATCTCAGATTAATCATGATAAGTGGACAACTCAAACACTTTATACTGTATGATTATATTTATGTGATACTTGGGGAAAGACAAAACTCTAGGGACAGAAAAGAGAACAGTTGATGTAAGGGTGGGGGTGGAATGTGTAGAGATTACTACAAAAGGTAGCAAGAGAACTTTGGAGGGTGTGGAACTATCACCAGTGAAAGGTATCCAAGTTAACAGTGGTGAATGTGTATGCATCTGCAGCAACCTCCATTCTCACTTCCTCAGAAGAAAGCATTTGACTGAGGGGCATAAGGCAGAAAAAGAGACCAAGGCAATTTTCAGAGCAGGAGTAGAAATTTATTTAAAAAGGCTTTAAAACGGGAAAGTATGCTTGAAAGAGACCCAAGCAGGCAACTTGAAGGGCAAGTGTGGTATTGAGCCTTGGTCCTAGGACTTTATAGGCTGGCCCCTTTCCCATGATTCTTTCCTTAGGATGAGCTGCCCACATGTGCCGTGTCCTCCTTACCCTTGGAAGGTGAGTATGCACAGTGCGTTTAAGAAGTTGTACACATGCCCATCTGAGGCTTTCTTCCCTTTTCCAGTGGAGTGCCCCTGGAAAGTCATACTCCACCATTGTCTCTTAATGCACATGCCTGGCAAATTGCATCTCCCTGGTGCCTGCATTCAGTTAACACTTTAGTGCAACAGGTGTGGACCATCAGGAAATGGCCTCTCCCTGGCACTGGCTGCTAATTTATCACTTTTAGAGAAGCAATGTGATAAATGCAGAATCATCACCCAACGTTCTTACTGGGTGGCGGAAGAACCCCCTCCTGCCCCACTCATGCCTGTCTAACTACCTGTAACAGAACTGCTCTATATCTTTATTGTCTTGGTGATTATAGGCCTTTGTGTATTTGTCGAAATTCATAGAACTGCACACCAAAATTGTAAATTATACTGCATGTGAATTATACCTCAATTTCAAACAGAAATAAACAAACAAAAAAGAATGGCTACTGGGGAACATAAATTAAGATAGCAGATATAAGTTTAAATATGTAACTTGACCTTTTAAGAGGCAGAGATTCTCAAAATAGATATTATAAACTCAGCTATATACACTTAACTAGAAATATATCTAAAAGATAATGGCAAAGTTTGAGAGAAAAGTATAGAAACTATGTATCATATAAATAATTACCAAGAAAAATGGTTTAATAACAGTAGTATCAAAGTAAATAAACTTTAATGCAAAAATATAAAACAAAATGGAAAATGTGTCATTCATCTTCACAGGGAACTTTTAAATAGTATCTAACATAAAGATGTGTTACAGATATAACAAAATGTTAATAATTGTTATGTCTGATTACATTGGTACATGGTAGTTTTTCTCATTTGAAATATTTCCAACTAAACAATAAGCAAAAAAAGAAAATAATTTCAATATACAATAAAATTCTAGAAATTCTTAACCTGGATAAATTTTCTTGGAATTTAACTCTACCCTTTAGTTTCTGTACTCACTATAGTTCATCACAATTTAATTTGAGCATCCCACTTTATGGCTATATAAACTCTTATAGACACACAAATATGCACACATACACCAAATATCTAAAATTAATATTCACAATAACCAAGTCATTATTTAGAAACCTACTAATAAAGATGTCCATACTGAGGAAAATACCTTTCCTGCAGCAACAAAAGTAAGTGGTCCTCTGGTATTAATTAATAGCAGCAAGGGATGAATAGGGAATTTTAAAAAGCAAAATTAAAGTGATTTTAAAATGATGGTAATCATCAGATACCTGGGGCCTTAGGAAGTCAAAAGTAGAACAAGTAAGCAAAGAATGCCAGTAGGAGATTCAGACAGTGATCTAAATTCAAATAACCAACACTGTGCGTCCTTTGTAAAAGCATGAGGTGTGGTCTTTCAAGTCTTCAGGCCTGAAATCATTTTTATGCCAGATTTGCATGATATGGATAAGTTTTTTATTAGACAGTAAGTAGCCAGGTATTAAATATAACTTATTTTCCATCTTGATATCTGGGAGCAACTCATTAACCTTGCCAAAGTTTTGCCCTCATGTGCTAATCAAATCAGGAAATGTGTCATAAAGATCTGTCCAGCCAGAAAACTGCTCAGATGACCGCTACTCTATCTCTTTCAAATGAGAAAGTACAACATAAAGGGAGGAAAGTAATTAGTGTGAAAATGTCTAAAAAGATTGTGCTTAAGAAATATTGTGAGAGGTGGAAAGCATAGGGTGCTATGGAACATTCCCAGAAAAGAAGGCAGAGATGTTGTCATTTTTGGCTGTGTCACCAGCATCTAGAGTAATGGCCGCTCATAGCTGAAGTCTAAACAACATTTTAAAATGAATGAGTAAAAGATGTGATTCTCTGTAGAATAGAAAGGAAAATAATACCAATAGTTTTGGAACAGTTAAGAACATCACACACCAGGGGGAGGGGGAGGGATAGCATTAGGAGATATACCTAATGTAAATGACGAGTTAATGGGTGCAGCACACCAACGTGGCAAACCTGCTACGTTGTGCACATATACCCTAGAACTTAAAGTATAATAAAAATATATATATTAAAAAAAAAAAGAAATGTAACTCAGGCTCAAACTCCCTTCTCTAGCCATTGCCTCACACAGCATAGCTGCTGAAAGAATGCACCTGTGCCATTAGATGTACATCAACAGACCCTGGATACAGTGGATTAGCTAAGGTTTGGAATCATGATCAGAAAGAAGCCAATCCATTCTCCAGTGAGAATTTACCAAGATCTGTTTCTAGACTAACCTGATAGAAAGATTCAGGAGTCTGCAGTGGCGGGGCATGGGGAGGGGATGTGATGCCGGAGGCTGGTTCACTTCAGTAGGGATGGCACTGGGTCCAAGAGGTCAAAGAAAAGACCCAAAGACAGCAAATGAGGCATAGGGCTTGTTGGGGGACTTATATACAGGGATGGCCCCATGGCAGTGGACTGGACAGGAGAACCACTACTGTTTGTAAAAAAGCATGCAGTTTGTATAGCATTTTTATTTAGCCACCTCCATCTAGCAAGCCCCACCTAGCACCCTCTATCTAATCCAAAACAAAGGGCCTTAATTCCCTATATAACCTGCATTCCAAGGGATGGGTCAGAGGGTCAGATGTCCTTCATAGATAAGGAATGAATCTCAGGGTTGGCCACTCCAGGATTCCTTGGCTTGGGACTCCAAACACATATTCTTCTTAGACCATAGGGTCATTTTCAGGGTATGCTTAAGCTATGTTACTGCTGTCAAGGGCTGTCATAAACTTCCAATTGTTCAAATAATTAATTGGGAGACTATTCATGATCAGTTGAAGTATCTCCAGAGCCCTGTGTTCTTATGTAAGCAAACAGAAACCCAACTCAGTATAAATAGTAAAACAAAACTTAAGCTTAACCCGTCAGAAATCACCAACTAACCTCTAACTAGGGACTTTCCACTGGAACAACCCAAAAAAGGCTACTGCTTCACTTTAACCAATCAAATATTTTCCTTGCCTTATCTCCGTGTTCACCTTATTTAAAAAGTCTTCCCCTAATGCCCTTTGGTGAAGCCCTGAGCAACATGTGGTCTGGTACTGCTAGATTCATGAGTCCCCATCTGCTCAGGTAAACTCTTTAGAATTTCAGTGTGCCTAAGTTTATCCTTTAACACAGTTCTAAGGCAAACCAGCTAAATATTCTATGCTTTGCTATTATGATACAACTTTTTAGGTTTTGATTCATCTATTCATTGAATGAATGAAATAATACTGAGCTTCTACTTTATATCATGCACTATTCTATATGCTAGAAATAGAGCAATGAACAAAACAAAATATGAGCCCTCAGGCCGTATATTTTAATGGGAAAGAGAGAGGAAGTAGAAAATAAATGAGTAAAAAAAGAGATATAACTATATTAAATGGTGCAAAGCAAAGTGGGGTCAGGGGAATAAGGGAACTAGCAATTGGATTTGATTGCAATTTTATAAAAAGTGACAAGAGAGGCCGGGCCTGGTGGCTCATGCCTGTAATCCCACCACTTTGGGAAGCCAAGGTGGGTGGATCACCTCAGGTCAGGAGTTTGAGACCAGCCTGACCAACATGACGAAACCCAATCCCTACTAAAAACACAAAAATTAGCCAGGCATGGTGGCACGTGCCTGTAATCCTAGGTACTTGGAAGGCTGAGGCAGGAGAATCACTTTAACCCAGGAGGTGGAGGTTGCAGTGAGCCGAAATTGTGCCACTGCCCTCCAACCTGGGCAACAAGAGTGAAACTCCATCTCAAAAAAAAAAAAAAAAAAAAAATATATAGTGATCAGAGAAAGGAGAAAGACTGGCCAATAAAGTAATGAATTAAGAAGTTATCAGCAGAGGTATTAAAAATCATAAAAATCTGATAAACTAAGAAATGTGTATTGATTAAAAAAATAAATAAAAGAAGCCCTCTTTTTTACACTGGTTTCAGGAGATTTTTGCTCCTTGCAATCAAACAAGTTTGAATTAAAAGAGAAACTGTTACTGGAAGTAGCTAAGAATCCCCAGTGCCACTTTTTCTCCAGTTCTGGATCTCAGGATGCTGGGCTATGATGTGCATCTCTCATTTCATTAACTCCTCTTTATTTGACTTAGCTTGATTGGGTTTATGTTTCTTTCAAGCAAATACTCTTTACAAAAGAACCATAATAATAAACTTGGCTTCACACGTAATACCGTACAATTTTTGTCCCCTCAAAAACTCTTTGTACACCTCAGGACTAATTGGAATGCAAATGTTGCCATTTGGCTAGACCCTTAAAATGATTTGGAATAATTTAATCTTAATCTTCTTCAAAATGATTAAGGCAAAGATGATGATAAATCACTTATTATAAATAAATTATTTCCTATATATCAAAGTATATAGCAATGTCTGGTTTCAGACTGTATAAAAATAAATTTAAAGTAAGCAGGATGGCTGCCATACTTTTAACAACTTTCTAGACTGGCTGACTAAATAACTGTGTCTGTTGAGATAGTCTGTCAAATAAGATGAAAGAAATGGCACTTATAAATTGTTGCTTGCTGTAGCTGAAGGTTTCCAATATATTTTTCTGGTACTTTGTAATATCAGAGAACTTTCTGTGTCAATCTATATGGGTTTTTCTTTTGGTTGTTGTTTAAAAAAAAAAAGGTTCTGCTTTGCTTATTCTTGAAACAAACAAAATAATACACCTTACATTGTTGAAATTGCTAATGATTTTCCCCCAAAGGCTTACAAGTAAATGGCCAAAACAATGAGCAACAATCAGCTTGAGTATACTTTATCTGATTTTTTTCTCACCTATTAGACATATTTTTCATTTGTTCAACATGAACATTTTGATTGTCATTTTGACTCAGTAAAAATCTGCTGGAGTCCAGGTTAGTAAGCAACCTATAAGTTCTATTGACTTACACTATAAGGAGAGCGCCATGGCAGACACTTATAAGGACTCCAAAGGGGAAAAATGTGGCAGAGGCTGTGCCCTGGATAAGCTGAAAATCTAATACTCATGAAGTATTAGATAGCATTTATGAAGCGGAGTTGTAAAATGCTGACAGAGTGTTGGAAAGAGAGAGAGCCATGTGGACTGGAGAAGTCCTGAAAAGCTTCTCGGGGAGAAAGGTTGGATATGGGACTATTTGAGGTTATTAGGACAATAGCATTGCTCTGATTACCTTTAATATTCAATTTAATAAACATTTTTTGAGTACCTACCATACAGGAAGCATTTTGCAAAGTCATGGGAGAACACAGGCTTGATAAACTTGAATAAGACATTATTTCTGTCATCAGAGGATGGTAAAAACTTCTGAGAGTGGAAACAATTGTGTACACAAAAAATAAGAACACGTAAAGAAGAGGGAGGGTCATAATGTTCCTGTGATGGGGATGATTAGTCTCAGGCTTTCTAAATGGAGCATTTTTCTTTCAGGGATAGTCTCTTTAAAATCTGGTCAGTGATGCTGCTGATGAGAGAATCATATGACATTTGGTAAGAAGGCCAACAAGGGGCCAATTTTAAGCCTGATAATTTTTTTCAAAATGGACAAATACCTAAGTGATCAAAAATAGAGAAAATGTTAAATGACTTATAATGCACACATGTAAGAGAACATCATACTTCAATTTTTTATTGCCCCATCCTATAGTGACATAACTATATCTATACCACGAATACCAGTATTGACAGGTGTCAATAGAAGCAGAAAGACCAGACATGGACAATATTGTGTAAACTAAACAAAGTTTACTTATCTATCTAGATAATATAGAAAGAACCTGAACCCCTGTTGCCTATATATATTTGCATGATAAGAACAATAGGGTACATGTAGTTTTGCATCCTGGCTTTTTAATCAAAGATTGACCCTAAAGTTAAGCTAAGGATCCCCAGAAATCTTTGGGTAAGTGAGTCTTATTCCTCTTCTGCAGTTCTGGGCTCAGGACACGTAGCAGAGAGATCAGCAACAGTCTTATAGGGTGATGTAAACTTCCCGGCCCCCCCAAACCTCACCAGTGGCTCACAAAATGGATGATAAAATCTAGACTGAGAACATTGCATCAGAAATTCTGAAGGCCTTATCTCTCAGAACAGAGAAGCTCTACATGAGCCCAAACCTAGATATTTTTTGAGATCCCCTGACCTGGGCTAGATCCACCACATCTACTTCACAATTACACAATGCACAGCATGATTTTGGAACTACAGGGTGATGAAGTTCACTTAGATGTAATTAAACTTCTCGTTCAACACTCTCAGCCTCTCCAGTCATCCAAGGCTTTGTCCAACACATTCCTGAGCCCAGAACTGCAGAAGAGGAATAAGACTCACTTACCCAAAGATTTCTGGGGATCCTTAGCTTAACTTTAGGGTCAATTTTTGATTAAAAAGCCAGGATGCAAAACTACATGTACCCTATTGTTCTTATCATTCAAAAATATATAGGCAACAGGGGTTCAGGTTCAAAATGTTGGTACTGCTACACATATAGACTGGAAGTGAACAATTAAATATACAGGTAATGGACGATGGGAGACAGATTTCTCACTGCTGGAATGGGAATTTACAAAGACATAGTGGAGGAGGGTAGAGTATTCCAGGTAGTAATTGATTAAAGTTGGATACATTCATATGTACTCATGTTTAGCTTAATATAGGTATAGATGGTTACATATGAAGATATTTTTAGAGATGTATATGTATATATTTGGTTTATTATACACACATTTAGTTACTTGCTCTGTCATCTAGGCAGCCCTATAAATAATGATAACCGTAGTCACAAGCACACCAATTTCCCAAATATTAGCCTCTAAGATCCCATTCTTCAGTAAAATAAATCAGGGATCCTTGAAGAGTTATCTGATTCCAGGACAGAGACAAGAAATACACAAGATGAACTTAGAGTACCTGATAGTGCCAGAAAGTAAGAAAGGGCTCAAAAGAAAAATAACATATACACTTACAGGGGTATGTCAAAGGAACCAGAAGCCTCCTGAAAGAGTTCCCAGTAGCCTAACCTGAGACACTTTGGGCACCAAAATAAGCAAAGTGGCACTGAATTGTAACCCAAAGGACAAAGAAAATATTCATGAGTCCATAATGATATGCATACATTATTGAGTAAACTACCAATGGGAAAGAATTAGCAAATATCCCATGCAGAATAATTCCAAACAATTTATGTAGATACTCTGCCACCCAGGACAGGAAGTATCAATCCCCAGTCCTTAAATGTTGGCTGCATTTAGTGACTTTCTTCCGATGAGTACAGTAAGGGAAAGGAGGCAAAAAACATGGAGAAATAGGACAAACACGCCCTTAACTAGACGACCAAGGTTAATGTCAACAGTCATAATTCATGTTGATAATACATAGCCTTCATATAATTTGATGAAAACGGTACTTTACTTCTGTAGCCTTCCTTCCCATAACTTACAACCCCAGGCAAATTCCAATAGTGGGGCACTCTACAAATATCTGACCACCATTTCTCAAAACTGTCAAGGTTATCATAGAGGATAAGTCTGAAAAAATATCACAGTCAAGAGGGGCCAAGGAAGGCATAAGTAAGTGTTATGTGGTACCCAGGATGGGCTCCTGGGACAGAAAAAGAACATTAGGCAAAAAGAAAGACAATCTGAATAAACTGTGGACTTTTAGTTAATAATAATATATGACTATTAGTTTATTAGCCATAACAAATATACCATACTAATGTAAGATGTTAATAATAGGGAAACAGGGTGAGAGGTGTACGATAACCCTCTTTACCATCTTCTCAAAATTTCTATAAAATCTAAAACTATTCTAAAAATAGTTGATTAGAATATGTATAGGCATATTAATTAAAATTTTTAAAATATATAGTGGAGACAGTTGATATGTTGGAGTGGTGGAACAATAGGGAATTTTAAAAATATATGTTTTTGCTAACAAGAAGAAGGGAAATATTTCCTAATAAGATATTATAATGCTGAGAGCTATATGATTTTAAAACATTTTAAAAATAATCTCTTGGTTTTCATTTTTATAACTTACCAACATTTTTTTGAGAAATTAAGGAAATAAACAATGGAAAGAATTCTGTAACTTTGTCTTTACTTGTAGAGAAACTTTATCATTTAAATGGAACTCATCTGTTTCTAATGATCGAATAAAACTCACCCTAAGGGAAAGAAAGACATCTTTCCAAAGGCAAATTCATAATTCATGTGGTTATGGTAACAGGAAAATACTGAAAAGCATTTTGGCTTGTTATAAATATATGACTGATTTAGATGATATGAGATAAAAATTAAAATAAAAAAATAAAATGTTTAATTTTTCAACATCAGCTGTATGTTTAAGTAAAAGAAGATAAAAAAGATATCTGCTTCATGGCTTACATTGGCGTGTGTTTCTAAGAGACATGCAAAACATTTCCAATTTCTCAGTATGTTTTTTCAAAATGTTTCATTTGATATTCTACCAATGGCAAATATTTTTCAAGAGCCTCAAGTTATTATAATCTATCTTTGGCTTTCTTTTAGTGCATTTCTGAATAGTTTAAATCTGGTGGGCAGTTTTGATTTTATTTAGCTCCTAATATCGAAAGAAATTATCTAATTTGAAAGTATTTGCAATGCTTGTTTTAAAGCTGGAATACAATGTAATTTAATAATTTATTTTCAGATAAATTAGTTGTCTATTGGAACAGTTAACAAAAGATGGTTAATTATGGAAGATTCAGATAGAAAGGATGCTATTTACACATAAATAGTTCTTCCAAAACTGAAAATCAAGGGAAAAAAGCACATGGCCTGGAAGAGATGATTGAGTAGGATTGAGTGAATTCCTGCTCCCTTCATGGAAAAGTTACACATTATGATTTTAGAAAGCAGGAAAGGAAGGAGGAAGGGAGGGAGGGGAAAAGAAACAAATCTCTTGGCTTCCTCAGCTGGAGCAGGTCCATGGTCACAGGTGAATACTGTGAGCCTTCTTTATGTTTGAGGGTGGAAGGCAGAAACTTGAACCTTATTTGTAATCACAACACAGATATAAACAGCATTTCTTGGTTTGGAAGGGTAAACTGAATTCAGATTCCAGGGTAACTCAGGGGAATCCTGAGGAAGAATTTAAGGAAAGGGATGGAGATTGGCATAAAAAGAGAGACCCAGAGACCAGTGGATAGCAGGTAAGGCTGGTTCTGGGCCAGGTGCTGTGGTTGAAGGGAAACACAACTTTCACCTGCCACTCAGAAACAGGATATACTTGGAGAGAAAGTAGAAACTTATTGTATTAGTTTGAGGACTAAACTCTGATCTTTTTATCTTACCCAAATTCCTATCTAGGGGGTCTGGGGAATCATGCCCCACAAATCATAAATTCTCATCAGACAGGTTTTCTTTAACCCTATATATTGTGACTTACTTTCCAACCTGGCTCTGGCATAACATTACAAGACAAGGAAGAAAATAAAAATATTTTACCCCAAGATACGTTTCTTTACCATATCTTGAAATGTCCCTGCAAAGCGGTCCTTTGTGGGGGAAAATTTGCATCTGTAAGGAATCTCTATTAACATAGCTAGATCTTTTTCTTCCAGGCCCTCCAAATCCTAAAGAGATTAACTAAAAGTCTAGCCCCCTTTAAAAATATGAATAGGAAATATTTGTCATCTGTTGTCTCTAAGGGCAGCCACTCTAAGACTTCAAAAGAACCTTGGTCTCCACAATCCTTTATCTTAACCTGAACATTTCCTTTCTATGATCCCAGGTCTTTAGACAAACTCAATCAATTGTCAACCAGCAAATGTTAAATTTACCTGTAGCCTGGAAGCCCCCACTTTGAGTTGTCCCACCTTTCTGGACCAAACCAATGTATTTCCTAAATGTATTTCATTGATGTCTCATGCGTCCCTAAAATGTATAAAACCAAACTGTGCCCCGAGCACCTTGGATACACATTCTCAGGATCTCCTGAGGGCTGTTTCATGGGCCATGGTCACTCATATTTGGCTCAGAATAAATCTCTTCAAATATTTTACAGAGTTTGACTCTTTTCATTGACAAGTTCCTTCTCACATTGCTATAAGAAACTACCTGAGACTGGGTAATTTATGAAGAAAAGAAGTTTAATTGATTCACAGTTCCACATGGCTGGGGAGGTCTCAGGAAACTTAGAATCACGGCAAGAGGTGAAGAGGAAGCATGGCTCCTCTTCACATGGGCAGAGCAAGAGGAAGAAAGAAAGAAGGGGGAAGTGCTACACACTTTCAAACAACCAAATCTCAAGAGAACTCTATCATGAGAACAGCAAAGGTGAATTCCACCCCCATGATTCAATCACCTCCCACCAGGCCCCTGCTCCAACACTGGGGATACAATTTGACATGAGATTTGGGTGGGGACACAGAGCCAAACCACATCACTTACATGAAAGAAATTCTTGTTCACTACCTGCTGGAACACTCAGGGTCTCAAGAAGCCATGCTACAGTACTTTCTATATCCTCTCTTAAAGTTCAATAATGTTTTCTGTTGACTGTCCAAAGAGAGACATAGCTCTGCAGCCTTGGCACACAACTACATCCTCTCTTAAGGTACAGTAATGTTTCCTGTTGACTTTAAGAAAACAGGGACATAGTTCTCCATCCGTGGTGCACAACCATAGCATTACAATTCCTATTAAAACAGATAAAGCAGCATTTTGGGTCCATCAGGAGTCATGGCCAGAACAGTGCAGGGAGCTGAGTTCCTCCTTTCTAGAGAGGAACGGTGTGAGTCTTTCGGGGTTGGGCTGCAGAATCCTGGCTTAGCCATCTTCAGTGGTGAGGGAAAGAAGGATGGGTGTACCATCATCCAGTGTAACTATTTGAGCTGGACTATGACTTTTTCATGGAGACTCCCACTGCATTTCTTCCGAAGAAACACATCATTGTGTTCTTAATTTTAACGTAGTGGCTCAGGTATGAGCTGCCCTGTTACAGTTTTGATTCAGGGAAGGCAAGCCCCAAAGTAAGGCTTGGTCTACAAGCGTTCTTGGACTTGCCCAGGAGGGAATTCAAGAGCAAACCAGAGGTAGAAGAAAACAGCTTTATTAAAGAGGCAGTGTTACAACTCTGTGACTGTTCCTACAGAGCAGGGCTACCCCATGGGCAGAGAGTAGCAGCTCAGGGCAGTTTTGCAGTCATAATTATACCCACTTTTAATTGCATGCAGGTTAAGGGGTGGTTTATGCAGAAATTTCTAGGGAAGGGGTCGTAGCTTTTGGTTCATTGGGTCATCACTAAGGAATGGGGTAGTAACTCCCAGGTGTTGCCATGGCAATGATAAATTGACATGGCACACTGCTAGGTGTGTCTGATTGGAAAGCTGCTTCTGCCCTGGCCCTGTTTTAGGTACTCCTCAATCTGGTCTGGTGTCTTGAGTCCCACCTCTGGAGTCAAGTCCTGCCTCCTACCTCAGTTTCAGTGACTTTGGGTGAGTGACACCATGTTATAACCCCTTCTCACTGATGATACAATTTGTTTAAAAAAATTTTATAATTTTTCTTGTGACACAGGGCAACAAAAAATCATAAAAGCTTTTAAAACAAATGTTGGTATTATACCACTCTCCATGTTTTCTTTCAGTCACCTGTGGACATAAATCTTTATGTATACATTTACACCAGAAATACTCGTAAGAACTTTGTATACACAGATCAACTTTTAATCTATTTAGTACTATCCAATAGAACTTTGTATGATGATGAAAATATTCTATAATAATATGACTGACAGGGTATTTTATGAGTATTTTTCAAATATGTAAATATTTAGAAATACAATTTAGAAGCATTAAATATTATTCTGCAATTAAAACGTGGCTGGTGAGGCTCAAAATTGAAATGTTTATTTGATTTAACATAAATTAAAATTAAAATAGCCAATGTGGCTATTGGCTACTGCATCAGACAACACGGGTTTATAAAATGATAAGCACAAAGATTATTTAAATATATGTTTAAAATCTCATTTTTGTCAGTAATGTAAAATGTCTTCCTGACCAAGTCCAATAGCTCCCATTGAGGGGCTATCTTTTCATGACAGCAACTTTACTAAGAGTCATTACATGAAAGATTCTTTGCTAGATGTTGGGGTCTGCTTTCTTTGCCTCTCTCCCTTCCCACGGAGCACCTGGTAGAAGGGTGAAAAGAATGAACAAAATGCAGAACAGAAAAAAAGGAAAGGAATAAGCAAAGAGCAGTCATGAATGGTAATTATATCTGGAAAACCATTAGCCTCAGAATAATTGTAAATTGGCTAAGTTATAATGTAAGACTCCCAAAAGTGCCTAATAAGCAAAGTTACTTTAGCCATTTTGAAGCAATTTATTGTACTAGGGGAAATCTATTTCTCAGATGCTATAAAGGATAGAGAGTTAGATGACAATAGATTTTGTTTTGTTCTTTTCCTGCACTTTAACTTTTGTTCACATAACATCTCAGCTATAGGTATTTGAAATCTTTTTTCTGTTCTCCAATAAATGCTGATGGAGACAGATATGTCAATAATATCTATATTTTACCATTTTGAAAAGCAATTTTCTTCTCTGTGGCAGCACATGCTGACCATTTTAAAATCATGACTCTACATTTGAAATTTATGTTTACTTTGTTCTTTGCAGAATTCAAGATGGGATCTCTGCTCTTAGCATCAAGACCCTTTTTGATGAATGCAAATGGTGGCTGACAGAATGTGACTCAGAGGAAAGACTGACAGTCTACATCAGTCTCCTGATTTACAGCACATTTAACTCTCCTGAGTCAACACAAAGAAAAAGAAACAGGATATTAGTAACGGTAACTTGCCATTTTCTATTTGGATAAACATAGCATGAGGGTAGTTTTATATCTGCATCCTACTTTGATTATCACGTATTCCCAAACTCCTATTGGTAGGGAAGGTAAGAATTTTTAATACATCCAAAGGATTTTTTAAGCCTTAGTTGATGAGGAACAGATTGTAAGAGAGTAAGACCAGCTTCAAAAAACACCACTACGGCTTGTCCAGACTTTATCCTAAATCACTCAATTTGATAACAGTAGTCTAAAATATGTCATCTAGACTGCATGAGGATTATTGACACTCCGTATGTAAGACGCTAAAGAGCTTTCTCCCTCTGTATGTAGCAAAAAATTTTATTGGTTAAAAATCCAGAATAAACCACATTTACTTATCTTTTACCTTCTGTACTTCTCATATTTGTAATGGGTGGTAGTAACAGAATAAAAACCTTAGGAAAAAACTCTGTATGAGGCTGCCTGGAATCACCTGTGAAATCAGTCTTTCCATACACCAGTCATCCTATTTAGTTGCAACTACACCTGCATTTTGTGGTTGCCTTAAAAATATTTTTTAAAGAGAAAATACTGTCATTTTCTGCTGATGTAAAATGTGAATAACTTTTAAAAGAGTTAGCATCTTTTCAAGGTGTGCATGTGTAGAAATAATATTTATAGGAACTGAAACTTTATGATTCTAATTAGATTTAATGTAATATTCAATGGTAAGTTAAGGTAATGAAAACTGGTACTTTAAAAAGTGTTTTTACCTTTCTAAAACACAATAAATTGAAACATAGCTTCCCCATTGCTATGGACTTAATTATGTCTTCCACCCAAAATTTATATGTTGACGTCTGACCCTCCAAAATGACAATATTTGCAGATAGGGCTTTTAGGAGGTAATTAAGGTTAAATGAGGTTCATAAGGGTGAGGTCTTAATCTGACGGCTGGTGGACTTATAAGAAGAGAAAGATCTCAATCTCTCTCTGTCTCTTTCCATCCTCCCTCCCTCTCCCTCTCTCCTTCCCTCCCCATCTTTCTCTCCTTCCTTCCCTCCCCATCTCTCCCTCCCTCCCTCCCTCCCTCTCTGTTCTCATACACAGAGAAGAAAAGCCATGTGAATCCATAGGGAGAAGGCAGCTGTCTGCATACCAGGAGGAGAGCTCCCACCCGAACCCAACCATAGTGCCACCCTGATCTTGTACTTCCAGCCTCTCAGCTGTGAGAAAATAAATGTCTGTTGTTTAAGACACCCAGTTCATGGTATTTTGTTACAGCAGCCCAAGCAAAGTAAGACACCCCATCCTCTCCTATAGAGCAGTAACATCACCAAGGTTGGGCTCTTGCTAGGGGTTTCCAAGATCCCCTCCTGAGACCTGGCCTGTCTAATCACATACTACTTTGTTATGCTTTCTTTGGTTTCGAGACAGATAATTAAATAAGGCTTCAAACATAAAGCTGGCTATGCAGCTTGATTGTAACACAGCCACTAGAAATGAGGCGCCAATTCCCCATTTAAAGTATAAAGGTGGATTCCAGCAATGCATGTTTAAAGGAGAAGTATGTTACTTGCGTCTGGGAAACCCAGCCTATGAAAGCCTGGCCACTCCTGTTAAGTCAGAACAATGTCTAGCTGGTCCAAAAGAGAGGGCTTTTTGGCCATCCTTTCATGGTAGCCTGAGGAATTTGGATAAATGGTGAGTCTCTACTGGGCCCAGCCAGCAAGAGGGCTCTTCCTCCCATGGCCAAGAAAAGGCCACTGGACCCATCCACACCCCCTGTTCACACTCAGCTTGTGCCACCTAGGCTGAAAAGAAACGTGGCTGTTGCCTGCCTTTGAGGGCTCATTGTATTTCCTGGAGCTACGGGAGATGTGTAGTCAGGTTCAAGCTTGCTTTTATTTTGCCAACTCCTTGTGAACCTACATAATCTGCATGTGACTTTTACTCATTTAAAATAGAGTCTGGTCTTGATATGTTTCCTATGATTAGCAAATGAATCTCTAATTTATTTGATAGATGTTAATATATGTTGGTATAGGTTAGTTATTGCCCAAAAGCTTATAAGCACCACCATTGTCACTGCCCTGCTCAAAACCTAACCCTGCCCTGTCACCTACACAGACACCTGAGGGCCTCTCTGCCAGGGCCCTTTCCCCAAGGCTGCTTCCCAAAACAGAGAGAGGACATGATACCTTCCTTCCCAGTCCCTTGAGGAATTCACTGCAATGGTAGGCAAGGGCTCTAGTCTCCTGGGGAGCACGTTCAGGCTATGCAGGGACATCCAGCACCTTCTCGTGGCTAACAATTCACAGTGGCAGAAGACCAAGGCAGAACACTAGGTAGCATTTCCAGAACTAGGGGTCAGAAAGTCACATTTTTAGAAACATTTCAGGATTTAAAACATCCACTCCAGTTTCTTAACATTCCAATCCTATTTCCTTCCATAGGATTCAGGCTACTTTAAGCCTGAAATAAATCCTCTCACCTTGGAGGAGGTCGGCAGCCATTTGTTACTCAGCCAGCCTCAGAGCACCTGGGATGCCTGAGCCCTGAGGTAACTGAATTTCTTCAGTTACTTGACTCTCAATTATTTTTCTTAACTCATTAAGGAAGTATGCCTTATAAGAGAAATTATATTTAGAAAATCACGATGGATATTTTTGGAGGTTTTGTGTGTGTGTGTGTGTGTGTGTGTTCATGTGTTACATGTTATGTGTTTATGTAGGAGTGGATCTCAGATTTGCTTGGACCCTGGACTTGTTGAGTAATACTTTTTGAAATTAGAATTCCCCCAATTGAATCTTGCAACATAAATATGTTGAGATTATTTTGTTTCCATTACTTGTGCTTGGTGTGTGGGCAGCCATGCAGTCAGACATAGGAAAGCAGGCGGTCGGTTTACCAAAAGAAATGTATACACCTCTGCTGAAAGTGCAAAGAACAGATTTTCAAAACTGAGGGAATCCTCACTCCACATGAGCGAAATCTGCAGTAACTATGCCTCCCTGTGCAAGACTCTAAGAAGCCACATTCAATTACGCCTCCTTCTGGGATCCCTTGCTTATTACACCTATCCTCAATTATCTCATTAGTCCATTGCTACAGTCGAATGGTTTATTTACCAAAACCATCCTATACTAAATTTCTAAGATCAGCTATATTAAACAAACAAACAAACAAAATCAGGTTCAGACAAGTTACTGTATCAACCAGTATTGAATGTTTTGTAAAATAAAGCAACATATTCCTATTCCTCTTAAGACTAAAAAAAAAAAAAAGTCAGATTTCCTAAGCACACATGAATATGAGTGGATGAAGTCATGTATAGTTACATAGCATATAGCACTGAATGCAAATGGAGATGGGATTATGCTTCTAGACCCAAAGATTAATAAAATACATTAAACTTAAAGGCAGGATTATTAATAGAAATGGATTCTATAAATATCTATCTCTGGTATTAAAAACTGAACAAGTCAAATGTACGTAACACCAATCCTCTATTGAGTACAAGAATTAGTGCTCAATTGAGTATAATAATCAGTCAATCTGTGAGTGAAACCCAGCACACCATATTATCATTGTATTTGAATTAGAGTGGGTATATTTATCGATAATGTTTGTATATCTAGAAAACTCAGAACATTTATCTGGTGAGAATATAAATTAAGTGCCTTATTTTACCAAATTGCACTTAAAAATTGAGCAGCACCATCACTTACTTGGAAGAAAATATAAACAATTTTTTTACTTCAATGTTCAATAACATAAAATGCTAAACAGCAAATCTTAATTATTGAATTCATTTTTTAATCTAAGAAATTCCCTTTGCTAGTGCCCATGTAACATTATTTATTAGTACAGTTAATATTGTAAATCTTATCATCAATCTTCATGTTGAAGAGATAAGATTACAGGCATATGAAAATATCTGTTTCATGGCCTAAAGGCTGTGGATATAGAGTAATTACTGACACTCAATCCCCTAATCAGAATCCTTTCCCCCACCCTGCCTGGGATGTAGGTGACCACATGGGTATAGCTTCTTGTCTCTCTTCACTCCCACCTTTTTACACATCACCTTAACACAGAGACTCCCAGATCAGCATCCTCTTTCTCCTAGGATCTGGACAGATATTTCTCATGTCTACCACAAGGCAATGTTTCCAAATTATCAATCCCAAACCTTTCCATGCCAAATTCACTAACTCCTAGCTCCAAAGTAGTATTCAAATGTTTTTCAATATAGAAGATCTGAAAACCAAACCAGATAGATCAATTTGTCAGCAACGTCCTCAGTTCCCTGCTCTTTATTCATCCACATCCAAATTCTAAAATCTCCTTTCAATTCTTTCCTCCTATCCCTGAGTACTCCAGACCAACCTCGAACTTTTATCTGCTCATTAATAAACCTTCCTACTTGTAACCAATGGTCTTTTATTGAATAGTGGAGGATTTTCAAGGTTTTTTTTTGCTACTATCTTTCCATTTTTAAATGCTCCATGCCAAAAGCTCAAAACTTTTTAGCATAACATTTAAGAAATTCTACCATCCAGCATTATGCAGTGGCTTTAATCTTATCTCCTCTTCCTACCTACCGCATTCCTTCTCTTCATCTCCAATAAACCTGACACCTATTCATTGCAAATATTGGCCTCTGCGTTGGTCTTTGTCTTAGAAGTGCCTGTCATCATCTCAATGGAGCCTGTTCACTAGGCTCTGATACACATCATTCTATGTGAGCACATAGTACAAAAGAGTTGGCAGCCATCACATTCTGATTTAGGTTACAGTAGCCCAGATGTGTAGCTGATTCTTTAACTGGATGAAGAGATCTAAAAATCTCATTTTAGTTCTGTCCCGCAATCCCGAATGAATAAGTTAATGCAAAGTAGATGCTTTGGAAGTGTATTAGTCTGTTCTCATGCTGCTGATAAAGATATCCTTGAGACCGGGCAATTTATAAAGGAAAGAGATTTAATTGACTCACATTTCAGCATGGGTGGGGGGCCTCAAAAACTTACAATCATGGCAGAAGGGGAAGCAAACACATCCTTCTTCACATGGCACCAGGAGAGAGGGAAGAATGAGAACTGAGCTAAGGGGAAGCCCCTTATAAAAACATCAGATCTAATGAAAATTTACTCACTATCACCAGAATACCATGGGGAAAACCACCCCCGGGATTCAATTTCCTCTTCCTGTGTCCCTCTCACAACACATGGGGATTATGGGAACTACAATTCAAGATAAGATTTAAGTGGGAACACAGCCAAACCACAAATTCCGTCCCTGGCGCCCGTCCAAAATCTCATGTCTTCACATTTCAAAACACAATCATGCCCTTCCAACAGTTCCCCAAAGTCTTAACTCATTTCAGGATCAACTCAAAAGTCCATGTCCAAAGTCTCATCTGAGACAAAGCACCCTTTCACCTATGAGCCTGTAAAATCAAAAGCAAGTTAGTAACTTCCTAGATACAATAGATACAATAGGGATACAGGCATTCCAAATGGGAGAAATTGGCCAAAACAAAGGAGCTAAAGGCTCCGTGCAAGTCCGAAATCTAATAGGGCAGTCATTAAACCTTAAAGTTCCAAAATGATCTCCTGTGACTCCATATTTCACATCCATGGTGTGCTGATGCAAGAGGTGGGCTCCCATGGCCTTGGGCAGCTCTACTCCTGTGACTTTGCAGGGTACAGCCTCCCTCCTGGCTACTTTCACTAGCGGGCATTGAGTGTCTGAGGCTTCTCCAGGCATGTGAAGAAAAGCAAGCTGTCAGTGGATCTACCATTCTAGGGTCTGGAGAACACTGGCCCTCTTCTCACAGCTCCACTAGGCAGTGCCCTAGTGGGGACTTTTTGGGGGAGCTCCAACCTCACATTTCCCTTCTGCACTGCGCTAGCAGAGGTTCTCCATAAGGGCCCTGCCGCTGCAGCAAACTTCTTCCTGGACATCCAGGCATTTCTATACATCCTCTGAAATCTAGGTGGAGGTTCCCAAAACTCAGTTCTTGACTTCTGTGCACCTGCACACTCAACACCACATGGAAGCTGCCAAGGCTTGGGGCTTGCATTCTCTAAGCTGTACCTTGGCTCTATTTAGTCATGGCTGTAGTGGCTGGGGCGCAGGGCACCGAGTTCCTAGACTCCACACAGCATGGGGACCCTGGGCCAAGTCCACAAAACCATTTTTCCTTCCCAGGCCTCCATGCCTGTGATGGGAGAGGCTGTCGTGAAGACCTCTGACATGCCTTGGAGATATTTTCTCCATTGTTTTAGGGATTAACATTTGGCTCCTCCTTATGCAAATTTTTGCAGCCAGCTTGAATTTCTCCTCAGAAAATAGGATTTTCTTTTCCATCGCATTGTAAGGCTGCAACTTTTTCAAACTTTCATGCACTGTCACCTCTTGAATGCTTTGCTGCTTAGAAATTTCTGCCAGATACCCTAAATCATCTCTCTGAAGTTCAAAGTGCCACAGATCTCTAGGGCAGGCTGGGGCAAGAAGCCGCCAATCTCTTTGCTAAAGCTTAGCAAGAATGACTCTTACTCCAGTTCCCAACAAGTTTTTCCTCTTCATCTGAGACCATTTCAGCCACGACTTCATTGTCCATATCATTATCAACATTTTGGTCAAAGCCATTCAACAAGTCTCTAGGTAGTTCCAAACTTTCCCGCATCTTCCTGTCTTCTGGACCTTCCAAGTCTTTAGGATGTTCCAAACTTTTCCACATTATTTTCCTTCTTCTGAGCCTTCCAAACTGTTCCAACCTCTACCTGTTACCCACTTCCAAAGTTGCTTCCACATTTTCAGGTATCCTTATAGCAGCACCCCACTCTCTGCAGTACCAATTTACTGTATTAGTCCATTCTCATGCTGCTATAAAGAATTGCTCAAGACTGGGTAATTTATATAGAAAAGAGGTTAAATTGGCTCACAGTTCCCGTTTTCTGAGGAGGCCTCAGGAAACTTACAATCTTGGCAGAAAGGGAAGCAAACACGTCCTTGTTCAAATAGTGGCAGGAGAGAGAAGAGTGCCAAGCAAAGGGGGAAGCCCCTTAGAAAACCATCAGATCTCATGAGAACTTACTATCATGAGAATAGCATGGGGGAAATGGCCCCCATGATTCAATTACCTCCCACAGGGTCCTTCCCACCACATATGGGGATTATGGAAATTACAATTCAAGATTAGGTTTGGGTGAGAACGCAGCCAAATCATATCAGTAAGCATTTGTTAAAGTGATTAACAAGTCATTTGATTTAATTGAATATCAAGCAATTCAAGTTCTAAATAAGAGGGACAAAAATATGTACCTACAACTAATGACTACTTTCTGGAATTCTGTGTGAATAATTTTGGCTTTGTTTCACATCTCATAGCACTGACCTCATCGATGTCTTTTAGGTTAGATATTTAGAGAGTTTGTTCGTGGATACAGGTTGCTATGGCAACACAATCCTGCTAATATCTAATGCTCTTAAAACTTTATAAATTTCCTGAATGTAAGAACCCTGGAATAAGCATAACCTTTACACTTCAGGTATAGCTACATATTTTGAAAGTTAGGTCTAAAGGGAAGAATGAAGATAAATTTTCATATCAGAAGTGTATGCTTTTTTATAATATTCAAATTTCACTGTAAGAAGTTTAGGGTCCATAATCTTAAATATGCTTTATTTTATGTATCATAGGAATAAGTTTTGAGTCTACTGACTATATGTGCATGCTTTTAAAGTACATCTGGTAAGCTCAGCTGAAAATTTTTCATTGGAAAGATATTATGCAATGCTGCATCATTATCATAAATAAATGAGGTTATCTGAAGTTTATATATAAGCCCATTGTGTTGTATCACAGCAAAATTAAATACTTAAAAATAAGTTTCTATTAATATCATCTACAGTTCCAGAACTGTGTTTACAAATAGCTAATTACTGAATCACAATAATTTCTGAAATTTTTCACACATATGAACTTCATTTGAGATAAGCAATTGTTAAATTAAAAAAACTCTCTATTTTAAGAAATCTAATACTTTAAATTTCAAAGGGTTTTAATTAATATATTTAGATCTAATTTTTCACATTTAAAATAAAGTTCTTCATTTTCCAAAATAATTCATATTTAGCTTTCTTTAAATAAAACAGTTTCATAGTTAACTGATTCATATGGCCCATGTCCAAATTAGTATGTGAGGTAAAGAGAATAATGATAAATATTGCTTCCATTTCCAAAGACAGATGATAAACTAAGAAAAATTTAATTAACATTTGAATAATTTATATCTCTGCAACTTTCTTTCTCTAAGTTAGTGTAATTTACCCAAAATATAAGTCTCATGAATGCTTGCACTGAAGACTATTATTATTATAATTTCTCAGGTGCATACAATATTTTATTGCTGTATAATATCAAAGCCTCCAGATAACAAGATTAAGAATAACCAAGTGCTTATGAGAGGATGTGGATATAAATATTCACAAGCATAGTAACATTTGGATAATTTTCTTAAATTTTAGAGTCTTGCTTAACAGAAAACTCAATATATTTTGAAAAATAAAGCATTTTTTCTTTAGCTGTATCTCACATATAAAATTATATAAATTCAAAGCATACAAAATTTTCTTTGTACTCATTCAATCCAATGAAAAAGTAGAAGTCATATATTGCTTTCTGTGTCCCATTACACTATCTGTGGCTCTGTTTTTAAATTCAGAGAAAGTAGCAATTAATTACATTAATCTATACTTGATTGCATCATTGCTTATTTTTTTTCTTAGCTAGTTTTTCTTAGCTAGTTGTTATAAACTAGTTCTTAGCTAGTTGCAATTCATAAAGAAAGGCAGGGAATTAGATAATACAAGTGAAAAAAAAATTTTGCACCAACCGTCACAAGCTGGTTTGTGATGGTCACTCAGTTGACCAAGTAGAATGCAAAGAAAAGTTAATTGTCCCATCTACATTAAAGTTACTCAGCTTCTCTCCTAAAGTCAAATCATTTCTTGTGAAAGTTACAGTATCTTCTTCCAAAATGTTTTGTTGTTACAAATTATACTATTTCCAAATAAATCTTCTCCCAGTTCTTCTTGAAAAAGATAAGAAAAAGAGTTTCATAATAACAGATGATTTAGATCTCTGAATGAGCACCTCCATGCATACCAAAGGCTTGAGGTTGACTCTTGCAATACTAAATTTGGATAAATCTCACTCTCCCCAAATCTGCTTTGCCCCCAGTAGGGATCATAAAAATAATGTCTAAACTTGCTTTCTATATCTATATTATCTATATCTACCTATACACATGTATTTTAAAATATATAAATATATGGTTTGAAATACACACAGACACCCACACATATGATCTGAAAATACATTTTATAAACATTGTCAAAGTTTCTCATTGGGGATAATTTAAGAAATATCAAACCATTATTATTAAGGTTTTTAAAATTATAAGACCAAGGTTTTAAAACAAGAGTGTTCAATCTTTTGGCTTCCCTGGGCCACATTGGAAGAAGAAGAATTGTCTTGGGCCACACACACAAAATACACTAATGATAGTTGATGAGCTTTAAAAAAAAACTCACCAAAAAAATCCCAGGTTTTAAGAAAGTTTACCAATTTGTGGTGGGCAGCATTCAAAGCCCTCCTGAGTTGTATGTGGTGTGTGGGCTGCAGGTTGGACAAGCTTGCTTTAAAAAATATGATAAAGGCTTTGTAAATACACACACATATTTCAATATTTTATAATATTAATAGTCAATTAGAATTTTTCAATAAAAGCCAACATGTAAAATATTCATAAAGAAATTTAACTAATAACTATTGTTGAGGCTGAATGGCAAAAGTAAAATAAGATTACAAGCCAGGGCTGATGTTATCAGACTTAAAACAGACCAATAAGAGAACCACTAATGTACATGGAAAGGGAAATACACTACAGTTTGACTCAGCATTTAGGCATATTTAGAAATTCAATCTGTAAGTAATCTGACTAGCAATCTTATAGCATTGACTCATCTTATTCTCTGCATTCCACAACAAAAGTAAGTATCCACTCTCTCACATCATCTAGACTTAGTCTAGTCTTCAGGCTTTTTTGCATTTTATTTTAATTGTTTTCTAAAGAATGCCTCTCCCATCTAGGACAGAACACAAGTAGCACATTGTTTTTCTCTAATAGCAACGAAGAAGATTCTAAAGCAAACACTTTTGCTTGTATTATTAATTATTGACCATTAGCTAATACCAACACTTAAAGATAGTTCATAGGAAGGTCTTTAAGGGGAAGCCATTGCTAGTTCTCTGTTCTTTGCTGTCACTTTCCATTATTCAAAGCAGGTAGCCAAACAACAAAGACCAGTTGTGTGCTATCATACCACCCCATGAGCACAAGCCCAGTGCTAAAAGAGTTTGATACCAAAAGTACCTTTTGACTTAGTATAAATTTATTCACTAATCTCTGTAAAGGCTCACATCTATGAAATAGTGGTACTGCTGATTGATACGTGTAGGAAGACATGTTATTGGCAAATTATCCTTACTAATAAGGATTCCATAAAGAGAACACTGGCACTACAATTAAGAGCTTATAACATTAATGAAATCACTGTTTGGTTTTGACAATACAATATGCTTAAATTTTTCAACACCTAATTATCACCTTGATCAATGGCATTTTAATACATAAGTGCATCACTCTGCAGATGCTGATAGTATATTAAATATGTTTGACCAATATTAAAGTAGTCAATTGTAATCTACTTCTACTAATAGTAATGGGTATTATTTTGTCTTTACGGCTCAATAGCCACTGCTTCATGGATTATGAGCAATTTGCTAGATCCCCATCTGTCTTTCACAAACACTGCATCAAAGAATCCTACTTAGAGAATAATACGGCATTTCCTAATAAAAAATGCATAGTTAAAAATGTCAATACTTTTATCCTTAAAAATCAATATTTTTTTAGTTTATTTTTTATTTTATTATTATTATACTTTAAGTTTTAGGGTACATGTGCACAATGTGCAGGTTAGTTACATATGTATACATGTGCCATGCTGCTGTGCTGTACACATTAACTCGTCATTTAGCATTAGGTATATCTCCTAATGCTATCCCTCTCCCCTCCCCCCACCCACAATAGTCCCCAGAGTGTGATGTTCCCCTTCCTGTGTCCATGTGTTCTCATTGTTCAATTCCCACCTATGAGTGAGAACATGCGGTGTTTGGTTTTTTGTCCTTGCGATAGTTTACGGAGAATGATGATTTCCAATTTCATCCATGTCCCTACAAAGGACATGAACTCATCACTTTTTATGACTGCATAGTATTCCATGGTGTATATGTGCCACATTTTCTTAATCCAGTCTATCATTGTTGGACATTTGGCTTGGTTCCAAGTCTTTGCTATTGTGACTAGTGCCACAATAAACATACGTGTGCATGTGTCTTTATAGCAGCATGATTTATAGTCCTTTGGGTATATACCCAGTAATGGGATGGCTGGGTCAAATGGTAATTCTAGTTCTAGATCCCTGAGGAATCACCACACTGACTTCCACAATGGTTGAACTAGTTTACAGTCCCACCAACAGTGTAGAAGTGTTCCTATTTCTCCACATCCTCTCCAGCACCTATTGTTTCCTGACTCTTTAATGATTGCCATTCTAACTGGTGTGAGATGGTATCTCATTGTGGTTTTGATTTGCATTTCTCTGATGGCCAGTGATGGTGAGCATTTTTTCATGTGTTTTTCGGCTGCATAAATGTCTTCTTTTGAGAAGTGTCTGTTCATGTCCTTCACCCACTTTTTGATGGGGTTGTTTGTTTTTTTCTTGTAAATTTGTTTGAGTTCATTGTGGATTCTGGATATTAGCCCTTTGTCAGATGAGTAGGTTGTGAAAATTTTCTCCCATTTTGTAGGTTGCAAAAAGAGCCCGCATTGCCAAGTCAATCCTAAGCCAAAGGAACAAAGCTGGAGGCATCAGGCTACCTGACTTCAAACTATACTACAAGGCTACAGTAACCACAACAGCATGGTACTGGTACCAAAACAGAGATATAGATCAATGGAACAGAACAGAGCCCTCAGAAATAACGCCACATATCTACAACTATCTGATCTTTGACAAACCTGAGAAAAACAAGCAATGGGGAAAGGATTCCCTATTTAATAAATGGTGCTGGGAAAACTGGCTAGCCGTACGTAGAAAGCTGAAACTGGATCCCTTCCTTACACCTTATACAAAAATTAATTCAAGATGGATTAAAGACTTAAACATTAGACCTAAAACCATAAAAACCCTAGAAGAAAACGTAGGCATTACCATTCAGGACATAGGCATGGGCAAGGACTTCATGTCTAAAACACCAAAAGCAATGGAAACAAAAGTGAAAATTGACAAATGGGATCTAATTACACTAAATAGCTTCTGCACAGCAAAAGAAACTACCATCAGAGTGAACAGGCAACCTACAAAAAATCAATATTAAAAAGACAAATAACACAGAATTATCTGGGGAAGTATGGTCTGTGACTTAAGAATAGTTTGTCTTCTTTTAAGGAAGAAGATATTGGCATAAGGTGAGGAAGTTCACTTAGGAGTGGGCAGGCATATTTGAATAAGAAACCCCAGGCTCCCAGGGAAGAGAAAATTTGAATCCCTTACTTGTGAAATACAAAGTCACTGAAACCTTTCAGAATGGACCTTGTGGCTGAGAAGAAATGGGATCAGCATGATAAAATCACCATGAGGAAGGAAACCATGGGTTCAAAGTGTTTGGCCGCCCCATAATGAATTGAGCAAGTGAAGGAGCATGGTGGTGGGTGGGATTTGAAGTATCAAACACTGAAACCTGTTTCCATTCTGTTGCTGCAATGGTGGACTTGCACCACTGCCCTCCCACACATAGACTGAAGAAGCATGGTGGGGGGCTGGGGGAACAAATTGAATGATTGCTATGGTTTCAATAATGGTGTTCCCTCTGAAATTCCCATTGAAACTTAATTCCCAATGCAACAGTATTAAGAGACCTGGCCTTCGGAAGGTAAATAAGACACTGAGGGCCCTGACCTCATGAACAGGATTAGCACCCTTGTGAAAGGGCTGAAGGTTGATAGGAGTGCTCTCTTGCCCTTCCGTCCCTTCTTCCATGTGAAGACAGAAGTCATGTGAGAACACAGCATTCCTCCCTCCAGAGGATGCAGCAAAAAGCATCAACTTGGAAGCAGAAAGCAGCCCTCACTAGATACCATTCCTGTTGTTCCCTTGATCTTCGACTTCCCAGCCTCCAGAACCATAATAAATAAATTTCTATGCATTGTAAATTACCTAGTCTCTGGTATATTGTAGTAGCAGTACAAATATACCAAGACAATGGTCATCTGTCCTTGCTTTGAAAACCAATACAGCTTTGGGAAGGCCCCATACCTGCAAGGGACAAAGCTCTAGCCAAATGACTTTCCTGGCAAAAGTTGTAAGCAAACTATCTTTTCAGAATTTTCAGGTTTTAGTGAAACTGTAGCAAAGTGTTAGTTATTTCTGAAGTAAGGACTTTTAGTGACTTTGACCAATGCTTCCAACCTCAAGAAGGCTCATCAGAGCTTTGAATCCAGTGGCTGTAAGGAATAAACCTTAGAAGGGGACATGTGGGATTGTCCTTAAGTAAGCCAAAATATATTGCATTCCTAGAAAAATATGCTGGACCTTGCCCTCCAATCCAGCATGGGGTGCCTGAATTGTTCTTTGAATTACTCTTAACTGGCCATTTTGGCAAATTTAAGTTAGAAAGCAATATGCTCTAGTTAAATTTCTAAATCTGTTGCCTGACCTGGACCTTTAGCCAAGGGGTTATTGAAAAGTGCCAAATTGAATCCCAACTAGAATCTAGACATAGCCCTCTTTTTCCTTCCTCTATAGCAGCAACCCAATTTCTCCCAAATAATCAAGATCAGCTCTCCCAGGCAATAGAATGATCTTCTTTTCTACTGGGTCAGCCATGTGAAGAGCCTAAAATGGCCAGGGAGAAGTTTCAACTTTCATTTGATCTGTGTGCTCTGGTTATGACAAAGAAAAACCCAAATATCAGTGGTGGTGTTCAAGCACATAAGGAGCTCAATAGAACCAGTATTCTAACATCACACAGTTTCGTCTCCAAGCTGACATTCAAACTGAGCCACATTTGGTCAAGTGAACTGCTCCTGGGTAAATGGGAACATGGAGATACCAGTGAGTTCAGTGGTTATAAACCCAATAACACAAAACATAGCCTCTGTTTGAAGCAACATTGCAGGATACCATGGTGGTTGTGTTACTCCATTTTCACACTGCTATAAAGAGCTACCTGAGCCTGGGTAATTTATAAAGAAAATAAGTTTAATTGTCCCACAGTTCTACATGGCTGGGTAGGCCTCAGAAAACTTACAATAATGGCAGAAGGCAAAGAGGAAGCAAAGCATGTCTTACATGGCAGCAGGAGAAAGAGAGCGTGAAGGTGGAAGTGCTACACTTTTAAACCATCAGATCTCATGAAAACTCACTCACTATCATGTGAATAGCATGGGGGTAACTGCCCCCATGATCTAATCACCTTCCACCAGCTCCCTCCCTTGACACATGGAGATTACAATTTGACATGAGATTTGGGTGAGGACACAGAGCCAAACCACATCATTCTACCCTGGCCCCTCTCAAATGTCATGTCTTTTTACATTGATAAATGCAATTTTCCCCTCTCAACAGTCCTCCAAAGACTTAACTCATTCCAGCATTAATGCAAAAGTCCAAGTCCAAGGTCTCATGTGAGACAAGGTGAGTCTCTTCTGTCTATGAGCCTGTAAAATAAAAAACAAGTTAGTTACTTCCATGATACAGTGGGAGTGCGGGCATTGGGTAAATGTTCCTGTTCCACATTGGAGAAATTGGACAAAACAAAGGGGCTACAGACTCCATGCAAGTCTGAAACCCAGCGGAGCAGTCATTAAATCTTAAAGCCCCAAAATAAATCTCCTTTGACTCCAGGTCTCACATCCAAGACACACTGATGCAAGGGGCTGGCTCTTAAGGTCTTGGGCAGCTCTGGCCCTGTGGCTTTGCAGGGTCCACCTCCCACAGCTGCTTTCATGGGCTGGCATTGGGTGCCTTCAGCTTCTCCAGGTACACAGTGCAAGCTATCAGTAGATCTACACTCTGGGGTCTGGAGGATGGTGTCCCTCTTCTCACAGCTCCACTAGGTAGTGCCACAGTGGGAACTCTGTGTGGTGGTACTTCAACCCTACATTTCCCTCTGCATTGCCCTAGTATAGGGTCTCCATGAGGGCTCCATCCTGTACTTTTGCCTGGACATCCAGGCATTTCCATACATCCTCTGAAATCTAGGCAGAGACTCCCAAACTTCAACTCCTGTCTTTTGTGTGCCTGCAGGCCCAACATCATGTGGAAGCCACCAAGGCTTGGGTCTTGCATCCTAGGAAACAATGGCCTGAGCTTTATGTTGGCTCCTTTTAGCCATGGCAGAGCTGAAGCAGCACCATGTTGTAAGGCTGCACAGAATGGGGTCCTGGGCCTGGTCCACAAAACCATTTTTCCCTCCTAGGCCTCCAGGCCTGTTATGGGAGGGGCTGCCGTGAAGGTCTCTGAAATGCCCTGGAGACACTTTCCCTACTGTCTTGTCTATTAACATTCAGCTTTCCTTTACTTATGCAAATCTCTGCAGCTGGTGGCTTGAATTTCTCCCCAGAAAATTAGTTTTTCTTTTCCACCACATGGTCAGGCTGTAAAATTTCCATACTTTTATTCTCTGCTTCCCTTTTAAACATTTCATATTATCTCTTAGTGAACACATATGACTGTAGGCTTTTAGAAAAAGCCAGGTCAAATCTTGAATGCTTTGCTGCTTAGAAATTTCTTCTGCCATCTAAATCATCTCTCTCAAGTCCAAAGTTCCACAATTCTCTAGGGCAGGGGCAAAACGTCACCAGTCTCTTCTCTAAAGCACAGCAAGAGTGACTTTTACTCTAGTTCCCAATAAGTTCCTCATTTACATCTGAGACCACCTCAGCCTGGACTTCATTGTCCATATCACTATCAGCATTTTGGTCAAAACCATTCAACAAGTCTCTAAGAAGTTCCTAACTTTCCCACATCTTCCTGTCTTCTTCTGAGCCCTCCAAACTGTTCCAACCTCTGCCCATTACCCAGTTTTGAAGTCACTTCCACATTTTCAGGCATCTTTATAGCCGTGCCCCAAACTGCAGTACCAATATTCTGTATTATTCCATTTTCACACTGCTATAAGGAACTACCTGAGACTAGGTAATTTATAAATAAAAAAGTTTAATTGACTCACAGTTCCAAATGGCTGGGGAGGCTACAACCAGGGGTTGGCCAGGGCTGCAGTCAACAAGACTGCAGGTGAAGATCCACTTCTTTGATCACCAATAAAGCTGTTGGCAGACCCTAGGAGATCTACTTGCAAGCTCAAAGCAACTAAGACCTTCACTAACACTCCTCTCTAAATCCTTCCAGCCTCTGTCCACTGCCAAGTTGCAAAGCCACTCCTGTATATTTAGGTATTCTCTATTGCAGCACCACACTTCCAGTACCAAAATCTGTAAGTTATCCATTTCTATGTACTGAAATACAAGATTTAGCTTCAGTTTCAAACATTTATTTTATCTTACAGTTTTTGTGGGTTAAGAATCAGAGTTTCAGGTAACTGGCTGACCTCTGACTCAGGGATTCTCACAAGGCTGCAATCAAGCATCATCTCTAGGCTCAGTCGAAGGATAGTCTTCTTCCAAGCTCAAGCTTGTAGCTGTTGGTAGGACGAAGGTCCTAGCTGCCTATTGATGGGATATATCTGTTTCTCAACATGTGAGCTCTGAATATGGCTATTCATGATGTAGTAGATTCCAACTTCCTTCCCCCAGAGAAAGGGCAGAGAGAGAGAGAGAAAGAAAGAAGAGAATTCAGAGTGTTTCCACAACCTAATCTCATCATTATGCCATACATATCTACTGTGGAAGTTGACCATGTAAATCCATTAGTTAGAAGCAATTCACTATGCCCAGCACACTCTCAAGAAGAGATTACACAAGTCATGAATTCCAAGAGGCAAGATCATAGGAGCCATTTTTTGGAGGCTGCCTGCCACAATGGGCATCAAAGTAATGAAGCTCTCCTCCAAATGATTGGTCCTCTCACAGAGAGACTCAGGGTAGACTTATTCTTCAGCAGGTAGAAAACACAGCAGCAGCAGTTGCCATAAAATTTTGATTTCAAAAATGTAGCATTGCTCAGTCAATGCAAAATCACCATCTCTGATAACATGACCATTTTGTGTAAGGGCCCATTGAGAAACACCTGGATGACCAGGCAGAGAAGTTGATTCCCATGCACTAGTAAGTCATTTTGTCCACCTAGTAAGTGGCATCTTTATTTCTTCTTTTTTTAAGCGTCAATATCCTCAGATAGGCATCTTGTGTGGGTTGCAAATATTTTTATACTCTATTCCCCTTTCATCTTTCTCTTAGATGTCTTTGTCACTAGCTTTTAGATCTTATTCTTTCCAAGTCTTTGTCCAGCCAGCCAAACAATTAACTCCTGCCCACACATCAATGTAAACACATGCCTCAGGCTATTTCTCTTTCCACATAAAGTGGGCTGATACACTACCCAAACTTCTGCCCGTGGCATTCTCTTCATCAATGTCTTATAGCACCAATCTGAATGAGGCCATAATTCCACAGCCTCTCAGTTTTAACTGGCACCAGTTTACCATGAAATGTCTTTAGTCGACCATTATCAGGTTATAGGAACCCCCTCAAAGCTGAAACAGGGTGATTAATTACCATGAATATCTGAGCCACCTGCTCTTAAAGTTTACTTGAGCCTTCCAGACCTGTTAGGAGCCCATCTCATGTTCACCATTTCCAGTTTATAATGGAAGGTGCATGTTTTGAGAAACAATATAAACATCAATTCATGAAAGGAAGTGTGGGTGGGGGTGGTGTGCCCTCAGATCTCCCCCAGATGCTGATGTGAGGTATGCCGTCAACTGACAGCCCTTCTTGCCACACCTTAGGATCTGCTTCAGCATCAACATCAAGGCCCTGCTGACTCTGGGCTGCTCCTAGTGGATGCCTGGGCACAGCAGGAATACTAGAGTTGAGTCATTTCTGCTCAGTGCTGGACACTAATAGTGAATTTTTGCCCTGGACCTCCCAACAGCCTGGGAAAAAAACTTTCTCAGAATTGCACTGCAATCTGGAACTATTCTATTCAATGCTCCTGCCTCCCCTCTCTCTTTTCACTTATCACATCTTTATTGTGATCTGAATGAATGCTCTTCCCAGTTACTCCGACTCACAGCTTCCCCCATTCCCTATCCCTTACAAGTATTTCTCCCAGCAAGTCTGCATTTTAAACCTTGTCTTGGCATCTGTGACCTGAATTGTCATAAAGTGGCATAGTTTCTTGGTATCCCATGGTCAGCTGCTGAAGCTCCACCAATGCTCAGTAGCAAGTCAAGATGTTTTTATTATCCTTCTATTGGGAGGATTGGGGTATGACAGGTGTTCTATACTGCATCTCTTCCATAGTCAGTGCCAATAGCATTAAGTGTGTGATGTCCTCTGGCCCAATTATCAGGACAGCTATATTCTTCGGACTATGGAACCCTTTCCCACTCAACCTACTGGGTTATCTTGTAGATATGGCCTGCTGGGTGTGAATGTACCATGGTGATTTGTCTCTTGCCTTGAAAAGATACCTGATGTGTCTAAAACCAGTAAATTCCTAGAAACTTTACCAAAGAGGCAAATCCCTGACACTTTGCAGGATTAATCTCGTAGACCCTGGCATGTGTCTTTCTAAACTATCTACCACGCTTGCTATTTCCTACTTACGGGTCCAATTAGCTTAATGAATTTTTTTTAAGTTTACTGTTCAGTGGTATTTCAAAATAATCTAGATATTTCTGGACTTTATTATGACTGGACCAGAAGGACTGACCCAGCTCTGAGGCTGTTCAGTTAAGGTATACTCCTCTCTCTTTTAGAAGCAAATTGCTTTCTACTGAAAACAATGGAGGAAGAGCATCTGCTAGATCAAGAGCAAAATAACAGGTGCCGGAGGCTGTGCTGATTTGTAAGAATAGAGACAACACATCCAGAAATCCAGCTAAAATTGATAACACCATCTGATTAAGTTACAATAATTTCCTGTCCTTCTTCCTGATCCATCTGGCTTTTGCCATAACCAAAGAAGCAGTTTAAATTGGGATTTGGTAGGAAGTGCAACCCTGCATCTGTGAAGCCTTTGAAAATGACACTAATTTCATCATTTCCCTCAGAGACATGGTATTGCTTTGGGCTTATTGCCTTGATGGAGCATGAACACTCGTTCCAGAACTTCTTCTTTTCCTTCATAATAGCTTATATTCCAGAGGTCAGAGAATCCATGTGCCATTCTCAGTTACTATCTTTAAACTAGACAGTGAAGAGTAATCATGGCAATGCATAATGGCAATAAATATCTTTTCCTGTTTCATGTGTTCTCTTCTTGGGGCAGGCCTTATACTGTCTATTATTCATGCACTGGGATATAATTCTAGCTATGAACCTGGTGGCAATGACAAGTAGTAGAAGAGGAGTCAATATACCAGGCACCCCATATAAAGAATCTGACCCAGGTACATTTACTGAGTCCACTTTATGTAGAGGAAGCTGGTTCCCCAGACAGGGTACGGAGGATCTGCCTCTCATCGAGGGAGATTCAGAGGGTTTGGAGGATGAGTCCTCAGTTACTGTCTATCTGTCTTCTTAGCAGATATTAGCATCCCACTTCTCTCCGCAAGTGTGGGGTTTGACGATTTAATTGGCTCTTCCACCCTTATACTCAGGTTCTTGGTTTGATCCGTAGGCATGTATGTCTTGCAGATATCAGAGATGAGGGACTTCTTCAAAGTCAACAACATGAGTTTCCGATTATCCTCTTGCTTTCTCTATTAGACACAAACAGCTTTTATTTCCTCTGTTTCCTGTCTGCTGTCTGGCTCCATTAGAAGTCAGATTACTATCTTTCCCATTGTATAGTCACCATAGTGACTAAGTGTCACTGCCATTAGCTGTCTTGATATCTGACCCTCCAGCTGCACCTGCACATTGCCCTGTGCCAGCACAGATGAGAATCTGGGAAATGGAGATGCCACCAGATGCATTGTATTATGCTGGCCCTGTCTCCTTCCAGTAGGGAGGCTATCTGCTAGCTCTTCAAACATGTGAGGCACCCACTCCCAGAATCCCACTTTGAGGGTAAGTTTCCTGGCTTGTTCTTCCCCCAATTACTATATCAGTCAGAATCCCAACAGGAAAGTAGGACAATTCCATGCTGTAATTTGAGAGGCTGTTAATAGAGGGATATATACATGGTTTTAAGGAAACAACAGTGGGTAATGACGCCAAAGTACACTACATCACTGGGCTCCCTCAGTGAGGAGGATGTAGTGACCAGGCCCTATCCCTTCAGACTACCTTGGCCCAAGTTCCTCCTGTATAAAACAGGAATAATAATGCCCAACATCACATGATTAATGTGATGATAAAATTAGATGATATTTGTCAAGTGCCTGGCACATAAGTAATAAATAATAGTGCTATTAATAGAATTCTGTTCTCCTAAAATTCATATGTGGAACCACTAGCCCCTAATATGATGGAGTTTAAAGATGGGGTCTTTGGGAGCTAATTAGGGTTAGATGAGGTCATGAGGATGGGGCCCTCATTTGGGGGTTAGTGTCCTTATAAGAAGAGACACCAGAGACCTTCTCCCTCTCTCTCTCTCTCTCTCTCTCACTCTCTCTCTCTCTTTCTCTCACCCCCTCTCTGTCTCTCTCTCTTTTGCTCCCTCTCTTTCTCTCTCTATCTCTCTCTCACTCACTCCCTCTCTGCCATATGAGGACACAGCCAGAAGGTGACCATCAGCAAACCAGAAAGAGAGCCCTCATCAGGAACTTAATTGGCCAACACCATAGCATGATCTTGGACTTTCCAGCCTCCAGAACTGTGAGAAATAAATTCTTGTTCAAACCATTTGGTCTATACTATTTTGTTATTGCAACCTAAGCTAACTAATACAAGTACTTTTTAAAGACCTCTAGCAATTTTAATGGTTTTGTACTGTGGACTTAACACTACCCTAAGGTAACTCATTTAATCTTTGCTACAATCCTATGAGATAGAAAGTGTTTTTATCCCCATTTTTCAGAAGAAAAAACTGAGGCTCCAAGTAATACCTTAAGCCTCAATACCGTAAGCCCCAATACCTTAAGGTATTGGGGGAATACCTTAAGAAATTTAACCAAGGTAACACAGTTAGTAATTGTTTTGAGCTAGGATCTGAATCTAGGCTATTTGGCTCCAGATTTTTTGAGCCAAGATGCTATGTTATGGAGAGGAACCTCCCTTGCTAATTTTATTGAAAGCCTATCCTCTTCTACGTTTATTATCTTTGTGAGCAATGGAGCACATGTAATAAATTGCTCTATGTGAACCAGAGGATAAGTGTATACTCACAGCATAAAACAAGTATAAAAGGATTAAATCTGTAATGCATATATTCTGGTATATTATATATCCTTAAACTTTGTCAGGCTTTTTGACTATAAAATCAACAAAGTACAATCTATCCTTTCTGAACTCTTCCACCTATATTTTTTTCCTCACTTCTTTAATATAGGCAGAAGAGTGCAAGAGCTAGACTACCTCTGCACTCAAATCTCAGCTCTGTTACTTTCTGAGTATTCAACATTTTGCAAGTAACAACCTTGCTAAATCTCATTTTTTTCTTACATAAGTTGGATAATAGTCATCATTAACTATTCAAGTTGCTTTGATAATTGAATAAAATAATCAATGTAAAATTCTTGGATCAGTGATAGTACATGGAAAATATTGAATGTGTTAATTGCTAAATTTAGCTTCAAGTACTCTATCAACTCATGATGTTCTTGTTTATGTCCATGTATTGCCATATGTTTAGGAGTTAACATGAGGAAATTATGTCTTTTATCATAGTTACAAACTATTAGACTGGGAGACAGGAGAACCAAGCTCTAAGTTTCATGTATAATTTTTGGATTCAGATTCTTCAACTGACAAAACAGCTACTGGCACAGAGCTATATTAAAATTTAAATTTTGCTTTAAAAATTCTGTATTATCTAAATGTAAATGGTAATTTTATTATCATTATTCCATGGCCAACATAAAAATAAGTTATCCACAATGAGGCATTTGATTTTATATGAATTCAAAGCCAAAAAGAATTTAAGATCTATACACATTGACATTTTTATACTGAAGTGTGTCCCTTCCAGAAATCTGCCTAAAATGTCAATATTTTTGAGTCCTAAATTCATCTTATTTTTGAAATTGACCACACTTAAGTTCACGTTTGATATAATTTAATTATAAATTGGTGTTGATGATTTAATTAAGTTTTCATGTAGTTGTGTGTTTAAGATATATTAAAAATTCTAGAACAACTGAATTATATAGATACAATAATCAGAAAATATTCTGAGTACACAAAAATTTATATTTGTTTATGTGACATATGTTTAATACTTTCTCTTTGAATATTTTTGGAGAATTAAAATGACAACAACCCAAGGACTGTGATTCTGGTCCCAAATCTCACATCCCCAAGCTATACAACCTTGAGAAGATTAATCTCTAGATCACATATCTCCTATTTCCCAATGAGGTGGTTGGAACAGACATACTCAAAAGTTGTTTTTATCTCCAAAACTAACTTTGATAAGAAGATATGGCTATTGATTAAGAATGAAGGCATGGATGCAAATCTCACCTCTACCTCTTAGTTGGTATCTACCTTGAAGAAGTCACTTGTTTCCCTGGGTGAAATATTTCTATGTCTTTTCATGGGACACTAATCCTCCATCTTAAATATTGGTGGTATTTCATATGAAATCTATATTTAAAAATATGAAAACCATAACAAGCTATAAAATTATGTACATTATTATTAGATTTACTTATTTTAGTAACATTTATGCAATTTTTGTTTTTGAAATTTGAAATTTATGCACTTCTGTTTTTGTTTTTTGTTTTTTTTGTGCTGTGTTTTATTTCAAACAGCATTTATTGGGATCTTTACTATATGCCAGACACTGTGTTAAGTATTACAGACATTGTGGTGAACAAAAACAGGTGCATTCTCTGCTCATCTGAAAATACTAACTTCTACCTCACCCGCTATGAAAGGCACCAGTTGTCAAACATTCTTTTAATGTGTTTTACATAATTATAACACAGAAAACAGAGGGAAAATCAACAGAATAGAATCCCTAAGAAATGATATAGTGAATTCTAAAATAACTGGGTTTTGCCGTCTCACGCATCCCTTTACTATCAATTTCAGCATAAATTATTTTATAGACACAGAGAAAACAAATATAAAAGGTATTTACAGAAATAAGTATGCATTCATAGTAATCCAGTAAAGAAGCTAAATAAGTTTTGCTATAATGAACAACGTAGATTATCAGCTTTAGTATTGTCATAGTCATGAAAGTGTGTCAGTGGAAAACACAAATACACTCAAAAATTTCTTACAGCATTTCTTTTTTCTAAACAGAACACAAAAGTAAAACAATATAAGCAGATTTGTGTCTGTATTTCGGGTATTCAAAAATATAGGTTATATAAAAATAATAGTTTTAAAATATATATTCCACAAACAACTTAGGTAAATATTACAGAGGAAACAAAATTTTATTTTTTCTGCTTTCTCTAAATTTGATGTTTGTTACTGGAAATAAATATTTTCAAAAATAATTTTACTACATATATACAAAACCACAAATATTTTGCATGGCTTTAAACATGTTTCATATTGTTGAATCATTTTACACATTCTTTTATTAATGCATTTTATGTCTTTGAAATTTAGCTATTATGACACAAGTAGTTGTATTTTGTCTAATTTTAACAATGGACAGAAATTTCATACATAATACAGTATAATTAATTCATTTTTCTGTTGACTGCCATGTAAGGTATTTCTTTTACTTTTCATAGATAAACAATGCTGCAATTAACATTTTTTACATACTCTGATTACTGAATTTTAAGGGAGGTAAGATCTTCAACTTTTCTAGATATTGTCATTTATTCTTGCAGAGTATGGACTTTATTTCATCATCAGTGTTTGAGTTGTTTTTCTTCCTTATAATTACCAACATGATACTGAGTCAAATGGTATTAAGTTGATGCCTTAATGTACATAAACCTACTTACTAGTGATGTTAAGCACTTTTTTCTTACTTTCTCTCTCTCTTTCTCTCACTTTCTCTCTCTCTCACAGACAGACAGACAGACACACACACACACACACACACACACACACACCCCTTTAAAGACTCCACGTCTGTTAGTTGCATATCAGCTCATATCTTTGGCTCATTTTGCATTGTGGAATGATTTATAGATATTAGATCTCTTCTTAAGAAGGATATATAACTGGTATTTTCATTATGTTAACTTTTAAAGGACAAATTTCATGTAATCAAATATTTTGTTTCTTTTTGTGTTATCTCATATTTTTCCTAAATATTTTAAATTGTTGCTATCATAATTAATACTTTTTTACACCCTGGAGGTAATTTTTGTACATGGAATAAAGTTGTTGTATCTTTATTCTTTAAATATGAATAACCAGTTGTCCCAACAACATTTATTCAATAGTTTATTTTTTCCTACCAGTTCTATTGCCTCTTCTGTCACATAAGTGACCACGTATATTACTGGGTTTTTTATTTTAAATCATTTGTTTCCATATACTCTACTAGTACCATACTTTAATTGTTACCACTATTTATTAAGTCAGTATCTGGTATGAAAAATTTGTTTATGCTATTCTTCTTCAACACTGTATAGCTTATTATATATGTATATACACACTTAGATTTTATATATCTGAGTATATATAAATTCTGAGGAAATATACATATTATATATATTTCCTGATATTTATATGCACAGATATGTGTGTGTGTGTGTATATATATATAAAATACACATATGCACTCAAATTTTTGTATGTCCTCTTGAGCCACTTTTGAATAGTATATGAAAAAAAACATAAAATCCCCTTATTTTCCTTTTAAAGATATGTAGCAATATCTCCTTCCCCCGATGCTAGAAAACCATCTTTTATTGATTAATATTACAATAGTATATTATTTTCATTATCTTTTTAGATAATTTTAACTTTGTTTTATATTATTTATTTTTCTTTTATTATTACATTTTTCTTTCCTTCCTTATTTTTCTTATACTTACATTGAGTTTGATTTTCTATCAGAAGAGAAAAGAATCAATCAAAAGAGAACCTAGAAACTCCCAACAACAGATATACTTAACAACAGACATACAAATACAGTTACAGGTGCACCTACACAATTCCCCACCCCTCTTTTTACAATGTAAAAGATTTGCCTGTGTTTCTGTCAGGCATCCCTCTGCGTGGGAGCTCTGATCTCAGACCCTCTCATCTCCTCAAGGTCATTATTCCTATAATTCTCTCTCTCTTTCTGGCATCATCAATTAATCCGTCTATTGGCAATTTTTATTGTGATTTAGACAGGGTACAATGGATACTATCTTTAAAATTTTCTTCTTTTGGCATCACAGCCTCCTGCAGCCACTTCTCTATTTTGTCTCCTCTTTAGATCATTGCTCCTGGTAGTTATGTATCCTCACTGTCATCCCCTCTTCTCCAACAGTTTATCTCTGGAGCCTAGTGCAGCCAGGCTTGGTCTGCATCACTCCACAGACATTGTTTATGTCAGTATTACCAGTGACTTCCGGCATGCTGATGTCTATGATAATCTAACTTAACCTTTCAGCATCTGTGATACAGCCAATCACTACTTTATTCATGAAATACATCATTAGGATTTTGAGTTGAGTCTCTTTTTAATCCCCCTACTTCATGAGCTGCTCCTCCAAACTCTTCTTCGCTAGGGTATCTTTGTCTGCTGCACCCTGAAGGCTGGGATTCCTAATGTTAAAACCTCAGACCTGTTTATCTACCCTCTCCCCGATGAAACCAAATTTTATATCTTTCACCATAATATTGTATCTAAATTTTAGTTACACATAACATGCCCACTTCACATATAAAATTTTAGTACATGGTTTTCTGATAGGTACATCAAATTAAGTAGTTTAAATTGGAACTTTTGATTTTCCCTTTGAAGGTGCACTGCCCTCAATAAATGCCAACACAATTTTTTTTCTAGTTGTTCAGGCCAAACACCTTGGAATCATTCTTGACTCTGCTTTTTCTCTCACAACCTAATCAAATCCATTTAAAAAAAAAAAAAGTCTCTACTGTACACTCATAATCTATCCAGAATCTGGTCTTTTTTTAAACCTACCTCAACTACTAGAGCATTCCGCCTGAACTAGCCTTTTACCTAATCTCCCTATAGTTATTCTTTATAGAATATTAAGAACCATTCTTCTAAATTCTTAATCAAATAGTGTCACTCTTCTGCATAAAATATTCAAAGAGTTGTCCATTTCATTCTCGGTACATCCAAAGTCCTCCACATGGCCTATCAGATATTTCTCTGCTATCTCATACCTTATCCCCCTCCATGCAAACACTGTCTTCCTTTCGGCCTTTCAAATACACGAAGCATATGACTGCCTCAGGTTTTCTTTGATTGGAATGTTTTTCCTGAAATATCCATATGGTTTCCTCCTTGACTTCTTTCCAATGCATGCTCAATTGTTGCCTTATCTTAATCTTTACTGTATCAGTCTATTCTGATCACAATTTTTCTTCTAATTTCTATATACTTATGAACAGATAATAAGGTTGTTGGAAATTCATCTTTAGCTAGGTTAAAACATATGTTTGTGTTTATGGTTTCAGGTCCAAAATTTAACATGCTTGGAAGCCCTGACTTCTGTCCTTCAATAAGAAAATGCTGGACAACTTAAAATCAAAATTTTTTGGTCTATCAGAGAATTGAGGTTGCAGGTTATCTGCTTCCATAAAATTTGGAGAGAAAGGCACATTCAGAAACACACAGCTACTTGCCTGACCTTGAAGCCACTGGAACTATAAACCAGTAGGGTTAATTAAATAATGATTTTGGCAATTACTAGAAGCTGAGTATGAACTAGCATGAAAGTAAGAAATTCCTAGGCTCGGTATGGTGGCTCACGCCTATAATCCCAACGCTTTAGGAGGCCGAGGTGGGTGGATCATGAGGTTGGGGTTTCAAGACCAGCCTGGCCAACATAGTGAAACTCTGTCTCTACTAAAAATATAAAAATTAGCCGGGCGTGGTGGCAGGCGCCTGTAATCCCAGCTCCTCTGGAGGCTGAGGAAGGATAATCACTAGAACCTGAGAGACGGAGGTTGCAGTGAGCTGAGATCGCGCCACTGCACTCCAGCCTAGGGGACAGAGCGAGACTCCCTCTCGAAAAAAAAAAAAAAAGAAAGAAAAAAGAAACTCCTGGGCTCCCTAATCTTAGGGAGGACCCCCACATTTTTGTGGGCTCTTTTCCAGGTTCTCATGGTAAAGACCCAAGAAGAATCCCCTTATGGCTCTGATAGGATGAGGTTTAACACAAATAATCATTGTTAAATACACCTAGGGGCTTCTCCATAAGATAGTCCTACTTTCTAGGAAAAGGACTTTTCTAGAGCCTTATCCAGCGGGTGGAAGAACATTCCTCCCACTTCAGCCACCTTGAGCTTCTTTTCTAACTTAAAGAGAATAAAATATAGTCAACAGGGGTCAGGCTTCAAGAAAATATCTTAGGAATGCTGCAGCCAGGAAAGGGAGTAGCGGGCAGCAGGACAAAGAGCTATAGTACCAAAGGGTCACTTACGAAGGTTGCAAACCGGAAGACATAGGATTAATAAGAGATTGAGAATTAACTGGGAGAATTTAGAACACTCTTTTTCTTTTACACATAACCACCATACCAATGGACGTATAATAACAATGAGTTATAGATGAAGAGCTTCACCACACTGACTCTTTCTATAAAAGAGTACTTAGGAAGCTTAAAGTCAAGGAGGAGACAAAAACAAGGAAATTAGAAGAATTTGAAGGCTCTGTCATCTACAGGTATGGCAAACATTAAATGCAGCCCAACTCCTAGACATATAAACATAAATTCTCACACTAAAGGCCTATTCCCCCAAATTTGTATTACCCAATACAAAATGTCCAGCGTTCAACAAAAAATTGCAGGCCATGCCACAAGACAAGAGAAAAGACAGTCTGAGCAGACAAAGCAATCATTAAAAGCAGACTGAGATATTACACACATGTTGAAATTATCAGACAGGAACTGACATATAAGTAATATGTAAAAGTCTCTACTAGAGAAACTATACAAGTAACAATGGATGGGTAAAAAATACAGAGAGATGAAAATTCTATGAAAATATTCAAAGGAAATGCTAGAAGTTAAAGCACCACAACAAAGATGAAGAATGCCTTTGATAGGCATCAGTAGACTCCAAGGAAATGTCACAAGTATTAAGAGGGAGGAACTAGGAAGGCTCCAAGATTCTTCCACTATATATGAAGTAACATATTTGAAGGTGGTCTTAGATTAGTTCAAAATGTATATTGTAAATTCTAAGGCAATCACTAAAACTTTTTTTTGAATAAATGTAATTGAAATATAAGAGAGCAGATAAAATGAAATTGTATGTGTTCAATTAAAACCAGATAAGGCAGAAAAATGGGGCTTTAGAGAAACATGAAGCAAAGAATAGATAAATGGAAAACATTTACAAATATGGTAGATATTAAACTAAGTATATCAATAATCTCTTTAAATGTATATGGTCGAAATACTGCACATGTATTAAAAGACAGAATTTATACCAATTCAAATAAATTTAAAAAAAGACCCAACTATATGTTGTCTACAAAAAGCCCACTTTATGTAAAGACTCCAGTAGGTTAAAAATATGGAGATGGAGAAGACTCACCATGTTAACACTAATCAAAAGAAAACTGGCTGAGTAATATTCCATTGTGTATTTATACCCAATTTCTTTATCCATTCATCTTTTGGCGGAGACTTAGGTTTATTCTACATTTTGGCTATTGTGAATAATGCTGCAATAAACATTAGAGGCAATATATCTCTTTGATATAAATATTTCTTTAGGATATAAATATTTCCTTCCTTTAGGATATGTATATGTATATGTATATGTATATGTATATGTATATGTATATGTATATTTTAGATGATATGGTTTGGCCCTGGGTGCCCACCCAAATCTCATCTTGTAGTTCCCATAATTCCTACATGTTGTGGGAAGGACCCAGTGGGAGATGACTGAATCATGGGGTGGGTCTTTCCCATGCTGTTCTCGTGATAGTGAATAGGTCTCATGAGATCTAATGGTTTTAAAAATGGGAGTTTGTCTGCACAAGCTCTCTCTTTGCCTGCCACCATCCATGTAAGATGAGACTTGCTCCTGCTTGCCTTCTGGTATGATTGTGAGGCCTCCCCAGCCATGTGAAACTGTAAGTCCATTAAACCTCTTTTTCTTTCCATTCTTTGGTATGTCTTTGTCAGCAGTGTGAAAATGGACTAATACAGTAAAATGGTATCACTAGAGTGGGGTGTTGATGAAAAGATACCCAAAAATGTGGAAGTGACTTTAGAACTGTGTAATGGGCAGAGGTTGAAAAAGTTTAGAGGGCTCAGAAGAAGATAGGAAAATGTGGAAAAGTTGGGAACTCCCTGGAGACTTGTTGAGTGGCTTTGACCAAAATGCTGATAATGATGTGGACAATGAAATCCAGCCTGAGGTGGTCTCAGATGGAGATGAGGAACTTGTTGGAAAGTGGAGCAAAAGTGACTCTTGTTATGTTTTATTAAAGAACCTGGTGGCATTTTGCCCTTGCCCTAGAGATTTGTGGAACTTTGAACTTGAGAGAGATGATTTAGAGTATCTGGCAGAAGCAATTTATAAACAGCAAAGCATTCAAGAGGTGACTTGGGTCACCCCAGCTTTAAAAGGGAAAGAGAGCATGAAAGTTAGATAAATTTGCAGCCTGACAATGTGATGGAAAAGAAAATCCCATTTTCTGGGCAGAAATTCAAGCCAACTGCAGAAATTTGTATAACTAATGAGAAGCCAAATGTTAGTCCCCAAGACAATGGGGAAAATGTCTCCAGGGCATGTCGGAGGTCTTCACAGCAGCCTCTCCCGTCACAGGCCTAGAAGCCCAGGAAGAATAAATGGTTTTGTGGGATGGGCCCAGTGTCCCGGTGCTGTGTGCCCTGTGCCCCAGCTGCTCCAACCATGACTAAATGGGGCCAAGATACAGCTCAGGCCATGGCCTCAGAGGGTACAAGCCCCAAGCCTCGGCAGCTTCCATGTGGTGTTGAGCTTGCAGATACACAAAAGTCAAGAATTGAAGTTTGGGAACCTCCACCTAGATTTCAGAGGATGTATGGAAATGCCTGGATGTGTCCAGGCAGAAGTCTGCTGCAGGGCTAGAGCCCTCAGGGAGAACCTCTGCTAGGGCAGTGCAGAAGGGAAATGTGGGAGTGTAGACCCCAAACAGAGTCCCTACTGGGGCACTGCCGAGTGGAGCTATGAGAAGGAGGCCGCCATCCTTCAGACACCAGAATGGTAGATCCACTGACAGTTTGCTTTATGTGCATGGAAAAGTCACAGATACTCACCGCCAGCCCATGAAGGCAGCCAGGAGGGAGGGAGGCTGTACCCTGCAAAGCCACAGGATCAGAGCTGCCCAAGACCATGAGAACCCACCTCTTACATCAGCATGACCTGGATATGAGACATGCAGTCAAAGGAGATCATTTTGGAGATTTCAGATTTGACAGCCTTGCTGGATTTCAGACTTGCATGGGGCCTGTAGCCTCTTTATTTTGGCCAATTTCTTCCATTTGGAATGGCTGTATTTACCCAATGCCTGTACCCCCATTATATCTAGGAAATAACTAACATGTTTTTTATTTTAAGGCTCAAAGGCAGAAGTGACTTGCCTTGTCCCAGATAAGACTTTGGACGGTGGACTTTTGAGTTAATGCTGAAATGAGTTGAGACTTTGGAGGACTGTTGGGAAGGCATATTTCATTTTGAAATCTGAATATATGTGATTTGGGAGGGGCCTGGGGTGGAATGATATGGTTTGGTTATGTGTCCCCACCCAAATCTTATCTTGTAGCTTCCATAATTCTCCCATGTTATGGGATGGACCCGGTGGGAGATTATTGAATCATAGGGTGGGTCTTTCCCATGCTGTTCTCATGATAGTGAATGGGTCTCACAGGATCTGATGGTTTTAAAAATTGAAATTTTTCTGCACAAGCTCTCTCTTTGCCTGCTGCCATCCATGTAAGACATGACTTGCTCTTCCTTGCCTTCTGCCATGATTATGAGGCCTCCCCAGCCATGTGGAAGTGTAACTCCATTAAATCTCTGTTTCTTCCCAGTCTCATGTATGTCTTTATCAACAGCATGAAAATGGCCTTATATATATACTATATGTGTGTGTGTGTATATATATATATATATATATATACTATATGTGTGTTTATATATATGTGTGTGTGTATATATATATACACTATGTGTGTGTGTACATATGTATATATATACATGCAGCAGTGGAATTGCTGGATCATATGATAGTTCTATTTTCAGTTTTTTGAGAAACTTCCATACAATTTTCCACAGCGGCTGTACTACTTTATATTCCCACCAACAGTGTACACTTTCCTCCTTTCTCTGCATCTTTGCTAGCACTTATTTTTTGTCTTTTTTAAATAGCTATTTAACCAGAGTAGGATGATATCTTATGACGGTTTTCATTTGCATTTCCCCAGTAATTAGTGATGTTGAGTATTTCCTCATATACCTGTTGGCCATTTGTTTGTCTTCTATTTAGAAATGTCTATTGAGATATTTTGCCCAGTTTTTAATTGGATTATTTGTGGGGTGTTTAATGTTTGCTTGTTTGTTTGTTTTCATATTGAATTGTTTGAGTGACGTATATATTCTGGTTATTAATCTCTTGTCAGGTGAATAGTTTACAAAGATGTTTTTCCCATTCTGGAAAAAAATATGGCAAATTTGCTGTCTCTGCTTGAGCTGGGACATTCATCTTTTCCTGCCCTAGGACATGGTTGCTGTTGGTCCTCAGGCCTTCAGACTTCAGGACTTATACCAGTGACCACTCCCTAGCCCCTGGTCCTCTGGCCTTTAAACTCAGACTGAATTACACCAGATTTCCTGGTTCTTCAGTTTTCAAATGGCATATCATGGGACTTTCCAGCTTCCATACTCACATGAGCCATTCCCCATATTAAATTCCCCTTAATGTGTCTGCATATATCTTATTGGTTCTGTTTGCTGAAGAACCCTAACTAATACCGATGGGTTTGGCTCTTCATGATCTAAAACGCAGAACTTCTTATTGGGCCCTGATACGTAGGAAATTTAGCATAACCCATTAACACTTAAAAGTATACAGCAAATATATTTTCAGATGTTTGCTGTAAAAATGATTCATGTATGAATCAACCCTTTGGACTCTTTAAGGAGGGGAGTACTCCCCAGCTTTTCTACATAATCTTACCTTTTACCTGACCAAAACAATGCCTTAAAATTTGAACACAGTCCACTGTTGTTACAGCATGTACAATAACATCTTCTGCTACATCCTTCCTGATCCCACTGTCTATCCCCCAGTCTTGCTTTCTTCTTCTTTATAGACTTATCCCATATGAACAATAGCTAGCTCTTTATTTTTACCTCCCTATTCCAGAATATAAACTTCAAAAGAACAAGGATTGTGTCTGTTTTACTCACTATTGTTTCTGCGACTAGAATATTGCCGGGCATATAAAAGGCACTCAGTTGAAATTTATTGAATGAATGAATCATGCATGTTCTACACTGTTGTGATATATGTCATTCAATAGTATTTTTTATGTCCTATGAAGATAAAGAGATGTTCTACCATTCATTTTATTATGCAAATATGTTCTAGGTGATTGAAAAGTCCACAATCAAGTTTGTATACCTCAGAAATATGTGAAGACTAGAGAGAATATGGAACCTACTCCAAAACTCATGAGTTAACTCATTTTATATAACAATGTATCATAAATTATTCAACAATATTTTCAGCAAAATGCAGTCTGTTCATCAAGAAATATTGAGGACCTCAAACATTCCAGGTTTCATGATAAGAATTGGTGACAGACTGCAGGATGTGGCTGCAATGGCCCTGGCACATGTGGGACTTACAATATATGTCATGCTTGTTCTAGATGCAAGAGTGCTGCGAATTTTTATGGTACTCAGAAAACTCAGAAAAACTAGTTTTAGGCACGTGTAAATAAATGTTAAGTATAAGTAAGTCAGAAGGGAAAAGAGGAACCATACTTTGTAGTATCTTCGTCCTACTAAAATATCTGTTGAGCACCTACAACTTACCAGGAAGAAAATGTTTCTGCTCTTATGGAAGGGGCAGAAATAGAATCATGTACACACATACAAACACTATGTGTGTAAAAACTATTTGGTTGGTTGGAATAAATGCATGACAGAAAAATAAAGCAGGTAAGGATAGAGGGAGTACCAGATTGAGATGAGAGATACTGTTATTTTATATAAGATGGAGAGTAAAGTCCTTGTGCATAATGAGATATTTAAGCAGAAAGGCAAACAAAGTAAAGGACTAAGTAAGTCATGAGGATGCTTGTGGAAAACTGTTTCAAGGCAGAGAATTGATCAGTACAAAAGACCTTAGGCCTGAGAGCTGGGCATTTTAGGGGAAGTGGGAGGAAGCTGTGGCTGGAACAAGGATAGAGTAGTAGGAGGTGAAGCCATGAATCATAGAGAGATGAGAAACCGCTGGAGGCTTTAATCAGAGACTCACAGTGGCTACTGTGTGGACCATCTACACTGCAGAGCAATTGAGAAACCTGGATGCCAACTTAGAAACCTAATGAAATAGCATCAGCCATGAGTGATGGGGGCTAGACCAGACTGGTAACCAAAGATGGCATGATAAGATCATTAGTATTTATGCCAAAGATAGATGCAGAACTTCTAAAGGATTTTATGTGAAGTAGTGATCTGATAGGATTTTCATTAAAACACTGGTTGCAGGAGAGCAGGTTTGAGTATAAGGAGGCTAGTTAGGAAGCTATTACACAAATTTCAACATTTTCTATGTTTTTGTTCTTAAAAAACTCTAATGTAGGATGAGAATTCATGTTTATGATAGAAACTAAGTAGCTGTGTACGGTGAGAAGGAAGGGAGGAACTGAACTGAGAAAGGATGGGATAGGAACACTGCCTGACAGTTTGAAAAACTAATAAAGGGTAATAATGACTTAGAATGTATAAGATTTTCCATCATAAAAATAATCTACTATACCATGTTACAAAACTCACAAATAAACAGTAAGTATGTTTTTAAAAATTAAACTATTTTAATACAAAGATTGTGTTTATGGGTAAAATGCAGTGATTCAGCTTTGTAATTTATTTATAATGCAAGATTTTTGAGTGCGTTGAGACTGTTTGCTTATATACAAAGTTATCCTTTTTTAACCCATCATAATTGTGATGCTCTATTCATTATATCATTATTTATAACTGCTATCTTAGTTATTTTAAAGAGTGGACTTTGCTAATTAGCTCTTTTTGCATACTCTGTTTCCCTCTGATTCCTGCTTCCTTTTTATTCCAGGCTTAGTGCAGTCTTGCTTTTATTTGTATTGACCTTTGGCATTTCAATTTTCTGTTTGCTTTTTAAATCTTAGCTAATTAGAGGATTTCAAATTCTTCACAATAAAGAAGTTCTCGCACAGAACGTGTAATTAGAATATCTGATGACAAGAACTGGGATTTTAATACTCCAGGGTTGAAAGATCATACCTCTGAGCAGCATTTTCCCCCAGGATGTTTTGCATTTGAGCAATTAACCTCACATTCAGGACATGGCCCACTATTCATCTCTTAACATCTCTTAGCTGGGATTATTTCAAAGTCTGCTCTTTTATTGCCTTTTATCAGATGTGATGAACACTTAGGTCAAAGTAAAAGGCCTATACAGAAAGTGTCGTCATCTTGTAGAAATGATCACAGTGCCTTTTATTAGAAATGTTATCATTGAAAGCTTCCAAATTGCCTTTTGCCCTACATAAAACTGCTATACTTATGTTTCATTAAAATGTTCCAGTTATTTTCTCAGCAAACCAAATTGCAGTACCTGTTACACGTATGCACTTGTGCATACACATACACAGAGGAGTGCACACACTTTTTAAAGGATTCACAGAAATTGCTGGAGTGAAAATTAAGATCAGAGTAGACAATGAGCTGAGACAGAAAAGAATCTAGGAATTCTATTGTCACAAAGTCATAGCAGGGCCTCTTCTTCCTTCTTTGTGCAGTCATTCTCTATCTACCTAACAAGGATCCACTCTGTGGTAGGCACTCTAATCTATGTTGTGGACACAAAAATAGCAGTATCTAAAAGAGTGAGATAGGCCATGTGTGGTGGCTCACACTTGTAATCTCAGCACTTTGAAAGGCCAAGGCAGGCGGATCACCTGAGGTCAGGAGTTCGAGACCAGCCTGGCCAACATGGCAAAACCCCATCTTCACTGAAAATACAAAAATTAGCCGGGCATGGTGGCACAGGCTGGCCTGCAGTCCCAGATACTCAGGAGGCTGAAGCAGGAGGATCATTTGAACCCAGGAGCTGGAGGTTGCAGTGAGCCAAGATCGCGACACTGCATTCCAGCCTGGGTGACAAAGCGAGACTCCATCTCAAAAATAAATAAATAAAAGAGTGAGATAAAAGCTGAAGGCTCTTGAGGCCCAGGCCCAGGCCCAGAACTCCTATGTCGCTTTTGCTACCTACTATTGATCAAAGGAAGTCCCAAGGCTGGCCCTAAGTCCAGAGGTAGGAAAACAGACTCCACCTCTCAATGGGAGAAGTTGTGAACGATTTTCAGCCGTGTCAATCTACCACATCTCCTTAGGGTAAAAGCCACATGATTTGGATTTTGTATTCCCAATTCCTGACACAATTTTTCTTAAACCTATACTGAACAAGGGCATGTTTCTATGGTTCTATAGGATATACCTCTTTTACAAATATCTGAGATTCTGGGTTGGGTTTTAAGAAAAAAAGAAGGGAAAAAAAACACTTCTGCAATAAAAATAGACCTAGATTTATTAAGATTAACAGTTACAAATGAATCTCAATGGGAGAAATGAGATTTCTCCAAAGCCATGCATATGGCTCAAAGCCATGACTCTTCTCTTGAATTTCACCATCCCCCTGAGAGTTCACTTTTCATGGCTGCTAACATCACGTACTTAAAAACTATGACCCAGGAGCCTTTTCTTGATGCTACCTATTATCTTAGATGAAACAAATCTGAAATATTAAGCCAAATTCAACAAGAATTTACTGTGGAAATAAAGGTCAAGAGTAACATAAAACTAAACATGGCTTGCATTCAAAGATTTCAGACCAAATTCCAGTACCTTATTCATCCTTCAAGTTTCTATCCTGACTCTGTAATGCTAGAACCATTGCTGTAGCCATCATCTCCACAGTGATGCTTCTCACTGGAGAGTGGCAGGAACTCCTCCCATCTCCTTCAGGATTCTGCTTCCCTGAGTGAGGATCTCACTCTTTTTCAAATCCTGACTCCAGGATTATAGTCAGGGAGACTCTGCCCTACTCGCAGGGATGTGAGATTAACCCGTGGTCATTGCTAGAACATAAATGAAGAGAACTAATCACATCATCCATAAATGTAACACCAAGAGTCCAATAGCAAAGGTAAATGTGCTTTATCACACAGAATGTAAAATTAAGAAAGGTAAATGAAAGTGACCCAACACTATTCCCTTGTTTTTATTTACACAGAGAGTTTTCCTGATGTATCAGAGCAAGAAGAGAGTATAAGGAAGGTAGGAAGAAAGACCCAACATAGTTTGAAATCTATAGAAATATAATGTGCTGTTTCTTAATAAATTAAAATATGTTCAATGAAGCAAGTTACTTCTTGACATCTATGTAGTAACACTTTCTGGATACTATACAATGTTATTTTATTTAGCAATAATAATTTTTATGTTTTCACAGCACTAACATTACTCCTACTTGCACTGAACCAATGGGATAGAAGATTCAAAGAATTAGACAAATGATCATTGAGTCTCAACATATTCATAAGCCCATTTCATTAAAAAATAAAGATGCTAAATAAGCCTGTCCATACCCCTACAGTAAATAAATCTGAAGTATATTCCACAATTTTTCCCCTTGTCAGTCCTAGTCAGAGGGTGACATTTATTCAGAGTTGTAAAATTTTTCATTACATTCTCGAAGCCAGGAAGGACCTACGTAACTTAAAATGATAAATAGAAGACAGCATATAGGAAATGATTTTCCTTTTTTGTTTCCTACAAGGTCGCGTTGGAGTCAAAGTTATAGGAATGTAGTAGAAACAAGTATCTTCAAATAGATTACTTGAATTTAAAGGAATTCTATATTTCAAACAGAAAATGTCTAAAGGGAAAAATAGATTTATGTTTGAATTCTTTTAAATAAGCAAATAACAAAAAATATCAGAAATTTACTTTCACATGTTAAATGGAAATAATAAATAGAAATTTCATACAGAAAGCAACAAGGCATATTTGTGGTGATATTGGTGGAGAGTACTTAGACTATTGCAAATGGTTGATTCTCTATTAAAAAGTAACTAAACTAATGACTCTATTGTATTTTCAACTTTTGCAAACTGAAGATGTTCATCAATCAACATTAGAACTTGAAATTAATAACATGGTTCATCACAGCCAACAATATCTGTTTCACATACCTTTGGTGGGTTGATGCTGTTAGACCCAATGCCCAGATAAAGATAGAGGAAATTGGTCCATGGTCTAACACAGTCTAAAAGTGTCAAAGTCTTTCACACTAGACAGTAGGTACCATAAATCATTGGGAGTGGCCACCTTCCAGTGGCTGGTTCTTAAATAATACTGAATATAAAAGACGAAGTTATCTTTTCATTAAAATTAGATAGGCCATGAGTGGTGGCTCACACCTGTAATCCTAGCACTTTAGGAGGCTGAGGTGGGCGGATCATGAGGTCAGGAGTTCGAGGCCAGCCAGACCAACATGGTGAAACCCCATCTCTACTAAAAATACAAAAATTACCCAGGCGTGGTGACACGCACCTGTAATCCCAGCTACTCAGGAGGCTGAGGCAGGAGAATCACTTGAACCTGGGAGGCAGAGGTTGCAGTGAGCTGAGATCATGCCATTGCACTCCAGCCCGGGTGAGGGAGTGAGACTCCGTCTCAAAACAACAACAACAAAATAATAATAATTAGATATAGTGCAGTGCACCTGCAGTAAGAGCTAACACAACAAGCAACCAACAACTCACAGATGCATAGATGCAGGTGTTTGAAACTTCTGAGAATTATAAGATAACATGGCCATTTCAATTCCCAGAGACCCATTGTTCATGCATCAGTTGCTGCCAGCCTAATACAGTGTCTGCACCCATGCTGAAGTCACTCTTCAGTATTGGTTATGAATTAACTAGCAAAATAAAGCTCTTTTTCTCTCACATACTTGTTTTCTTTTCATTGCCGATGCCGCTAGACTCCAGTCCAAGTCTTTGATGCCCTAAGAGGGCATTCTGTTATTAATAGCTCCTTTAGGTGACACCAAACACAGGTTGAATCTTCCCACAGTACTGTAATCCAGAGGTTTTATCACCTTTTTTATCATTAAAATTTATCTTTTACCTCCGGTCTCTGCTAGTTCATCTGATTAACTGATTTAGCCAAAATGTTCATGGTTTATTTAGGTTTAATTTGCTATCACTGCCAGTGATCATGTTCATGCTCACTTGGGATTTATTGAACGAACTCAGCAATGTGAGTCTTGCACGAACTGCAGGAAGAGAACCAGAGGAAAGTATTTCTGGAAGCAGGTAGATCTCCTGTTTCTGCTAATCTTTTACTGAGTTTGTGGCTGCCTAGTCAGTGCAGGTTCACCAGGAGTCCAGATCTGGAATCATTTGCTGTAAGAGCTGCACCTGATTCAGATGCAATCCTCAACTGACAGCATTGTATTGCTTGGTTTGTATCTTCAACTTGAAATTCAGCAGGGAATGATACATAAGCCCATAGGATTTTTGATGTCTTGGTGGGAATCATGGATGAATTGCAGACTTTTTTAATGCTAGGAAAGAACTAGGTGAAGGTAATTGAAATGTAAATTATAAGTAAAAATAGTAATATAAAGAAAGGATGCATTTTAAATTTTATAGCAATCCAATGTAGTTACAAATTTTCCGGTGAAATCAGAAGCTATTACTTGCTGCTCCTGGATGGTGGACCAAGCATAGCTGATCGCTCTGTTATGATCATACTGGGAATTCACCAGATGTTAGAGACAACACAACCGAAAATCACCTGGTTGGATTATTGCCACTGAATAGGAAGCAGGGAGGGTGAAGCACTAATAAGAAATGAATTTAACACCTGCTCAGGACTGTAAAGTTTACATTTTCATTACCTGCTGCTTTTTTTTATTCCCTCTGTAATCTTTTCAGCTATTTTAAAACAATTTTTTAATACCCAAAATTAAGAAAGTACTTTTCTCTGGTCTGACAATCTTATTAAATATCATACGGACAAGATCTCTACTAGGCATTTATATTTTTGCTACCAAAGTAACAGTCTATATCAAGGATTAGTGAATTTTTCTGTGAAGAGTCAAACAATAAATAATTTAGTTCTTGTGGGCCTTATAGTCTCAGTTGCAACTACTTTATTCTGTCATTGCAATGGTAAAGTAGCATAGACGACTTGTAAATGAATGAGGGTGGCTGTGTTCCAATAAAATTGTATTTACAAAAATAGGGGCCAGGCATGGTGGCTCATGCCTGTAATCCTAGCACTTTGGGAGTCCAAGGCAGGCAGATTACTTGAGGTTGGAGGTTCAAGACCAGCCTGGCCAATATGGTGAAACCCCATCTCCACCATCTCTACGAAAAAAGAAAATAGAAAAATTAGCCAGATGTGGTGGTGTACGCCTGTAATCCCAGCTACTCGGAAGGCCGAGGCAGGAGAATCACTTGAACTTAGGAGGCAGAGGTCACAGTGACCAAGATTGTGCCACTGCAGTCTAGCCTGGGCAACAGAGTGAGACTCTGTCTCAAAAAAAAAAAGAAAAGGTAGCAGGCTGGATTTGGCTGGTGGAGTATAGTTTATCGACCCCTGTTTTATACAATGTTTTTATATAAACATTATTTTTCTACTCACTATCTGCTACATTGCTCTGCATATGGGTGATATGTAATATTTTCTGTAGACTAGATAACTAAATAAGTGACTTTTAAAACATAAATTATTTAGAGTTGATGATAAATGTTAACAAATTTCTGCAAAATCTTAGGAAATAAACAGCTGGATAACTACCTTCTCTTTTCTTTTTTGGCATTTGTTTAGCCTAATTGTTTTATCTTTTTTTTTTAATTTTACTTTAAGTTCTGGGATGCATGTGCAGAACGTGCAGGTTTGTTACATAGATATACATGTGCCAGGGAACCACCTTTCCTTTTCCTTTATAAAGTGATAAAATATCAAAATGGTCTTCCTGAGACCACCTCTTAAAAATAATTTTATATAAGCATGTAGAACTGTATAAGCTTTTATTCACAAACTACTCAAAAGACAATTTATACCACTAGATTCTTAGGAATTAATGCCTTACTAAAAGATTTTATTGTACTCTTTTTAACAGGCAATTAAATGTCAAAGGAGTACACAAAAGGAGATTTAAAATATAAAAGTATTGGTTAAAATTCTTTGGATTAAAAATAAAATACTTAATATAGTAATAATTAATTACAAATAATGAAATTTGGATGAGCAATTAATGTATAATGCTTTCAAATGAAATTATAATTTAGTTCACTTGTCTTTTAGACTAAGAATAATATTTTTAAATTCATGTTGGGTGATAACTTCACATCATTGCATGGCCACACAAATATATCCATGTCATGGTAAATAAGTGACCAGTTTTATGGCATTACAATTCTAATGACAGAAAGACTATCTAGCTCTTGGGTAATACACAGTATATTTAAGAACATTAAGCATAAAATGTTTTTGAAGTTCAAGGGAGACATGCTATCCCCCATCAAATTGCTGGGATCAAGAAATGATTTATGCAATTCAATCTTTTCAATAAAGTATATGAACCCCTACGTTAATAATCTAGAGTGAAATGATTTTTCTGACTTGATTTCTTGCTTCCACCATGTTGCCTAAATGTCCTGTCCATTTGTATTTACTCATGTGGTCTCTAATAACTAATACTAATCTTACACCTTTCTAACCTACTCTTCAAAGTCTACTTCAAATATCCTATCATGAAGTCTTAGTAACCTTGACTTCTTTCATGCCTACCAGAATTTACCTCTCTCTACTCAGAGCTGCAAAGCACTTTCTTTGTTTCCTGACAGAATGCCGGTCATATATTTTGATTCTGTCACATGTATGGTTGCGTCAAAACTATGGAGGGTCTGAAAAATTCATCTACGTACAAGCCCACAAGTTAGCTAACAGTTTTGTAGATGCTGGCAAAAGACACAAGACTCCTGCATCAGAGACAAAGAACTTTAGTACTCACAGTGGTGGGAGTAGCCAGATTACCAGCATCTGGGTTGCTATTCCAAGGCTCAATTTCTTCAGGAAATGTAAAGAGGTGATGCCGGCACACAAAGTAAACTGAATCACAGAAGAGGAGCCCTGAGTTTAGAATCCTGAACGTTTTCTTTCTTTCTTTCTTTTTTTTGAGATGGCATCTTGCTTTGTTGCCCAGGCTGGAGTGCAGTAGTATAATCGAGGCTCACTGCAATCTCCACCTCCCAGGTTCAAGCAATTCTTGTGCCTCAACTTCCTGAGTAGTTGGAACCACAGGCATGTGCCACCATGCCTGGCTAATTTTTGTATTTTTAGTAGAGATGCAGTTTCACCATGTTGGCCAGGCTGGTCTCAGACTCCTGACCTCAAATGATCCACCTGTCTCGGCCTCCCAAAGTGCTGGGATTACAGGGGTGAGCCACTGTGCTCTGCTAGAAACCTGAATATTTTCTAATGGGCAGTGAGCACACCCAAATTTTGCCTCCGAGAAAGATAATATTTTTATCATACTGGACAGTAAAAGAAACTTCCCTCTACTCCAGAAGAGGACACTAGACATATTATCTATGGATGTTTCCTGCAGAAGTATAATTGAATAGTTTGGAACAAAGTCAGTTAATGTGTGTACTCATTAGACCTACTAAAATGTGAGAAAATAACAGAGAATTGCCTCCCAACATGGAACTTTCTTTTCTTTTCACTCTACCTACTGGGAGTCTTGGTTTGTATTTCCTTCAGGAAACATCCTGAGATGAGGATTCAAGTGAAAGGAGTTGCGGGGAGGTGATGTCAAAAATTACCAGTAGGGAAGTAAGAAAATGAGAAAAGGAATAGAAGAAAAAATCTTTAAGCCTGAGTTATCAAGCCATATGCCACTGTAGGTAACTAGAAATGAATCATTCTGGAAAATCAGGGAGACTATGTATAATAAACAGCAGCCTCAGAATTATCCCCATCAGGGAGAAAGTGTTGAAGTATTTATATACCAACTTCCTCTAGTCATGGTTTGAGAATTGCTCCTGGAATATTATAATATGTCAGGTGCTTCTGGCTGTTGGGTTGAGAAATGTAATAAGCTCAGGTGCAAAAAAAGAAAAGAGAAACCCTCAGGCTGAAGGCAATAGGGCCATAAGCATCATGCACAAAAACGGTGAGACCCATAGTGATATGCACCAGTCATGATCAGTATCTCCTACAAAAGCAAAATTATGTTGTTGTTTTATGTTAACAATCAACAAAACTGTGTATATTGATAGCACTCAACAGTTTTTCTTGCCATTGAGTGGAACAGGAATAATCTGAAATAGGCCTACAGAACAAGGATATTAATAGGTATATTTATTGAAGCACTGTTTACAATAGCAAAGACTTAGAACCAACCCGAATGCCCATCAGTGATAGACTGGATAAAGAAAATGTGGCACATATACACCATGGAATACTATGCAGCTATAAAAAAAGAATGAGTTCATGTCCTTTGCAGGGACATAGATGAAGCTGGAAGCCATCATTCTCAGCAAACTAACACAAGAACAGAAAACCAAACACCACATGCTCTTACTCATAAGTGGGAGTTGAACAATGAGAACACATGGACACAGGGAGGGGAATATCACACATCAGGGCCTGTAGGGGGAGTTGGGGGGTAAGGGGAGGGAGAGCATTAGGACAAATACCTAATGCATGTGGGGCTTAAAACCTAGATGATGGGTTGATAGGTGCAGTAAACCACCATGGCACATGTATACCTATGTAACGAACCTGCACGTTCTGTACATGTATCCCAGAATTTAAAGTAAAATAAAAAAAAGAAAATATGGATTTGATCTTTAAAAACATTTACTTAAATAAATGTCACATCTAGTATTGTATGGAATAGGATGTAACTAAAATATTTAATTCTGCTAATTCACTTTTGAGCCATATGAAAAAAAAATGGCCGTATTACTCAAGAGATCATAAGGCCAGATCATCAAGCACTAGTGAAAACTGGCTCTTTTAAAGCATATGCATCTTTATTATATACAAGAAGTCATGAACTCAATGAGGCATGCTAAAGACAAGGTCTAATTCATTTGTAAACATCATATTTAATACTAAAATGCTTTGTCTCCTGTAATCTAAACTCTCTGTAAATTACACAGTCTAAAATAACATGTTTTAAAGAAACAATACTTTTGAAGAAAGTTGTATATTCTAAATAAAAGAATTATATTCTAAATGTTTGCCATTTCATAGCTTGGACTCTGTGTCTTCCATGGAGATCAAAACCACCCTAAATATTGACAATACAAAACTGTTTAAGAATGTCCTTATTTTTCCTAGAATATAAGAGTCTGTTTCTGGGCAGGTTTTATCAAACAGACCAGGAGCTTCATGAATTAAAGAGTCATCTTCAGTTTAGACATTGATCAAGTTATTGGCTGCACTAAGGGCTCTACTTGAGTCTTCCTTCAGATGCTGCCGAAATTTTCTCAAATCCTGACTGCTGCTAGCTAATTTTACCTCAGCCTGTCTTTGTCAAAAACAACAGAGGACAAGGCCACCTACAAGAGCGGCACGTCTTCACCCAAGTTTACTTTTTCCTGTTATAACTATTCACAAGCTACTCGATTTTGCTTGTTGGCCACATAACCTCACCTAAGAGAAGAGAGAAACTCAGAAGAAGTCCAATCATGCTTGGTTGTTCAGAATCTGACTACTAGAAGAGATACCAGGCGTCACCTAACGTTACTTCCCAAGCAAGTGTCCTCTCCACAGTGCTCCTGGCCAAGCATCACTTAGTCTTTGCTCTATTGTTTATGACCACAGAAGGCGAGTAGTGCTGCGAGTGGTGGTAAACTTTCCTACTGAGAGCCAAAACATATCTTCCTTTAACGTTTTTCATTAGTCTTTACGTTTAACCTGAAGCAGCAACAACAAAAAAGCACAATTAAGAAGCAGTTTTATACTGGAAGACCAAGCCTTTCCCTATTTTCACCTCTTTAGTTACTTAGGGTGTTTGTCATGATGAAGTCGGAGGCTGGATTTGACTCTGCAGGCAGGGCTTGAACACCAGACCAGATTGAGGACTAGCTGAAACAGAAACAGGGAGCCGAAAGCACCTCTCTGTAAGGCGTGCCCTCCACTGTCATGTCAGTTTACCATTGCCATGGCAACACCCAGCAGTCGCCGCCCCTTTCTATGGCAACAACCCGATGATCCAGAAATTACCACCCTACTTCTAGAAATTTCTGCATAACCTGTCCTTTAATTTGCAAATCATTAAAGGTGGGTATGAGTGCAGAACTGCTCTGGGTTGCTGCTGTGGGCACACTGCTTACGGGATCACCTTGCTCTGCTAGGAGCAGTCCCTCTGCTGCTGTGCACGGCCGCTTCAATCAAAGGTGCTGTCTACCACCACCGGCCGCTCTGAAATTTTTTCTTGGGCGATGCCAAGAACCTCTCAGACTAAACCCCAGTTCTGGGGCTTGCCTGCCCTGCCTCAATACGGTGTTTATCCTAGAATTCCTTCAGACTCATCACCAACCTTCTCAGAGTCCACGAAAAGTCCACTACACTTTTAAATATTTATTTTTAAATACTCAGATATTTACTGCTATTATCTATGTGAGATATGATGAATTACCTCACCAAATATTTTTAACATACAAAAGAAATTTAACTTCATACTTTATACATCATTTATAGTTACAAATTCACATTTATTCAACAGAAAAAGGCCATATTTAATTATTTAAAATATTTTAGATACCAGAATTAAGGGCATGTTTAATAAATATGTCAACTAAACAGTTAAATATTGTTATTCCCTTCTGCACGTAAACAATATGATTACATTATCAATAATCTAAAGGAGAAATAAGCTGTATATTTGACCATTATTTAGTACTAGTGATAGCAAATCTAATATCCTTATACATACTTTCTATGAATAAAAATGTTCTTTCTTATTTTAAAACACATAATCAAATTTTAAAGATGAAACAATCTGGTCACAGTGGCTCATGCCTGTAATCCCAGCACTTTGGTGGGTTGAGACAGGCAGATTGCTTGAGCTCAGGAGCTCGAGACCAGCCTGGGCAAAAAAGTGAGACCCCATCTTTACAAAAAATACAAAAAATTAACCAGGCATGGTGGCACACGCCTGTAATCCCCGCTACTCAGGAGGCGGAGATGGAAGGATGGCTCGAGCCCGGGAAGTGAAGGTTGCAGTGAGCTGAGATTGTGCCACTGCATTCCAGCCTGGGTGACAGAGATAGACTTTGTTGAAAACCAAAAGAAAGAAAGAAAAAAAAGATGAAATAGTCAAAAGAGTAGACTATGCAATTATAAAATGTATTTGTTTTCAGAGAAGAATAAACAAACAGAAGCATATGGTTTAAAGTATATTTGTGGACTTTCTTTTATAGATACTGGAAATGTGAGACATTCAGATCACAATGTACTATCTGTGGAATCTAGGTAATGGATAAAGCAGACATTGAATTCAAAAGTAATGCTTAATATATTCAAGGAATTATGAGACAAAAGATAGAAGAAAACGTTTTCTAGATACATTATCTCTACCCTATTTCATACACAATAAAAATATCTAAGTACTCACAAATAGAGTGTAATTGGACGTAAGGCATGCAACTACTATACCCATCTGCTTCATAAGAAATTGCTCACCTTGGCCGGGCGCGGTGGCTCACGCCTGTAATCCCAGCACTTTGGGAGACCGAGGTGGGCGGATCACGAGGTCAGGAGATCAAGACCACCCTAGCTAACACGGTGAAAATCCCGTCTCTATTAAAAAATACAAAAAAAATTAGCCGGGCGTGGTGGCGGGCGCCTCTAGTCCCAGTTACTTGGGATGCTGAGGCAGGAGAATGGCATGAACCCAGGAGGCAGAGCTTGCAGTGAACCGAAATTGCGCCACTGCACTCCAGCCTGGGTGACAGAGTGAGACTCCGCCTCAAAAAAAAAAAAAAAAAAAAACCAAAAGAAAAGAAAAGAAATTGCTCACCTTGCTTTCCAGTTTCTTTAGGTAGGAATCCATATAAAGCAGCAAAGCAGCTTCAACCATGCACCCTCGGGATGGCAGAGCAACAAGATAAGAAGAACCTGGCTTCGTGAATCACTTGATGAGACAAAAACACCTGTGTCTGTCTGGGCCGGGCACCTCTAGGCTGCCACCTTACTCAAGCCATTATGTGTTTTTGTTATGTTGTAGCAGCAGAGACTTTACCTTCCCTAAATCAGCAAGTGTCAGGATATCTGAAATTCCACCACTTCTTTTTCTTTTGGTTATTGCTCAATTTGCTATTATTGTTGTTAGAAGTGGAGCTTTTACAATCCAATTTCATTGTCTTAGGTTCAGCGTGTTTTCTGGGTACTACTGCCTGTGTGTATTCCTGGAAATGCAGGAATGTAAGAGCATTTTAAAAAGACTGCTTTTTACTTTTAATATTTCACAAAAGCACACACTGCACTTGATGATATATGTTCTTTGAGTGGAAATTTATGGCACATTTTTCAAGGCATTCACTGTCAATTCAGCTACATTGCTATTTTGGACTGTTTTATGATGTCCATTTTTCTCAGTGTGACACTCCAGTGGGTCCTAACACACACACATTCAGTGGGGAAGGAAGTCTAAACACTAAAGAAATACAGGATTATCAATCAAACAACAAACACTTACTGAGGGTCTACTAGGGCCAAGTTACTCTGCTAGGTGAGAATAATTCAGAAAGAGGTAAAATACGGACCCAATATCAAAGAGCTTACTGTCTTGTTAGAGAGCCAGAACACACACACCCCCAATATAAACTAATATCACTAGAAATTATATGATAAATGCCACTATGTTCAGGTAAAGAGTTGGATGGAAATACTTTAAGGTAAAATTAATGCAAAACATTAAAGCTGGATATATGTGCTCCTTGCGCTATTGATACATTTTGATATCTTCTTCACTATCTGTAACCCTATTCCAGATGCCTATACCCAATTTCTTAAATCTATCCTCAGTTATTCTGGTCCTCATGTTGTGGATTGCCACCTAGAGGTGCTGAAAACAGCAAAGACTTTTGCTTGGGATTTCAAAAATTCTTTCCTTTTCATTGTTTATTTTTTCTGCCCTCCCCCGCCCACCCCATAGATTTGAACTCAAATAAAATGATGATCTATAAAAAATTATGTGTGCCACCACAGCTCAGGTAAAATGTTTTAAAAAATCCAGAAGTGTGAGAGAGCAAAGTCGGAATGATAGACTAGGTCGCCTGCTGGCAACTCACGATTGCTACCAGATGCTTCTAAAGGTTTGGTAGTTCTCATCCCAATGAACTGTCTTCCTAAGGAATTGCAAATACATTTCCAAAATTCACTTGCCTAGATAGGACTTACTTAGAGTTTGCCAATAAGAAACTCTTGCATAAGATTTGGAATGCAGAAAAGATGGCGAAGCCAGTATTCTCTTTGGGGGTTGCAGGCAGATGTGTGGACAGACATGAAATGTCACAGTGAGCTCCTGTGAAGCACTGTTACAGACTGAGAGAGCTGCTGGTAGAGTCCCAGAGATTCTTTAGAACTGCCATCATTTCTTAGAAACTACTTGAGAACAACCTGCTTCTGAGCTTCTGGCTGAGGTCTTTCCTGAACTTCACTGGCAGCTTCCTAAAACTTTGCTTTTCTAGTTCTTGCTACATTTGTGTAAACTGCTTGCATTAGTCTGTTTTCACACTGCTACAAATAACTACATGAGACTGGGTAATTTATAAAGAAAAGAGGTTTAATTGACTTACAGTTCTGCATGGCTGGGGAGGCCTCAGGAAACTTAAAATCATGGAGGAAGGCAAAAGCAGAAGCAAGGCACCATCTTACATGGCAGCAGGAGGGTGAGCAAACAAAGGAGGAAGTGCCACACACTTTCCAATAATCAGATCCCATGAGAACTCACTCACTATCATGAGAACAGCAAGGGGTATGTCCGCCCCCAAGATTCAATCACCTCCCAGCAGGCTCCTCCCCCAACACGTGGGGATTACAATTCTAGATGAGATTTGGGTGGGAACACAGAGCCAAACCATAATACCCCTGTTCCTTTATTAAGCCCTTTATTGCTGGACTACATACATCAGCTTGTGTTTTTCTGGCTGAATTCTGATGGCCACATGTGGGAATCCTTAGGCAAGTGGGAAGATGATAGAAGGGACATGCTTGCTCTGTCAGGCACCCTTTCTCTACAGATGAACACTGAGCAATATGTGGGAGAAGTTGGGAAGAAATGGGATTCTAAATTTGAGAATTCACTTAAAAAGAGTGAGACAGAAAGGTTCCTGGTTCCAGAACCTGAGCCAGGAGTCAAATAGGATACTGGACGGAAACACTGGTGTATTAGAGCTAGAATAAAATTCTTAAGGGGAAGACAAATCAGGGAGAAGCTGGCTCAGAACACCATGACTGACACAAGAAGATTTAGGAAAAAGGCTCCCTGTCCCACCCACAAAAGGAGGGGTGAGGGACAAAGGAAAATAGAGAAGTTAGTTCAGCTGAGGAAATAGATTACATTGCAGAAGCCAGAGTGAAGATACTTTCCATTAGAAATAGCACCAACTACCTTGATAGGATTTGAAAAATCATTTCTATATAGGGCATTAAAATATTTTTCCCCATTCTCCCCAGCCTGAAGAGCCTCAGTTCCTGTGTAGCCCACAAATGCCATGGATGTCAACATCTCAAGCTTCCATTTTGGGTGTCCTTCTTCCTTTCCTATTCACTTCCATAAAATTTTTTAAATATCAAAACACAAGTTGCACTGCCATCTACTTCATCTAAGCAGTACAGTGAGCAGGAATTTTTTAAAAACCTTCAATAAAAGTGATAGAAGCAAAACTTGTATCATCTGATGAAATGCAGTATGATGCAGTAACTCCCAAATACGTCTAACAGCTCACTTTCCTTCCGAAGTCTCAACTACTCAAATGCACACAGTGCATACATTTTTATGAACTTTATAAAATTTGCTATGAATAGTGTTAAAATTATCTTTAAGTGACAAGGCAACCTATGGAATGAAGAAAATATTTGCAAATTATATATCTGATAAGGTGTTAATATACTGAGTACATAAAAAATTCCTACAACTCATCCACACACAAAAATCAACCCAATTAGAAAGCAGGCAACAGACTTGAATAGACGTTTCTCCAAGGACAATACACAAATGGTCAACAAGGCTATGAAAAGATGCCCAGTGTCACTAATCATCATAGAAATGCAAATCAAAACTCTAACATCACCTTACATCCATCAGGATAGCTACTATGAAAAAAAAAACAGGGGAAGATATGAAGAAATTGGAACTTTTGTATGCTCTTGGTGGGATGATAAAATGGCAAAATTGGTATGGAAAACCATATTGAGATTCCTCAAAAAGTTAAAAATAAAATTACCAAATGATCAAGCAATCTCATCTTTGGACTTATATCTAAAATAATTGAAAGCCGGGTTTTGAATAGAGATGTTTTCGCACACCCATGTTCATACTAGCACTATTCATAACAGCCAAATGGTATCAGCAACACAAACATCTATCAAAACATAAATGGTGTATACCTATGAAGAAATATTATTCAGCTTTAAATAAGACAGAAATCCTGTCACCTGCTACAACAAGGATGAATTCTGGCAACATATGCCAACTCCTCCATTATCCCTACTCGCAGAGCCTGCTAATCACCATTCTACTTTCTATTTCTATGAATTTTCCTGTTTCCAACTCATATAAGTGGAATCATCCAGTATTTATTTTTTTTGTGACTAGCTTATTTCACATGGCATATGTTCATCCTTGTTGTGGTAATAGAGGAGTTGTTTAATAGGTACTGAGTTTGAGTTTTGCAAGATGAAAACTTCCTGCATACACATTTCACAACAATGTGAATATTCCTAACACTACTGAGTTGTACATTTAGACTGGTCGAGATGGTAAACTTCATGTTACTTTTTACCATAATTAATAAAAATAGCTTAAAATAATCTTTAAGAACATCTCAGGAAAGATTTTGCACAGAATAAGGTGCATGATTCCTTTCAGACCTGGAAAATATGGCTCTTCTGTTAGTTAAATTTGCTAATGTCTCTTTTTTTTCTCCAGAGACCATCATCAGCTCAAATGTTTAACACATATTTGCTGAGATGCTACGTTATTCTTGGCACTCAGTATATTACAATGAAGAAAACACAGTCCTTACTGTCAGCACCTCACAATCAACTAAGTGAACAGATAATTATAACATTATAATTACAAGGAAAAGGAATACAATACAAGGTGAGAAGTTCAATGATGAAAGTGTATAGGCAACATGAATAGAAGATTATTAATTATCAGGACATACAATGAAAGCTTTGGAGAGGACTTAAAGCCAATCAAATTTACCAGGCAGATGGGAGGGAAGGGGGATAAGGGATTCTAGCAAAGAGAACAGCATCAATAGATGAATAAACATACAGTGTTCAAGGAACTTCAAGTCTTTCCGTGTTGCTTGATGTTGCAGGGCAAGGAGAAAAAAAGACAAAAATTTGCAGCAAAAAGTAGGGACTAGGTAATGGGGAGCCTTGTTATTTATACGAAGAAACTTGGCTTTCATATTGTTAGCAATGTGAATCCTCAGGGAGTTTTCAGTAGGGCAGAGAGCTATAAGCTCAATGTGGGGCAGAAAGTATAATATCAAACTTTTATTTTAGGAAAATCACACTGGCAACAGTGTACATTATAGTTTTTGGAAGAAAACACTATGAAAGGGAAAGGTATCAATAAGAAAACTCTTAAAACATTCCAGATTAAGGATATTGAAATAGTAATTTAAGGCAAATAGGCACATACCATGAGGGAAATTTTGAGAAACAGTTATGGAGTGAAATTTACAGGATGTAATATTTAGTTTGGCATTCTAGAAAAGGAAAAGAGAAATCTATGGTTCCTCATTGGTTCTTAACTTCAGCACCTTCCACAGAAGAAAGTAATATAGGAGAGAAGTAACTTTGGAGGATGAATAACGAGGGGATATAGGAGGCTGGGGAACAAGCAAATGACACATTGAGTTTGGGCATCTAGAATAGAGACTCCTGAGGAGCATGCAGACAAACAAGTGCAGAAGCAGTTGAATGCATGACTCTGGACCTCAAGGGCAAGATTGGGACTAGAGGTGGAGATTTGAGATTCATAGATATGAAAGATGGCATTCCCTAGAATGTAATGGTAGAAAAAGATGAAAAAGTACAGAGAAATATATATTCTATGAATGCAACAATTAAAGGTGTCAAGAAAGAAAAGTGCCTAGCAAACAAAATTATAATATGCGGAAGAAGTATTGTAAAGCTCTCAATATTACACGGAATTATCTTACCCAATGAAAACATCATTCATTAGTAGTACTAATCTGAATCTCTTCTCAAGTTTACCTGGAAGAAGAGCTATGAATTTTATATAAGTTTCTTGGACAAAAGACAGGTGTAGGTAAGATGGAATCATAATGGTTGTTAGCAGAGGGCGGTCACTTTAAGATGTCATGAATACTGAGTGCTTCAGGTGCATCAACTGCATCTCATAGGAAATTGCTTACTGTTTAAAGAATTTGTGTGTTTTGAATATTAGCTTCCTCTGGGCCATTCCATTTCCTTCTATTTATATTCAACATATAGAATCTTATTTTATTTCTTGTCTAATATGTCTCATAGGTAAGGAACTTAATCATCAATGTACACATTTTATGAATTCTGTTTATATCTTACATACTATTTACATACAAAGTGTGTATGCCTAACACAGCTTTATGAGTCTCAACTATGCTGATAATGTATTATCTATGCCTAATATAAATAATTAGTTTTTTAGTAGTTTCATTCATAACATGTCTTTTTCTCCTTATTTATAGTATAATTGTGAATTGTTAATTAAGGCAAAAATATATTACAACTGAATACTAGTCAAATTATCAAGCACATTACAGGTCATAAAAGGGATGTTTAGATTAAAAAAATAAAATGAAATGTCATTTCATAGACAATTGCTTACTGTTTAAAGAATTAAGTACCCTGAACATCTTGATACAATATCTCACAAAGATATTCCTTGGACACATAATGCAGAAAATACCAATTTTAGGATTGTTTCTTCTATTTATGTGAATAACATCATTGGTATTTTGATAGGGATTGTGCTGAATCTATAAATTGCTTTGGGTAATATGGACATTTTAACAATATTGATTCTTCTCTATTAGGTCCATTTGGCCTACAGTGCAGATTAAGTTCAGTGTTTCTTCCAATCCATGAAAATGGAATATCTTTCCATTTCTGGGGTTTTCCCTTCAATTTCTTTCATCAATGTTTTCTAGCTTGTATTGTAGAGATCTTTAACTTCTTTGGTCAAGTTAAATCCTAAGTATATTATTTTATTTGTAGCTATTGAAATGGTATTACTTTCTTGATTTCAGATTATTTGCCATTGGCATATAGAAATGCCACTGATTGTTCTGTGTTGATTTCATACCTTGCATCTTCATTGAATTTGTTTATCAGTGCTACTACCTTTTTGGTGGAGTCTTTAAACCTCTTTCTCTTGTCTGGTTGCTCAAACTAGGACTTCCAAGGCTATTCTGAACAACAGTCGTGAAAGTTGGCATCCTTGTCATGTTCTAGATCTTAGAAGAAAGACTTTCAATTTTTCCCCATTCAGTATGACACTAGCTGTGGGTTTGTCATGTATGGCTTTTATTGTGTTGAGGTACGTTCCTTCCATACTGTTTTTTTGACAGTTTTTACAATGAAGGGATGTTGAATTTTACCAAATGCTTTTTCAGCATAAATTGAAATGATTATATGGTTTTCTTCCTTTATTCTGTTGATATGATGCATCACATTGATTGGTTTGCATATGTTGGACCATTCTTGCCTCCTAGGGATAAATTCCACTTAGTGATAATGAATGATCTTTGTAATGTGCTGTTAAATTTGGTTCATTAGTATTTTTTTCTTCAATGTTTTATTTTGGGTTCAGGAGGTACATGTTCATGTTCATTACATGGGTAAATTTCATGTTTCTGGGGTTTTGTGTACAAATTATTTCATCACTCAGGTAGTGAGCATAGTACCCAATAAGCAGTTTTTTTATCCTCACCCTCCTCCTACCCTCTACTCTCAAATAGGCCTCAGCATCTATTCTTCCATTCTTTTTCTCCACGTGTACTCAATGTTTAGCTCCTACTTGTAAGTGAGAACATGTGATAATTGATTTTCTGTTCCTTTGATAATTTGTTTACAATAATAAGCAAATGCTTATGATAATGGCCTTCAGATTCATCCATATTGCTAATATTTTGTTACGATTTTTGCATCAGTGTCCATCAGGGATATTGGCCTTTAGTTTTTATGATTATTTTTTGGTGTTTCTTTGTGTGGTTTTGGTATCAGGGTAATACTGGCCTTGTAGAATGAGTTTGGAAGTAATCCCTCTTCCTCTATTTTTGGAATAGTTTGAGTAGGATTGATACTAATTCTTTTTTGAATGTTTGGTAAAATCCAGCAGTGAAACCATCAGGTCTTAGGCTTTTCTTTTCTGGGAGATTTCTTTATTACAGCATTGACCTCATTACTAGTTATTGGACTGTTCAGGTTTTGAATTTCTTCAAGGTTCAATCTTGATAGGTTGAATGTGTTTAGGAATTTATTCATTTCTTCTAGGTTTTTCAATTTATTGGCATATAGTTTCTCATAGTAGCCCCTAATGATCCTTTGAATTTCTGTTGTATTGTTTGTAATGTTTCCCTTTTCATTTCTGATTTTATTTATTTGGATATTCTCTCTTTTTGTTTGTTAGCCTGGCTATAGGTTTGTTGATTTTATCTTTTTAAAAAAAAATTTTTTTTATTTCATTGATATTTTATATTGTTTTCTTCATTTTAATTTCATTTATTTCTGTTCTGATCTTTATTTTTTTCTACTAATTTTGGCTTGGGTTTGCTCTTGCTTTTCTAGTTAAGATGCATCATTAGGTTGTTTATTTGAAGTTTCTCTACTTTTTGATTTAGACACAACATGATAAACATTTCTCTTAGTACTGTATTCAATGTATCATATTGGTTTTGGTACGCTGTATTTTCACCATCATTTGTTTCAAGAAATGTTTCCATTTCCTTCTTGATTTTATCATTGACCCAGTAGTCATTCAGGGGCATATTGTTTAATTTCCATGTGTTTGTATAGTTTCCAAAATTCCTCTTGCTACTAATTCCTATTTTCATTCAATTGTGATCAGAGGAGATACTTGACATAATTTCATTTTTTTTTTGAATTTTTAAAAACTGGTTTTGTGGCCTAAAATATGGTCTATCCTTGAGAATGATCTGTGTGCAAAGGAGAATAATATGTATTCTGCAGCCACTGGATAAAATGTTCTGTAAATATTTATTAGGCACATTTTGTCTATAGTGAAGATTAAGTTCAATATTTCTTTGTTGATTTTCTGTCTGGAAGATCTGTACAACGCTGAAAGTGGGGTGTTGAAGTCTCCAGTAATTATTATACTGGGGTCTACCTCTCTCTTTAGTTCTAACAATAATTGCTTTATATATCTAGGTACTCCTATGTTGAATTGCATATATTTACAATTGCTACTTCTTCTTGCTGAATTGATCCCTTTATACAATTACCTTCTTTGTCTCTTTTTACAATTTTTGTCTGTAATAGATGACTACAGTAATATAATGTACTCTCCATATATTATATGTTATACTATTATATAATAATGTAGTTGCTATATATTATAAACAACTATAATATAGTTTGGTTTGTCTTGTAGTTGTCTATAGTATAATAGTCAAAATCTGTTTTGTCTGATATAAGTATAGCAACTATTGCTCTTTTTTGTTTTTCATTTGTATGGAATACCTTTTTCCATCTCTTTATTTTCAGCGTATGTATGTAGTTATACATGTAGTGTGTTTCTTAAAGGCAACATATAATTGGGTCTTGTTTTTTAAATCCATTCAGCCACTCCATGCCTTTTGATTGGAAAGTTTAGTCCATTTACATTTAATGTTATTATTAGTAAGTAAGGACTTACTCCTGCATGTTTTTATTTGTTTTTCTGATTGTTTTGTTGTGTTCTCTTCCTTCTTTTCTTCCTTTCTGTCTTCCTTTTAGTTAAGGTGATTTTTCTCTGGTGATATGTTTCAATTTCTTGCTTTTTATTTTGTTGTGTATCTGTTATATGTCTTTTTATTTGAGGTTACCATGAGCCCTGCAAATAATATCTTATATCCTGTTAAACGGATGAAAACTTAACACTGAACATATAAACAAAAACTAACAAACAAGCAAAGAGACAACTTACAAAAACTCTACCCTTTAACTTTATCATTCTGTGTTTTAACTTTGTTAAAATAACTTTTTTATTTAACTTGTTAAAATAACTTTGTAATTTAACCTGTTAAAATAACTTTGTTATTTATATGTCATTGTACTATTTCTTTAAAAGTTTTTGTAGTTATTAGTTTCAATCAGTTCATCTTTTAGTCTTTCTACTCAAGATATGAGTAGTTTATACAGCACAATTACCGTGTTATAATATTCTGTGTTTTTCTATTTATTTTCTATTTATTTACTATTACCAATGAGTTTTGTACCCTCACATGATTTCTTATTGCCCAATAATGTCCTTTTCTTTAGAACTGGGGAATTCCTTTTTAGCATTTCTTGTAGTAGAGGTATGGTGTTGATGAAATCCCTCAGCTTTTGTTTGTCTGAGGAAGTCTTTATTTCTACTTCATATTTAAATAATATTTTCATTGAATATACTGTTCTAGAATAAAAGGTTTCTTTCCTTCAGCACCTACATATGTCATGCCATTCTCTCCTGTCCTGTAAAGTTTTCATTAAGAAGTCTGCTGCTAGACATATTGGAGCTCCATTATGTTATTTGTTTCTTTTGTTTTGCTGCTTTTAGGATCCTTTCTTTCCCTTGACCTTTGGGTATTTTGTTATTAAATGTCTTGCAGTAGTCTTATTCGGGTTAAATGTGCTGGCTTTCTATAACCTCCTAGTATTAGAATATTGATACTTTTCTCTAGGCTTGTGAAGTTATTTGTTATTATCCCTTTGGATGAAATTTATACCCCGTCTCTCTTTACCACCTCTTTAAGACCAATAACTTAGATTGGCCCTTTTGAGGCTATTTTTTAGGTCATGTAGGTATGCTTCAGTCTGCTTCATTCTTTTTTCTTTTGTCTCCTCTGAATGTGTGTTTTCAAATAGCTTGTCTTCAGCTAATTCTTTATTCTGCTAGATCAATTTTACTATTAAAAGACTCTGATGCATTCTTCAGTGTGTCAAATGCATTTTTCAACTTCAGAATTTCTACTTGATTCTTTTTAATTATTTCAATCTCTTGGTTAGATTTCTCTGATAGGATTCTGAATTTCTTCTCTGTGTTATATTGAATTTCATTGAGTTTTCTCAAAATAGCTATTTTGAATTCTCTGTCTGAATGGATACATATCTCTGTCTCTCCATGATTGGTCCCTGGTGCCTTACTTAGTTCATCTTGTGAGGACATGTTTTGCTAGATGGTCTTGATCCTGTGGATGTTCATCAGTGTTTGAGCATTGAAGAGTTAGATATTTATTGTAGTCTTTGCAGTCTGGGCTTGTTTGTACCCATCCTTCTTAGTAAGGCTTTCCAGGTATTCAAAGGGACTTGAATGTTGTGATATAAGTCATTGGTCACTGTAGCCATATCTGCATTAAGGGACACTCCAAGCCCAATATCACTGCGGCCCTTGCAGGCTTATTGAAGTACCACCTTGGTGGTCTTGGATGAAATCCAGAACAATTCTCTAGATTATCAGGCAGAGACTCTTGTTCTCTTCCCTTTCTTTTTCCAAATAAATGGGAATCCCTCTTTGTGTGCTGAGCTGCCTGGAGCTGGGGAAGGGGTGACACAAGCACCACTGTGGCCACCACCAGTGGGACTGTGCTGGGTCAGGCCTGAAGCCAGCACAGCACTGGGCCTCACCCAAAGCCTGCCTGAAAACCACCCATGTTCATGAAAGACCCAAGTGTTGTAAAATCAGCATGTGGTGAAGCTGGCCAGGCTTGTGTCCTTCCCTTCAGGGTGACAAGATTTCCCTGGTCCCAGGTGGGTCCAGAGGTCCCACCTGCGAGCCAGGGCCTGGATTTGGAAAACTTAGGAACCAATCTGGTACTCTATTCTACTGCAGCCGATCTTGGACCCAATCCACAAGATGAAGCCCTTCCTACCCTTCCGTGTCCTTTGAACAAGCAGAGGAGTTTCTCCCTGTGGCCAGCACCACTGAGGCCTGCAGCAAATACTGCCTGGCTACTATCAATATTCACTTAAGTCCCAAAGTCTCTTCAGTCAGTTTGTGGTGAATTCTGCCAGTCCTGATTCTCTCTCTTAAAAGAAATGGGCTCTCCTCTGGCCCAGGGCAGGTCTAGGAATGCCATCCAGGAGCTAAGTTCAGGAATAAGAGACCCCAGGCACCTGATTGGTGCTCTATCACACTGTGGCCTAGGGTGCAAAACAAAGTCCCCTTTACTCTTTTCCTCAACTAGAAGGAGTCTTTCCCCACAAGCACCACAGCTGAGGATGTGCTGGGTCACATGTGAAGCCAGCAATGCTCTGAGTCTCACCCAAGGCCTGTGTTGAGTACTGCCTGGCTACCATTGATGATTATTCAGGACCCAAGGGCTCATTCTTTAGTCAGCAGGTAATGAATCCTTTCAGGACTGGGTCTTTTCCTTCAAGCCAATGGGTTCCCTTATGGTCTATGGTATGTCTAGAAATGTTGTCCAGCATCTAAGGCTTGAAATGGAGGCCTTGGGACTCTGCCTGGCACCCCATACTACTGTGGCTAAGCTGGGATACAAGATACAAGACAAAGTCCTCTTCACTTTCCTGTCTCTCTTCAAGCAAAGGAAAGGATTCTCTCTTGAAGCTCCAAGCTGTAGTGCCTGGGGTTGGGGAAGGAGTGACACAGCACTCCCTTGGCAATGCAAGCTGATGTCTCACTGTGTTGTGTGCCCCCTAAGTCCACTGGGTGTTAGCCAAGGACAGCACCAGGACTTGACCAGGAATTGCAGTCTCTATGTCCTAGATTGCCCAGGAATTGCAGTCTCTGTGGCCTAGACTGCCTTTCAAGTTTATTTAGGATCCAGAGCACTGTGGCCTGCAGTTGTGAGGCTTGCTGGAACTCAGGTTGTAATCTCTGGGATGCATGATTCTCCTCTGCCTTGGACTGCTCTCTCCATGGGCACTGGCTGAGCTATGCCTGGTGTTGCACTGTGACAGGGCAGCACTGAATTCCAATGCAAAGTCCCACAATCACTCCGCTCTGTCCCCCTGCTAAGTGCACAGATTCTTTCTCTGCCCCAAGCTGCTGCCACTGGGACATGGGGAGGGGTGGCACTGGCAATTCAAGTGTCTTTCCTACCCTCTTCAGTGCCTCTTTCAGTGATAGAAAGTTGAAACCAGATACTGTGATTGCTTACCTGATTTTTGGTTCTTATGACAGTGCTTTTTTTCTGTGGATAGTGGTTCAATTTGGTGTTCCTGCAGGGAGGATGACCGGTGGAGGCTATTCAGCCATCTTGTTCTACCTCCTATCCTCTCCACCATATTTTGTAAGCATATAAAGAATGAATAGTAATGGAGAATAATGATTTTTTATTCACTAAAATAATAAGTACACTGACTTGTTCCGTTGTCATGAGTTTCTAAATAATAATTTAGAAAATTTTAAATTATTAAAATGTTTCTAGAAATACTTATTCAAAGCAATAATAATCACTCCATGCAGTTGTGTATAAAAGTCTACCTAGTGATGTCAGTTTGCTATGTGAATAACCATATTTCCTTGTAAAATAAAAACACCTTTCTTTGAAGTCTTATAATTTTAAGCATTTATTAATTTGCTTATTTGGTATAAAACAGGCTCAAAGAGGAATAGTCTAAACTAATTCTGTCTTTTCAGAGTCAAAAGATATTACCTCGTTAGAGGAAGAAATATAGTAAAATATAAATAGTCTATCATGCTCGCATTAATACCATTTACTATGCCAAGCCTTGTGCTAATTAGTAAAAATTCCAAGATATCAAATAAAAAACTTAAATATATTAATTTAGTGGAATTGGCAAGTAGTTATTTTTTGATATTATCCTGTGGATTCAAAATAAATTGGAGATTTTTGCCAATGTTTTTCATCCAGTATTTCATCAAGTTGAAGAGAAATTAGAAGATTTTGCAGTTAAAATTGTGTGACCTCCTAAAGGTACATTTCATAAATTTAAAAAGAAATTATATTTATCAAAAATATAAGTCAAATCTTTTATTGAAAAAAGAGCATTTGCTTCAAGTAATTTTGCTCCTGCCAAAAATACACATACTGATAAGGGTTTATTTTGGGTTCAGAGATGACTGGAGGAGTTAAGAAATCTTAAACTATGTACAAGGAGACAACCCAGAAGGCACCCAAGTAAAATCAACGAGGCATGGCAAACTATAGATTTCAGATATGTCATCATAAAATCTAAAGGACAAAGGAATCCAAACAATATGTGTAAAATGATGGACAACTGATCTGCCACAGAGTCAAGGGGTCATCCAACACTGACAGAATTAAGGTCATTCACCATCATCAAACTTACAGTGTCCAGTCTCTGACCCTAGATGCAAGAAGGTCAAGGAAGTTTAGATTTAGGCAGGAAAATGAAAGTATGGGAAACAATTCCCTCGAGGTCACATGTAACACATAAAAATGCACACATACAATATTTATCACCCCTTCTTCTGTTTCCTAGAGTGAATTTTTAGTACTGTGTATTCTTAATAAATACCATTGTAGGTGGGTATGCAGTGATGTGATTTCCTTCTAAATTCACCACGTAACTTAGAACTGCAGAATGAAATATTAACATACACAGATTTCCAGCTCACACTTCACAATGTACAACTCAAAATGGCCAGTAAGGTATAATTTCATCATGTTATCTGTAAGTGTTGAAGATGGAAAAAGATGCCCCCCACCCCACACACACACACAGCTCTTTCAATTTATTTTTTAAAAAAAATCAATATCGCATCTATTACCACAGGAATGGGCTGGGCACTGGTGAAATGCAAAGATGAGCAAAGACCCCAGAGTATCCTTCAATCCCATAGACAAATGGAAATGTCCATGAGCACCACCAGGAAATGAAGAAGATATTGGTTGCTATGGCCTAACTATGAACACTCCCAGCTCACATATCTAAAACAGAGCGTTGGCATTTTATATTTTTCAATTTAAAGGTCCATGCCAAAGGTCAGGTGTGCTGAGAGTCCTCAAGGGAGTTGGTGAAGATGAATCTGAAGGTTGTGGGTGAAGAGTAAAATTCATTTCATCTAAATGCTTGGTTATAGAGACTTATTCTACCAGGGACATAGGCAAAAGAGTGGGACAAATAGTGCATAATCAGGCATCTAAAAATATAACAAGAAAAAAAATGAAGTAATATGTTGAATATAATTCCTACCGAAAGGTTGAAAAACAATTTTCTCATATGCTAAAGACTTGATTGCAAATACTTTAAATAATCATGAGAGGGATAGATGCTACTTTAAAGATGAGATAAAAGAGAAGGAAAATATGAACACAATCATAAATTTGTCTTGAAGAATAGAAGTTACCAAGAGCAGTTGAGAGTTTAAAAGGAAAGACAGGATTAATGGGGTGACTTCCTTATAATACAGTACAATTTCAGACATTTTGAATCAATTAATAGCTAAAGTGGAAATTGGAGTCTTTGTGGCCAGGATGGAAATGTGGGAAAATGCCTTATTGATCCAACCAGTGTTTCTCATCCAGATGTGATTAATGCACTGATACTCCACAGAGAGGATAATACTGTGTTTTGGTTTGGTTTTCGTCCGTATTCCATTTGATAAGACTGAAAGGTAAAAGCTTGTTGTCAGCAGTAATGATTAACTGTCTGCCTTCACTATTTTAGCTTTGCCTCTTTCACAGATTCAAGTAAGAAATAAAATAAGGTTTATAAAAAGTGAAATGTGTACAATCAATATAACCACCACACACACAAGAAGTTTCCCTTTGCAAACTACTGGTTCAGGCTTTAATTTCTTCAAGATCAAGGTTAACAATACAGAGGTTTATCAAGTTACAGATGTCTGTCTGTTTCCATAAATTGCTTCAGTCTCTTTAGGAAAAAAATGAAGTAAGACATAGACAGACTAGATAAACAGTCTTAAAAGCCATTTCTAAGTCATGCAATAATAGAATGACTTCTTTTTCATTATTTCACTTGAAAAGAATTTCTTCTGAAGTAATGATGGGATTGTTAGACTTAATTCTTTTTTGCTGCAGAATACCAAATCTTCTATCTACCAGCCATCAAGATTTGTATCCTATTTAATACAACTTGCACTATTAAGTCTAAAGGTTCATGGGCTTCTCAGTCAAATGGTATCAAAACCTAATATAAGAAACAGTTTTCTAGAGTGAAAGTCAAGTAGCAAGCATATAAGAATTGATTTCTACCCACCACAAAGCAATGCCAATGCAATAGAGGAGGTACTTGAATCCAACTGGCTGTGCATAGAAACTTTCTAATATGATTTTAATGAGTGAGAAAGAAAAGTTATGTATCAAATATTTTGAAATAATTGCTTCTCTTATGTAATTTGTGTTGCCTTTTATTTGGTATAGAAAAAATTATTAATAATCTATTTTATATATGTCTTTTAATTACTTATTTTAAAAAATAATTTTAGTATCATAGATAAATAGATATTAAGCTCAAAGCTAAAGTAGGGGGAGACCCTCCATTAAGAGTAGAGTAAAACAGGGGCACGTTCCCATGTAAGCTTTTGTTCAGAAAGAAAATCAAGTCAATATCACTTGATATACATATGTTTGGGTATGATACATAATCCAAAATAATTTTGATTTGAAGAATACACAGATCACTTCATTTTCTGCCTTAAAATGACTATAGCTTCTTTTGATGAAAATTTCCAATTTTATGAACCACTAGGATGACTAACCCCAACTTTGCTAGATGACTATCATCTATTACCCCTGCTTTATAAATGGTCTTATTTAGGCTGTTAAGTACTTCATAAAGGAGTCCAAAACCATGAGCTTCTGAACCTGATTGAAATTTATAGTTGAGGAGAACCTTTGAAATCAGTTACTAGGCTTATATCTCCTATGTAGGGGAAGACTAAGCAGAAAAGTATTAATTTTACTTATTTCCCAGAGAACTTGGTCCAGAATGAAGCTCTGAGAGACTCAAGAGCCCTGAAGCCACCCTTGGTTTCAAAATGAGCATTGGGGAAAATAAAGTGAGATGACACACCTGAAGATGGCAAACTGAATCTGCCCTCAAGGAAGCACAACAGAATTTCAGTTATTTAATGATCAGTTCTCTTTATGGGAATAGAAAAGCCCTGAGATTGTTTCCTACAAGAAAAATATTTCACATTAAGTAAGTGTCAATATATTAGCAATAGAGATTGAATTGTATTTCAAATTTTGGATTTCTTGGCTTGACACTTCCATACATATTTTACTCACATCTCTCTACACATTTTATAAACACAAAGCCTTGAAACTGAACCCCATCCACAAGGGAGTGGCAAGATTTCATTAGTAAAGCGTGTGTAAGTTTCATTGAGATTCTCTCAGGTAAGGTGTTGCATAATATTAAGTCATAATGTTGAAGTTATTAGATCTTAGTAAATAGCATAATTAACTCTCTATGTTTAAATAGAAGACAAGTGAGAATTTATAAACTAAGATAAAATATGCACTATGTAATTAAGGTATGTAACATTCTTTCCTGTAAGCAAAAGCAAACACAGCTTTTTTTGTGTGTAGCTATAATGTCATTTTGAAAGTACCATGTTTCTCAGGGGCCATCAATAAAGGTACCACATCCATCTTTGTCGATTTCTTAGAGGAGTCATTAGTGAAATGTCACCTTCTGAGGTGATTTCTTTGCACCTTGAGTATGGAAAGTTTTTACTTTTTAAACCAGCAACAATAAAAACAACACCTGATAACATTTTGTGTACTAAAAGAGTACAATAGAAACATTACATATTTACAAAAAAACTCATCATCAATATTGTTGTTATAATTATTATAATTGAAAAATTACCTCAGCTATTCTGCCTTCCATTTAAAAATATCACTGAAATATTATACTACAATAAACACAACCTAGAGTAACTGTGTCATTTGCCAAATTACTCTTTCAACCTTTCCCACTTAGGAATGATTTTGTCATTGCTCATATAAAGTCTGAGATTTGGGAAATGGAGAGGATATTACAGATCACGTCATTCCTCATAACCCTACACAACTGGAAAGTAAGGATCAAGATCCAATATTAAAGGACTTGGTCTGAGGAAACCTTATCTGCATTTCCAAATATTTTGGTGATTAAATCACACTACCACCAAGCATGATGTTGGAGAGACTGTAACATGGAATGAGAAGCTGAGCTGTCTGACATCACATCATTTTCAAATACATGATTCCAAAATTACAGTAATTACGGATAATAATCAAATTTAGTTCTCAGATAAATTTTCATTTTGCCAAATTCCAAATATTTGCTCTTTAAAAAAGGCATAAAACACAGAAGAACAAAACTATGAATCTGCTCATATTCCTGCTTAACATGCATTTATTTTTACTGAATATGTTTTTCCTTAGGCCCCTGGTAACATCAAGTTGGGACACAAGTAATTGGAAGCCCTATCACATAGATATTGCTTTCATGTTTCTAAGACAGTGGTCCCCAACCTTTTTGGCACCAGAGAACGGTTTCGTGGAAGACACTTTTTCCACAAATGGGGGGCAAGGGGTGGAAGGAGGATGGTTTTAATTGTGCACTTTATTTCTATTATTATTACATTGTAATAAATAATGAAACAATTATACAACTCATCATACTGTAGAATCAGTGGAAGCCCTGAGCTTGTTTTCCTGCAACTAGACGGTCCCATTTGGGGGTGATGGGAAACAGTGACAGATCGTCAGACATTGGTTTCTTATAAGCTGTAAGCAACCTAGATCCCTCACATGCACAGTCCACAACAGGGTTGGCCCTTGAATTAGTCCGTTCTCACACTGCTATAAAGAACTACTTGAGACTGGGTAATTTATGAAGAAAAGAGGTTTGACTCACAGTTCCATAGGATTAACAGGAAGCATGACTGGGAGGCCTCAGGAAACTTACAATCATGGTAGAAGGCGAAGGGGAAGCAAGGACCTTCTTCACACGGCGGCAGGAGAGAGAGCGAAGGGGGAAGTGCCACACACTTTCAAACAACCAGATCTCATGGGAACTCACTCACTGTTAGGAGAACAGCAAGGAGGAAGTCCACCCAAATGATTCAATCACCTAATCCCCTCCCAGCAGGCCACTCCCCCGACACCTGTGGATTACAATTCCAGGTAAGATCTTTGGTGAGATATGGTTTGATGAGCCAAACCGCATCAGTGCTCCTAGGAGAATCTATTGTCGCCTGCTGATCTGACAGAAGGCAGAGCTCAGGCAGTAATGTGAGGGATCAGGAGCAGCTGTAAGTACAGATGAAGTTTTTCTGCCTTGCCTGCTCCTCGCCTCTTGCTGTGTGGCCCAGTTCTTAACAGGCAATGGACTGGTACCTGTCAGTGACCTGGGGGCCGGGGACCCCTGCTCTAAGAAATTCAAAACACGTAGCAGCAATGCACTGATTCAGCTCATTCAGTGAATCCAGGCATTAGTTCGACAAGATATCTTGAGCTCTTCTAAGTAACAAGAGCATTGGATACAAAGACAAATAAGGCAATTCCTGGCCTCAAGACTATTATAATCTAATTAGAGGCAAGAGACTGAAAACAAAGTATAATAAATGCTATACGGGATATACAATGTATTCTAATTCTATAACCAAGCCTTTGGAAATTTTATTAGTTTTCTATTGCTGCTATAACAAATTGCCACAAATTTAGTACTTAAAACAACATGAATTTATTCTCTTACAGTCTGGAGGGTGGAAGTTCAAAATGAGTTTCACTGAACTAAAATGAAAGGGTCATCTGGGCTGGTTCTTTCTGGAACCTTTATGGGAGAATCTGTCTTCATGCCCTTTCTACCTTCTAGATGCCACCCGTAATCCATGGCTCAGGGCCCCTCTGACATCTTCAAAGCCAGCTGAGTATCGTCTTCTCTCTTCTCTGGCCTCTGGTCCATTCTTGCACCTTCTCTCTCCGAGTCTGATTCTCCTTCCTCCCTCTTACAAGGATCACTGTGATTACATTGAGTTGAGGTAGATAATCCACTATAATTTCTTCATCTCAAGATCCTAAATTTCATCTGCAAATTCTCTTTTTCCATGTAAAGTAATATTCACACGATTTAGGAATTAGGACATAGACATCATTGTGGGGGAGTGAGGGACATTATTCAGCCTAGCACAAATACTATGGATAATTTCTTGCACATATCAAAATTTGTGTACTTTCAACCATCTTTTGGAATTTTCCTAAGTCATCTTTTTATATGCAAGTCCTCCAAATGTTATGTAATCTGCAGAACTATGCTAATTAGATACAGATATAAAAATTTTGTGAAATAAAACTAAATATATATTAAAAATTTTCCTGTTGTTAATAGTAAACAGTTTGGGTTTAAATGGCAAGTTATACCAGTCCATTAGCTGATTCTCATGTTTCTATACTCATTTTGGCTTGGAAAAACAATTGCATTTTATTTGAGCTCCATTAACAATTTTGAAAAAAAAAATGGCTATATGTATTTGTGTGTATATATACACACTCACACCTCATCACACACACATACTTATATCCATTCCACTAAATATATCCGTTGCAAAAATTTCACACACTCACAAGTATGTTTGGGTTGGAATATTTAGTGTTTAATTAGTTTGGAAGAATTCATAATTACTATATTGAGGAGATTTGGGGTTATGAGTTTACTATTGCTTGAAATTTCTATAATTCCTTTATTATGAAGGTTGAGCAATGTAATTCTCTTGACAGTGTAAATTAATGAAATACCGTAGAGCCCTAATAGATGATTTTCGCAGATTTCTCCATAAGCCGTTATTACTATCTGTCTGCAGAGGCTTATAAACTTTAGGAGCTTCATGGCATCTTCACATCTTGAGACAGATGTTCTGAAATAGTTTTCAATTACATGCCAATTTTTTGCAAGTCTAAGGTAGACTGGGAAGAGAGAATGGAAAGCAAATTCCAGCTTACTTGTAGTCTGACTTTTAGGGGATATCTCAGTTTGAAAGGATTCGTGAGTTCTTGAGGCATTTTCCTTTTTATCACCCCCACTGGATGCCAGCTTATATCACATGAGCACGTGATGTACCTACTATGGAAAGCACTGAACTAGGCTTTTTACACATTCATTTATTCATTCAATAACCATTGAGTTCATATGAGATATATATATATTTTTCAAGGTGCTAAGGATACAGAGTAAAATAAAACACTGTCTTCTCCTTGGAGAAATCCAGGTCTAGTAAGAAAGGACCTGTCACCTATGACTACAATATGATATAATTAATATTGTGATAGATGCAAACAGAGTGTATTATAGGTGCGCTGAAAAAGAGCATATAAATCCAACTTTTAATATGAGAATTTCTTCTTGGTGAATTGAGTTTTGAAATATAAGCAGGAGTTAGTTGAATAGGAAACAGGAAAATTGCATTCTAGGAAGAGGAGCAGCATAGACAAAGCGTGGTTGGTGAAAATGCAGGACATGACATGGCACCTTGAGGTATCAAGGAGAGTTCCCCATAGCTGGAGGAGAGAGAACTTAAAGGAGGCAGTGGCTAGATAATAAATGGTCTTTTTCTAAATTAAGCATTATGGTTTTTTTCCTGTGAGCTACCAGGATAAAATAAAGAAGAATTGGAAGCAGGGTGCTGGGATGGTCCAATTGTACATTAGAAGGATATCTCTGGCACCAGTGAGATGGACATGTTTTTTGATCACCAGGTCTGTTTTGACCTTCTAGAGACTATAATGTGTCCTTGAAGAATAATCTGTAGGACTATATCAGAGTTTCCTGGAACTCACTGCCTTAGGGGTCCATCAATGGATAACCTCACCAGAAGACAAAAGAGAGGAAATAAACATCAGTGAATATATTTCCCTGGTTTCTTTCCTGGTTGTCTCAGAATTACTGTTTCCCTCAACCAAGACAGAACACCTGCAGGTGGCTCCGTCTAGGTGGTACAGCCCCGCCATACTTGTGCTGGGATACTGCACTATCCCCTGTGGTTTCCTTACACTCTGCCTGTTTAGTCCCCTTATTAAACTCTGCTGTAATTCTCCAATATGAATGGACCACTTTTTATACCTTTTATTCTGCCCAAATCCTTACTAATACCACTTTTACTTTTATAACACAGTGAGATTAGTATTATTTTGTCATATTTTACAAGTGAAGATACTTGAATTCTATGTAAGAAGTTATGTAATTTTCTAAGGTCTCAATAAATAGGTGGGAGAACCAGGAATGGAGTGCTCCTCCCTATCTAGAAAGCCCTCCCCTTCTACTCCTATCCCCTCCCCACAGTGCACTAGCAGGACCTCCTTAAGGACTAGGGGAGACCTAGCATTCTGGCAGGAGTGAGGGAGAAACATCTGAAAGGTCTTGTCCCAATATCTCATGCATTTTCACCCTACATTGTGGTAACATGGTGGATCTGTAGAAAATGTAATGTGACTTTCCATGTATTTTGTCTTGTTGAAACAAAACTCATTTTGCCAAGACCTATATTATATATACTATATTTTTATTAAAATATATGACTATTTGAGGTGCATAGTATATTTATCCATTAAATATTATTCCTTCAAGGGATTATAAACTCCACTGAAATAGAAGGTGATAACTTTTTTTCTATCTATTTTATATGAACTTCAACGTACACCCGTCTTCTAATAGGAAGTATTTAACAAATGCTAAAAATATAAATACCAGTGACACTGTAAAAAGATTTTTTTCCAAGCAAAATTCATATGGTTAGCTTGTGTTTTTTCTTTTACGCAAGATATTAAAATAATTTAACTTATTTACATAGAGATTTCTTTCATATTATACCACAATATGGAATAAGGCATTGATATTTTACTAAAGGAACAGATATAAAAGACCAAAACTTTCTTTATACTATCAGTAGTTCCCCTTTTTTTTTTTCAGGATCTAGATTATACTTTCTAATTATATCCCAGCTCCTCCCTCCCCTAGAGTTGTCTTGTCATCTGAACTCTTGGTAAAGTCTTCAAGAATAGAAATGTGTGAAAGTCACTGGTACACTAAAAACCTTAAAAACAGATATGATGCCACCTAGTGGTCCCAAGAAAATGCATTTGCTGGAAGCAAAGTAGATTCAATGAATGTGCATAGAAAATAACTAAGAAAATTGAAGGATTTCAGGCTTAAAAATTAAGGCAAATGCATTTGCTCTCTAAGTATAGATGCCCCTCAACTTGCAAATTGGAAATATCACGAGTGGAAAATGCATTTATCCACCCAACCTACCCGACATCATAACTTAGCCTCGCCTCCCTCAAGTGTGCTCAGAACACTTCCCTTCACCTACAGTTGGGCAAAATCATCTGGCAACACAGGCCACTGAAGAGCCTGGCTTGCCTCCCCTGGTGATGTGATCTCATGGCTGCGTGAGAGCTGCGGCTCCCTGCCACTGTCTAGCAACCACAAGAAAGTATTGCATATCCCTGGCCCAGAAAAAGATTAAGAGTAAAAATTCAGAAATCAAAGTACTGTTTCTACTGAATGCATATCGCTTTCACACAATCATAAAGTTAAAAACTTGTAGATCTAACCATAGTCAAGGACTGCCTGTATATATGTTCTTCACTTATTTAACTTTACATTTCTCAGGGGACAGACTGAATTCATTCTAAAGTGATTTATCTTCTTACAAATCTTTTGTATACTGACAGAATACATTTGAACTAGCAATATAAAAAAGTAGATGAGGCATTCTACAGAAAGATTAGTCTAATCTGAATTAATCAATGAAATAATATTTAATAGGTCATTTGGTGTTGATGTTTAACCCAAGAAAACTTTCAAAGGGGCTCTTCACATTTCTGTGATTTTTTAAATTCATAGCTAACACAGAGCTAAATGAAACGCTATACAACCTTTCACTGTAATATTTACAAATAAACAAATACCCACCTTTCCAAATTCCTCAGAGAATTTAAAATGACAATGGATTTGAAATGCCACAGCCTTCAAGATAATAATTTAGGTGATGTCTGTTATTTAAATTATCAGAATGCCATCATAGAAAGGACTTTGTGTTTAATTTCCTACCTGCCATATTAAAATGTCAAACTATATTATACAAGCTATTAAGGATGACCCCCAAATTTGATTCCATTTTCTATCCAAAAACAAATTTGGTTCAAGGTATGTGCAATATCCACTTTATTACAGGCTAAAGAGAGAAGATAAATACAATATTAATTCTCAGTTTTATCACACAGTCATATCAAATGGAGAAGATGCCTGGCCTTTTGCGCTATATTATTGGAAATAATAAAATAAAGCGTGGTTTAAATTTGAAACACAATTTCCTAATGTAAGTGTGCAAGCTGGTGTGAACTGTGGAGAAGTGAGCATCTGGGGAGAGGACCTAGTGCCGGCTGTGCTTCCCCACATGGATGGCCTCAACTCGATGACTATACATGTTGACCTTCAGATCTTTCAGCACAAAATAATACAGTGTGCTTAGATGACTGTGAAATTCTGCCTGCTTCTACGATGCCACTCTATTTAAGCCGTCAAACTCAGGACTAACAAGAGATTATTTACCTGATTTGCCCTGTAACCATAAAGTTTCAGAAAATTATTTTCCTTTAATTTTGTAAGGCTATTGTGTTCATTAATTACATGTACTCCTCCAGTTGTATAAATTCACCAGGAATAATAATGTTAAAAATCTTGGATACAATTTGCAGAAAACACTAAAGCACATTCATTAAATTTAAACATGTAACTTTGAGACCTTCCACACAGAATTTAAAAAACATTTTCGGCCAGGTGCAGTGGCTCACACCTGTAATCCCAGCACTTTGTGATCCCGAGATGGGCGGATCACATGGTCAAGAGAGCGAGACAATTCTACCCAACATGGTGAAACCCCATCTCTACTAAAAATGCAAAACTCAGGGCCGGGCGCGGTGGCTCACGCCTGTAATCCCAGCACTTTGGGAGGCCAAGATGGGCGGATCACGAGGTCAGGAGATCGAGACCATCCTGGCTAACACGGTGAAACCCCGTCTCTACTAAAAATACAAAAAATTAGCCGGGCGCGGTGGCGGGCGCCTGTAGTCCCAGCTACTCGGGAGGCTGAGGCAGGAGAATGGCGTGAACCTGGGAGACTGAGCTTGCAGTGAGCAGAGATCGCGCCACTGCACTCCAGCCTGGGCCACAGAACGAGACTGGGTCTCAAAAAAAAAAAAAAAAAGAAAAAAAAAATTAGCTGGGCGTGGTGTCATGATGCACCTGTAGTCCCAGCTACTCGGGAGGATGAGGCAGGAGAATTACTTGAACCCAGGAGTTGGAGGTTGCAGTGAGCCGAGATTGCACCACTGCACTCCATCCAGCCTGGCAACAGAGCGAGACTCCGTCTCAAAAAAGAAAGAAAAAAAAAAAAAAAGAAAGAAATTTCATCCGCTTCTGAATTACTTTCTTGAAGGACATCACAATTAATTATGCAAAGGGGGTTTTATTGCATATACTTACATATTTAGGAGGAGATGGAGAAAGGCACAAATAAACCTTCACTACATTTGAATTCATGTGATGGTGAACTATGCCCCTCCCCTGCATTCCATTTATACAGTCTGACTAATAATATGCCTCTATTTAGTTTCCGGCTTCTGGTGGGAATTATATATTAAACATGGCCTAACTTCTTGTTTCTACATTAAGATCATCTTGGGGGAAAAATAGCTATTTCTGCTTTTTTCTAATATATGCCCCATAGTAAGAAGGCATAAACTCATTCTATAGGAAGGGTAATCAATTCCTTAATCATCTCATAAAGGCATAAAAGCAGAAGTTCCTGGTCGAATTCATTTCATTGCCCTTGATCAACAGCAATATCACAGAACTGGACCAAAATGTGTGCCATTCTTAATTTAGAGCAAAAAGACCCTGAAAGAAATTATTAAAATCAACATATGTAGTTATAATATGATACCCTTAGATCAAGTTTGCCTTTTATTTTTTATAAGCTCACACATCTCAGTATAAGAAATATGAGCAACTTTCCACTTTACCCTATAATTCAAGTATGAATATTTAGAAGAATAAAATTTGATTGTTTTCTCAAATATTATATTAAAACCCAAAGAATAAATCAGGAAAGTCCATGAATATTCATGGGTTTCAAACGATGCATCTCTCAGTTTCAATTTAGTGAACATTAATATTCGCTTAAACGTATGAACATAAAACATACAAATATGTATGAATTTCAATACATGATGCTAAAGGCTCTATTTCATTGAGTTGTTAATGACGATATAAATAAAATGAACACGGCTAGAGTATATTATTTTTTCACCAAAATGCCAAAATGCAAATATATCTTTCTAATAAGTTAAAATGGGAATCGGTTTATTACTTGTAATAAAGTGGCTGACAAACCTACTAACCCTCAAGTAATGTTAAAATGAATAACACTTTGGGTAACACATTATTCAAGCTAGGATTTTTTCCCAGCTCTTTCTATGTGCTTTCAAATTTTTTTTCTTTGAAACAGATGTCAGGTTACGGTACCATTATATCCATTTTATAGATGGCTCAAGTAACATTGCAGGATATTAATTAGAAAACAGTTCTTTCTGAGAATAATCTCTTGTTTATATTTTGTTTAACTAAAAGTAAATGTGGTAAGATTTATTCCATATATTTGATCCATTTATATTCAACATCAAACTTTTCATCTGAATCTACACAGAGAGTACTTGTAAACTGATCAGCAATTCGAGTTCATTAAATAAACTATAAAATCCTATTATGTTGGAACTATTATAGGAAAAAAATAGAAAATATTAAAATATAAAAAAGTACAGAATGAATAAAACTATTTTTAGTCTGTATTGAACTCCAAACAACTTGAAAATTTCAAATAAAATTCTTTAGCAAAAGCCTAATAAATTATTTGACGTTAATACAACCATGGCACAATCACTGGTAGCTTTGCTATCAAACAAACAGGTAGATAAAGATGCTATAATTTTATATTCTAGAAATGACTTTTAAAACCATTCAATTGTAAATTAATCTCAACCACAAAGTATGACGTTCCCAAATGTCCTGGTCTTCATTTCTGGTTTGAAAGGTTCAGCCCACTTAACCTCTCTAAGAATCCTATTAAGATCCTCCTACTGATCTACTATTGGGCCAAGACAGAATTCTTTCTCTCTCGGGGACAATGTTTTATTTATAGAATGAGAATAATATCAAAAAGAATTATTTAGAGAAGTTACTGCCGATTAATTCATGACTATAAAGCACTTTTCATGTACTCCACGCTCTTCCTAGGGAATGTAGCCAGAGGCAATTTTACCTTTTCAGATAGTCTTACGTAAAGCCTAAGAATTCTGAACATAGTATTTTTCTAACTGTTTTATTCCTTCCAATCATCTGTAATGACTGGTTGTTTCACATTTCTAAAATGCAAAATATTATATCATCAGAGGCTTTCTCCTGGTTTTATAAGGACAGAAGGCTTCCAGAAGTTGAGATTGTCAGTTAAATATTACGAGCTAACTTTATCAAAACTAAAATAACGTTGTCCTATGCAAATCTGGCTTCAGTACTTTTTTGGTATCTGCCCCACTGCAATATGCTTCCTTACTGAATTATAACATGTTATCTATTAGGGAAAAAAGTCTGAAGAGCAGAATGCCATGAAAAATCTCAGTTAAATTATATGGCCTATGGCTTGTGTTACTTGGATCAAATATTCTCAAGTTAGGTAGTAACATTTAGACTACAATATCATCTGTGTATTTTTTCATTCTTCATTAGCACTATGCCTTAAATTGCCTACTTTGAAGATTTTGTATATCAACCTTAAATAGAAATATACAAATAAGGAAAAATACATAATCTTCTACAAATTATTTATTAAGGTTTTCTCTATTTCATTACAAATTAGAACATTCATCACTGGACAACACTAGAGGTGAAACTGGCACAAAAACTTAAAAAGAGCTGAAGTTGTAGAATATGGATTCTATGTAATATATTTGGCTTTATAATAAATTGTATACTTATATGTGGATATGGGGTTGTCTGAGATTATTGGAATTCAGAAAAGATATTAAAAATGTTAAAAAAAAAAAGGCAGGGGGGAGATTGAAAGTTTAAAAGCCAGGTTCTGCAGGGCTGGGCCCTGCTTAACTTCTTTGTTTTGACTGAGAATATTTCTCTGTATCAGTAGTAGATTTTAAATATACAGTGGTTTGTATACATCAGAGAACCAAGTTCATAATTTGCCAAAAAATTTCCAGACATTACAGTCACTTGTTTTAAAGGGATAATAATATCGCCCATTTGTCAAACTGGGAAAAGGGAGAAGAACAAAGCAAAATTCACTGAAGATCTACCATCAATCAGATTTTTTAATGTACTTTAATACGCAAGATCACATTTGTACTCCCTCATTTCTATGTCATTCTGGAAACAGAGGACCTTGTCTCAGGTGGATTCTGAGAACTCTTCTCAAAATTGACAGGATATTCTATCCCTGTCCTAAGTATTGCTCTTCTCACTTAAGCAAATCATCGCTTTTCTTTCTGGGCTGGAATACTGCAGACTACATTGTAGGAATAAGACTAAACAAAGAAGAAGATAATGTTAACAAAAACATTCTGTAACTTAATTAAGCATCATACCTCAACATTGGGAAGAGTTTATATTATGCAAGTATTTTATGTATATAAGTATTTATTAAGTCAACACTTGCCCCTACCAAGACAGCATCTTTAGGCTAGCAAAACTGCATCTTCATTTTCTGCACCAAATCAAGTCTCCTCATTCTCATATCAGCAATCTGATGATTTTTGCAGCGAACTTGTGGTGAAACTACTATGGGACCAAGATACGGTGGCCTTAGGTGAGGTGAGGGAGGGTGGCGAGCCTCAGCCAAGATCAGCTGTTCTCCCTTTTCATAAATAAACACCTCAGGATGTTGCTTGCCATTGTTGATTTTAAAAGTGCTGCCACGGTTGCTGTCACAATTTTACCCAGCTAAACACGTGTTTTGGGAGGAGTGAAGATTCACCTGCTTATTCACACCGTCACAATCAGAAGTCCTTTCACTCTTCCCTTTATCTTTGAAATATAATTTTCCATGACAGTAAATATTCAAAATGTATAAATAAAGAAACCATTTTGGGGAAAATTTCGGTATTGAATAAGTTATCATTTAATTTTTATCATATATAGAACATATTTACAGGGGCCAAAACAATACTTCAGAGACATAATAAATACAATAAACAGTTGATTTAGTGGCAGTACAAAAGAATAATCAGTAGTATATTTACACAATAAGATTACTTATTTATGCAGTAGTGTGCAGAAGCTCTTTAGTTTAATTAGATCCCATTTGTCAATTTAGCTTTTGTTGCAATTTCTTTGGCATTTTTGTTGTGAAACCTTTGCCCATGCCTATATACCTGAATAGTATTGCCTAGGTTTTCTTCCAGGGTTTTTATGGTTTGGGGCTTTATATTTAAGTCTTTAATCCCTCTTGAGTTAATTTTTGTATAAGGTGTAAGGAAGGGGTCCAGTTTCAGTTTTCTGCATATGGCTAGCCAGTTTTCCCAGAACCATTTATTAAATAGGGAATCCTTTCCCTATTGATTGTTTTTGTCGGGTTTGTTGAAAATCAGATGGTTGTAAATGTGTGGTGTTATTTCTGAGGCCTCTGTTCTGTTCCATTGGTCTATATGTCTGTTTTGGTACCAATAGCATGCTGTTTTGGTTACTGTAGCTGTAGCATAGTTTGAAGTCAGGTAGCATGATGCGTCCAGCTTTGTTCTTTTTGCTTAGGGTTGTCTTGGCTATCTGGGCTCTTTTTTGTTCCAAATGAAAGTTAAAGTAGTTTTTTTCTAATTCTGTGAAGAATGTCAATGGTAGTTTGATAGAAATACCATTGAATCCATAAAATCTATAAATTGCTTTAGGCAGTATGGCCATTTTCATGATATTGGTTCTTCCTATACATGAGGATGGAATGTTTTTCCATTTGTTTCTGTCCTGTCTCATTTCCTTGAGCAGTGGTTTGTAGTTCTCCTTGAAGAGGTCCTTCACGTCCCTCATTAGCTGTATTCCTAGGTATTTTATTCTCTTTGTAGCAGTTGTGAATGGGAGTTCATTCATGATTTGGCTCTCTGCTTGTCTATTGTTGGTATATAGAAATGCTTGAGATTTTTGCACATTCATTTTGTATCCTGAGACTTTACTGAAGTTGTTTATCAGCTTAAGGAGTTTTTGGGCTGAGACGGGGTTTTCTAAATATGGAATCATGTCATCTGCAAACAGAGACAACTTGACTTCCTCTCTTCCTATTTGAATACCCTTAGTTTCTTTCTCTTGCCTGATTGCCCTAGCCAGAACTTCCAATACTATGTTGGGTAGGAGTGGGGAGAGAGGGCATCCTTGTCTTGTGCTGGTTTTCAAAGGGAATGCTTCCAGTTTTTGCCCATTCAGTATGATATTGGCTGTGTGTTTGTTATAAATATGGTATTATTTTGAGATATGTTCCATCAATACCTAGTTTATTCAGAGTTTTTATCATGAAGAGATGTTGAATTTTATCGAAGGACATTTCTGCATCTACTGAGATAATCATGTGGTTTTTGTCACTGGTTCTGTTTATGTGATGGATTACATTTATTGATTTGCATGTGTTGAACCAGCCTTGCATCCCAGGGATGAAGCTGAATTGATCGTGGTGGATAAGCTTTTTGATGTGCTGCTGGATTTGGTTTGCCAGTATTTTATTGATGATTTTCACATCAATGTTCATCAGAGATATTGGCCTGAAGTTTTCTGTTTTTGTTGTGTCTCTGCCAGGCTTTGGTATCAGGATGATGCTGGCCTCATAAAATGAGTTAGGGAGGAGTCTTTCCTTTCAATGGTTTGCAATAGTTTCAGAAAGAACAGTAGTAGCTCCCATTTGTACTTCTGGTAGAATTCAGCTGTGAATCTGTCTGGTCCTTGGCTTTTTTTTGGTTGGCAGGCTATTAGTTACTGCCTTAATTTCAGAACTTGTTATTTGTCTATTCAGGGATTCAACTTCTTTCTGGTATAGTCTTTGGAAGGTGTATGTGTCCAGGAATTTATTCATTTCTTCTAGATTGTCTAGTTTATTTGCTTACAGATGTTTATAGTATTCTCTGATGGTAGTTTGTATTTCTGTGGGGTCAGTAGTGATATCCCCTTTATCATTTTGTATTGTGTCTATTTGATTATTCTCTCCTTTCTTCTTTTTTAGTCTAGCTAGTGGTCTATCTATTTTGTTAATTTTAAAAAAAACAGGTCCTGGATTTGTTGATTTTTTGTAGGTTTTTTTTTGTGTCTCTATCTCTTTCAGTTCTACTCTGATCTTAGTTATTTCTTGTCTTCTCCTTAGCTTTGGATTTGTTTGCTCTTGCTTCTCTGGTTCCTTTTTTTTCCCCCTGAGATGGAGTCTTGCTCTGTCACCCAGGCTGGAGTGCAGTGGTGCAATCTCGGCTCACTGCAACCTCTGCCTCCCAAGTTCAGGCAATTCTCCTGCCTTGGCCTCCCAAGTACCTGGGATTACAGGCATCTGCCACCATGCCCAGCTAATTGTTATGTATTTTTAGTAGAGAAAGGATATCATGTTGGCCAGGCTGGTCTCGAACTCCTGATCTCAGGTGACTCACCTGCCTCAGACTCCCAAAGTGCTAGGATTACAGTCTTGAGCTACCACACTTGGCCCTCTGGTTCTTTTAATTGTGATGTTAGGGTGTTCATTTGAGATCTTTCTAGCTTTCCAACGTGGGCATTTAGTGCTATCAATTTCCCTCAACACACCTTTAGCTGTGTCCTAGAGATTCTGGTACATTGTCTCTTTGTTCTTATTGGTTTCAAAGAACTTCTTGATTTCTGCCTTAATTATTTACCGAGGAGTCATTCAGGAGTAGGTTGTTCAATTTCCATGTAGTTGTATTGTTTTGAGTGAGTTTCTTAATCCTGAGTTCTAATTTGATTGAACTGTGGTGTGAGAGACTGTTTTTGTTTTAATTTCAGTGCTTTTGCTTTTGCTGAGGAGTTTTTTGCTTCCAATTATGTGGTCAATTTTAGAATAAGTGTCATGTGGCACTGAGAGGAATATATAGTCTATTGATCTGGGGTGGAGAGTTCTGTAGATGTCTATTAGGTCTACTTGGTCCAGAGCTCAGTTCAAGTCCTGAATATCCTTGTTAATTTTGTCGTGTTGATCTATCTAATACTGACAGTGGGGTGTTAAAGTCTTCCATTAATTTTGTGTGGGAGTCTAAGTCTCTTTGTGGGTCTTTAAGAACTTGTTTTATGAATATGGGTGCTCCTGTATTGGGTGCATATATATTTAGGATAGTCAGCTCTTCTTGTTGCATTGATCCCCTTACCATTATGTAATTCCCTTCTTTGGTCTTTGTTGGTTTAAAGTCTGTTTTGTCAGAGACTAGGGTTGCAACCTCTGGTTATTCTTTGCTTTCTATTTTCTTGGTAAATGTTCCTTTATTTTGAGACTATAATGTGTCTGCATTTGAGATGGGTCTCTTGAATACAGAACACCAACGGGTCTTGACTCTTTAACCAATTTGCCAGTCTGTGTCTTTTAATTGGGGCATATAGCCCATTTACATTTAAGGTTAATATTGTTATGTGTAAGTTTGATCCTGTCATCATTATGCTAGCTGGTTATTTTGCCCATTAGTTGATATAATTTCTTCATAGTGTCAATGGTCTTTACAATTTGGTATGCTTTTGCAGTGGCTGGTACCAGTTGTTCCTTTCCATATTTACTACTTCCTTCAGAAGCTCTTGCAAGGCAGGCCTGGTGGTGATGAAATCTCTCAGCATTTGCTTGTCTGAAAAAGATTTTATTTCTCCTTTGCTTATGAAACTGTTTGACCAGATATAAAATTCTGGGTTGAAAATTCTTTTCTTTAAGAATGTTGAATATTGGCTCCACTATCTTCTGGTTTGTAGAGTTTCTGCTGAGGGATCCACTGTTAGTCTGATGGGCTTCCCTTTGTAGATGACTGGGCCCTTCTCTCTGGCTGCCTTTAACATGTTTTCCTTCATTTTGACCTTGGAGAATCTGATGATTATGTGTCTTGGGGTTGATTTTCTCTTGAAGTATCTTAGTGGTGTTCTCTGTGTTTCCTGAATTTGAATGTTGGCTTCTCTTGCTAGGTTGGGGAAGTTCTCCTGGATAATATCCTGAAGTGTGTTTTCCAACTTGGTTCCATTCTCCCCATTTCTTTCAGATACTGCAATCAATTGTAGGTTCAGTGTTTTTACATGCTCCCATATTTCTTGGAGGTTTGGTTTGCTGCTTTTCATTCTTTTTTCTCTAATCTTGTATGCCTGTCTTATTTCAGCAAGATAGTCTTCAATCTCTGATATCCTTTCTTCTGCTTGGTCGATTTGGCTATTGATACTTGTGTATGCTTCACAAAGTTCTTGTGCTGTGTTTTTCAGCTCCATCAGGTCATTTATGTTCCTCTCTAAACTGGTTACTCCAGTTAGCAGCCACGGTAACCTTTTATCAAAGTTCTTAGCTTCTTTGCATTAGGTCAGAGGATGCTTCTTTACCTGAGTGGAGTTCGTTCTTACTCACCTTCCGAAGCCTACTTCTGTCAATTCGTCCATCTCATCCTCCATCCAGTTCTGCACCCTTGCTGGAAAAGTGTTGCAATCATTTGAAGAAGAAGAGGCACTCTGGCTTTTTGGGGTTTCAGTGTTGTTTTGTTAATTCTTTCTAATCTTCATGAGTTTGTCTAGTTTCAATCTTCGAGGCTGCTGAGGTTTTTGTGGGAATATTTTTTGTTCATGCTGTTGTTGTTGCTTTCTGTCTATTTGTTTTTCCCTCAATAGTCAGGTTCCTCTTCTGTAGGTCTGCTGCGGTTTGCTGCAGGTTCACTTCAAGTTCTATTCATCTGGTTCACTACAGCATCTGGAGATGTCACTTGAGGAGGCTCGAAAACAACAAAGATGGGTGCCTGCTCCTTCCGCTGGGATCTCTGACTTGAGGAGCACTGACCCGATGCCAGTGGGAGTGGTCCTGTATAGGGTGTCTGATAATCCCTGTTGAAGGGTTTCATCCGGTTGGGTGGCACAGGACGCAGGACCTGATTAACAAAGCACTTTGGCTGTCCCTTGGTGGAGCGGCTATGCTGTGCTGAAGGAAAACCCACTCATCTGGGCTGCCCAGATTCCTCAGAACTAGCAGGAGGAAAGACTAAGTCTGCTGGCTTGCACTTAGCCCCTCCCACTAGGGGCTCAGGCCCAGGGAGATCAGAGTTCTGTCTTTGAGCCCCTGGCTGGAGTTGTTGGAGTTCCTGCAGGGAGGCCCAGCCTGGTGAGGAGGGATGGGGCAGGGTCAGACCTGAAGAGACACTCTGGCTGCAGTCTGCCACAGCCGGTGTGATGGACTGTGGGGAATACCTCTTGGGACCAAGCCATCCCTTGCTCCAGCAGGGAGAGAAGTGCAGCCTGGAGCTATGGCAATGGCTGCCACCCTTCCCCCACCCTGGGAACTTAGTGTGTTAGGCAGCTATCAGTCCTAGTATTGGCTGCTGTCCCTCCCATAACAAGCTCAGATGGCTTAGACAGCAGGCAGCTGTAGCTGTGGTGATGACCACCCCCTCCCCTCAGGAACTCGGCAGGCTTTGGCATATGCTAGCTGAGTGACTGTTGAGAATCTCTGAAGCTTATTGTTTGCGACCCCAGGCCCAGGTGGTGTGGGATCATGAGTAGGATCTTGTGACTTTGGGTTGCACAGTGCCATGGAAAAAGCACAGTTTCCCGGGCTGAACTGCTCTTCCTTCCTCTCCAGCCAGTGTGACTGACACACATAGTCAGTGTGATGATAGAACCTGGATACCTTGATTGATGGTGCAGAATTAGCATGCTGTTTCAGTTCTTTTTGATGGGAGACCCCGACCGCCACTTCTAGTTGGCCATATTGGCCCCACCCCTGCCTTCAATTATTTATATGAATTGTTTATGAACCTTTTTCTTTACACATTATTGAAAATAATTTTTATTACAATGCTCTCCTTTACACATTTTTATGGTCTTTAAAATTTTTATTCTGAATTTAAGCAGTTGAAATGAATAGAATTTCAATTTTATTTCTACTATTAAACTTTTAAATTAAAAATTAAAAATTCTCATTTTATACGTATCCAGTGGAGATCTAAATAGTCACCATTGTCCATATACAAACATACATAATTTTTCAATTTTTTTTAATAATTTGAAATTGTATATCATTTATCTTTATTTTTATCCTTAAACTATTATTTATTTATTTATTTATTTATTTATTTTTTGAGACAGAGTCTTACTCTGTTGCCCAGGCTGGAGTGCTGTGACATGATCTTGGCTCACTGGAACCTCTGCCTCCTGGGTTCAAGCGATTCTCTTGCCTCAGCCTCCTGAGTAGCTAGGACTATGGGTGTGCACCCCTACACCTGGCTTTTTTTTTTGTAGAGATGAAGTTTTACCATGTTGCCCAGGCTAGTCTTGAACTCCCGACCTCAAGTGATCTACCCATCTCAGCCTCTCAAAGTACTGGGATTCCAGGTGTGAGCCACCATGCCTCGCCATATTTTTCTCCTTAAACTCTTAATTCTCTACTACCTCTACTACTTACTCTTGAAAATTTCATTTATAAAATAGAATTTAAGATATATAAATTTAGAAGTTTAACGTATATATGTCTTATGCTTTTTTTTAGCAAATAGTATCTCTGTAAGAAGATCCAGAATTTTGTGTAACTAATTTTTCTGCATAAAATTGTTATTTATTGCATTACAAATAAAACATTTGTAATTTATTATAACAAAGTAAATATGATAGCTATTAAACAAAAATTGAAATTTTATTAGAATGATATCTCTTAATAGATGGTGAAAGTCTTTCAATATTTTCCTTACTTGGTATTTTTTTAACAACATTTCAGGACCCCATTCGTGAATATTGGAGACATTTAAGCATTAATTCTACTCTAATTGTTGATAGATGTAAGACTTACAAAGAAGAAGCCATGTTTTTAGAAATTAGATGGGAACTATAGGGCTTTTATTACAAGAAAAATATGTAATACTTTTAATTCCTTCTGAGTTAAATGTCAAAAAATACATGGCGATTCATCATCAAAAATGTAGAAAGTTCTTTTTGGTGTTTGTGAAATTCTATTGAAAATAATTTCTTAGCACTGATCAGTATAATTATTTTATATACAGTCATTAAATTCATTCCCCTCAATATCAAGAACAACAGGTTCCACTTTAATTTCTTCAGTGCTATTAAGGTAAGGCACCATAGAGAAATACAGGATATGCCAGAAGCATGGCATTGTTTTGTATACTGGGAGAAGATAAATTGCAAAATGAGAGTGAAAAATTAAAACCAATGTGACTGCTTAGCCAAGGGACTGTTTCAGGAAGATCAGTTTAGACAATAAATACAGAGAGAGTTCTAAGCTCTTGAAATTGATGCCTTATAAATACCAATGCCCATGTAACTGTGTCATATTCATTGAGTAATGATAACTCAGTTCTGAGACTGTTGATGTACACTGAACTCTAAATGTACAATACTAGCCTACAATAAGTCAATTAAACATGTCTAATGTGAAGCTACATGTGAAGGAGGGCTGTGGATATACCCTCCAGTATGTAGTGTACTTAAAAATTGCAGGTTTAATTCATTAATATAAAATAATCTTAAATAAGTTTTCACATAAAAATCAAATGATTTGCAAATCCTAATACCCGATTTTAATTTATCTTAAATCATTGTGACTAATATGAACTATTAAGATGCTTTGAGAGTCTAGTATTAGAAAAGAGAATGTGAGCCAATTACAATCGCTATTTATCAAGACTAACTGCTTGTTTACCAGTATTTGCTTCGAAACCTTTGGTTCCCCCTGCACACTAATCATAGGCCTTGATGAAAAAACCTAAGTAAAAGAGCTGTTAACTTGTTTAACATTGTAACATTAATCTCTTAGACATTTAAATATACATCTCTCATTAAAGAGACACAAACCATCCTTGAATTACTGGAAAACTGTTCAGACTGCATACCTGAAAGTGAAGGTTTCTAGAAATTTTCCAGAAACAAATGATTTTGGAGAAGACAGCTTCTAAGGAAGACCTTCTGACTGCATGAAGTAGACATCTTCCATGTAAGAATCACAAGATTCAGAAAACTGAAACCTTTCATTATCACACTGTAATCTTAAAGTTTTTATTTTTCTCTACCCAACATTTTTATTCATCTTTGCTAGTTTATAATTCTGCATTATCTTAGACATTTATGATAAATTTAAAATTTTTTTTCCTTTAGTATTTTTCATCTTCCTTCTTCAGTGTCTCCTTGGTATTAGCTTATATGCTAGTGACTAGGCAGCTAAAACATAAATCAAACAACTGTTGAGCTGGTATCACTTTCCTTCGAGTGCACCCAGCTTTCTTTGATACCAGTTTCTTGTAAAGTTGGTTTCTTGCATAATTAGACTCACCCAATGAGCAACTTTTTAGAAAGCAATCAACCCAAGACTCTTGTCATCCAGTAATTTAAAACCACCTGTCATATTCTTTCTAGACAGAGATGTTGCTCTTTCCATAAAAACAACACTTTTTGTAGGAACCAGATTTTTAAATCTAAACCTACACAGAAATAGACTTTAAAACACAGAAACTACATATTGTAGGGCCATGATCTTACTTTTGTAAGTCATAAAATATAGGAACACTACTCAGTGCCATTAGGAGCACTACTCAACCCAAATATTTTTGCTAAAGAATTACCTGATGATCTCTATTTTATAAATTTCATCAATAGATTCCAGGACTACTCTTGGTGAGTGGTAGCAAAACATCTCTAAACTATTCCAAAATCATATAGGGTAGTTTGGTACATACACACACACACACACACACACACACACACACACACACACACACACAAAATTATTGGATAGCTCTGAAAAACTGATAATGAATTTGTAGTACAAAAACATTTTGGCTACTATATTTAAACTAAACATGACTATTATTATTTTGAAAAAATAAAAACTGTCTTCAGAATATTTCTGATTTCACTGAGTTCATTTTGTCCATCAGTTTTTCCTTTCATAATCCAAAAAGAGGAAATGCTGAACCTTTAATTAATACAAAGCACACATGTATGCACGCAAAGGAAGATCTTGCCTACTTTCCTCTATACCTAAGCGTCTTCATTTCAGGCTTTAAAAGACATGTGGAGAAGATGGCCTAATAGGAACAGCTCTGGTCTGCAGCTCCCAGCGAGGTTGACACAGAAAGTGGGTGATTTCTGCATTTCCAACTGTGGTACCTGGTTCATCTCACTGGGACTGTTTGGATAGTGTGTGCAGTCCACGGAGGGCAAGCTGAATCAGGGTGGGGCATCGTCTCACCTGGGAAGTGCAAGGGGTCAAAGGAAGCTGTAAAAGACTGTACCGGGAGGAATGGTGCACTCCAGCCCAGATACTGCACTTTTCCCACGGTCTTTGCAACTGGCAGACCGGGAGATTCCCTCCGATGCCTACGACACCAGGGCCCTGGGTTTCAAGCACAAAACTGGGCAGCCATTTGGGCAGACACTGAGCTAGCTGCAGGAGTTTATTTTTTGTACCCTAGTGGCACCTGGAATGCCAGTGAGAGAGACCTGTTCTCTCCCATGGAAAGAGGGCTGAAGTCAGGGTGCCAAGTGGTCTGGCTCAGCTAGTCCCATGCCACAGAGCCCAACGAGCTAAGATCCACTGGCTTGAAATCCTCGCTGCCAGCACAGCAGTCTGAGGTCAACCTGGGATGCTTGAGCTTAGTGTGGGGAGGGGCGTCTGCTATTGCTGAGGCTTGAGTAGGCAGTTTTACCCTCACAGTGTAAACAAAGCCACTGGGAAGTTCAAACTGGGCAAAGCCCACTGCAGCTCAGCAAGGCCACTGTGGACACATTGCTTCTCTAGATTCCTCCTCTCTGGGCAGGGTATCTCTGAAGAAAGGCAGCAGCCACAGTCAGGGACTTATACATAAAATCCCCATATCCCTGAGACAGAGCACCTGGGGGAAGAAGCGGCTGTGGGTGCAGCTTCAGCAGACCTAAACATCCCTGCCTGGTAGCTCTGAGGAGAGCAGTGGACCTCCCAGCACAGCATTAGAGATCTGATAAGGGACAGACTGCCTCCTCAAGTGGGTCCCTGACCCCCGAGTATCCTGACTGGGAGACACCTCCCAGTAGGGGCTGACAGACACCTCATATAAGAGAGCTCTGGCTGGCATCTAATAGGTGCCCCTCTAGGATGAAGCTTCCAGAGGAAGGAACAGGTAGCAATCTTTGATGTTCTGCAGCCTCCACTGGTGATACCCAGGCTAACAGGATCTGGAGTGGACCTCCAGCAATCTCCAGCAGACCTGCAGCACAGGGGCCTGACTGTTTGAAGGCAAATTAACAAACAGAAAGGAATAGTATCAACATCAACAAAAGGACATCCACTCAGAGACCCCCATCTGAAGATCACCAACATCAAAGACCAAAGGTAGATAAATCCATGAAGATGGGGAGAAACCAGTGCAAAAAGGCTGAAAATTCAAAAAGCCAGAACCCCTCTTCTCCTCCAAAGGATCACAACTCCTTGCCAGCAAGGGAACAAAACTGGACAGAGAATGAGTTTGACAAATTGACAGAAGTAGGCTTCAGAAGGTGGTTAATAACAAACTCCTCCTAGCTAAAGAAGCATGTTCTAACCTAATGCAAGGAAGCTAAGAACCTTGAAAAAAGAACTAGACTAACCAGTTTAGAAAAGAACATAAATGACTTAATGGCACTGAAAAACACAGCACGAGAACTTCATGAAGCATACACAAGTATCAATAGCCAAATCGATCAAGGGGAAGAAAGGATATCAGAGATTGAAGATCAACTTAATTAAATAAAGTGAGAAGACAAGATTAGAGAAAAAGAAGTGAAAAGAAATGAACAAATCCTCCTAGAAATAAGGGACTATGTGAAAACACCAAATCTACACTTGACTGGTGTACCTAAAAGTGATGGGGAGAATGGAACCAAGTTGGAAAACACCCTCCAGGGTGTTATCCAGGAGAACTTCCCCAACCTAGAAAGACAGGCCAACATTCAAATTCAGGAAATACAGAGAACACCGCAAAGATACTCCTCGAGAAGAGCAACCCCAAGACACATAATCGTCAGATTCACCAAGGTAGAAATGAAGGAAAAAATGTGAAGGGAAGTCAGAGAAAGGTCAGGTTACCCACAAAGGAAAGCCCATCAGACTAACAGCGGATCTCTTGGCAGAAATCCTACAAGCCAGAAGAGAGTGGGGGTCAATATTCAACATTCTTGAAGAAAACAATTTTCAACCCAGAATTTCATATCCAGCCAAACTAAGCTTCATAAGTGAAGGAGAAATAAAATCTTTTTCAGACAAGCAAATTCTGAGAGATTTTGACACCACCAGGCCTGCCTTACAAGAGCTCCTGAAGGAAGCATTAAACATGGAGAGGAACAAACCAGTACCAGCCACTGCAAAAACATACCAAATTGTAAAGACCATAGACACTATGAAGAAACTATATCAACTAATAGGCAAAATAACCAGTTAGCATCATAATGACAGGATCAAATTCACACATAACAATATTATACTAAATGTAAATGGGTTACGTGCCCCAATTAAAAACACAGACTGACAAATTGGATAAAGAGTCAAGACCCATTGGTGTGCTATATTCAGAAGACCCATCTCAGGTGCAGAGACACACATAGGCTCAAAATAAAGGGATGGAGGAATATTTACCAAAGCAAATGGAAAGCAAGAAAAAAGCAGGGTTTGCAATCCTAGTCTCTGATAAAACAGACTTTAAGCCAACAAAGATCAAAAAAGACAAAGAAGGGCATTACACAATGGTAAAGGGATCAATGCAACAAGAAGAGCTAACTGTCTTAAATATATATGCACCCAATACAGGAGCACCCAGATTCATAAAGCAAGTTCTTAGAGATCTATAAAGAGACTGAGACAACCACACAATTATAATGGGAGACTTTAACACCCCACTGTCAATATTAGACAGATCAACAAGAGAGAAAATTACTAAGGATATCCAGGACTTGAACTCAGCTCTGGACCAAATGGACCTAATAGACGTCTACAGAACTCTCTACCCCAAATCAACAGAATATATATTTTTCTCAGCACTTCATCGCACTTATTCTAAAATTGACCACATAATTGGAAGTAAAACATTCCTCAGTAAATGCAAAAAACGGAAATTATAACAAACAGTCTCTCAGGCCACATTGCAATCAAATTAGAACTCAGGATTAAGAAACTCGCTGAAAACCACACAACTACATGGAAACTGAACAACCTGCTCCTGAATGACTACTGGGTAAATAACAAAATTAAAGCAGAAATAAAGATGTTCTTTGAAACCAATGAGAACAAAGACACAACGAACCAGAATCTCTGGGACACGTTTAAAGCAGTGTGTAGAGAGAAATTTACAGCACTAAATGCCCACAAGATAAATTGGGGAAGATCTAAAATCAACACCCTAACATCACAATTAAAAGAACTTGAAAAGCAAGAGCAAACAAATTGAAAAGATATTATAAGGCAATAAATGACTAAGATCAGAGCAGAACTGAAGGAGATAGAGACATGAAAAATCCTTCAAAAAAAATCAATGAATCCAGGAGCTGGTTTTTTGAAAAGATTAACAAAATAGATAGACCATTAGCCAGACTACTAAAGAAGAGAGAAGAATCAAATCGACACAATAAAAAATGATGAAAGGAATATCACCACTAACAGAAATATAAACTACCATCAGAAAATACTTTAAACACATCTACACAGATACATTAGAAAATCTAGAAGAAATCGATAAATTCCTGGACACATACATCCTCCCAATTCTAAGCCATAAAGAAGTCAAATCCCTGAATGGACCAATAACAAGATCTGAAATTGAGGCAGTAATTAATAGCCTACCAACCAATAAACATAATCCATCACATAAACAGAACCAATGACAAAAACCACATGATTATTTCAATAGATGCAGAAAAGGCCTTCGACAAAATTGAACAGCACTTCATGCTAAAAACTCTCAAAAAAACTAGGTATTGATGGAACGTACTTCAAAAAAAAAATATGAGCTACTTATGACAAACACACAGCCAATACCACACTGAATGGGCAAAAACTGGAAGCATTCCCTTTGAAAACCGGCACAAGACAAGGATGCCCTCTCTTCCCCACTCCTATTCAACATATTATTGGAAGTTCTGGCAGGGTCAATCAGGCAAGAGAAAGAAATAAAGGGTATTCAATTAGGAAAAGAGGAAGTCAAATTGTCTCTGTTTGCAAATGACATGATTGTATATTTAGAAAACCCCAACGTCTCAGCCCAAAATCTCCTTAAGCTGATAAGCAACTTCAGCCAAGTCTCAGGATATAAAATCAATATGCAAAAATCACAAGCATTCCTACACAACAATAACAGACAAACAGAGAGCCAAATCATGAGTGAACTCCCATTCACAACTGCTACAAAGAGAATAAAATACCTAGGAATACAACTTACGAGGGATGTGAAGGATCTCTTCAAGAGAACTACAAACCACTGCTCAAGGAAATAAGACAGGACAGAAACAAATGGAAAAACATTTCATGCTCATGGATAGAAAGAATCAATATCATGAAAATGGTCATACTGCCCAAAGTAATTTACAGATTCAATGCTATTACCATCAAGCTACTATTGACTTGCTTCACAGGATTAGAAAAAACTACTTTAAATTTCATATGGAACCAAAAAAGAGCACACATAGCCAAAACAATCGTAAGCAAAAAGAACAAAGCTGGAGGCATCATGCTACCTGACTTCAAACTATACTACAAAGCTACAGTAACCAAACCAGCATGGTACTAGTACCAAAACAGAGATATAGACCAATGGAACAGAACAGAGCCCTCAGAAATAACACCACACATCTACAACCATCTGACCTTTGACAAACCTGACAAAAACAAGCAATGGGAAAAGGATTCCCTATTTATTAAATGGTGTTGGGAAAACTGGCTAGCCATATGCAGAAAGATGAAACTGGATCCCTTCCTTACACCTTATAAAAAAAATTAACTGAAGATGGATTAAAGACTTAAACATAAGATCTAAAACCATAAAATCCCTAGAAGAAAACCTAGGCAATACCATTCAGAACATAGGCATGGGCAAAGACTTCATGACTAAAACACCAAAAACAATGGCAACAAAAGCCAAAATAGACAAATGGGATCTAATTAAACTAAAGAGCTTCTGTACAACAAAAAAAAACTACCATCAGAGTGAACAGGCAACCTACAGAATGGGAGAAAATTTTTGGAATCTACTCATCTGACAAAGGTGTAATATCCAGAATCTACAAAGAAGTTAAACAAATGTGCAAGAAAAAAAAACCATCAAAAAATGGGCAAAGGATATGAACAGACACTTCTCAAAAGAAGACATTTATGCTTCCAATAAACGTATGAAAGCTCAACATCACTGATCATTAGAGAAATGCAAATCAAAACCACAATGAGATACCATCTCATGCCAGTCAGAATGGTTATTTTTGAAAAGTCAAGAAACAACAGATGCTGGCAAGGCTATGGAGAAATAGGAATGCTTTTACACTGTTGGTGGGAGTGTAAATTAGTTCATCCATTGTGGAAGACAGTGTGGCGATTCCTCAAGGATCTAGAACTAGAAATACCATTTGACCCAGCAGTCTCATTGCTGGGTATATACCCAAAAGATTATAAATCATTCTACTATAAAGACACATGCACACGTATGTTTATTGGGGTACTGTTCACAATAGCAAAAACTTGGAACCAACCCAGATGTCCATCAATGATAGACTGGATAAAGAAAATGTGGCACATATATACCATGGAATACTATTCAGCCATAAAAACGGATGAGTTCACACCCTTTGCAGGGACATGGATGAAGCTGGAAACCATAATTCTCAGCTAACTAACACAAGAACAGAAAACCAAACACCACATGTTCTCACTCATAAGTGGGAATTGAACAATGAGAACACATGGACACAGGGAGGGGAACATCACACACTGGGGCCTGTCAGGGGGTGGCGTCCTAGGGGAAGGATAGCATTAGGATAAATACCTAATATAGATGACGGGTTGATGGATGCAGCAAACCACCATGGCACGTGTATACCTATGTAACAAACCTGTACATTCTGCACATGTACCTTAGAACTTAGAGTATAATAAAATAAATAAATAATAAAAGACTTGGAAAATGGAAAAAATGTTACATGTGACAGTTCAGAGATTGACAAGGAAGAGAGAAATGACCTTAAGACCATAGAAGTCCTAGTCTTAGAGGTACTGAAATTGGACAGTTGATGTTTCAAAATTAAGTGGCTTTAGACACAATGCTGACCTCTTTAGGTGGAAAATACATTTTTTAAAGGACTGTTGTCTTCTCATTGCTACACAGATTTGTGGGAATCTTTCATTTTATTAAAAATATCAGGGAACTAAGCAATCATGAAATTAGGTAAATTTAACTCCCTATCTGGCTCTGTAAACTCTGAGGGCTGTCATAAAATCTGTTCATTTGGCTTACCTTGGGCATTTTTGGTCCCTGAAATAGACCTAGACTTAAACTGGTGATCAAATCTTTCTCTTAATATTATGTTACAGGGCTGCTCTCTCTAGTCTTAAATACTGCTTTCTAGCCACTGTACCGTCAAATGATCAAATGTGAGATATTCCACTGAAAGAGAGAGAGAGAGAGATGGGTGGGGAGAAAGAGCAGCAAGCAAGCTTGTAAAGATTTAAACAACTACCATCAAAAACTGTATGAGTAATCATGACACACTGAGTAGTGATACAGATCCAGATTGATCATATCCCCTAAAAATAATATTCTATCCTTCAGCTTAGACGGAAAAATGTAAAAGTAGGGGACTGAAAATTGAAACCAACAAACTTCAGCTGCTCCTTTGTTAAATAATTTTGGAATCCTAAGAACTTTTCATGTCTACTTAGAATATTGCCTTTTTGTTGTTGTTGCTAGGGGGAGTCTCGGTCTTGTCGCCCAGGCTGGAGTACAGTAGCACGATCTTGCACATGGCAACCTCCGCCTCCCAGGTTCAAGTGATTCTCCTGCCTCAGCCTCCCGAGTGGCTGGGATTACAGGCAACTGCCACCATGCCCGGCTAATTTTTGTATTTTTACTAGAGACGGGGTTTCACCATGTTGGCCAAGCTGGTCTCGAACTCCTGACCTCAGGTGATTCTCCCGCCTCAGTCTCCCATAGTGTTGGGATTACAGGCGTGAGCCACCGCGCCCGGCCAGGATATTGCTTTCTTTAAAACGGTACTGAGAATGAGAAGAAGTAATTCAGCTGTTTACTCCAGGAAATATTTGCTCCTGAGAAATAATATTATTTGCAAGATAAAATAGTTTACTTAACAGTTTGCTCATCTATACTTGCTTCAAAACTTTGCTTCAGTGTGCCCACCAATCTGAAGCTATTCTGTGTTAAATTCTGCCCATTCCCTCCCTTCCTTCTGTCTTGAAAGATTTGCCTTGAAATCAATCTATTCAAGCTCTAAGATCCAATTAATATCCTCCCATTACTTTCCCTCATAAGACACTGCTAAATTCTGCCAAGGTAATGGTTCCTCACTGTATTCAGTCTAACAACCCACCTTTGCTTGATCACTTTTTCTGGTGATTTTTGGAAACATAACAGTTGACAATATGTACTGACCTTGTAACAGTTTTTATAATTATGTATAGAACTGTAATTTATTTTGATATCGTTATTCAATAATTTATATGTTTTTGTTTCCTAGTCAGAGTTTGAACACTATTAGTAGGGGCTATTTCTCATTTGGTTGTTTATGTGCCCCCATGTTACTAGATCTTAAGCATTTAACATTCCGATCAAATATTTATTCAACAAATACTTGGAAAAATATGACTAAGAATTATTAGTGATATATGTGCATTAGTTAAATTCCTGTGTATAAATCCGAATGTGTATATATACACAGAAATACATGTGTGTGCCAAAAGTTTCTAATAGATATACATTGTAAGAATCAATAAATATATACATAATCCACAACACTGAAATATAATTTATATATTTTACATGTGTGGATACATATAGAGATATATATAAGCATGTGTGTATATTTTTATATACGTATGTGTATACATACATAACTTTGAAACTGTATATACATTGTGACAGCATAGATTTTATACTTTGTACTTCTATTTTTCTACTATTTTAGATGTAACATAAAAAATATTCATTCAAATTAGCATTTTAACAAAACTAAGCATTTTCCATAATTTCACGAGCCATCATTATAACACAAAACTTATATAAAAGTAAACTTACACATAAAATGGGGAGATGGCAAACTCATAACTCATTTTCTATTCAAAAGTATATGTGATAGTTATTGATAGTAAAAATGCCTCATGACTCATCTGATTCCCCAAAACCTAAAATTGAATACATTTATAATTATCCTTCAAATATCAACATGTTTTCTTTTCCATATTCTTTCCCAGATCCAACCTATAAATCATTCTTTCCTTTAAAACTTCTCATGATGCTCTGTGCTATGAGACAGTTGTAACAAGCCAAGGACTCAATATTTGAATGCCCAGATTTAAGCTGGAATTTTCTTTATTGTTCTGCGCCTGTGAGTTTCAAGCCAGTTAACTTTTTGCCCTGAAGAAATAAAATATTCAATTTAATATATTTGTGAAAACAAATCCATTGAAGCCACAATAAATTCCTATGAGAGTTCTAAATATTCCTGGAGCATATTTCATAGTCCCTAAGCTGTGAACACATATTGAGATATAGCAGCTTGGTGGAGGCAAGATGCAGCCCTTATTCACCTCTGTCAGCTAATGGAAGGCTAAAATGCTACAGCTGCCAGGGTAAATACTAATCACTCGAAAAAGGAAAATTGTATTAATCTCTTGTGAATGCTACATTTATATATGAGTGCTATTTATGCACCGTATGCTATGCTTTTGGTAAAATAACCCTACCCTTGATAAGCCATAGGGAAATTTTGTGATTGGAAACAACTCATGCATTTACGTGGGTTAAAGCATTAGCATACATTAAGGATAAAGAAAGGCCAGCATTATTAAATGCAGAGAATCACAAATGTAATTGAAAATCAAAGCTGGGCTTTTCCTTAAGCAGGATGGTGGAAAAGTACAAATAAAAACCCTCGTTTTCTCAAATATCACTCGCCTTTCTTCTTCCCCACAAATAATATAAAATCAATTATTTGGTGTTACGCTGAGTTTATTTTTTAAGCATATAATTGGGGTAGAGGTTGATTCATTTTAATTTCAACGTGGAGTCCTGATTTAGACTATGTTTTGGCAATCTTTTCAGTCAAAAGTAAACAAAATCTGACATCTATGTAATGCTGCTGCTTCTTGCTGAGTCATAGTTGGCAGCTGTTTCTCAAAGCCCAGCAGGGAGACGATGCTTGTCTACCAGGGGCACCTGCTGCAGCCCTCTGAATCTTCAAGGAAGAATATCCTCTGACCCAATGCTATCTAAGTCCAGGATTGCCTTGTTCTGCTCTTGAAGATCCATACACAACCAGCCCTGAAAGGGCCAGCACACTTAGGAGAACAATGTTAGAAATGATTTTGAAATCTGGCTCTCAGCATTTAGAAGCAATGTTAATTATTTCTTCCTATGGATTCAAACTATCTAGGGCTACTTTTTTTTTCTTCTCAACACTAAAGCGTGTGGGAGTGGGGAGGGCTGAGTTCTGGATAATCATAGCATGATGATCATCTGACTCTCAACTAATTTTCCTAAAACTCCACTAAGGGATAAATATAAAAGAACAAAAAGCAATGATGAGGCACAGTGTAAAGAGTCGTAAGTGAAGAAAAAAATTAATGAAGAACTTAGGGAAACATGGTGGAGGGGAGGTAACGTGGGCAGAAGTGCTTGCATAGGAATATGCTGTTGAAAGGGAAACAAAGAGAGCTTGAAATGATGAAATCTTTGGCTTGAAAATGCCAGAGAATGGGGTAATAATTTGGGCTGAAAATAAGGGGATAAATTGAAAGTCCTATGCATGACTTTTAATAACCTCTAACATCATATTTGCATACCAACATACAGGAAAGAGAAGGCAGGTTTCTAATTTCAAGTTTAAAAATAAAATAAAAGGTTCTTTAGAAGTTTGAAAGATAGTAGGAAAAAAAAGTGTCAGACACTTTTGAGATTTTCTACAGTGATAGGTGGGTTTGTACCTGATTACCCTAAAATAGAGAAAATTCACCCGGCCCTCCCCACAGTCCCCACATGCTCATGGTTCCCAGTGAGCTTGTCTATGCATCTGTTTGAAATATAAAGAAACAAGTAAGGAACACGAGACCTCACTGGAAATAACATAAACAACAACAAAAATGACCTCTGAAAATACTGATAAAAGACTTTAACAATACAAAATATCTCCAATTAGATTTCTCAGAAACACGTACCATTACATCACAGCCAGAAAACAAGATTTATGTTTATATTAATGAATGAGAGGATAATATTACTTAGAAAATAAAATATGATTATTAAAATTTAAAAGGTTTGGAAGAGCATATTAAACATTTCTTCCAGAAAGTTGAATGAAATCTCAGAAATAGAAAATATGAAAGTCAAAATACATAAACAATCCAGTTTAACATTTAATTAATAAAAGTTTCATGGGGAAAAAAAAGAAGAAAGATAGGAGTGATGGGCATAAAATAAATTGTACCACAAAAATTCCCCAGAGCTTATGTATAGAAGTCTCTAGATTAAAAAGTCATACAAAGGGTCCAAATTAATGAACAAGGAAACAGTAAATACAAAAGTGTGACCAAGATATATGTCCTTGACATTCCTCTCACTTGACTAAACTTTAGGCTATTCTGACTTCCGTTTTCTAAGAGTATTTGCTTAGAAAACTTGTAATTATAACTCTTTTCTATTCTCCTTTGAGAGGTAAATCTTCTCTCAGCCTCCTGAGGATATCACAACCCATGAAAGTTTTTCTCAAGTATCTGGGAGCCATCCCTTTGAAATGTAATCATTCACAGAGACAGTACCTGTCACAAGTGGTGCAAAGTTAGAGATAACCAGGTCCACGCACGTTTGCGTCTTTCCACAAAGTTGGGCTTTTATTGATGCTGTTACCATCAAAAAAGCCAAGAGCTACATGGAGTTCCCAAGAGGGTAATTTTCCTTAGCACTTTCTGTTCACTCATTCACTGGGTAGACCGACCATATGCACGCAGGCTCAAGCCACTCCACAAGGCAGTCAATATTGCCAACCATACATCATGGTATACTTAGCCAATATATAAATGCTATAGATTCAACATTCCAGAACAAACAAAGTGACATTTACCATCAACAGGAAAATGTAATAGAAGAAAGTGTTAACAAACCAGTCTGGGGTAGTGAAGGATGACAAAAGGAGTCCTGGCCTGGGCCTGGTGGTCCCTCGATCTTGCAAGGAAGATTGATGAGGCAGAGCCTTGGGCGGCAGATGCCAAGTTTTTATCACGAGCGACTGCAAGACAGTGTCAGTTAAGACACTGTCCTGAGCTACTGAAAGCCCGCTCTTTTATAGTCCGAGTCCTCAGGTGAGAACTGATAGTGGAAGAGTGTGCTTGTTTGTCTCCTTATCTAGTTAGATTTGGTCTTTTTATTATTATTATTATTTGTTTATTAAGCAAAACCTCTTATCCTATTGGCAAACTGTCCTGTGAAACATAAAAGAGGGTCTCTTTCTGAAAGGAAGTTAGTTATGTCAAGGTTGCTCTTTACACACCCCTGCCTCCCAGTATCTGTGAGAGGGTAATTGAGAGGTAAGAGCCTAATTGAGACCACGAATTAGCCAACACAGGTGGTCTAATCACATCCACCAACTTCCACCTCGTCGTCCTCCAGCAGCACTTACAAACTCTCCCGCGTTTTGTTTTAGTGGAACTGAGTTCAATCTCTCAACTTGCAGTAGTTCTTAATAAAGTCTTCCTTGGCTGTTTAAATTGTCTGGTGCAATTTTTCTTTGACAAGTGCATGGTCAACAATTTTCAGAATCATGGAGATAAAAAGAAGACCTGAAGTAACTCCAGAAGAGGGGATAAAAAGATTCTCAATATCCCAAACTTCCAAATAACTCCATACTGGAAAACAAAGGAGAAATTCTTTCAAGTTATAGAAAAAAAATTAAATGTAGGACTCCATCTTTATCCAAGCCATAAATCAAAATAAAGAAAAAATATATAAACCATTTTACAGACATAGAAGTTTCCTCCTTTAAACCTTTAGTTTAGTCAATGAGATTTAAAAATGTGTTGGTGTTGAGGTTGGTGGCCTGTGGTTGGTATTAACTAGGATAGGTTTTATTTTATAAAACAGGAAGCTTCCAAGTTGAGTAATCTTAAAAGAGATAGAAATTTATTTCTATCTTATATAACAGGGCTGCTATAACATCTAAAACCCAGAACACTTCAATTTCTGTTTCAACTTTCTCAGTTTTGTGTTTTGATACAAGACAATGGTTGGAACTCCAGTCATTCTATGATGATTCTAGGTAACCAGATGAAGAATAGCAGACCATCTCTTTTTAGGAGATCTCCAAGACAATTCACTCGCTCCTTCTGCTTATAACTCACTGGCTAAAACTTAGTCACATGGTCATAGATTAATGCAATCGATACTAGAAAATGTTGGCTTTCCTATGGGGAGCATCATGCAAAATTTAGGATTCTGAAATCTGAAATTTCACAGTAAAATGGAGGGTAATAAGGCAAATAATGTCTGTCATAAGACAGCACTCAAAAGTCAAGAAGATTTAGAGACTAGGAAGACTACTGGTGTATGAAAATGGCAAATAGTCTAATAAAAAGTAAATCATAAATTTCAGAATATATTATAGTACCCTTCAATCACACAATTAAAATGGACACTGAATTAGCAAAGATTCTACAGATGTGAGTGATGCAAAGGGAAAGCACATTTGAGTGGCTTTCTAGATTCAGGAAGAGCAATTTATATAATCACATGTAGAGCATATGTAATTTAATTTCAAGCACATAGGAAACACAAAAGTTGACTATATATTTGACCCACAAAGGCAGTCTCATTTAATCTTAAAGAAGGAATACAATACCTATTAGATCAAAAAAGGATTCCATTTAAATTCCCCAAAATCAATGACCCAGACCACAAGCTCTTACCATAATAAAGTTAAATTTAGAAATATTGATAAGAAGGAGTCAATCCTGACATTTTTTTAAATTAAAAACTCTCACATTGAGATTGAAGAATTTCAATAGATGCAGAAAAATCATTTGAGTGCTTCTCAGGACTATAGTGGACTAGATATTCTTTAAAGCTTTCTGTTGCCACAGATCAGATGTCAGAAAGTTGCAAAAAATATGTACTTACACACGTTTTTTAGTTCAAAAGAAAGTTGCAAATGACTTTGAAAGGATAGGAAAGTGAAACTAAGTATGAGCATATTAACTTGAAGTTGGAATAAAACTGTTCTTCCTTCATGGAAATGCCAATACTGGAAAAAGGAGAGTAGGGAGAAGAGGAGACTAGGAGGGGAGAAGTGTGGACAGCTATCATTCCCATAAGAGAGGGAGGAAGCTGGCTGACATGCGCACCAGCATGAAGATAAGAAATTCAAGAACAACACTCAGCAGAAAAGTGACTGGGGAGTAATTTGTCTCCATGTGATGAAACCCACAAATAAATCTGTCTCAGACTCTGCTCTGGAGAAATAATAATAATAATAATTAGAGTCAAAAGATTTGTTAATGGATTGGATGTTTTGTTTGGGAGAAAGAGAAAAGTCAATGGTAATAAGAAGGATTTGGAAGTATGGTGGCATTCTCAACAAAGAGGGAGAAGCAGGGTCGTTGCAAACTTGGGAGGCAAATCCAGGGTTTTTTTTTGGATATGTCATATTTCTTTGTCTTTCTTTTACTCTCTTTCTCTCTCTATGCCCCCCTCCCTCCTTCTATCTGACTACCCTGTGCATAGAACACATATGAACTCAGTCCATTTTGAATGAAAGGGCTTCAATGTATAATAGAAAGGTGTGTTCCTGAATAGGTAACATTGCTGTTTCTTTCAAAGATGTATGCCTTTCCCTTTTCCTCGCTTTCTTATCCTTCCTGGGACTGTCAGAACACTGTTAAGTAGAACCTATATTAGACATCTGCGCTGCCATCATTGCCCTGCTAGATGACTTGGATGGCTGCAGAAGCCTCGCTGCTTCTGCTCTTTCCCTAGAAAGCCTCTATCGACATGGCACTCAGACTGTCCCCTTTAAAAGTGCGACTACTGTAACTCTTTTGTACAGAACCCTCCACACCCATTTGCTCAGATCATATCCCCCAACTTCTTGGTAGCTCACAGGATCCTCCGTGAGGTGACCCTGATAGCTGTTGGTGCTCATCTGCTGTTCTGCCCCTTGCTTACTTGCTCCCCTTAGGCCAGCCATTTCTGAAACATTCCAGGTGTTCTCTTAACTTGGGACCTTTGTTTCAGGTTGTTCTACTGCTTGAAAACTTCTTCCAGATGCCCTCTGTGCTGCACTGCCCAATTAAATTCAAGCTTGTGCTAAAATACCTCCACCTCAAGGGTGTTGCCAATGACCACACTAGTTAGTATTCCAAGCATTCCACATACTTCCAGCCCCTCTTCTGGGCTCTACTTTTAGTTTTTGCCATTGCACACATTAATTCCTACATATTATTATATGTACTATTATTAAGTGTGTCATCCTTTCATCAGAATGTATGGTCCAACAGTCAGAATGTGTGATTGTTTTAAATAATGAAAACGTACAGCTTTAAGTAATTACCAGAGACATGCCTGAAACACAAGGACACAAGAAATCCAGTCATGAATTTACTTTTCCGAACATTTATTACAGGTTCATTTATCATCAAATGATTATAAATAACTGAAAAGCACAGTAGAGGACTGGTTACATAAATTACAGGTCCTCCATACAATAGGAAATCATATCTTCATTAAAAATGATCAGGTAGCTCTAATTATGGTGTATGGAACATCACCAATATATATGGGCAGCCAAAAATAAATAAGTAAATAAATAAAGTAATGCACAGAGCAATATGTATTATATGCTACAATTCCATGTGTATATAAATGATATTCATGATCTATTGTTTGTAGCAGTGGTGGCCTTCAGAGCAAGCAAACCATCTGTCTGGGGGACAGGTAAAGAGGAGGGACTTCCTAAATTTTTACCACATAAATGTAATTGCTATAAAACAAGGAATTGGATGTAATGCTAAAAAATAAATAACTAAATTGGAGCAGAAGCTACTTGCTTTTAAATGTATGTATACATATATATATAAAGTTATATATAAATATATATGTGTGCATGTATATATATATATATATCTATAGGAATTTGATGTAATGGCTAAAATATATACACCTAAATTGGAGCAGAAGCTGCTTGCTTTTAAATGTATGTATGTATGTATGTGTGTGTGTGTGTGTATACATATATAAAGTTATATATATCAATATATATACACATATAAAGTTTATACAGATTTTAAAAGTTTTAAAAGATCCAACCACGCTCTTTTTCCTGAAAAACTTAGACCTTCTAGTGTTGGAAGAAAAGTAGCTACCTTGAATATCCCTAGAGTACCCCACATCCACCTCCCCCAACCACACCCTCATCCCTCCTAGCGATGTGCCACGATTTAAGTGGCTTTGCCTTCTAAGGATAAACAAATTATTTTCTAGTACCTTTTTATCTGTTTCAGAGAAATACACACACACACACACACACACACACACTATTAACCTTAATCAGGACTTTCTGGTTATACTGCTTATTTTTCTACATTGTGTGTTTCATGGGTATATTTACAATCAAATATACCATTAGGCTTTGATATTTGTTTTTCTCTTGCTCAATCTGGTACCTAGCTGTCATCATCCAAATCTGTCTTGTGACGTTACCATCCTCGTGCAAAGCCCCATGCAAAATGAGTCTGCACACTCTTTGTCTTTACATGGCACATTGATATTGTATCACAGAAGACACAGCATAAAACTGAAAGAAACAACAGGTCAACCATTCGATAGTGAGCTTGCATTCAGGTCAAATAACATATTTGTTCTGAATACTAAGGACCAATTTATTGTGTTAATTGTGAGCTCACTGTAAACATCCAAACCTTTTGCTTCTCTTCCATCATAAATAAATCACATTTTCATTTGTTCAACCAGCCACTTAGGACTTATAAGGCAATATTTAACTTCAAGACAGTTGTCCTCTCAGGCCTACTCGCAATCCTCCTGTTGTTTCTCAATCCTGGAAAAGATCCCCTGAGGATTTCCACTAGGGCTACTAGAACCTCTCCCCTACAGGTGTGTTTCTGTTAAGGCCCATGCTGTGCTTTTCAAGGAGGTAGATGGGCAATACATGCAGTCAACTCTTAATGTGAACGGGAGATGGAAGAGCATTTGGCAAGCAGTCAGGAAACTGGAGTTCTTATGCTAGGACCCTGACACTGAATGGTCATATATTTTGGGAAAGTCTGTAAGAACCCTGGATCTCCTTATGTGAAAGTAGTTCAGCTAACTGCATCATTTCCAAGACTTAAGTTCCAAAATTTTGTGAACGTCTATGTGGAAGCTTGTATATGTAAGATAACTTAATTCTTAGGAGAGTGTCTCAGTTTTTTTCCTGGGGCTGCCATAACAAAGCACTATAAACTGGATGGCTTAAAGCAATAGAAATTTATTCTCTTGAAGTTCTGGAGGTTAGAATTCCAAAATGAGCCTGTGGGCAAGGCCGTGCTCTCTCTCAAGGCTCTAGGAGAGAATTGGTTCCATGTTTTTCACTTGGCTCCTAGTGTTGTCAATCATCCTTAGCATCCCTCAGCTTGTAGACACATCAATCCCTGCTTCTGTTATCACATGACATTGTGTGTGTGTGCATGTGTGTGTACAATTGTGTGTGTGTCTGTGTCTTTTATGCTTTTCTTATAAGGATGCCGGTCATGTTGGATTAAGGACCTACCCTACTCCAGTATAATCTAATCTTAACTTACATCTGAATTTCAACCAAGTAAGGTCAAATTCACAGCTAGCAGGGACTATGATTTCAACATGTTTTGTGGGGTACAAAATTCAACCAATAACAGGGAGTACAGCTAATGTCACATACTTCTCCATGTATACTTTTTAAACCAGATGCTCAGCAGGTAATGCAGTCAGTTTACCAATCCAATATTATCAGAAACCCAAATACAGGCAATTGGAATTGATAAACCTGAAAATCCCAGTCACAAACTGCATTATCTGTCATTCCTCTGTATTTTATAAGAAAAAATGTGCCTCTCAAAAATATTGCTTCTTCAAGAAAATATATTGAAATTGATACATAAAAAGAAGAAAGATCCCATATCAGATATTATTGTAGGAAATTCAAAAATCTGCCTCACACATAAATATCTGAGGAAACAATTGACTTTCTTTAACAAAATTACAAACTCTGTAAAGTTTAGATGATATAATTATAAAGAATATTTTATAGCTCCTGATAAAGTGAATCATGCTTATGGAAAAATACGCACTGGATAAATTTAGATTTCTATGAATACATTTCAATTTATCCCTGAAAAGTAGCATTACAGTAATCTTAATTCTAATACTTATAATCTAAGAAGTAACTATTAAATGAATTTATTCTCTTGTTACCGACAGTGGATAGAGTGTCAGGTTGATGTTTGTTCAGAGATGTCCTACTTAAGCTAGTAACGAAAAGTTGTACAAAAGTCTGAGTAGGCCGGTCACAGTGGCTCACACATGTAATCCCAGCACTTTGGGAGGCTGAGGCAGGTGGATCACCTGAGGTCAGGAGATTGAGACCAGCCTGGCCAACATGGCAAAACCCTGTCTCTATTAAAAATACAAAAATCAGCCGGGTGTGGTGGTGCATGCCTGTAATCCTAGCTACTCGGGAGGCTGAGGCAGGAGAATCGCTTGAACCTGGGGTGCAGAGGTTGCAGTGAGCCGAGATTGTGCCACTTCACTGCAGCCTGGGCAAAAGAGCAAAACTCCGTCTCATAAACAACAACAAAAAAGTCTGAATAGCAGGCCTCTGTTTCTGATAGTCCATAGAGTTATTCAAACAAGCCAGTCTCATCCTCCCATGGGAACCAGGGTCGCCTCATGCTCTTGATACTACAGGGCCTCCCTCCTGCAGCCTCCAGTTGTTCATTGCTTTCCCAAGCGCAGCTTCTGTGTGGTCCTGCACGGATGCAGTCTCTTTTTCCCTAGGCTCTAAGTATATGGGACTCATACTCTCGTCAGTCCCATCTTCCCAGTATTGGATGTCTTGTGCTTAGCCATCCACATAAACCCAGGGCTGGAATGCCTCCCTCAACCATGGGGTGAAAGGAGGCAACTACAGCATACCTTTAGTTAAATGACTACATGAGCAAGGAATCCTTAGGGTCTCACAGCATCCCCATAAGGATTTAGCACTAGACTGGACAGTGTACTGGAACTCCTGGGGCAGGAATGAGAAGCAGATACTTGTGCAGAAACATCTTCTTACCACCCAGGTACTATACCAGAACATAAACATGAACTTATCACCTGATGAACAAATAGAAAGCTAAATGAGCCACCTGCTTACAACTGTTTGGAAATAAAGAATATTCTGACTAAAGAGGCTGAGTTGATGAAAGATTGAGACTTAAAAGCTTATTTAAGCCAAAGATGAATATTTGCTTGTCCATAAGCAATGGTTTTTAGGAAAACCTAGTAACATTCAGCAACACCTAGTCTATTGCAAAATAAGCTTTTGGTATACTAGTTACAACTTTACAATCCATCACCCACAGAAAAGCTAGAGTAATCATCTAGAATGCTAATGTGAAATATGGCCATGTCCACCCCTGCTTGAATCCTTGCAGTGGTTTTCATCCCCCCAAACAGTATAAGCTCCCAAATATCATATAGAATGCCTTGAGTGATCTGACTCCCCATCTCCTTCTTCGATCTCATCCCTCATTCCTGACTGTGAACTTTTTTTTTCAGGCAAAGGACCAACCATGTGTACAGCCTGAGGGGGAATACTGAGTGGAAAGGAAGAAGTTAAATATATATGAGAGAGGGGATGAATAATAGAGTATTATTGTGGAGAAAGTTGGAGGTGGGTTTAAATAGGAAGACACAGCTCACACTCTGGTCATGACATAATGAAGGTAAAGATGATCTTATGGAAATTAAATTAAACGTAGGGGGTGGGAAAGAAGCAGGATTATTGCTGAAGGCCCCAATATTCTTACTGAAGTAGTAAAAAGATAATCTGCTGAGGATGAAGGGAGTAGGGATTGAGTTTGGGTTTTGAAGAGCAGGGCAAAAATTTGAGATAGTTGCTCGCGCAAATAAGAGGTAAAACTTTTCAAGGTTTAACTGAGGACCAATCTAAGGCAAGACCCTTGTCTGTAGGGTCATGTGTTTTAGCTGAACAGAATTCAACCACAAAGGGCCTGAACTATCAGAGTAGAGAAAGGGAATTATTTCATTTCTCAAAAGTTATGATTTAACTAGACTATTCAGTGAAAAGTGGTTGCCAAGACAATTGAAAAAATATAGTTTGTATCATTAAAAAAATAGAATCATGAATGTTCATGGATAAACCAAAGGAGAGACAAAGATACGGCTTGGAGATATTGATAGTCACTAGGTGGAAAAATCACTCTGATGTCAAATATTGTACAGAGCCCTGGAATATTAGGGTGGTTGTGTTAATACAATGAACTTTTAATATTTACCATTTCTGAGGTTATTAGACAACTTTTAAAGAATAGAAAGTTCCAGCCACTATTTCCTAAAATCTCCTATAATTATAGTAGTAGTTGGAGTAAAGAGAGAGATTTTGAAATTGTCTCCAAGAGATGAGTGAACAGAGAGAGTGTATAATTTAGGGTATTTTTATTTTAAGTAATAGAACAACCTATGAAATCTACAGAATGTATTGACTCATGAATTTGAAAAACTGTGATAGTGCTGGCTTCAGAGATTTAAGGGCTCAAGTCATATACAAGTTGGATTTCTCGTGGTGACTCATGCCTGTAATCCCAGGACTTTGGGAGGCCAAGGTGGGATGATCACTTGGGGTCAGGAGTTCAAGACCAGCCTGGCCAACATGGCAAAACCCCGTCTCTACTAAAAATACAAAAATTAGCTGGGCATGGTGATGCATGCCTGTAATCCCAGCTACTCGGGAGGCTGAGGCAGGAGAATCGCTTGAACCCAGGAGATGGAGGTTCCAATGAGCCAAGATCACGCCATTGCACTCCAGCCTGGGCGACAGAGCAAGACTCCATCTAAAAAAAAATAATAAATTCAAAAAAAAAAGTTGGATTTCTCTTAAGTTCTCTTTTGCTAGCCTTTGCAGGTTGACATTAGATTCCACCTGGTAGCAAAAAGTCTGTAGCATCCCAAACCTCGTTATCATATCATGTGCAGGTCTTGCAGGAAAAGCACCTCATATGAAACACCTAGAGTTCATTCTAATTGTTCTCAACCCTAAAACAAGCACTGTATTCAGTGAGGAACCTGAAGAATGCATAGAAAAGAAAGAGGAGGAGGTGGTGGCTAAAAAAGGATTACAGGGAGATCTGTGGGATCTATGGGACAAAGCCAGAGTTTATCTAGGAAAAGAGCATAGAGATAATTCTTTGGAAGGATAGTAATGACCAAAACTTCAGGTAATGGGCCACACTGAGGTTTGGTTTTGTGGAAGTTGAGCAAGATCCGGTGAAAAGGAGAAATTCTGCAAGATATCATTCAACCAACAAATGTCTTGATGAATATTACATGTTGTTTTTGTGATAGGATTATATTTAAAAGTGTCTTTGTTGTAGGATTATATTTAAAAGAAGTATAAAATACAGTTCCTGATTTCAAGTCCATAAGCTCTAGAATTTCATCATGGGCTAGTAGAACTTTCTACAGTGATGGAAATGTTCTATCTGTGATGTCCAATATGGTAGCCATTATCCACATGTGGTTAAGTACTTGCAATATGGTTACCATGACTAAGAAACTGAATTTGGAATTGTATTTTATTATAATTAATTGATTTATATTTAAATATAAGTAGCCACACATGACTAGTATCTAGAGTATAAGACAGCACAGCTCTAGAACATACTCTCATATAAAATAAATGGTAAAATTTACAACATAAAGTAGAATTAAGTTAAACAGTGTGAAAGCCTCCAAGTTTTGTAAGCAAAGATTTAAAGAGGGTTTTAGATTTATACTTGTATGAGTAAGAATTTAAACATAAAAATTCCTCCAAATTCCCATAGGTGGTTTGATTAAAAGCTGAAAGAAGTCATCTCTCTGTTGAGTATGCTTTTCCATATGAGAATGCAGCTGGCTCAGCCTTGGTATGGGACATTCACAGCACAGAAGTTAAAGTTCTGGTAATAAAGGAGAAAATCATTTGAAGTTTGGACATTCACAGTTCTGAAACCAAGGACAGGTGGCACACACATCCAAACGTGAACCTCTTCCAAGGATACCACAGAGAGTTTCCTCCACTGGCAATACAAAACTGGTCATGTTTTTTCTTCAAGTGTCTTGTGAGAACTACTCCTCCAATGTGAAAGTAAATGAGAATTTCTTGTACTATTTTTATCCCTTCTACCTGACAGATACTGCTTCTACAGATTCAGTTATTGGTAAGTGGTGTGATCAGACAAAGTTGGAATTGCACACCCAGTCACTTAGATTATTTGGATAGCATTGATTCATAGGTGACTGCTTTTTTTTTTTTTTTTCCTACAACCAGTTCTAAAATTGTCACCAGATGAAGAATTGAATGAATGTAACAAGGCTGTAAAGAAAATGTTTATTCTTATTTTATTTCTTATTTAACTAGTTGGAAATAAGACACAGTCAATTATTATTATTTTTTGATTACCTGAGCTAAAAGGAGGAGAGGACACTTACATATTTGTTGGTGTTTATTGAAACATTTTCCTATGTACCAGTCATTTTGCTATACATCATGTATTTATAAACATGTAATTATCCAAGCAATGGTATGAGGGAGGCCCTTCTACCATGTTCTTTAGAGAAGAGGTAACTAGTGAAGTGACTGGTTAAACAACATGTCAAGATCAAGACCTTGATGTGATGGAACTAGGACTCAAGAGGGCAGTCTGTGTCTGGAGCTTTTGATTTTAAACATTATATTGCTTCTCTCAATTTATGCATACCAGCATATGCACACACACAACCACGGAAAGAGGACCTAAAATTGGTTTTGCAGAAAGAGGCAATATACCCAATCAATCTCTTTGTTGGCTATTCTCCTCAAGTAGACTCCGTTCATTACCCTGTACCTTTTTTCTCTCCTCCCAGCTGGCACTCAGTAAGAACTAGTAGGATAGCCTAGGGGAAGATATTTGGGTCACAGATAATCCATAAATTTAATACGCAATTTATAGAGAAAGAGGAATTATTCATGTTGGTAAAGTGTTTTGCTGCTTATAACATATATTCTTTTGGGAAATCTAAGGGGTGATTTTTAAGGAGGTTCTAAATAAAATAATCCTAGCAAAAGAGAAAAATGCAAAATGAGACTTCAGCCATGCAAAATGCAGCAATGACCAGGCCATTCCCAACCTGCATTTAACAATTTCAGCTAGAAAAGTTGGTTATCCTTAGTGAAATGCCACAGGCATTTACAATGAAAGAATATATTAAATGTCCTCTTTATGAATTACAATGTTAACGTTAAGCTAAGAAATTGGGAAAGGGAGCGAGTATTTAATCACAGCATTTACCTTTAGCAGGGTTTCATATAATAAGGAATAAATAGCTTAGTAAAGCTTCGTTTTTCTGGTTGTCCTCTTTAAGTCCAAGCCTGGTCAGTTTTATTTTTTCTATCTTATTTTATTTTATTGTGTGTAATAGTGTCTCGCCGTATCACCCAGGCTGGAGGGCAGTGGCGCGATCTCGGCTCCCAGCAACCTCCGCCTCCCGGGTTCCAGCGATCCTCCCGCTTCAGCCTCTGGAGTAGCTGGGACTACAGGCATGCACCACCACATCCAGCAAATTTTTGTATTTTTAGTAGAGGTGGGTTTTTGCCATGTTTGCCAGGCTGATCTCAAACTCCTGGGCTTAAGCGATCTGCCCATCTCGTCCTCCCAAAGTGCTGGGATTACAGGCATGAGCCACCCTGCCCAGGCCAGGAACTCAATTCTGCATATACAAACAATGAGTTTGGAGGAGATTGTTTCTTACAGCCTCCAGGTGAGAAATTACTCTCACCAATACCTTTATTTCTGCCTTGTGAATGCCAGTCATGCCATCCTGGACTTCTGACTTGTAGAGCTGTGAACTCATAAATTGGTATTTTCAGCTGCTAAGTTTGTGGTAATTGTTATACTGTAATAAAAAAATGAATATAATGGGCAAAGCCTATGTTAACTCTCCCACCTGAAACAAATCTTTGTGGGCATTTCTGAAAGAGACAGAAGTAAACCTGGGCCTTCTGTTCTCTACACTACCCAAGTGAGCTCACTGAGCTAAGAAAGAACATGAAGATTTGAAATTAGAGACACAATGAGTTACAGAGTGTGTATTTGGCAGGATTTTCTTCCCTTCTTTTAGGAAACAAGGTATGGCAGTGGGTGGTTTAAAGGGTATAAATATACAGACAAGTGGCAAATGTCAATCAGTTCCACAAACCTAGAAGAAATCACAGGTAATATATGTAGCTGCTGAGACAGTCAGATATGGACAAATTCTTGGAAACTTTGAGTTCCTAGAATGAATCCTTCACATGCTAAACTTTTTTCAACAGCAAAAATATTATGAAAAGATCCGGTTCTATATTCTCTGCATAAATCAGACAATGAAACATGCATCAGAATATTAGAAGATCATCTATTTGAGTCAAAGTAAATACTAACTGGGTCTTTGACATCAAATTAACAGATTACACTTTTAAGTTTTATTAAACTATTCTCACAGTATTTAAAAAGAAATAAATGGAGTATTTTCTCTAGAGTCCTCTTTAGAGTATTTTGTCTAAATGGTACCTGGTACAAACCAGCATTACTTTTAATGGCAAAAGCTGCAATTACTTTTGCACCAACCTCGTAGTAGAGATGAGGTCTTGCTATGTCGCCCAGGCTGATCTCAAAGACCTGAGCTTAAGTGATCCTCTTAACTCGGCCTCCCAAAGTGCTGAGATTGCAGGGATGAGCCACTATGCCCCAGCCGTCTTTCTGCTTTAAACCCATCCTGCTCTAATCCAATGCCTGATTTTAGTAAGGCTCGTATCTCTTGAAGTCATTCTCCATGTTTAACTCTAACAATCCTTTTCTACAGTATCTTTTACCTTCTCAAAGTCAATTAGTCTATTTCCATCCATCCCAGTTATAATCTGAACTTCATCATTCCTCAAAACCAAATCAAATTTGTATCCCCAATTCTGATATTCCCTTTTTGATCATAGCTTTCTTTCTTTCATCTCTCTGCTCCATCATTCTCAATGAATACATTAATTGTCTACTTATAATGCTAGCATTCATAAATTACATCTGAGACTTTATTCTTAGTTTCAGCATGATGCATCATTTAGGCATTATCACTGTGCTTAAATGACAGAGAAAAGAATGAGCAGAGATCACAATAGGAATCTTTGTCAATGACTGATTACTCAGAATGTAATATATAGACACTGCACTGGTTTCCTAGGGCTGCGGTAACAAAGTACCATGAGCTGGGTAGTAATAGGCCAGGAGTGTCTTCTCCACAGTTCAAGAGGCCAGAAGCCTGAAGTCAAGGTGTCTACAGGGCCATGCACTCTCTGATGGCTCAAGGGGAGAGTCTGGTCTATGCCTTTCTCCCTCTTTCTGGTGCTGCTGGCCATCCTAGGCATTCCTTGCCTGGTACTTGCATTACTGCAGCCTCTGTCTTCATTGTTACATGGTATCTGTCTCGGTGTCTCTTGACACAGTGATGTTGAATTAGAGACCCATTCTACTCCAGTATGACCTCATCTTAACCTATTATACAATTGCAAAAACCCTGTATTAGTCCATTTTTACGCTGCTGATAAAGACATACCCAAGATTGGGTATTTATAAAGAAAAAGAGGTTTGATGGACTCACAGTTCCACGTGGCTGGGAAGGCCTCACAATCACGGCGCAGGGCAAAAGGCATGTCTACGTGGTGGCAGACAAGAAAGAGAGAATTTGTGCAGTGAAACTCCCCTTTATAAAACCATCAGATTTCGCAAGACTTACTCATATTATGAGAACAGTATGGGGAAACCGCCCCCATGATTCAATTATCTCCCACCAGGTTCCTTCCACAACATATGGGAATTATGGGAGCTACAATTCAAGATGAGATTTGGGTGGGGACACAACCAAACTGTATCAAACCCTATTACCAAATAAGTTTGCATTCTTCAGTATGAGGGGTTTCTATATATATTTTGAAAGGACACAATTTGATGCATAACAGGCAACTTATTAGAATATAATTTTATATACATCACAGATAAAAGTTTAGATCTGACAATGAAAAACTTGACTTGAGTTAGCAATGCAGACACTCATAACCTCTTACCTCTCTAAGGAAGGTAACAGGTGATTTCATGGAAAGTATCATCCCCTTGGAAAAGACATTGCAATACGGACACAAATATACCCTAAATATTCCTCCAATATTTTCCCCAAGAGATTTGGAAGTTACATGTGATGGTAACAAAGGTACTGAGAAAAAAAAAGTTATTCAAATTTGAGGGCTTAACAGAAATTAGTTCTGAGGTACTGTTAATAGACAGGGACCAAAAACACCACTGTAGTTTATTCAAAGTGGAGGTGTGTGGATGTCAGGTAATAAGTGGAGCTTTTGTCCCTGCCCTATTCATACTGGGTGCAGCAGAGCTGCAAATTACTCTTGTGGTATATATACTTGAGATATATCTCAAGTTCCTGAATTTATAAAGAATACTGCAACACTCAGAAACTGACAAAATTTCCATACTGATGGCTTATGAGATGATGGCTATGATAGGAAGAGCCAGGTGAAAGTCCCTAAAATTTCCTTTCCCAGCTAGGATAGTAACCCAAGAGCAATATCACATTTTCGCAGGACTTGAAAAGATTAATTTCACCATCAAAGACTACAAAGATGCTGTGGATTTCTGTCACATTTCAATTTAACTCATCCGTTGAATGTATGCAACACATTTACATAATTTCCTCTCCTTTCTTCTTTCCACATCCTTTCACTTCCCACCTTCCCAGTGACTTGAGAAGCTGGTTTAACGTTATGCTCTCTTCCTATCTCCTGAAGTCATTCTCCATGTTTAACTCTAACAATCCTTTTCTACAGTATCTTTTACCTTCTCAAAGTCAATTAGTCTATTTCCATCCATCCCAGTTATAATCTGAACTTCATCATTCCTCAAAACCAAATCAAATTTGTATCCCCAATTCTGATATTCCCTTTTTGATCATAGCTTTCTTTCTTTCATCTCTCTGCTCCATCATTCTCAATGAATACATTAATTGTCTACTTTATAATGCTAGCATTCATAAATTACATCTGAGACTTTATTCTTAGTTTCAGCATGATGCATCATTTTGATACATAGTTCCTGTACCTTGGAATTTCTTAACCATGGTGGCTTCCATAATCGTCACTCTATTATTCTCCAGTTCTAAGTAAACCATACTAAATTTTTCCTTTATTTCTCGAAGGAAGTATGAATTTAAATGATTGGTTCCATTATAAGTATATGCCATTATACCACAGGGGGACCCTCATGGATGCTAGAAACTCACTTATTCAGGCTTTATTGTTACCCTGCATATTTCTATAGTGACAGTTTCAAATTTCCTTCTATTTTTTAATGGTTGTGAATTTCTATTTTGTCTCAAAGAAAATTCTGAACTTGGTAAGTAACTGGATCTATGACTTTTCCTTGACCTAAGAAGCTCTCTTGACAAAGACCACATGACAAAATTAGTTTCAAATACCATTCTTCAAACTATGAAGTGGTATTTCTTATACATTTTAAAAATATTTTAATTATGATATTAAGTCTTCATTTTACACTCTTAAGATAACCTGGATTTGGACTTATTTGCCTTCTCAATAATATTTGCCTAGGTCATTGAACATATTCTATTTTCTTACTTCTAATATAGGGATAATAATTTTAGAATACTTTTAAATTTGTTTATAATAGACATAGGAGCACTTTGAACTATGTAAAGCACAGACAATAACTAAAATATCAAAACAATGAGAAAGCAAGAGAAAAAGCAAGCCTGGATAATGCACACAGCATGCATGAATGTTCTGTTCTTTAGTCCCACAATGGAAAGTCAGAAGGAAATTGGTGGCAATTTCCTCCATGGACAGAAAATTGGCATTGAGTCCAACTAGACTTACCAGTTAGGGGAGCATATAGAGTTCTTGACACATGATAAATAACATAGAAGTTGAAACATGCTGGGAAGTTCTCTTAGCTTTATTTAAAAAAAAAAATGGGTGTTTGTGATTCTCTAGCAATTTCCTTAAAATTTCACATTTACATATAAAGAACAAGCACCATCATAAAGGATATCTACGTTCATGGTCAAAAACTTATAGTTAATTCTGAGTCACAGGTTTTACATAAATGGAGGGTGTATTAGTCCATTTTCACACTGCTATCAAGAAATATCCAAGACCAGGTAATTTACAAAGGAAAGAGCTTAATTGGCTCACAGTTCTGCATGGCTGGGGAGTCCTCAGACAACTTACAATTATGGCAGGAGGGGAAGCAAACACATCCTTCTTCACAAGGTGGCATGAGAGAGAAGAACATGCGTGTGGGCACAGAAAAAGCTACCATTTATAAAACCATCAAATCTCATGAGAATTCACTCACTATTATGAGAACAGCATGGGGGAAACTGTCCCCATACTCTAATCACTTCCCTCTCTTGACATGTGTGGATTACAATTCAAGATGAGATTTGGGTGGGGACACAAAGGCAACCATATGATTCTGCACTGGCCCCTCCCAAATCTCATGTCCCTTTCACATTTCAAAACCAATCATGCCTTCCCAACACTCCCCCAAAGTCTTAATTGATTCCAGCATTAACCCAAAAGACCAATTCCAAAGTCTCATCTGAGATAAGGCAAGCCTCTTCTGCCTAGGAGGCTGTAAAATCAAAAGCAAGTTAGTTACTTCCAAGATACAATTATTACAGGCATGAATGGGGCAGAAGAGGGCTCTCCCCCTACCCACTAGACCGGTCAGGAGATAGTTTGGCAGTTATCACTTTACCTCTCTAAAAATGATAATTTGGCAGCCAGGGGGAGACAACCTTCTGATGGTCCATATCTGTTAACATCAAAAGTGTTAACTGAATGCAGACCCCACGGAATAACAGCTTCCTATGCATGCATATTAAGAGACAAAAATGGCAAAGTATGATCTTCCGGGTACACTCACCAGAAAAAGGAAGAAAGCCTCAGATGAGCATGCATATAACTCCCTAAACACAATGAGTGTGCTCACTTCCCAAAGGTAAGGAGGGCTCTACACATGCGGGCAGCCCACCCTAAGGGAAGAATCATGGGAAAGAGGTGAGCTTATAGAAGTCCTAGGATCATGGTTAAATGGGGCACTTGACCTTCTCTCTTTAACCTTCATGTACCCTCTTGTGTCTCTTCCAAGTGCACCTTTTTTTCTTTCCTATTCTAAGTCCTATTTAAATAAACTTCCATTTCTGCTCTAGAACTTGCCTCGGTCTCTTTTTCTGCTTTATGCCCCACAGTCAAATTCCTTCTTCTGAGGAGGCAAAGGCTGAAGTTTCTACAAACCCATAAAGATAGGCTGCTGGTAACTTGGGGTAACTTGATCTCTTCCACTGTTAACACAATGAAGGTAGAGGCATTGGATAAATATTCCCATTCCAAATGGGAGAAATTGGCCAAAGTAAAGGGGCTACAGGCCCCATGCAAGCCTGAAATCCAGTGGGAGACTCATCAAATCTTAAAGCTCTTTGACTCAATGGCTCACATCCAGGTCATGCCAATGCAAGAGGTGGGCTCCCATGGCCTTGGACAGCCTGCTTCTGTGGCTTCGCAGGGTACATCACCCCCTTCCCCTACTCCAGGTGCTTTCATACCTGGCATTCAGTGACTGCAGCTTTTCCAGGCTTACAGTGCAAGCTATTGGTGGGCCTATCATTCTGGGGTCTGGAGAATGGTGGCCTTCTTCTCACAGCTCCACTAGGAGGTGTCCCACTGGAAACTCTGTGTGTGGGCTCCAACCTTACATTTCCCTTCCACACTGCCCTAGCAGAGCTTCTCCATGAGGCCTCTGCCCCTGCAGCACACATACATCCTCTGAAATGCAGGCGGAGGCTCCCAAACCTCAATTCTTATCTTCTGTGCACCCACAGGACCAATACCATGAGGAAGCTGCCAAGGTTTGGGGCTAAAAAATCTCTGAAACAACAGACTGAGCTGTACCTTGGCCCCTTTTAGCCACAGCTGGAGCAGTGAGGACGCAGCGCACCAGGTCCCGAGGCTGCACAGAGCAGGGGAGCCCTGGGCCAGGCCCACAAAACCATATTTCCCCCCTAGACCTCTGGGCCTATGATGGGAGGGGCTGCCATCAATGTCTCTGACATGCCCTGGAGACATTTCCCCCACTGTCTTGGTGATTAACATTTGGCTCCTCATCAGTTATGCAAATTTCTGCAGCCCCCTTGAATTTCTTCTCAGAAAATGGGTTTTTCTTTTTCTATTGCATGATCAGGCTGAAAATTTTCCAAACTTTTACCTCTTTTTATGCTGTCACCTCTTGCACAGCTTTGCTGCTTAGAAATTTTTCCACTGGATACCCCAAATCGTCTCTCCCAAGTTCAAAGGTACACAGACCTCTAGGGCAGGGACAAAATGTTGCCAGTCTCTTTGCTAAAGCATAGCAAGAATAACCTTTATTTCAGTTCCCTCATCTCCATCTGAGACCACCTCAGCCTGGATTTCATTGTCCATATCACTATCAACATTTCGATCAAAGCCATTCAACAAGTCTCTAGGAAGTTCCAAACTTTCCCACATCTTCTTTTCTTCTTCTGAGCTCTCCAACTGTTTCAACCTCTTCCCATTACCCAGTTCCAAAGTCGCATCCACATTTTGAGGTATCTTTACAGCAGTACCCCACTCCTAGTATCAATTCATTGTATTAGTCTGTTTTCACACTGCTATAAAGAAATATTTGGACTGGGTAACTTATAAAGGAAAGAGGTTTAATTGGCTCACAGTTCTGCGTGGCTGGGGAAGCCTCAGAAAACTTACAATCATGGTGGAACAGGAAGCAAACACATCCTTCTTCACAAGGTGGCAGGAGAGAGAAGAGCATGTGTGTGAACGCAGGAAAAACTAACATTTATAAAACCATCAGATGTTGTGAAAATTCACCCACTATCATGAGAACAGCATGGGAGAAACCTCCCCCATAATCCAATCACTTCCCTCCTTTGACACATGGGGATTACAATTCAAGATGAGATTTGGGTGGGGACACAAAGCCTAACCGTATCAGAGGGTCAGAAGATGTGAAGAATCAAGTCTGAAATTTGGCATAATAATAAACTATGCTTTTAAGAAAATATTACTTTTCTTATAGGAACATTGATTGTGATCAAAATATTTTCACATGTAAGTGTCAGTTTTACTGATATTGGATAGAGGAAAATATTTTGAATATTCAATAAAAATTTCGTTCTTATAGGAAATATTTTCCTTATAAGAAAATGAATTGTAATCAAAAGATTATAATATATTTCTTATAGGAAATATTTTTCTTATAGGAGCATTGATTGTGATGAAAATATTTTTACATATAAATATGAGTTTACTGATATTGAATAAAGAAAAATATTTTGAATATTGGACAATATTATTTTCTCTGTCCAATTGCGCATCCATTCATACTTGTGTCCACAAATACACACTTAATAGCCAGTGCTGTGTAGGAAATATAGGACCTCACATGCTAGGATGTAAGTACAGGAAGGATTCTGTGAATTAAATGAAAGGCTTGAACTCACTTTTTAGACAGAAATGTATTATGAAATTTGAGGAATATTTTAAGCTTTGTGACATCATCATATACCTGTTTAGAGTCTTCCTAATTTTGTCAGAAACGCCCACAAAGATTTGTTTCAGGTGGGAGAGTTAATGCAGCCTTTGCCGATTATGTTCATTTTCTATTGCAGCATAACAATTACCACAAACTTAGCAGCTGAAAATACCAATTTATGAGCTCACAGCTCTATAAGTCAGAAGTCCAGAATAGCATGACTGGCATTCACAAAGCAGAAATAAAGGTATTAGTGAGACTGAGTTCTCTTGTGGAGGCTGTAAGGAATAATCTGCTCCAAACTCATTGTTTCTATATGCAGAATTCAGTTCCGGGAATGGCATGGTGGCTCACACCTGTAATCCCAGCACTTTGGGAGGTCGAGGCGGGTGGTTTGCTTGAGTTCAGGAGTTTGAGACCATCCTGGGCAACATGGTGAAACCCCGTCTCTAACAAAACTACAAAAATTACCTGGGCGTGGTGGCTCACGCTTGTAGTCCCAGCTACTTGGGCACTAAGGCAGGAGGATTGCTTGAGCCCAGGAGGCGGATATTGCAGCGAGCCAAGATCACCCCACTGCAGTCCAACATGGGTGACAGAATTAGACCCTGTCTCAAAAAAAAATAAAAATAAAAAATCTGCTTCTTGCAGTTATATTTGGAGGTTGCTTTCAGCGCCCAGATGCTGCCCCTACTCCCTGCTACTGTAGTCCTTTCCATCTACAAGCCAGCAACAGTGTGTCAAATACCTGTGCTTGCAACCTCTGATTACACCTCTCTGACTGGCCAGAGGGAGCTGTCTGATTTCAAAGGTCTTGTGTGATTAGGTCAGGCCCAGCTGTGTGATCTTCTTGTCTTAATGTTAACTGATAGAGTAATTTAGTTTCATCTGCAAAATCTCTGAACAGCAACACCTAGATTTGTATTTGATTGAATAACTGGATGAAGATGTGTGAACAATAGTGGTTGGGAATTTGGGGACCATCTTATAATTCTATTTACCATGCACCTCCAAATTCTATCAAATATTATATTCCATATACATACACAAGGTTGCGTCCTGAGAGATGGCTCTTTCCCCCTGCGATCCTGTTAATAGAGGAGCTCTGTCATGTATTAGAATTCAATCACAGGATTGAAATACATCCTAATGGAAAGAGCCAAGTTCCATAATTAAGCCTCCCTGGGCTTAGGTCTGAAAGAACACAAGCACTTACCAGAGCCCAATGTCTGTCTCATTTTAACTTCTTAATAAATATGGCTCCCAAAGGCCCTTAGTGAAATATCTGGTCTCCTTGCTTCAGGACAGAAAAACTCTGGCATAGTATATGGAGAAAACTAAGTTGCTGGTTTTCTAAATGTTTATGTATTTTCACTGACTAGTTTTAAGATACCTGTTTTTAGAATCAATAAATAGTATTTTATAACATAAAGTGCTTAAAAGACAACTAATACTCCACTCTTGGACATATATAGTTTAAACCAAAAGTATTTATAAGAAGCAAACATAAATTATATTTTTAAAAATTATGTGGAAATTCAAGGCCTGATGTTTGATATTTACATGTATTAACATTTAGTAATATCCTACTGCTTCGTAATTAGAGTCGACTCCCAAGAGGTAGACCATAATTGCTCATTTTGTAGATGTGGCACTTCTGGATCAAGAAGTGATTAAAATATTTATATTGCACAGCTTGTTCAATTCACTTATATTATCAGATTAATTTACTTTGATTCTCTGTGCATCAATGTTTTCGCCTTTTTTCCTGTAAAATGGTACTTGAAAGAAAATAATTTTTCACTGTAGTTTTAATCGCACCCAGTTGTGCATTTGAAATAAATAAAATGATGATAGATTAATATTGAGACTTTTCTACATTAATATATTATAAATATATTCTCTATGTACAAGATATAAAATACAAAGGGACTAATAGTAAAAAACATTTTTAGTAGGACTCCCCTAATAGATAAAATTTGAATTAGTAATTTGCTAGTGAGAGATTATTTCAAATTTTTTATCTATGTTAGGAAAATTTATTTTGCATGTTTAAAATTGCTAATTATAATGAAAATTAAAGAATATGATGATATTTTATTGTCTTACTTTTTAATAATATAATGTGAATATTGTTTCAGTTCTTTTCGGGTATGTATCTGTGCATATTTGTCCTAGAGAATTTAATATTAAAAGTGAAATTTGTATGAACACTTTTATAGCTTTAATAAATTTATTTTTATAAATACACCACCAAAATCACACTGAGCAAAGACCTGTATTTGGAAATTGGTTTTCAAAGGGCTTCATTTCATATTACCTGTGTTACAAGGTCAAAAGCTAGTAAGGAAAATAATTATCCAGGATGGAGAATGTGCAGCCACGGCATCAACATAGCTAAGAAAATTAGCTTTGGGCACTTCTGACTTGAGCTAAAATAAAAATGAAGTGAGTATGAGACGCTTAATTAAGTGACCAAAACACAAATCCGCTTTAAGTAATTTGTATAAAACTGTAGTACTGAAAATCAAATCTGCTCACAATAAATTTTACTGTCGTTTTTGAAGTATGTTAACAAAATACAGACTTCAGCCTAAGGGCCATTGGAGGCAGTGAGTTTATATCTTTGAGCCCTAAGGAGAGGTACAAAAGATGGAAGAACTGTCAGAACTCTGAGCTCCCATTACTGTTAAACATTCACTGCCCGCAGTGTCTGACAACATGAAAGGAAAGAAAATAGAAGCTTGTCCAGTTAGACCTTAATATCTTCTAGACAACATTGTTGTAGTCCCTTAAGCAAAATAGAATACAAGAATTAAGTTAGGAAAAGAGACATGCCAAAATATTAATGCACAAAATCTCTCTAGCCAGCAAAAGACCTTTTGGTCAACCATTATTGATTTCACCTGGAGGCAAAATTGTCCTTACTGTAACAAACTAACCAAAAGAGTAATTTCCAAAGACAGAGGGAGAAAAAAAGCCTGTAAAAGATGGGGTGGGAAACATCTGGATATAACCAGATGACGAGAAGAAATCCATAAAAAAAAAAAACTTTGAAAATTAACAACCAACACTTCAGTGCAGAGATGTAAGCCAAATTTGTCCTCACTTTAAATATGCGGTCTATCATTATTAAAAATGAAGTAATAAAGCAAAATTAAATTCAGTTAGAAGTCACTGCCTTCTTGTGCAGAAAGTTCAGGCCAACACTAAGACAAACTTCAGAGATTCCCTGAAGCCCCAGGGCTTCCTTCAAGCTGGGGGAGAACATACCAGAGAACCTGTCTTAACCTGTGAAGAAATCTGGATAATAGATTAGTGCCTCCAAGGACAACTGACGTGTTGAATGGGTCTCTCTTCATACGCATGGGTGCACGCACATCAGCGCCAGTTTTCATGGAGGATAACAGTGAGATGCAGGTGACTCCTGCCCCACCCTACGGCATAGAGGGTCACTCTCTTGCCATTACTATCACCATCATGACCACCAACCAGCTACAGCTGGTTATTTCTGCCTGTCTCTACTGCATTGTTCTGACATTGCCTTCAGTCCAATCACTTCTTCCATGCTGTCACCAGAAGCTGGTAGAAACCGAAAAATGTACAATAAGGTACCGGTAGATAAGCTCTCTTTAAAAAATCATGTCCCTGGTCTATGCCATTTGCTGATTTTCATGGTCTAAACACTGACTATGGCTAATTGCAGGCTGCCGACCTGACCTCACCGAAGGTGGAGCTGGGAAGAGGTGTACCCAGCTTCCTCTCAGGAGGAGCCACTGCAAGCTGGCTGCAGCGTACTTCTGAATGTAAATCGGGGTTCCACTGAAGGAAGATTCACAAATTAACAACCAAGAGTTGAGTGCTGTATTCATCAGGGTTCTCTAAAGGGACAGAACTAATGGATAGATGTATATATGAAGGGGAGTTTATTAGGAGAATTGACTCACACGATCCCAACGTGAAGTCCCACAAGAGGCCCGTCTGCAAGGTGAGGAGCCAGGAAGCCAATCCGAGTCCCAAAACCTCAAAAGTAGAGAAGCTGACAGTGCAGCCGTCAGTCTGTGGCCAAAGGCCTGAGAGCCAAAGTCCAAGTGTCCAAAAGCTGAAGAACTTGGAGTTTGATATTCGAGGGCAAGAAACATCCAGCACGGGAGAAAGATGAAGACTGGAAGACTCAGCGAGTCTACTCATTCCACTTTCTTCTGCCTGCTTTATTCTAGCCATGCTGTCAGCTGATTACATGGTGCCCACCCAGACTGTGAGTGGGTCCACCTCTCCCAGTCCACTGATTCACATGTTAATCTCCTTTGGCAACACCCTTACAGACACACCCAGGAGCAATACTTTGCATCCTTCAATCCAATCAAGTTGACACTCAATATTAATCATCAGAAGTGCCATCAAAGCTTTATAAAGATTATAATCCAGACTTCCTTTCTTTTTCACAGACTAGGGTGCAGGATTTGGACTTCTTAAGAGGTTATTTAATGAATACACCTCCTCAAGCTGAATCAGTTGTCTCTGGAAGTGTGTTGTTTTTATTGGGAATGTACAGACCTTGAGGACTGCCTTTCTTATCACCCTAAACAAACATCTCTGCAGAAACCCCTTCCTTTAGTGGAGATAATAGCATGCATAGTAAGGCAAGGGGAACTGACCTGTATAAATGCCATTATTGTAAGACATCAAGCTAAGCATTTTATCTCACTCAGTTACTCCTCATGCCTGTATTCATTTAGCTCTTCAATAAACACACATTTTAAGAAACAGAACTAGTGTTTCTTCACTTAGAAGTTTTTTTCAACTTGTTTTTGTAGAGTTCTTTATTGCAACTTCCACACCCCTGCAGATCCTTTTTTCCACTACACTAAAACTTGTAGTGCACTGGAATTACTTAACAAAAGGAGACTGTAATCTGCTTAAAAGAATAGGAGATACCTTTCACTCAACTTTATATGCTCAGAGTCTAGCACACAGCCTTGTGCATAGAAGTAACTAAAAAACTTTGAACAATGTTAGTAGATAACGGAATATGCACCATCTAGGAAGTCAGCAGGTCTGAGTTCTATGCCCAGTCCTGCTGTTAACTGGTTTTAATTACTCATTGCCTTAGTCCATTTGCATTGCTGTAACATAGGCTAGGTGGCTCTAAAACAGCACAAATTTATTTCTCACTGTTCTGGAGGCTGGGAAGTCCAAGATCAAGACACCAGCAGATTCTGTGTCTAAGGAGAGTCATCTTCTTGATGTGTCCTCCTGTGGTGGAAAGGGGAACTCCAGATTCTTCTGTTCCTTGTAAGGGCACTTATCCCATTCACTAGGGCTCCACCTTCATGACCTAATCACCTCCCCAAATTCCCACCTCTTAATTCCGTCACCCTGGGAGATAGGAATTCAAGATTTGAATATTGATGAGATATAAACATTCAGTCTATAGCATTAATTTCACCTCGGGCCCAGGGACTTATTTATAAAATGAAAAGATAAGCAGATACTTCACAAGGATACTTTTAATATTACATGTTTACAAATTTAGTTTATACTTCCATCAGGGATGACATGAATATCTAACAACAACAAAAAAAAAAAACACCTCTTTCAAATCCCAGCAAGAAAACAGATATTGTCAACTGACACTGAAAATGAATCCTATAATTTTCAACGTTATGTGATTTTGGTATTGTGCAGCCTCACACTGAGCATAGCTGGTACACACAAAAAGAATGATGGTGTGTGAGAGACATGAGCAGGACAACCTTCACTTCCTTAGCCAACCATCTGTGCTTAAAATTGGCTGAAGCTTTGTCACACTTAAAGAAAAATAATTGCCAAAAAATCAATCTATATTCTTGAATCAGCTTTTAATTTTCCACAGCCAGGTAAAGGAATCAGATGAACCTCATCTCTTGTATTTGACAAAGACACTATCCAAAAGTCAAATTTCAAAAGTCAAAAATATGTTTATGGATATCAGCTAAAATAACTTATTTTACACTTTACATGCATATATTTCCATAATTTTTTAAGCCAGGGTAACTTTTACCTTGTAAATAACCCTGACAGAGTTAACTCCAGTGGTATGCTGCTGCAACCCCACGCTGGGGGAGAAAATTGAAATTCCTGATTTGTAGCATTGGCCATTTCCATGGTGTAAATATTTCCATCAGAGCCAATTTCAATGTAACAGCAGCTTAATAACTGGCTCAACAACATTTCTGAATATTTTACAAGGGACTCACATAGGCTGGTATAACAAGGCTCCACCACACCACTGGACTATAACTCAGAGACTTCATCAAATTGTATACATTGCTACTCTGAACTTCTGCTCTATAATCTTGCTGCTCACAATGCAGTCTCTGAACCAGTGACATTGGCAGAATTTAGGACAGGTGTCGGCAACCTTCAGCCACCATGGACTGTCACCTATTTGTAAGTAAAGTTATACTGAAACAAACCACATCCATAAATGATTATAACTAATATGTTTTCATATTGTCTATGGCTGTTTCTGCACTGCAATAGCAGAGGAGAACAGTGGTATCAGAAACCATGTGGTCCACAAAGCCTAAAAGATTTACTACCAGGCATTTTGCAAGCAAAGGCTACCAGTCTACAAACTAGGAGACTATTGGCAATGCAGATATTCAGGCCAAACCCCAGCCTAAACAGAATCTGTATTTTTCAAGATCCTCAGATGCTTCTCTGTAAATTACTGTTTGGGAAGCACTGCTCCAGAGCAGGCTTCAAGAGAGGAGCACACTGAGGACCTAAAAAATTAGAAGGCATTTATGATCAGGCAAGCTTCACCAGAGAAGACAGCCAGAAGGAGATGTGTGCTAGGATATATACTTTAAGGAATTGGCTTATAAGGCTGTGGTAGCTGGGAAGGCAAGTCCAAAAAATACAGAGCAGACCATCAGGAAGGGCTGGATGGAACTCTTGGGCATGAGGGTAGAGCTTCCATCCAAAGGCACAATTTCTTTTTCCTCAGTTAATCCTCAGTTCGACCCTAAATCCCTTTCAACTGACTAAATCAGGCACATTCCAACTATTTAGGGTCATCTCCCTTAGCCAAAGTCAACTGATTTGGGACTTTAATTGCATCTACCAAGTACCTTCATGGAAACACCTAGTTCACTGTTTCACTGATTAGCTCACGACTGTAGTCTCACCAAGTTGATACATAAAACTTCTCATCCTGGTGTAGGAAAGGAGAGTTTGCATTAGTAGAAAGAGCCAAGTGAAAAAGAATATATATACAGGATACACAAGAGAATAAATGTGACAGGGATAACTAGCTAAGTATCTCCTGATTCATAAGATTTCAGAGAGACAAATATGACCCTCTTGGTCTGAAACAATAAATACAATTATTTTCCCACTGAATTTTGATATCATAAAATGATTTGCAACAAAATATTGTATAAATTCTAATAAACCTTGGTAAAAGTAACCTTTTAAAGAAACTAGGTGGTGAAAAACAATTTAAGAAACTAGGTCCCTGAAATAGCTATGGCCTTCAAAAAAAATTTTATTTTTCTCCATGTAAAGAATGATAGCAACTATCTCTGTTCATCAGATCAAACATAAAATATATTTTATCTAAAGAAGAAACTGATGGTTGCTAAAGTCCAAAGGATTATTCTTTGAACCAAAGATCACACACAAAAAACTTGAACTTTCAAACAACAACAACAAAAAAAACAAATATTTTCAATAAGTTTAAATGATAAAGGTTCTCATTCGTAATGAGATGCTAGTTGAAATAACTCTTTAGATTTCTCCTAGCGTATGTACTTGCCAAAGATAGACATAATATTTTCTCATTACTAGCCCTGCAGCAGAAAGGAAACTGGATAGCATGTTCTTTTCCATCTCACTGAGAAAAGGACATTTTGCACCAGAGTTTAGAGCACCAAAATGAAGGAAAGATGGCTACAGAACTTACAATGATACATAATTATTTCTCCGAAAGAGACGGGCTGTGAATACTTGTGTTGATTGCTTCAAGAGGAGCTCTCCTGAGAAATCTGATTTAGGAAAAGGGAAAATAACTGGAACAACTCTCATGCCAAGCACAGACACCTCATTTCTTTATTGTGTCTCATAGTGCTGTAAGAGAATATTTTCATGACCACTAAAGGAGATGTCAAATAAACCAGGGTATATTTAGATTAAGTCATCTTCCCACATTTCTGTGTGTGCTAATCTCCCTATATTTTTTCATACAGAAATCTACATAGTTTGAAAGACTATATATATATGTTGTGTGTATATATATATATACACACAACATATATATATGTATTTTTTTGTAAGTCAGAGTCTCACTCTATCACCCAGGCTGGAGTCTAGTGATGCGATCTCGGCTCACTGCAACCTCACCCTCCTGAGTTCAAGTGATTCTCATGTCTCAGCCTCCTGAGTAGCTGGGATTACAGGCGTGTGCCACCACACCTGGCTAATTTTTGTAATTTTGGTAGAGATGGGGTTTTGCCATGTTTGCCAGGCTGGTCTCAAACTCCTGGCCTCAAGTAATCCACCTGCACTGTCCTCCCAAAGTGATGGGATTACAGGCATGCACCACCATGCCCAGCTGACACCAAATATTTTTTAATATAGAAGTTTCATCTTTAGGAAAATTTCACATTCATCTTAAGATATAATTTAAGGATTGGCCCATGTGCTGAGTTACATAGAAGAAATTTAAGGGACTAGAACAGTGGTTGTCAACTGTGACTGTACAATGGAATCTGCTGGGCACTTTATACAACAGGAATATCTTCTCTGTATCACAAACCCATTGACTTCTAGGGTGTAGAGCCCAGGGTCAGAAAACTGGAAAACTCTCCAGCTGATTGCAATATATAGTTGTAATTGCCTGGTGGGTTTGTCTGGCCTGCTGCACAGATAAAACCAATTCACTGAGACAACAGTATTGCAGTAGAGAAAAAGTTTATTAATTGCAGTACTAGCCAGGCAGAAGGAGAGAAGTAAGTACTCAAATCAGCCTCCCTGAAAATGGGAAGGGTAGGCTTTTTCAATAATAATTTGGGGGGCATGGGGCTAGGGAATTGGGAATGCTGATTGGTTGGGTTGGGGATAAAATCACAGGTGTTAAAGCTGTCTTCTTGTACTGTGTCAGTTCTGGATAGGGTTCACAGGAGCAGGACCAGTTGAATTCGGTCCTTGGTATTAGTCAGGGGTCTGAGTGGAGTCACTTGGTCACGAGAATGCAAAAGTCTGAAAAATAGCTCAAAGACCAATCTTAAGTTTTGACAATAGGGATGTAATTTAGGGAGATTTGGGGTAGTTACAAATCTTGTGACCTCTGGAGCAGTAAATGATTATAGAAAGACAAGCTGGGGGCTGGGCATGGTGGCTCACGCCTGTAATCCCAGCACTTTGGGAGGCCAAGGCGGGCAGATCATGAGGTCAGGAGATTGAGACCGTCACTGTGGAACCCCGTCTCTACTAAAAATACAAAAAAAATTAGCCAGGCATGGTGGTGGGCGCCTGTAGTCCCAGCTACTCGGGAGGCTGAGGCAGGAGAATGGCATGAACACAGGGGCGGAGCTTGCAGTGAGCAGAGATCGTGCCACTGCACTCCAGCCTGGGCAACAGAGCGAGACTCTGTCTCAAAAAAAAAAAGAAAGGCAAGCTGGGGAACAATGGTTGGTTACTGTTTAACTACATCTACACCTTAGCAGAATTTAGAACCCTCTCATAATATTAATCTTGTGGGGTTTCATTAGTTTTACAAAGGTGGTTTTGGTCCCTGAGCAAGGAGGGGTTAGTTTTGGGAAGAGACTGTTATTATTTTATTTTGAAGTTAACAAAGGTAGGTAGTTTGTGAGGTTAGAAGTAAGATGGAATCAGGTTAAATTTCTCTCACTGTTACAATTTTTGCAAAGGCAGTTTCACAGTCAAGGTGGACCAGAAAAATTCAGTAAATAGTCTGAAAAATATGGAATACTCCACTTTTATTTCTTAGTTGTTGCTTTTTAAAAGGAGTACCAGAAATTCCAACTGCCCTTTAATTAAGCACTAAATGCACACAATCTTCAGAATAGAAGCCAGGATTTCTGAGGTGTACTGTTTATGAGCACAGGCTTTCACTCCAGATAGACCAGTCCCTGCTTCCTGTACCTTCATTGCTGCCTTGCTTCTCATCTCTGAATTTTAGCAGGTTGCATCCCCTCTACTACCCCTGCATACTCTTTTCTACACTGTAGCTAGAGGGCTCTTTTTAGAATGTGAATAGGATCACATATCACCTCCCTCTAACTTTAAATTCTGCAATTTATCTTTATTGCTCTTGGACAAAGACCAACAGCTGTAACATGACCTACCACATGCTCTTATAAAGCCTTAGCTCACAGGTCAGCCTTAACTTTCCTCCTGACTGTATGCTGCAACCACGTGAACCATCCTTGAATTTCTCAAACTTAGCCATATTTCTTCCTACTCTGGGGCAGATGGGAAACTTTCCCATTGATAGCTCATTTATGTCCTGAACTTTCTTCAGTTCTTAAGTTGACTGTTCCTACCTGTGGGAAGTCTTCACTCAAACTTGACACTTCCGGGGCATTTTACACAATTCACAATTGCCTATATATTTTGATGTTTACTTAACAAATGGACATTTATCCTGCCACATCTTAAGTCTCACAAGGGCAATGGACATGTTCCTTTTTATCTGGCTTCACCCCAGCACCTAATGCATAGAGCCAGGCCAAAAGTCAGTATGTTGAATGAATATTCTTTATATTAACAAGATAATGCATAAAAAGTACTCGGCAATTATAGAGACTGAGGAGCTTCCCCTGCCATAATTTCTTAAGCCTGAGGTAGTATAGTCTACCTTTGACATGTTGAAACCTTGTAACAAATATGAATTATACATAATTAATTTATGCATCAATAAACAAATATTCATATTCTGGTCTATTGTCAAAAAACAGCATTGACATTAGAAACCTTTATTTGTAATGATATTTTTTAAGGTTTATTGGAAAATCCTATAGAGAAAAACACAAGATCAGGGATGAAAGATAAGCTTTCTTGGGGTTCAGTTCCCATATGATCAGGAAAGGAACACTAGAGGACACATAGGATGTTACCACATGGTGCTCACGTGACTGTGTTATCTGAATGCTCTAAGTCTCTAGTATAAGAGAAAGTTAAAAAAAAATACCTAGGACAAATATGTTTAAAATAAGGGCAAGAATTTTAGGTCCCAACTAGGAACAGTGCAAAGAAAAAGTACATGAAGTTTAAAAGAATATTCTGCTTATGACCAGCTCTGGGACATTCCCCTTCTCAGTATAAGGTTTTGCATATTAGCACTACTGTCTCAAGAGATATGGAATTTCATTGCAGATAGTTGTTTCAGTTGGGGCCAAACTAGTAAGTTATTACCACAATTGAAAACACAAACCTTTCACCCTAAACTAAATAGTAATCAAATTATGTAAACATTGTTAACATTTAGGCTGTTTAAAGAACAACAAAAAAAGCCTATAATAAAACTGTAAGATAAAAATGAAAAGAGTTATAATAAACATGTGTCTCCATTCATTCACCAACACTAAAAAATTTCATGGTCCAATACTTTATTCTCTATATGGCTATAACAAATGCTGAATGCATGTGGTGGGGTGGCCACTGCTACCCATGGCTTGATTTAGCCAGTGCTCAGCCCCCACCTCAGTTGCTTGTTTGAAGGAGGTAAGGATCAAGCATTATCTAAGCAATCAAGATATACACCTTAATGGTGAATAATTGTTTTTATGGTGTTTATATTTCTCTTGATCATCTGAAACCAGGGCCTGATTCTCAGTGGCTCTCATCTCTCAAGTTTACCGTTTCAGGAGCAGGATCTTATGATCTATTGGTTCACTGCTTCCTAAGTTTGACATCTGAGAACTGGTGCCTATCTTTTTATTTCCTCATTGAGTTTTTCTTTGGACTTTATTATTGCATAAAGATTGTTGGGAAGTACAAAACTTTTATATCCAATATTAAAATAATCTACAAAATCCTGTTTAATGAGATACACTTTTGTTGTATTGTGCCATAATATTCTATGCTCGATATTACTTGTAAAGTCAGCAACAGAAGAGAGAACTGATTTTTGATGATGATGTCTATAAACCACTGTAGGTATTGGCCAAAGACAAGAAGGATAGATTATATAAAGAGAATGTTCTAAAGCAGAAGTGGAGTTCATTTTTTTGCTGCAGAGGTGATGGCTACCCCTACCATGTGTAGGATGAAAAGCTAAATGGTACTATCAGTCATGTGTCATTATTCAGGATAAAACACTCAGACTTTGTGTTCTCAATTACTATGTGTTGAATAAGTAAATTAATTGGCCTAATCTTGAACAGAAACTTTGTGCAGTTTCACTACTTCCTGAAGAATATGGGTTTTTTTTGTTTGTTTATTTCTGGAGGAAAATATTACACTGTGGAGGCTGTGCAATTAAAGAAATTCTAGAAAGTCAGGCATCATTGACTCTCAAAATACTTTATTTGATGTCAAGGTCTTTTTAAACAACAACATTAATTAGTAAGTGTTTAGAGTAGTCCCGTCCCTTAATCCACAGTTTCACTTTCAATGGTTTCAGTTACCTGTGGTCAACTGCAATCCAAAAATATTACATGGAAAATTCCAGAAATAAACAATTCCTAAGTTTTAAATTGCATGCCATTCTGAGTAGTGTGATGAAATGTTGTGCCTTTGTCCTCTGGTCCTGCTCCGTCCCACTCAGGAAGGGAATCATCCCTTTGTCCAGTATACTCACACTGTGTACACTACCCTCCCCTTCATCACTTAGTAGCCATCTTGGTTGTGATATTACAGTGCTTGAGTTTGTGCTATCTACAATTTCAGGAATTCACTGGGGTTCTTGATATATACCCTGTTTTAAGTCCCTGGGAGAGACTACTACATATGCACCATGACATGTAATCACATGAATACATAAAATTTAAATTATATAAAGGTTACTTATTTTGTCTATGTTTCCTTTTATATTAGAATGTATTGTCTAACTGATTGCTATTAGCCAAACTATGGCAACCTTAGGGTATGCAAAAAGGGCAAAGCAGCTTACTTGAAGAACTTTCAATCTGTGTCAATTTGGGCAAAACAATAATAGTAATGAATAATATCCTGTAGTATAGAAAAGAATCCAGGAGAGCATATTAATGTAAATAAATAATAAGTAATCAACAAATGGAGGAGAAAAGACAGGTCTGTTGTGTAAGAAAAATCTAATTAGCAAATATAAAAGGAATGATAAAAATTGAAAATTCACCATTTGGCAACAGTTACAGTAATGGTTGTTTCAGACAAGAATAATCAGTAATACTGAAGTCAGTTAGTAAGCTAATCTGATGAGAAATAGGATAGTTACATGATCCCAAAGAATCTCCATATAAGAGACACTTAATAATTACAAAGAGAGAAGGTAAATTTAGAGTAGACTAGGCAGATAACAACTTAACCAAGTGATCAAAGTTAGTACCACTATTAATTGGACAAATCAATGTCATATGTCTCCTGACATAATGCATCGAAAGGGATATATCATCGCTTTGTGATATTCTTGTCAAAAATGTATGATATGAATTTAATCATAGGAAAACATCAAACAAACAAAAATCATGAGCATTCTATCAAATAACTGGGCCAGCACTCTTCAAAACTCCCAAGGACTTAAAAGAGAAAGGGTGAGGAATTGTTCCAGGTTAAAGAACACCAAGAAGCCGTAAAAACTAAATGCAACATACAACCCTAGTTTTGATCCTGGACCAGAAAAAGATCATTACTGACAGTGGACAAAATTTGAATAAGTTCTATAGCTCGGTTAATAGCATTTTATCAAATAATGTTTTGTAATATGTTACTGTTTTGTGCATCTGGATAAAATTTACATCACAAATCTTTATGCTTTTTTGGGTTTTCTAAAATCATGGGTGCAAAACAAGTGTATATATATTTATGGGGTGCGTGCGATGCTTTGATACAGGCATACAATAATAATCAAATCAGGGTAATTGAGCTGTCATTTTGATATTTTATGTAAGCCTGAAATGAATTCAACCTTAAAAGCTAAAACTATTGCTTTAAAAGGTACAACTCAACAATAAGAAAATAATCTGTTTTTAAAAATTGGCATCTCTGAACAGACACTTCACCAAAGAAGATATATAGCGTCTAATAAGGGGCTCAACATCATTTGCCAGTAGGAAATTTCAAGTTAAAACATCAATGAGATAAAACTACATACCTATTAGAATGGATAAAATCCAAAAAAACTGACAATACCAAATTGCTGGCAAGGATGCAAAGAGACAGGTACTCCGAGATATTGCTGATGTGAATGCACACTGGCACAGCACTCTGAAAGACTTACAAAACTAAACATAGTTTTACCAAAGAAACCAGCAATTGCTCAGCTTGGCATTTATCCAGATGATCTTTTTTTTTGAGACGGAGTTTCACTCTTGTCACCCAGGCTGGAGTGCAGTGGCATGAGCTCAGCTCACTGCAAGCTCTGCCTCCCAGGCTCACACCATACTCCTGCCTCAGCCTCCCGAGTAGCCGGGATTATAGGTGCCTGCCACCAAGCCCAGTTAACTTTTTGTATTTTTAGTAGAGACGGGGTTTCACCGTGTTAGCCAGGCTGGTCTTGATCTCCTGACCTTGTGATCCGCCTGCCTTGGCCTCCCAAAGTGCTGGGATTACAGGCGTGAGCCACCACACCCGGCCTATCCAAATGATTTTAAAACTAATATCCACATAAAAGTCTGCATGAGAATGTTTATAGCAGCCTATTCATAAACCTGCAGTCAACCAGGATGACCTTAAATAGGTAGAAAAATAAACCCATGATATTATATCCATGCAGTGGATTATTCTCCAGAAATTTTAAAAATAAGCCATCGAGCCATGAGAAAGTTACATACTATATGACTACAATTGTATGATGTTCTAGTCAATGCCAAACTGTAGATATAAACAAAGATTAGAGGTTTCCAGGTGTTTGGAGGGATGAAATTGTATATATATAAATATATGGAGACAAAGAGAGAGAGAGAGAGAGAGAGAGAGAGAGAGAGAGAGAGTCTCTCTGTTGCCTGGGCTGGAGTGCAGTGGAGTGATCTCGGCTCACTGCAACCTCCGCCTCCCAGGTTCAAGTGATTATCATGCCTCAGCCTCCTGAGTAGCTAAGATTACAGGCATGCACCACCACGCCCAGATAATTTTTGTATTTTTAGTAGAGACAGGGTTTCACCATGTTAGCCAGGATGGTGTCAAACCCCTGACCTCAGGTGATCCATCTGCCTCAGCCTGCCAAAGTGCTGGGATTACAGGCATGAGCCATCATGCCCAGCCCGCGTTGACAATGCAGCAGAATATATTTTCATGTTGAATATAGGATATTAAGTTTTCATTAAAATCCACAGAACTTTACAGCACAAAGAATAAACCTTAATGTATACTTTTTTAGTATTAGGAAGTTGGGATATTCCGGAATGGAATAAAGAATGTGACAAGACAATGTAAATGTGTTTTTAAAAATCACAACCTTTTCACTTAGGTCAGCACCTTTTTCCATGACCCCCTTCAGTTCACAACCTTACTGAAGGCAGTCAAGGAAAAAGGTCCTGACCTAAGTAACTTTGGAAATGAGTCTGTAAGACTAAAGGCAAAAGGAATTATATATAAGCAGTATATTCTATTTGATAAAGTTGTTTTCAAGAAGGGTCTGGTTTAACAGTTCTAAAACCACAATGCAAATACAGTTGGTCATTTTTACCTGTGGGTTCTGCATTCACAAGTTGAACTAACTGCAGATCAAAAATATTTGAATAAGACTATACCTGTATTGAACATGTATAGACTTTTTCTCATAATTATTCCCTAAATGATACAGTATAAAAACTATTTGCATAGCATCTACATTATATTAGGCATTACAAGTAAACTAGAGATGAGTTAAATATATGGGAGGATGTATACAGGTTATATGCAAATATTATGCCATTTTATAGCAGGGACTTGAGCATCAGCAGACTTTCCTATCTGTGGGAGGTCCTGGAATGAATCTCCACAAATACTGAGGAATGACTATATACTGAAATTGAAAAAAATACATAAATGGATGGTTTAATTTCTCGCTGTTGGAGTCAGGGGTCACAGATAAAGAAGAGAGGAGGCTAAAATTATTCATATAGTAATGGATTAGATTTGAAGGCTTAAATATATACTCCTATTTAGGACACAATATAGACACAAATGATTAAGTTGAGAAATATCTATAGATATGTATATATTCATGAGTTACTATAAACACATGTACCTCCTTGCTTTCTCAGCTGAGAAGACCTAGAAGCAACAATACCCAGTATCAACTAGCATACTTAGGGCACAAATCTTTGTTTCTAACACTATTCTCCAGTAAAAGAAACTAGGCTCTTTGAAGAAATTGTTGATTCCAAGACCAGGGCAGAAAATATAAAAGATGAGTGTGTAGCCTCTTATAATGGCAGAAATAAGAAAGGACTCAAACAAAGCCCACAGTGATAGGGTATGTGAAAGGAACACAGGAGCCAACTGAAAGAGCTCGCAAAGACCAAAGCTGAAACAATATAAGCAACAAAATAAAGTATTATTATAACACAAGCATAAAATAAATATTCATAAATACATAGTGTATCATATTGATCATATATGCTTTTGATGTGATCTGATAAGAATGGCACTTTACCTCTCTGCTCTTCCTCTGAAAAGTATACTACCTTGGTGTAGTCATTAAAAAAGAATCAAATGACCTCAACAGAGGGGCCAATATTATTGACCATTAATATTCAGACTCAAATTAATTTCTATAGCAATAACTAAAAATTAACTAAAATAAACCGGATTCTACATCTGCTAAATTTCTCTTCCACAGACATGAATTTCAATTCCAGCTTCGCCACATACTAGCTAGGTAACCAGAAAAAAAATTATTTAAATTCTCTAAGAATCATGTACCTGCCTTTGAACAACAGAGATAATAATTGTTTGGAACTTTATAGATTTGTTTAAAAGTTTAATTGATATAATTCATGCAATTCACTTAATGGAGAGTCAGACGGTGGTACTATATATGTAATTTATTTATTGTTTATGAATTTATCAATTGATTACTATCTTTAAATCTCCAAATTATAATATCAAGTCAGTGAGAATTATAAAGCTAGAAAAGCATAATAGAGTATCTAGTAAAATTCTGCTTTATTCTCAATCAATATAATTTTTGAGGTTAATATTTTAACATATTCCTAAAAATATTTCCAGATAAGCTTTTATAGTACATGTCAATAATGTATGATATTTTCCACCAATGGGCATCTACTCTTACATACTATTAAACAGTGCCTGACACATAATAATTTATCAATAAATGGTAGTTTGATGGAGAGAATGATGATGATAATTACAATGACAATGATGAGGAAAGATTAAAAATGGGGAGGAACGTGGCAGGAAAAGAAACCAGAGGACATTTTCCCCAGTTATAATTATACACATTCTAGTCCCACAATTAGGAATTTTGAGAGTTATAGTCATTGTAGATGGACAATCTATAACAAACTGGCAAAATCAATTCAGTCATAGGAGACAATTTTCAAGGTAAAACATTTCCTTTGTGAAAGTCTTTACAAAAAGATGATATTTTAAATTATTAATTGAGGCTTTAACATCATTCTTTCTAGCATTAGAGAGCCCTTTCATATTAGAGATCCTGAGGGTTAGGGCAACTATTCCTGATTCCCAACTGAGAGCACTAGCCAGAAGTGGTCTTTGCTCTAGAACTGGCATTAAATAATTAGGAACTCTCACAGAAATATTATACTATGATTACAGAATCTGTCATCCTTTCTCCAGGAAAAATAAATATGCCTCCTGAGGCTTAGTCAGGAATTAGAACACCCACCCCACAGTGAAGAATTCTATAATTCTTCCAACTCACACCACTTCAAATGGATAGCAGGGTGATTGCATTAAAAATTCCAAATGGGAGGTCCTAGCCAGAGCAATCAGGCAAAAGAAAGAAATAAAAGGCATGCGAATAGGAAACGAAGAAGTCAAGCCACCTCTCTTTGCCGACAATATTATTCTATACCTAGAAAATCTTAAAGAGTCTTCCAAAAGGCTCCGAGAACTGACAAACGTCTTTGGTAAGGTTTCAGGTTACAAAATAAATGTACAAAAATCAGTAGCATTTCTATACACCAAAATCTTCAAGTTAAGAGCCAAGCCAAGAACACAATCCCATTTACAATAGCTACACACACACACACACACACACACACACACACACACACACACACACACTACTTAGGAATATATCCAACCAAGAAGGTGAAAAATCTCTACAGTGAGAGTTACAAAACACTGGTGAATGAAATCAGAGATGACACAAACAAGTGGAAAATTGTTCCACACTCCTAGATTAGAAGAGTCAATATTGTTAAAATGGCCATACTGCCCAAAGCAATCTACAGATTCAACGCTATTTCTACCAAACTATGAATGTCATTTTTTACAGAATTAGAAAAAACTACCCTAAAATTCATATGAAACCAAAAAACAGCCTAAATAGTAAAAGTAATCCTAAGCAAAAAGAACACAGCTGGAAGCATCACATTACCTGACTTAAACTATATGGTAAGGCTACAGTAACCAAAACAGCATAGTACTGGTACAAAAATAGACACATAGACCAATGGAACAGAATATAGAACCCAGAAATAAAGCTGCACACCTACAGCCATCTAATCTTTGACAAAGTCGACAAAAATAAGCAATGGTGGAGAAAGTATTCCCTATTCAATAAATGATGCCAGGATAACTGGCTAGCTATATGGAGAAGAATGAAACTGGACCCCTCGCTTTCACCATATTAAAAAATTAACTCAAGATGGATGAAAGATTTTAATGTAAAAATCCTAAATCTATAGGAATTCTAGAAGAAAACCTGGGAAACACCATTCTGGACATTGGCCTTGGGAAATAATTTATGACTAAGTCCTCAAAAGCAATTGCAACTAAAACAAAAATTGGCAAGTGGGACCTAATTAAAGTGAAGAACTTCTGCACAGCAAAAGACATTATCAATAGAGTAAACAGACAACCTATAGAATGGGAAAAAAATATTTGTAAATTATGTATCTGACAAAGGCCTAATATCTAGGACGTCTAATAGTAGACCTAGTTGCAATCCTATTACTGGATATATATATATATATATAAAAGAAAATAAATAGTTCTACCAAAAAGGTACATATACTTGTATGTTCATCACAACACTATTCACAATAGCAAAGACATAGAATCAAATCAGTCTAGGTGCCCATCAATGATGGATTGGATGAAAGAATATGTGGTACATGTACACTATAGAATACTACGCAGCCATAAAAAAGAATGAAATCATGTCCTTTGCAGCAACACGAATACAGCTGGGGGACATTATCCTTAGCAAATTAATGCAGAAACATAAAATCAAATACCACATATTCTCACTTTAAAGTGGAAGCTAAATATTGGGTACTCATGGACATAAAGGTGGCAACAATAGACACTGGGAACTACTACAGTTTGGAGGGGAGCAAGGGCTGAAAAACTATCTCTTGAATACTATGCTCACTACATAGTTAATGGGATCATTCATATCCCAAATTTCAGCAACACACAATATAATCAAGTAACAAACATCTACATGTACCCTCAAAATCTAAAATAAAAGTTGAAATTATAAATCAATAAATTAACACACGCTCCATGTATAGTGTTGATTTTAATTTGGAATATGTAAAAATTTAAATATTATAGAAGAACCATGGGCCCTAATTCTTTGGTCTGAGTCAGGCTTGTATTTGCCTTACATGTTACAATAATCTAAATATTCTAAATGTAAAACACATATAAGAAGATAATAATTCCAAATTAAGTCAAGTTGAGACTTTTTTGCATAAGTGTAAAAACTAAAACAAAACACTTCAAACTTTGAAGAAAATAAAATTTGACAATCTCTCAAATTGAAAAAAAATAAATCCATTTTAACCATGACCAGTACAGTATATACACCAATTTGACATGCGGTGTTTATTATGATGCTGTATTAGTTTTTTACATTTTTGATAAAGACATACCCAAGACTGGGCAATTTACAAAAAAAAAAAAAAAGTTTATAGGACTTACAGTTCCACATCTCTGGGGAGGCCTCACAATCATGGCAGAAGGAAAGGAGGAGAAAGTCACATCTTATGTAGATGGCAGCAAGGAAAATAAAGAGCTTGTGCAGGGCAACTTCTGTTTTTAAAACCATCAGATCTCATGAGACCCATTCACTATCACAAGAACAGCACAGGAAAGACCCTCCTCCATAATTCAATCATCTCTTATTGGGTCCCTCCCACAGGATGTGGGAATTATGGGAGCTAAAAGATGAGATTTGGGTAGGAACACAGAGCCAAACCATATCATTCCACACTTGGCCCCTTCCAACTCTCATATCTTCACATTTTAAAACCAATCATGCCTTCCCAACAGTCCCCCAAAGTCTCTACTCATTTCAGCATTAACTCAAAAGTCCACAGTCCAAAGTCTCATGGAGACAAGGCAAGTCCCTTCCACCTATGAGCCTGTACAATCAAAAGCAAGTTAGTTACTTCCTAGATACAATGGGGATAGAGGCGTTGGGTAAATACAGTCATTCCAAATGGGAAAATAGGCCAAAACAAAGGGGCAACAGCCCCCATGCAAGTCTAAAATCCAACAGGGTAGTCAAATAATAAAACTCCAAAATTATCTCCATTGACTCCATGTCTCACATCTAGGTCATGCTGATTCAAGAGGTGAGTTCCCATGGTCTTGGGAGCTTCACCACCATGGTTTCACAGGGTACAGCCTCCTTCCTGGCTGCCTTCATGGGCTGGCATTGAGTGTCTGTGGCTTTTCCAGGTGCATGGTGTGAGCTGCCAGTGGATCTACCATTCTGGGGTCTGGAGGAGTTGGCCGTCTTCTCACAGCTCCACTAGGCAGTGCCCCAGTAGGAACTCTGTGTGGGGGCTCTGACCCCACATTTCCCATCTACACAGCCCTAGCAGAGGTTCTCCAATGAGGGCCCCACCCCTGCAGCAAACTTCTGCCTGGGCATCCAGGCATTCCCATACAACTTCTGAAATTTAGGTGGAGGCTCCCAAAACCCAATTCTTCACCTTTGTGCACTCGCAGGCTCAACACCACATGGAAGCTGTCAAGGCTTGATGTTTGCAACCTCTGGAGCCATGGCCAAAGCTCTATGTTGGCCCCTTTCAGCCACAACTGGAGTGGCTGGGATGCAAAGCACAAGTCCCTAGGCTCCACACAGCATGGGAACCCTAGGCCCGGCCCATTAAAACATTTTCTCCTAGGCCTCTGGGACTATGATGGGAGAGGCTGCTGTGAAGACCTATGACATGCCCTGGAGACATTTTCTCCATTGCCTTGGGGGATTAACATTCAGCTCCTTGTTACTTATGCAAATTTTTACAGCCAGCTTGAATTTCTTCTCAGAAAATGGGATTTAGAGTGCATTGTCAGGCTGGAAAATTTTCAATCGTTTATGCTCTGCTTCCCTTATAAAGCTAAATGCCTTTAACAGCACCCACATCACCTCTTGAATGCTTTGCTGCTTAGAAATTTCTTCCACCAGATACCCTAAATCATCTCTCTCAAGTTCAAAGTTTCACAAATCTCTGGGGCAGGGGCAAAATGCCACCGTCTGTTTGCTAAAACATAACAAGTCACCTTCGCTCCAGTTCCCAAGTTCCTCATCTCCATCTGAGACCACCTCAGCCTGGACCTTATTGTCCGTATCACTATCAGCATTTTTGTTAAAGCCATTCAACAAGTCTCTAGGAAGTTCCAAACTTTCCCACATTTTCCTGTCTTCTTCTGAGCCCTCCAGACTATTCCAACCTCTGCCTGTTACCCAGTTTTAATATCACTTCCACATTTTTGGGTATCTTTTCAGTAGCACCCCACTACTGGTACCAATTTACTGTATTAGTTTGTTTTCACACTACTGATAAAGACATACCGAAGACTGGGCAATTTACAAAAGAGGTTTATTGGACTTACAGTTCCACATGGCTGGGGAGGTCTCACAATCATGGCAGAAGGCAAGGACCAAGTTACATCTTACATGGATGGCAGCAAGCAAAAACAGAGCTTGTGCAGGGCAACTCCCATTTTTAAAACCGTCAGATCCCATGAGACCTATTCACTGTCATGAGAGCAGTACAGGAAAGACCCACCCCCATAATTCATTCGTCTCTCAATAGGTCCCTCCCACAATACATGGGAATTATGGGAGCTACATACGTGATTTGGGTGGGGACACAGAGCTAAACCATCTCAGATGCTAAATAAAGAACATGGAAAGGTAGCTAAATAGATGTTGACTCTTGTTATTCATAACTAATCGGCAATATATAAATAACTTCCAAGTTATATTTCTACACCTTCGATTCCCAGGGCCCTAAAGAATGACCAATAATCACACTGCTCAAGGTGGGAATATGTGAAATTTAACCTGACCAATCTTTAATCCTGAAATAAGAGTCTACAAATTTAGCTGAGTCCTGAAAACATATGAGTTTGAAGAGTTTGTCTAATTCTAATTAGTTTAAAATTCAATTGTAATAAAATGTGATAAAAATCAGTTATTTTACTTTCAATTTCTATCATAGAGAATACCAATAATTTTTACAATAAATTTTTCATATTTCATTTTCATATTTCAATAAAGTATGAAAGTTTTCATATTCATACTTTACCATTTTTAATACTATGATAGTTATTGCTGTTTTCAAAGGACAGCAATTAGCACATTCAAAAATAACTCCAAATACACTGAAAGTTCCTGGATCTATACAGTTATAGCTTGTGAATAACCATGTCAAAAATTATGTATGTCAATAACTAACTTATTATACTATTCCCAGATTCTGAATTCTGGACAGTAGAATGGAAAACATATAACATTCAGAAATTACAATTACCTGAGAAAGAAAATAATGTAAAACAGCCAGAGTAATAATGAAAAGGAATGATGAAAATTTTCTTCTAAAGGTACCACTTATTTTTGGCCTTGCAAAACTTTCACACTTGGTGTTGAATCTAAGAGGGAATAAAAACAGACGAGAGAGTGAAAATGAGAAAGAAGAGCAAGAAAGACCCTAAAAGATCCTGAAAGGAGGAAGCATGAGAGAAACACCAATTGCCTCACTAAAATTGTCTTTCTCAGCACATTGGTTAAGCCTTGCATTTCTTTCTTAAAAGGATTTGTTTTTAGAAGTCCACATTTGAGCAAGGAGAACCTCTGACCTGTACAAGGTAATGTAAACTTGTCTCTTCCTGCTCTTCTCCACTAAGCACAAAAAATAAACCCTGAAATAATGCACAAGACAGCAAAAACGGAACTAAAAAAAGGTGGAAAGACAAAGGCAAACTAGTTAGAAACTCAGAAATGGAGAAACAATATAGCTGCAGGGCAATTTATGTTGTCCTACCCAACAGAATAAAGAGACCCAAGTCACAGAACCTCAACCTAACAGCAGAAGGCAGCCCAGATGTGCCCATCCTTCCATAGTATTGAGTCGGAATCTTGCCAATAATACCCGGCAAACCCAATTCCTCTGGCAAAAGGGATCAATAGTCACCTAAGACAATGCTCTCCTTCCCTTTTCTCCACTAGGCCTGAGACTCCCTTCCCATGCCAAGAGACAAAGGGAATCCAGGGTCTCCAGCAAGGGGAATTCTTTAATGACAAATCCATGCCTGGGAAGCTTACTTGATACTCCATGGGCAGAAGGGTCCTTCTCTTCAAAGAGCACCTGTCCTGGGAAACACGATTTTTCCCTATGGGCCAGAGACTCTTTTCCCCCACTTGAAGGCAACAGGCATCCCAGACTGAGAAAACCTATTTTGGCTGCCACCTCAAGCATCACTAGCATGGACCAGAGGGAGCCCCCGTGGCACAAGATAAAGCAAGCAGATCAAAATAACATGACAAAGACTCTGAAAATTAATTGCCATTAGGACTACAGCCATCAAAAAAGGCCAGGGCCTGTGTGCTAAACCTAAACAAGTGAATGACTGCTAAGAAAATAGATAGAGAGGTAGATAGATAGATAGATAGATAGATAGATAGATAGATAGATAGATAGATAGAATCCAGATTATGAGAGCCAAAATTTCCAGAATACATATGAAAATCACCTATTATACTAGGAACCAGGAAAATTACAAGATAAATTTTAAAAGATAATAAACTGATATAAACACCAAGGTTTATTAATCAGATGTTCAAATTGTCTATTGAGGATTATAAAGAAATCATCCCAAATATAATTCAGCAAGTAATCACAAATTCTTTTGAAACAAATTTTCAAAATAGAAAATTTTAGCATAGAAATTGAAGTTATAAAAAAAGAATAAAATCGAAATTGTAGAACTGAAAAAAATAATAATAGAAATTTTTAAAACTGCAAACTCACTGAATAGGCTCAAATAGCAGAATAGAAATAACAGAGAATATAATCATTGAACTGGAGGACAAATCAATAGACTTCACTCAATCTGAACAACAGAGCAAATAGAGTAGAAAAAAAATTAACAGAGCCTCAGGTGGACAATAACAAAAAGTCCACATACATACATTAGATTCTCAGTAGCAGAGGATAAAGTGAGTGGGCTTAGAGTATTCAAACAAATAAGTCTGGAAACTTCCCAAATTTAGCAAAAGTCATACACAGACAGATTCAAGAAGCTAATCAATCTCTCTATAGAATAAACCCAAAGAAATCCATGTCAAGATACACTATAAGTGAACATCTAAAAACAAATGATAAAGAAAGCATCTGGAAAGCAGCCAAAGGGAAGTACACATTACCTATAGAGAAACACAAATTTGAATAACAGCAGAAATTATCTGAAACCATGCAGCAGATAATGTGGCAAAACAATTTTCAAGTGCCAAAACACCTGTCAACTGCAAATTCTATACCCAGTGAATCTATCCAATTGAATGAAGGGAAACAAACATTTTCTCTGATGAAAGAAAACAAAAACAAAACAAAAGGCTAATAGACCTACCCTTAAAGAATGGCTAAAGGACTTTCTATAAAAAAGAAAAGATGTGATAAAACAAAGAAACTTGGAGCTTTGGTGTATTAATCCATTCTCACGCTGCTATAAAGAACTTCCCAAGACTGGGTAACTTATAAAGGAAAGAGGTTTAATTGACTCACACTTCCACAGGGCTGGTGAGGCCTCAGGAAACATACGACCATGGCAGAAGGGAAAGCAAACACATCCTTCTTCACATGGTGATAGGAGAGAGAAATGAGTACTGAGCCAAGGGGAAAGCCTCTTATAAAACCATCAGATTTTGAGAGGCCAAGGTGGGCAGATCACAAGGCCAGGAGTTTGAGACCAGCCTGGCCAATATGGTGAAACCCCATCTCTACCAAAAATGCAAAAATTAGCCGGGCATGCTGGTGGGGGCCTGTAGTCCCAGCTACTCGGGAGGCTGAGGCAGGAGAATCACTTGAATCCAGGAAGCAGAGGTTGCAGTGAGCCGAGATCATGCCACTGCACTCCAGCCTGGGAGACAGAGTGAGACTCCATCTCAAACAAAGAAAAAAAATCAGATCTTGTGATAACTCATTCACTATCATAATTGCATGGGGGGAACCACACCCATGATTCAATTACCTCTCACTGGGTCCCTCTCACAACAAATGGAAATTATGGGAACTACAATTCATGATGAGACTTGAGTGGGGACATAGCCAAACGATATGACTTCACTCCTTGCCCCTCCCAAATCTCATGTCCTCACATTTCAAAAACACAATCATGCTCTTCCAACAGTCCCCCAAAGTCTTAACTCATTTCAGCATTAACCCAAAAGTCCAAGTCCAAAGTCTCATCTGAGACAAGGCAAGTCCCTTCTGCCTATGAGCCAAAACAAAGAATCTACAGGTCCCATGAAAGTCCGAAATCTAACAAGGCAGTAATTAAATCTTAAAGCTCCAAAATGGTCTCCATTGACTCCATGTCTCACATCCAGGTCATGCCAATGCAAAAGGTGGGGTCCCACAGACTTGGGAAGCTCTGCTCCTGTGGCTTTGCAGGGTACAGGCCCCTCCCACCCAACTATTTTCACAGGCTGGCATTGAGTGTCTGCGGTTTTTCCAGGTGTACAGTGCAAGATGTTGGTGGATCTACCATTCTGGGGTCCAGAGGATGGTGGCTCTTTTCTCACAGCTACACTGGGCAGTGCACCAGTGGGGACTCTGTGTGTGGTTTCCAAGCCCACATTTCCTTTCTGCATTACCCTAGCAGAGGTTTCCTATGAGGGCCCCATTCCTGCATCAAACTTCAGCCTGGACATGCAGGTGTTTCCATACATCCTCTGAAATCTAGGTGGAGGTTCCCAAACCTCAATTCTTGACATCTGTTTACCCACAGGCCCAACATCATGTGTAAGTCACCGAGGCTTAGGGCTTGCACCCCTGAAGCAACAGCCTGAGCTGCAACTTGGCCCCTCTTAGCCACAGCTGGAGTGGTGAGGATGCAGGGCACCAAGTCCGAAGGCTGCACAGAGCAGGGAGGTACTGAACCTGACCCACAAAACCATTTTTCCCTCCTAGACCTCTGGGTCTATGATGGGAGGGGCTGCCGTTAAGATCTCAGACACAGCCTGGAGACATTTTCCCCATTGTCGTGATGATTAACATTCTGCTCCTCGTTACTTATGCAAATTTCTGCAGCAGGCTTGAATTTCTCCCCAGAAAATGTTTTTTTTCTTTTCTTTTCTATTACACGGTCAGGCTACAAACTTTCCAAACTTTTACCCTCTGTCACCTCTCAAACACTTTGCTGCTTAGCAATTTCTTTCACCAGATACCCTAAATCATCTCTCTCAAGGTCAAAGTTCCACAGATCTCTAGGGCAGGGGAAAAATGCTGCCAGTCTCTTTGCTAAAGGATAACAAGTGTCACATTTGTTCCAGTTCCCAACCACTTCCTCATCTCCTTCTGAGACCATGTCAGCCTGGAGTTCATTGTCCATATCACTATCAGCATTTTGGTCAAAGCCATTCAACAAATCTCTAGGAAGTTCCAAACTTTACCACATATTCCCATCTTCTGAGAACTTCCCACCTTCTGGGAAGTTCCAAACTTTCCCACACTTTCCTGTCTTCTTCTGAGCCCTCCCAGCTGTTCAACCTCTGCCTAATACCCAGTTCCAAAGTTGCTTTCACATTTTCGGGTAACATTACAGCAGCACCCCACTCTCTGTGGTACCAATTTACTGTATTAGTCTGTTCCCCTGCTGCTATGAAGAAATACCTAAGACTGGATAATTTATAAAGGAATGAGGTTTACTTGACTCACAGTTCCACAGGGCTGGGGATGCCTCAGGAACCTTACAATCATGCAAAATGGGAAGCAAAAATGTCCTTTTTCACATGGTGGCAAAAGAGAGAAATGAGTGCCAAGAGAAGGGGAGAGTCCCTTATAAAACCATCAGATTTCATAAGAACTCATTCACCATCACTAGAACAGCATGGGAGGAACTGCCCCCGTGATTCAATTACCTCCCACTGGGTCCCTCCCACGACACATGGTGATTAAGGGAACTATTTAATACAATTCGAGATGAGATTAGGGTAGGGACACAGCCAAACCATGTCATTTGTTAAGCAAAAAACAACAGAAATAGGAGAAATATATGTAAATACAATAGATGATCCTCCTTATGAGCTTTCTAAATGAGTTGTGACGTTAGCAACAAAAATTATAACACTATCCGGTACTGATGATGTTTAAAAGGGGGGACCTTTACCCTTACCTATAGGGACCTAAATGGAAATAAGGTTTCTACGCTTCACTCAATGTGGTAAAACACTGACACTATTTATATTTGTGTTACAATATTTTAATACCTAGCATAATCACTAAAAATTATCACTTACAGGGTATACACATTAAGCCAAATCCTTAGTTTTCAAGATCTCCATGACAACTTTAAGTCTTATTTATGGTAAGTATATATGGTTTCTTTATAGTTCAAATGAAACTTCCTTCCTTTCTAAAATCTTCTCAGGTAATCCCCATATCTGAAGAGAAGTGAAAGTCTATAAAACTGTCAACATTAGGTACAGATCAATGAGACAGAAAGTCAACAAGGATACCCAGAAATTGAACTCAGCTCTGCACCAAGCGGACCTAATAGACATCTACAGAACTCTCCACCCCAAATCAACAGAATATACATTTTTTTCAGCACCACACCACACCTATTCCAAAATTGACCACATACTTGGAAGTAAAGCTCTCTTCAGCAAATGTAAAAGAACAGAAATTATAACAAACTATCTCTCAGACCACAGTGCAATCAAACTAGAAATCAGGATTAAGAATCTCACTCAAAACTGCTCAACTACATGGAAACTGAACAACCTGCTCCTGAATGACTACTGGGTACATAACGAAATGAAGGCAGAAATAAAGATGTTCTTTGAAACCAACGAGAACAAAGACACAACATACCAGAATCTCTGGGACACATTTAAAGCAGTGTGTAGAGGGAAATTTATAGCACTAAATGCCCACAAGAGAAAGCAGGAAAGATCCAAAATTGACACCCTAACATCACAATTAAAAGAACTAGAAAAGCAAGAGCAAACACATTCAAAAGCTAGCAGAAGGCAAGAAATAACTAAAATCAGAGCAGAACTGAAGGAAATAGAGACACAAAAAACCCTTCAAAAAATTAATGAATCCAGGAGCTGGTTTTTTTAAACGATCAACAAAATTGATAGACCACTAGCAAGACTAATAAAGAAAAAAAGAGAGAAGAATCAAATAGATGCAATAAAAAACGATAAAAGGGATATCACCACCGATCCCACAGAAATACAAACTACCATCAGAGAATACTACAAACACCTCTACGCAAATAAACTAGAAAATCTAGAAGAAATGGATAAATTCCTCGACACATACACCCTCCCAAGACTAAACCAGGAAGAAGTTGAATCCCTGAATAGACCAATAACAGGAGCTGAAATTGTGGCAATAATCCATAGCTTACCAACCAAAAAGAGTCCAGGACCAGACGGATTCACAGCCGAATTCTACCAGAGGTACAAGGAGGAACTGGTACCATTCCTTCTGAAACTATTCCAATCAATAGAAAAAGAAGGAATCCTCTCTAACTCATTTCATGAGGCCAGCATCATCCTGATACCAAAGCCGGGCAGAGACACAACCAAAAAAGAGAATTTTAGACTAATATCCTTGATGAACATTGATGAAAAAATCCTCAATGAAATACTGGCAAACCAAATCCAGCAGCACATCCAAAAGCTTATCCACCATGATCAAGTGGGCTTCATCCCTGGGATGCAAGGCTGGTTCAATATACGCAAATCAATAAATGTAATCCAGCATATAAACAGAACCAAAGACAAAGACCACATGATTATCTCAATAGATGCAGAAAAGGCCTTTGACAAAATTCAACAGCCCTTCATGCTAAAAACTCTCAATAAATTAGGTATTGATGGGACGTATTTCAAAATAATAAGAGCTATCTATGACAAACCCACAGCCAATATCATACTGAATGGGCAAAAACTGGAAGCATTCCCTTTGAAAACTGGCACAAGACAGGGATGCCCTCTCTCACCACTCCTATTCAACATAGTGTTGGAAGTTCTGGCCAGGGCAATTAGGCAGGAGAAGGAAATAAAGGATATTCAATTAGGAAAAGAGGAAGTCAAATTTTCCCTGTTTGCAGATGACATGATTGTATATCTAGAAAACCCTATTGTCTCAGCCCAAAATCTCCTTAAGCTGATAAGCAACTTCAGCAAAGTCTCAGGATATAAAATCAATGTACAAAAATCACAAGCATTCTTATACACCAACAACAGACAAACAGAGAGCCAAATCATGAGTGAACTCCCATTCACAATTGCTTCAAAGAGAATAAAATACCTAGGAATCCAACTTACGAGGGATGTGAAGGACCTCTTCAAGGAGAACTACAAACCACTGCTCAAGGAAATAAAAGAGGATACAAAAAAATGGAAGAATATTCCATGCTCATGGGTAGGAAGACTCAATATCATGAAAATGGCCATACTGCCCAAGGTAATTTACAGATTCAATGCCATCCCCATCAAGCTACCAATGACTTTCTTCACAGAATTGGAAAAAACTACTTTAAAGTTCATATGGAACCAAAAAAGAGCCCGCATCACCAAGTCAATCCTAAGCCAAAAGAACAAAGCTGGAGGCATCACGCTACCTGACTTCAAACTATACTACAAGGCTACAGTAATCAAAACAGCATGGTACTGGTACCAAAACAGAGATATAGATCAATGGAACAGAACAGAGCCCTCAGAAATAACGCCGCATATCTACAACTATCTGATCTTTGACAAACCTGAGAAAAACAAGCAATGGGGAAAGGATTCCCTATTTAATAAATGGTGCTGGGAAAACTGGCAAGCCATATGTAGAAAGCTGAAACTGGATCCCTTCCTTACACCTTATACAAAAATCAATTCAAGATGGATTAAAGACTTAAACATTAGACCTAAAACCATAAAAGAAGAAAACCTAGGCATTACCATTCAGGACATAGGCATGGGCAAGGACTTCATGTCTAAAACACCAAAAGCAATGGCAACAAAAGCCAAAATTGAAAAATGGGATCTAATTAAACTAAAGGGCTTCTGCACAGCAAAAGAAACTACCATCAGAGTGAACAGACAACCTACAAAATGGGAGAAAATTTTCACAACCTACTCATCTGACAAAGGGCTAATATTCAGAATCTACAATGAACTCAAACAAATTTACAAGAAAAAATCAAACAACCCCATCAAAAAGTGGGCAAAGGACATGAACAGACATTTCTCAAAAGAAGACATTTATGCAGCCAACAGACATGTGAAAAAATGCTCACCATCACTGGCCATCAGAGAAATGCAAATCAAAACCACAATGAGATACCATCTCATACCAGTTAGAATGGCAATCATTAAAAAGTCAGGAAACAACAGGTGCTGGAGAGGATGTGGAGAAATAGGAACACTTTTACACTGTTGGTGGGACTGTAAACGAGTTCAACAATTGTGGAAGTCAGAGTGGCAATTCCTCAGGGATCTAGAACTAGAAATAACATTTGACCCAGCCATCCCATTACTGGGTATATACCCCAAGGACTATAAATCATGCTGTTATAAAGACACATGTACACGTATGTTTATTGTGGCATTATTCACAATAGCAAAGACTTGGAACCAACCCAAATGTCCAACAATGACAGACTGGATTAAGAAAATGTGGCACATATACACCATGGAATACTATGCAGCCATAAAAAAAGGATGAGTTCATGTCCTTTGTAGGGACATGGATGAAATTGGAAATCATCATTCTCAGTAAACTATCGCAAGAACAAAAAACCAAACACCACATGTTCTCACTCATAGGTGGGAATTGAACGATGAGAACACATGGACACAGGAAGGGGAACATCACACTCTGGGGACTGTGGTGGGGTGGGGGGAGGGGGGAGGGATAGCATTGGGAGATATACCTAATGCTAGATGACGAGTTAGTGGGTGCGGCGCACCAGCATGGCACATGTATACATATGTAACTAACCTGCACATTGTGCACATGTACCCTAAAACTTAAAGTATAATAATAATAAATAAAATAAAATAAAATAAAAAGAAAGTCTATAAAACAGATAATCTGCCCCACTCGCTTCAGTGATATTGCATGATAATGTAAACTGTTATCAATTTTTCTTATATGTCCTATCTTCCCAAACAGTTTGGAAACCTTTAAAATATAATCGTGGAAAATGTCTTTGTGAATCCTTGGTGCTCATCATGGTGTGAAGCATGCACATAATCTATATTTAATAAATGTGTAATAACCAAGTAATGAATGGATACCAGTGTTTGCATGGCACCTAAATATTATCTAATAAAAATCTCAAATTTCAGAGATAGAGAAAACTGAGGCCATAGAATTATTGATAAGAATATAGAATTCAAGCAGAAAAGTAAATAATGCAAAATGTATAAGACTTTAATAGTGAGATAGGATCTCAGCAGGGTACCTAAACATGGTCCAGCTACCCTTCATTGTGGTGACGTTGGACCCAGCGGAGGCTGGGTAGGAGCTGTGGCCTTGGTGTAAGTCCTACCATCTGAGACTTAGAAGAGGCTGAAAAACTTGGATCATTAGATAAACATGACAAAATCTGAAGAGACAAGTACCAAGTGTAAAGTGACAATGTCTTCTGTAAAAAGGTTAGCACTTACCCTGTTAGTTTTTAAGTGCTTTATATATAAAGGATGTTATAAAGATGATGTCACATTTCACATTTCAAAAGTACCTTTATTGACAAGTCTTCCAACTTAGTTATGAATGAAACTTGTTGAATTTTGGGGCTCGAGTGTACAACATGGTGACTACAGTTAATAGTACATAATTGTGTACCTGAAATTTGCTGACTGTATGTTCTCACCATAAAAAAATAGTAACTATGTGAGGTGATGGATGTGTTTATTAATTATTGTGATAATCATTTCATCTTAAATATGAATATCAAATTGTCATGTTGTACACCTTATATATAATATTTAGTTTTCAATTATACTCAATAAAAATAATATAAACCAATATGTTTAGAATTGTTTTGTTCACTTAATCCAATTATTAGATAATGCATTGCATTATTCTTCAAAAGGTAAAGTAGTATTAATTTTATATATGATTGTCATCAAAGGAAATAATTTCCTTCCACCACTAAACTATACTTATGAATGATGAGATGTAAATAATATGGGTAGAAACATGATTTTAATCAAGTACCTATCACATCAAATTACCCGAGAGAGGCAATAAAAGAAGAATGAGGACATAGAAACATTCATTTACATAAAAAAGTGATGATCAATATATAAAGTAGACAAAAGAATAAATAAAGTATTTGCTGAATGCAAAAGGAAACGTTGGAGCTAATATTCAATTCTTCTGATGTTGGAGTGGATATAGATTACCATTTTACTTCTATTAAAGGTACTGATCCAGAGCCTAACTAATAAAAGACGCAGCTCACAGTACTCATGCTTCCAGTTTCATGATGTGTTAAAGAGGGATACAAATCAAAGCACAATGAGAAACCTCAGAGCAGAAACAGTTCCGTATCTGTCTTTGGATAAATAGATACACAGTAATTGTGGGTTATATTTTGCATCAGGTTTTCGGCTGAAATTAAAGGCAAACGATATAATGTTCTCTGAGAAATAGCACATAAGAAATTGAATTTAAGACACAACATGATTTTTAATATCTTTAATCAAATGCATTCTTTTTACACTTTTCATATGCTTTGATCTCCAAATCATGCAGAAGAATTGATGTGCTACAATAGCATCAGTATGGGCAAAGAAAAGCCACTCAAAGTCCTCCTCCCTCACCTGTACTATGGATATCTTTCAAAAGCTACCTAAATAATTTCTCGCAGCAAGTTAATTTTATTTTATATTGAGAGTGAATGGCTTGCATGAGAATTTTATGTATCACTTCCTTTCTAAACATGGTGTTTGTTACAATCAGCCTTAAGCCCGAACTGACTTAGATTCCTTTGGGTAGAGGTTGGTACTTGCTGAAGAAGTCTGCAATGGAGGAATGCTAGCTACTCCTCTACCTACCAAATTATAAGCAATGCCACACAGAAACAATTCTGCCAGTCAAAAAGGGATTTGCTAACTAAGTATTTATTACCAATTTGGCATAAAAGGTGGTCTTATAGCCCATTCCGTAAACTGGAGAAAGTTCCAGGTTTTTATCTTTTTAACTTTTCTGGTCAACAGATCACATTAATTGTTCAGTTAGGGAAAATACCCAAATCCAGGGAAAAGATGTGTGTGCCTTAAAGGCTGGGTGGGATCAAGCAGTCAGAATCCCCAAGATTACTCGGCTGGCTTCGGGACCATTTAGGGATTCAGCCTGTAACATTACTCCTACAGGCTGGACATAGAAACTTTAGTTTCTATCCATGCATAGGTGGAATTACCTACAAAATATTTTTACCTTACTCTGTATGTAAAATTTTCTTAATGTCATCAAAACAGCCTGTTTATAAAATTCATCATGCTAAGTAATAGGTCATCATTTCAACAACAAAAATCCTGTTTAGACATTTGTCATGCTAATTAGCAAAGTGGGATGGTGGATGGAACTACATCAAATGAACTGCTCAGAATGGCCCCTTCAGAGGTTATGTTCCTCCTGATTAGAACCATCCTAAATCCAAACACCCTAATTTCCTGATTAAAACCTAGGTAACAAACACATAATTTCACACTGTGCATGCTGAATCATCAAAAGTAAATTATGTAAGCTATAGCAAAAATTTTAAATTAAAAAAATTAAAATATGCTCATAATTGTACCCCCGGATATGGCATATGATCAGTGTTAATGTTTTGACATTCAACAAATACACATGTACACTCATATTTTGGCATATACAAATATACTTAAACATGCACACAAATATAAAAGTAAGCACTAAGTGACCACAGTTTTCACCATCCTATGCTTACAAAGGATGTCATATTAATGTGCAAATGAAATTTTGCTATCTTACGAGTACCACCTGTACTTACAGGGGCTTGAGCTCTCTTTTAAGGATTCATCTTTGACGTCATTATTTCTGGAGTCCCTAGGGGTTTGTCACATGGCATACTTTGCTTTTGCTATTTTCTTATCATTTGACTTAGACTATTTACCTTACAGGTCTATTAATTCTCAAACCAGAATTCTCACCAGAGGGCTCATCTGGCCAACACCATAATCTGAGAGGAAATTGATTGATTGGTCGGTTGGTTGATTGTTTCACTCACTCATTCATTTATTAAATTTGCAAATATTTATTCATCTCCTACTATGGTACTTGTAATGTTCCAAGTCCTGGGGCTGCAACAGAGAAGATAACAGAAATACATTCATTATTTTCTGGAGTTCGCATTCTGTTGACTTTGGGGAAGGTGTGAGAGATGACAATAAAAAAAAAAAAAAAAAACTAAGTAAAACAGGTATCATCTTACCCAGCAACAAGTAATAAAGAGAAAATTTAAAAGAAGGAAAGGTAATGGGGGGGTTGAGATTAAGAGAAGTTGCAAATTCAAATAAGGTGACCGAGGGGAACCACACAGAGATGAGATTTAAGTAAAATCCTTTAGAAAGATGGGGAGTGAGGCACGTAAAGTATCTTGGTAGCTGGATGGAAAACCTGTGTACAAAGGCTCTGTGTCCAAAGCACATGTGTTATGTTCAAGGAATAGCAAAGAAGTGTGTGTGGTTGGAGCAAAATGAGCTGGGAATGAGTAGAGAAAGATGAGGTCAGATAAATTGGGATCCAGATTACACAAGGCTTTGCCAGCCTTGGGGGACTTTGGCTTTTATCTAGATGAGATGGAGCCATTTTCATCATAGAAGTGATATATGTGTTGTTTTACCTTAAGAAGATCCATCTAGCTTCTCTGCGAGAATATAAAGAAGAGAACAAAGGCAAAACAGAGAAACTACTGGACTAATAAAGCAAGAGAAGATGGTTACATAAACTCCATTGATAACAGTGAAGGTAGTCAGGAGTAACTGCATAATAATATAATATAGTTTGAAGGTAAAAACCAATGGAATTTACCAATAGATCAGATAAATAACTTGGAAGGGGGGAAAGAGTATGTTTGATTTCAATATTTTTGCTGCAATTTTAAGATTGGACTTATCATCCATAGAAATTGAGGAGACTGTATTTAAAGGCATGAGACTCTGTGAGATTACCAAGAAAGGAAGGGAATGCAGATAAAGTGAGAAGTTTATGAGCCTAACTTGTGTAAAGCCAGGGAGATGACAAGGACCCAGTAGAGAGGATGGAGAAGGAACTGCCAGAGAGCTGAGAGAAAAATCAGGAGAATATGACTGTCTTCTCTGCATCCATGCCTTCTCATTCATTCCCCAGAGCACAGCTGAGATCAGGTTTTAATGTGTTATGCAACTTTGCTAAAAGTGCAATGATATGAGAATGCAAGTTATAAACAGGGGTGAAATAAGAAGGCTACATTACCTGATGGATGCATGTGAACTCAGGTGCAAAGTTATCCTTATGAGGAGCTGCAGTTACTGTTATCTAGCACCCAACCCACCTGTATACAGGACAATACACTTTTTCCCCATTGGGCAAAAACTGGAGCACATCCAGACTCCCTGAAAATAAGACCAGAGAGAAGGTGAACCCAGAGGGAGAAATGAGTTGCATTATAATGTCAGCCTAATGCTTGAGTCCACAACCCCATTTCTTAAAATTCAAGATATATCTTGCCCCACAGAGATTAATAATAGAAGTTGATTCTTTTGTCCTCCATTTGCAGACCTTCATATATGGGCCTACTTTTAGAATAGTTGTTCGGAACACAATGGACAACATTCATTCATAAGCCTACGGTTAACAGGGTAAAAGTTTTTCTTCTATTTTCCCATTCTAAATTTAATAACAAAAGGAAGGAAATGCCTTTGAGTGTCAGCATTGCTCCAAGTCCTCATGGTGTCGTGTTTAATATCAGCACATGTAAATATCACTTGTCCAGTCTGGGTCCATCCTCATTTAGACCTTCTTACAGCCTTACATGAAGATGACAATTTAACTTCGCTTCTGCAGTTAAATGACAATTTGACTTCGGTCTCTTGACTGCTGATATCCTGTAAGTCACATCACAAACATCCTCACAGGAACAAGCCAAACTTTGCAGCCATAAATTCACACCAAGGAAAGACACCTTTCTCCCCTGGGAACAGAGTCTTCAGCAGTACATCTGCATATCTTGGAGGGGAATCACTTTTCTGAGAGGCTCTTAGTAAAATTTCTCTTGATAGTTTCAGCCCTCTTACTATACACCATATGCTTGTTTTATTGTTCCTCCTTCATTGGAAAAAAAAAGATGAAGATGACAAATCGGTACTGTTAAGTGTTATTCCTGGTAAGTAAATAAGTTTTTTGCACACCTTTTTACACAAGAAAAAAATTGCCTTATTGTTATAAATGAGCATATAATGTTTGGAAAGCTACCACGAGATATCACTTTTCAAAACTCGGGCCAGCATATTGTTTAATGTTACTTCTAAAGTGCATCCATTCATTCATTAACTTACTCCAGGTACCCTTCTCAGCACAAGGACAATGCAGTGAACAAAACAGACAAAACCTGTTTCCCCTTCTAAATTATATTTTAGTGGAGAAGGGAAAGGGCCAGGAATCTGTCTCCAATGAGGTAATGGTTGTCTGAGTGCAACTCACAACACGCATTCATGTGTGCCTAAAAATAGATGGAGAGAAAGGTTATTCGCGTTTTAGTCCTGGCCCTGGCTGAGTTAAGGAGACATGAGCAGTTGGATAGTGTCGTTTCTCCCTCTTGGGCGGTTCGGTGATAGCCTCCTGGTTCCCTGGCAGGGAACTGAAACCCTGACAACTGCAACACTAGTGGCGGGTCCATTCATGAGACCCCACCTTTGTATCCAGCCACTTGGCCTCAGTAGGCAGCAAAGAGAAAATAGCTACTCACAGGAGCTCAACTGTTAGAGACAGAAGACAAGAAGCTGAAGACTGTGGACAGGAGCTTAAAGGAAGGGATCGTGCCAGAAGATGGCAGATGAACGTGGAACAGGCACTAAGCAAGCTGCACCAGCAAGGCCCTGTGCATTATAATTTATCTGTTGCAGGGTGAAGGCCATATGAAGATAGGGGAGAGTTGGTGCTTCCGTCACACATGAAACTCCAACTGACAAAATACCTGAGAAAGACTCTATCCAAATATCAAAAACTCAGAAAGGAAACCTGGAATCACCAACAAAGGAAACAGTGAGGGGTCCTTCCTGGACTGGATGGGTGAAATGCATGGAAAAGGGTGATGATATCCTGTTTGGGAGTTAATATAAATGCCAAATAAGGATTTCTAACATGAAAAAAGACATATGGAAAGTAAATTTTCAGAATATTTTGGAATTAACTGGACTAAAATATCAAAGCAAAACCTCAGATGTTAGGCTGCAAAGAAAAGGAGGAAGTAAAAGTGTTTCAAAGTCATCCTAGAGTAGGAGAAAAGAATGCAGGAAGTCATCTTATTAAAAAGGTACTGCCTTTCTAGGCTGAGGGGAAACAGTAGGAAAGCTGTCATCATGTAAATAGTTGTTTTCTTTCCACACTATACTAAGGAAATTCATGTATGATTATGAACACGGGGAAAGAGAAGGTAATCGGTAATAATAAACAGAATGACTGTGTAACACATCCTCTACACAACAGCACCTCTGAGAGTGAAAGGGGGCCTATATTAGCGATTATCCTGGTAAGGTGATTATTGCCTTAGCAAAAGGAACTGTTTCTGGGCAATCTAGATGGATGGCTAATCAACCAAATTACTCACATACATACACACACACACACACACACACACACACACACACCCCATATGCTTAACGTTTTATCTTTCCTGTTTCATTGGGAAAAAATGATGAAGATGACAAATTGGTACCATTAACTATTATTCTTGGTAAGTAAACAAGTCTCTTGCATACCTTGTTAAAAGAAAAAAAATTGCTTTATTGTTATAAATGAGCATATAATGTTTTGAAAGTTACTGTATATGCACATACGTGTGTATATATGTATGTGTATGTACACTATAGATACATATATACACACATATCGATGTAGCAAAATGAATTAAAGAGCTATGTTAACCAGCCCTGCCCCCACCCCCAAAAAAGGATGTGGAAGCCCAAAGTAGCATCAGCAAGAAACAAGGTAAGAACAGAGAATAAAATCAAATGTATTGGGCTTCATGCATATTGTAAGCAAAAAAAAGTAATTCTATTCAGAGGCAAATTGTTACATTGGCTTAAAAAATAACTCTTTTTGGCCGGGTGCGGTGGCTCACGCCTGTAATCCCAGCACTTTGGGAGGCTGAGGCAGGCAGATCAGGAGGTCAGGAAATCAAGACCATCCTGGCTAACACAGTGAAACCCCGTCTCTACTAAAAATACAAAAAAAATTAGCCAGGCGCGGTTCTGAGCACCTCTAGTCCCAGCTACTCTGGAGGCTGAGGCAGGAGAATGGCGTGAACCCAGGAGGCAGAACTTGCAGTGAGCCAAGATTGTTCCACTGCACTCCAGCCTGGGCGACAGAGCAAGACTCCATCTCAAAAATAAAATAAAATAAAATAAAGAAACTCTTTTTAAGAACTACATTGAAAAGAAACTATCAATAAAGAAAGGCTTAAATAGTGGGATGGACAAATAGATATCAAGAAAATTAAAACAAAGTATAAATGAGAATAGTAAAATCAGACAAAATTAGATTAAGGTCAGAAGCACTAAACATGATAAAGAGACATCATATAGTGAGGAAATAACAGGCACCCTCAGTGAAGGAAATGTAGCAGTCACAATACCCAAAAGAGGAGACTAGTTGTTTACATAAAACACCAACTCTTATCTAAACAAAGAACACTCAGGAAAAATAGACCTCCAGAAGGGGATTTTAGTACCCCTCTTCAGAAATCTGGAATAGTACAATAAACAAATCTGAATTAATAGATAAGTAGACCCTTGAAATGTGTGAATGAGTATGCACCTGCTTTAATGAGTCTATTAAATGTTTAAAAAGTTAACATACTTTGCTACAAAGAACAATTTAACAAAGTACACATTTTCCAGTCTAATTTCTTTGGTGGAATCCAATAAATTAGAAATATGTAATATAGTTCAGATAAAAGATAACAATAATAACCTCATTGACCAAACAAAAAATACACGTGTGTAATATAAAGGTGACCAAATAGATTATTTTGATATTTAAAAACTTGCTCCTAAATTATTATGTATAAACAAATATTCATACTATAAGAACTGTGTTCAGAAAGAAATAGTTGTAGAAGGCTCTGTAATTAAAGAATAAAAATGGAAAATAAAAGCGATGGCACTAAAACTAAGAAACAAATAGAAAATAAATAATAAATTAAACAAAAAGAAGTAAATAAAAGGGAATAAGTATAGCCAGATGTAGAAATTCACAAAAAATATACATATATATATATATATATATATATATATATTCTTTTTGAGACAGAGTCTCGCCCTGTCACCCAGGCTGGAATGAAATGGCGCGATCCCAGCCCACTGCAACCTCCGTCTCCTGGGTTCAAGTGATTCTCCTGCCTCAGCCTCCTGAGTAGCTGGGATTAAAGGCACATGCCACCACACCCGGCTAATTTTTTGTATCTTTAGTAGAGTCGAGGTTTCACCATGTTGGCCGGGCTGGTCTTGAATTCCTGACCTCAAGTGATCTGCTCACCTTGTCCTCCCAAAGTGCTGGGATTACAGGCGTGAGCCACCATACCCAGCCTATTCCATGTAATTTATAGATTGGTTTGGTTTTTGTTTTTTGTTTGTTTGTTTTGTTGCTTTTTTTTGAGATGGAGTCTTGCTCTGTCACCCAGGCTGGAGTGCAGTGGCATGATCTCGGCTCACTGCAACCTCCACCTCCCAGGTTCAAGTGATTCTCCTGCCTCAGCCTCCCGAGTAGCTAGGACTACAGGCGCCCACAACCACGCCCAGCTAATTTTTGTATCTTTAGTAGAGACAAGGTTTCACCATGTTGGCCAAGATGGTCTCAATCTCCTGACCTTGTGATCCACCCGTCTCAGCCTCACGAAGTGCTGGGATTACAGGCGTGAACCACCACACCCGGCCGTTATTTATAGATTGTTTTTAATGCGATTACATTACTTCTTCTATGTTTCTTTTCATTTTCTATTAATCTTTACCTGTTAAATGGTTAGCCTTGATTTTCCAGCCTTTCTTCTTTTACAGAAACATTCAAACGTATAAAATGTCCCTTTAAGTAACACTTTTCTTCATGTCACACTTTTCATTTGTCCTAATTCCTTCAGAAATGTTTCTTTACTAATACTCTGTCTTTTGGTCTAATCTATCCTTCACTTCCTCCTATATATATTTTTCTAATTTCTTAAGGTTGTTTTCAGTTATTTTCCAATTCTTCTTAATTGTTGGTAATCTTTTGTTTCTTGCTTGTTGTTTTATGCTATCTTTTATTACTTTAAATATTTCATATGTGGATGATTTATTTACTAACTTTTAATATCTACAGTCCTTGGGAATCTAAATCTGTTTATTTTTCCTAATGACTCTCACTTATTGTAACTGGATTTCTTATGTTTTTGGTGATATTTGACTGTTAACTCATATTTAATTAAACTAATTCTTAGAAATCCATGGAACAAAGTTGGAGTTTACCTCCTGGAAAAAAAAAAAATGTACTTGCTTCTGTGTGGTGCCAGATTGTTGATTGACCTGACACTGCATTGGCCAGTTATTTTGGGTACATATTGGTGTCCTAGAGAAACCAACTGTATTCATCTGCTCAGCCTTCCTTAAACAATTAGACTGGGTAGCTTAAATTGCAAAAATTTACTTTCTCACAGTTCTGGAGGCTGTGGAGTGTGAGGTGAAGGTCTGGTAGGGCCGGTTTTTGGTGAAGGCTGTCTTCTTAGTTTGTAACATACGGCCACCTTCTTTCTGTGTCTTTACAAGGTAGAGTGAAGTGTGGGAAGAGAGAGAGAAATAGAGATGCAAAGAGAGAGAGGAACAGAGATGCAAAGAGAGAGAGAGAGCGGTGTCCCCTCGTACCCTCCCACCCTCTTGGCTCTTCTCAGAAGAGATTTTATCCTATTGGGTTAGGGTCCCACCCTTATGACCTCATTTAACCTTAATTACTTCCTAAAGGTCCTGTCTCCAAATACAGTCACACTCAGAGTTAGTGCTTCAATGTATGAATTTGGGGAGTGGGTGGGACACACAATTCAATCCATAGCACCAACAGAACTTTGCTGTGGGCTGAAGCTTCATGTTTTAATCTCGGTGCTGAAACTCATCTATGTCTCAAAGACAATCTTGAGTTTAGCATTTACTAACTACTTTCCATTCTCTTAGTTTACTTTTTTGTTGTTTGCTTCTTTTCTCCCTTGGGACATTTACGTCACTTCTTTATGAGCCTAGATATGCCATAAAGAATATGTTTTTGCAGTGTATTCAAGAACTAATTATCTTGTGACGGAAGTGTGTTTGAGAATATTTTGTTGATAGCACCGCTGGCAGTAGAAGAGTTATAGCCAGTTGAAAGCTTAGAGGATGCATATGCAGTCTAACTTGAACTGTTATTGGCTGATGTGGAAAAGGTGTTATTCATAGTCCTGCCCATTTCCTTCATTTATTCTATAAGTGTTGTAGTAATCCTTAATTTTGTAGTCACTAATCATTCAGAGAATATGATAAACGTTATCAAACTCATCTCCATAAAAACATGCATATGCATATGTGATTAATATTTTGCATGTAATTTCACAAAGTTTGCAGGCCACTTGAAGCCCATCTGTGTACTCTTTAAGGTTCCAGGTTAAAAGACACTGGATGGGACAACTAATAAAGTTTATAAAATTTTCTTGAGTGATGAACTTAAAGAAGATGTAGGGTCAGTATGTAGAAGGGAATAATAAACTTGTTACCCTCAGATTCTATCAATGGTTTCTTGAAAGGCAAAGTAGAGTTCAGCAACAATTTGGATTCTCTACATATGAAATCACATAGGTTGGATTGGCTTTACTCTATATGATAATGATTTCAGGAAAGAACAATTTTATCTCCCCTGTGTTAGGCAAGTAAGAATCAAAGTCATTCATGTGCCAAGCCAGATTTTAATACCGAGACTCAAAGCTGTAGTGTTGGCATTTAAGGGACCGATCTGAGGAGTAAATCAGGAGAAAAAAAAATCTAAGAAGAGTTTGCTGGATATCCTAATGGATACCCTTCCATTTAGCCAAAACCATGGTGCTATCATCAGAAGGAAGGTAAGTATTTCTTTGTCAAGGGCTTTGATAATGGAGGCAGCAGGAAACAGATCGATGCATAACAGAACAGGTTGCAGAAATCACTAAGACAGCACTCATTATGTGTGGCCAGGAGGCTCTAGTATCAAAGTCAGGGAAGGAAAAGTAGAGTGGATGCCAGAGTGCTGTGAGAGCATCCAAAGGGTCCCTTAGGAAAACAGCACCTTAATTAGCTCAGTCATGGGAACAATTGCCATAAATGAGTATCAGTTCCTACTTACAGGTTTTTGAATCAGGGGTGTGTTGTAAGGAACCTGTAATTATGAGGCTATAGCTTGTGAGTGACTTATGCTTATGTAAATTATAGTACATTCAAGACTGTCTCTTGAATTTACTTGTATTCCAATATGCCTTTTTAAATAGGAAAGTATTTCAAAACACAACCTAAAAGACGGCTACGAAGTCTCACTGTTAGGTGCATGGGCCTCTGGAGTTGGGATGCCAACATTCAACTCCTGGCTCCCCTACTTCATAGCTGCTTGGCTTGGGGAGATTACTAACAAAACTGAAGCAATAGCTATGAGTAGCAGATGCAATTTTTGTAATACAAGCAACTTTATTTTATTCTAATAATCAATCAATGACCAAATAACATTACAAGGTCAATGATACTAATTATATGAAAAATACAATTATAAATCTAAGCATGATGAATTTTGAGGAATTTTCACATAACACCCAGAATTCAGTCATCTTGCAGTGAAAGTTCAAGCAAATAGACTCCATCATATTCTCTTAATATTATAGGTGACAAAAAGACCCTGGCAGGGTTAGGCACTGTCAATGTTTATATACCTACTCTAGATGCCTAGATGCTAATTTTACTGAAACCACCTTTGCAAAAATTATAACGAGAAAATTATGACAGTGAAAAAGATCTGACCTAACAGACTCCATCTTGCCTTAACCTGCAAACTGCCCTTGTTCATTCCTAGGCATAAGCTGAACTAACTATAGGAGGAATTTAGTTTACAGTTTAGTTTTGAAACAAAGATGGTAGCTCTTACCAGACACAAAGGGACGAGACAGCCCTTGTAAAAGTAACAAATTAGCCTTGGACAAGACTGTCTTTGTAAAACTAACAAATTACCCACAAGATTAGAAATTATGGTTTAAGAGTCATGCAGCCAGAGGCCACAAGATCCCTAACCTCCTCATTTGCTCCTATGGATAACATCACTATTATAAAACCTAATATTGGTGCTTGAGATATTTTTCAGACCTTCCATTCTGATGCACCAGCTGGTGCTAACCAGGCTGGTAATCTGAATCTACTAGTTCTGGGATCTCACCCAGGAACATATGACAGCAAGAAGAACTCACTTTGACTCCCTATGATTTTATCTCCAACCCAACCAATCAGCACTCTTCACTCCCTAGCCCCCTACCTGCCAAATGATTCCTTAAAAATCCCAGTCCCCAAATTTTCAGGAGCCTGTTTTGAGTAATAATAAAACTCTAGTCTCCCATTTATCCAGCTCTGTGTACATTAAACTCTTTCTCCATTGCAATCGTCTGTCTTGATAAATTGACTCTATGTGAGCAGCAGGCAAGAAGAATTCATTGGATCATTATAGTAGTACTGTGCTGTACATACATAGTTTTATAAAAATACTTTTTGTGTTGTCTTTAATCAATAGCAAATCATCTCAAATCATAGAGCAACCATAAGAGTTACAGAGGAGTGACACTTTGTAGAAAACAAAATCTCTTCATTAATACTTTAAGACAATTGAAATATTCCTTTATTAAATGGAACTAAGAAGGGATAGCCACATAAGGATTTCAGGAGCATGGAGTGGGATGTTATAGAAAGATAATATTGAGGAAATCTATCCTTACATTTGAGTGATCCAAGTTATTTTTGAAGAAAGTTTGGCGACTCATCTGCCTTATGAAAATAGGAGAGCAAGAAACATTCTCTGCACAGTGTGAAGTTCCTCTGTCTTTCATATTTCTAATTCCGGGCAGCATGCTGTCTGCTCCAAAGAACAGGAAAACAAATGCCAAGCTTTAATCAGAGTGGTATGGGCTGTGTGGGGAGTTTCAGATCATTTGCCCATTGCTAACAATGTCATGCAGATTCCCTTCAGAATCTCAATGCCTAGACCTTTGCCCTTGCTGCAAACGGAAGGTTGCAAAACACTGAAGAGCAGCAATCCTGGATTAGCTTAACATTCTTTCTCTATGTTCAGGAAAAAAAAAAGAGAAGGTAACAATTTCAATCTAATTTAATTCTATAGTGAAACAAGGAATAAGAATCTCTGTAGTGTTAAGCTAACCTTTTTCAAGGGTCGGGCTTTTTTTTTTTTTTCCTTCTTCTTTTTCTTTAACTGTATCTTAGTAACACTGATAGCCCAAGAGTATCCAAGGAATTGGAAAAAAAAAAAAAAAGTCTATTAGTAAGAGAAATAGTTTAAATTCTCTTGAACCTTAAAAAGCTGCCTTTTAACAAGGATCATTATTTTTGAAATGCTAAAGCACTAGTTATGTTTAACAACAAAATATTTGATTATTTTACTCTGTCTATTCTTTGGGAAACTGGGGAGAGATGTTTTTGTCAGAGGCCTGTGAACCAGAGCAACTCCATCTTGAATAGGAGCTGAGTAAAATAAGGCTAAAACCTACTGGGCTGCATTTCCAGATGGTTAAGGTATCCTAAGTCACAGGATTAGGTAGAAAGTCGGCACAAGATACAGGTCATAAAGACCTTGCTGATTAAACAGGTTGCAGTAAAGAAGCTGGACAAAACCCACCAAAACCAAGATGGCCACAAGAGTAACGTCTTGTCGTCCTCACTGCTACACTCCCATCAGCGCCATGAGAGTTTACAAATGCCACAGCAATGTCAGGAAGTTACCCTATATGGTCTTAAAAGGGGAGGCATGAATAGTCCATCCCTTGTTTAGCATATCATCAAGAAATAACCACAAAAATGGGCAACCAACAGCCCTCAGGGCTGCTCTGTCTATGGAGTGGCCATTGCTTTATTTGTTTACTTTTTTAATAAACTTGCTTTCACTTTACTCTGTGGACTTGGCCTGAATTCTTTCTTGCGTGAGATTCAAGAACCCTCTCTGGAGGTCTGGATCAGGACCCCTCTCCTGCAACATTTTTATAAGACTTGAAACCTCTGTTTCTCCACAGCACATAACTTTGAATTCTAATATGATTTTTTTGGATGTATTATGTCCCCTATGATGTTATATTTCTTGTCTCCCAATACTATTATTGGAGTTCTATTTCCATTGAAATAAAATTTAATTTTTTTTCTATTATCAAAGAAAAATTGCACCAGGCAAGTTAAACAGGCAGGGGAAACTTTATTCAAGGTTATTTTGATAGGGGAGAGAAACTGAGTTCAACTCCACTGAAAGAAACTGCTGGGAGGATTTCAAGTGCTGGCGTGAATTTCTGGGAAAGTCCTGGAGGACATTAGGGTGCAGGCTGGTCACTGTGGTCAAGCCATCTCTGTTTACTATTTGGTGCTTATTAGAGCTAGGCCCCTACCTTCCCACAGAGACTGGGAGATGGAAGCCATGTTTTCCTTGATGATTCCATTTCAGGGAAGGCTCCCAGGCCCTTCAGAAACACATTCTGGTGTCATAAAATGACTAACAAGCTTCTAAAAAGTATTACATCTCAAAGGGATTTCCTTAAAGCAAGGAATTTAGAGTTTCAAGTTTTCTAAAATAAATGTCCCAAGAAGAGGAAGATCAGGTGCCTGTAGTCAGAAAGAAACCTATTTAAAGTTTAGTCAAGGTAATGGAAATGTTAAGGCCTTTTAAAATTTTAATTTAATTTAATTTAATTATTTTTGAGACAGAGCCTCTCTTTGTGGCCCAGGCTGGAGTACAGTGGCATGATTTCAGCTCACTGCAACCTCTGCCTCCCAGGTTCAAGCAATTCTCCTGTCTCAGCCTCCCAAGTAACTGGAACTACAGGCATGAACCACCCCGCCTGAATAGTTTTGTACTTTTGGTGGAGATGAGGTTTTGTTATGTTGGCCAGGCTGGTCTCAAACTCCTGGCCTCAAGTCACCTGCCCACCTTGGCTTCCCACAATGCTGGGATTATAGGCGTGAGTCACTGCACCAGGCCAGGCCTTCTTAATCACTATAGTCACTATAAGATAAAAGAAATTCTGCTTCGGGTTAATATATCCACTTCTGTGTGCTAAAACTTTAATTAAGATGAAGTAATTTAGGAGATGTTATAGGTTTGAGAGAGAACAAAATAAGCTTCCAAATATTTCAGTCCTTTATGATAAATTCAAATGGAGTATGCTTAAAATATGTATATAATCAAATTAGATAATATATAAAACATGATATATTTTATTACTTTAACAACCTATTACAGATTGTGTTTGAAGTTTGATTTTTTAATGTAGAATATCATAAATACTTCATTTATTTAATTTAGGATTTACCTTTACAATAAAATAGCATACTCACTTTACAAATTATGTAATTCAATATAAATCATGCTCTATTCAGGACCATTTGTGGTTTGTTTGTTTCTAGTTAGCTACATCTGGTGTGCAGCAAAGATGATATTTCTAAACAGTATACCATGAGTGTCTTATGTAATGAAAACACTATACATAAGTTTACTGCGGCTTTTAAAACTTATATGAGATATCTTCTGCTAGTCAAACAACAAGAAGCATAGTTTAGAGACTTTGTTAAGATGACATGATCTTCTGGTGATTGAATAAAGATTTAAGAAGCTTCAGGAGTTTAAAATTTCTTACCAGATCTATTTGATCACCACATTTTTAGGCCATTTTAATGCTTACATTGTATGCTTATTGTTAGATCTATAGTAATTATTGCATTTGTATTTGGGTTAATTTTTATTATTATCCTGTTCCATAAAGAATTAGAGTAATTTATGAGAAACATAGCAAACTGCGGTTTCCTTTCCAGTTTTTCCCATTAAGAAGAAGAAAAGAATATGGAACTAGAACATGTCTCTCTCTTTGGAATGCATGTCTGGAAGGATAGCTCCCCAACAATGTCCACATCTTAATCCCACGAACCCGTGAAGATGTTTCACTATAAGACAAATATAGTCTTATATATTGCGCATATATATATAGAGCTATATAGCATATATAATATATATATATATCAGCTAATTATAGCTGATATATATATATATATCAGCTATAATTAAGATTACGGACTTTAAGATAGGAAGGTTATATGGATGACCAAACAAGTCCAATGTCATATCATAAACCCTTAAAAGCAGAGAACTTTCTCTGGCAGAAAAGGAGATGTCAGAAAGATCCAAAGAATCCGAGGAACTCAGCTCATCCTTGCTAAAGGGGGCACCAAAGGAGCATGGGGAGGAAGGTGGGCAGCCTGTCAAAGCAAAGCAAGGAAGTGGTAAGCTCAGCCCTAGAATGTAAGAAACTGAACTTAGCCAACAATCCAAATGATCTGGTAAGGAGATTCTTCCTCTAAGCCATGAACAATGAACTAAGCCCTGATGACACCGTGATTTTAGTACTGTGAGCCCCGAAGCTGAGGAACCAGCTCAGCCACACCATGCCCAGGCTTCTGACCCACAGAAATGAAGGTATAATTAATGGGTATTGTTTTAAGCATAAATTTTGGGTAATTTGTTGTGGCCACAATGGAAAACTAACATGGTAAGTATATATAACTTATCTCCACATTGTCTTTTATCTCGCTTTATGAATCAACTATATTTTCAAACATATTTCACATGACAGATACACCTTGCAATGTTTTCAGTTTTCTTTCACCTCTATTGGGCCGCAAAATTAATGCACAAATTTGCTTGAGGAAAAATGATACTCAAGGTAATTTCAAATCAAATATGGGCCAGGCACAGTGGCTTAGGTCTGTAATCTCCACACTTTGGGAGGCCAAGGCGGGATGATTGCTTGAGTCCAAAAGTTCAAAACCAGCCTGGGCAACATAGTAAGACCCTGTCCCCACAAAAATTTCTAAAAAGTTAGCTAGGTATAGTGGGGCATGTCTGTAGTCCCAGCTACTTGGGAGGCTGAGGCAAGGGGATAGCTTGTGTCCAGGAGTTCAAGGGTGCAATGAGCTCTGATTGAACCACCACGTTCCAGCCTGGGTAACAGAGTGAGATTCTGTCTCTAAATACATACATAAATATCAAATTAGTCCAAATATTTATGCTTACTTTTAACAACTTCTTTGCTTTAGATTCTCAGGTGATAGTAATTTTGTTCTTTTATATTATGCTGAAACTTAAAGCTTCAAATAAGAAAATAAAATATTGAGTTTTTTTGTATTCCTTTTGAGACTCAAAGATTCATCTTTATTCTTTGATTAGCTTTTTATGAGATTAATACCTCTGAAGGGCTACATCCAAAAGATGTGAGTTTTATAAATACATTTGTATTTGTCCTGGCAGTCTGCATTCCCTCACCAACTCTGCCAACACTGATGAGAAGAAACAGCAACTGAAACATGCTGTTATGCTTAATACACAAATAATGAATCAGGAATAGAGTATTTTAAGTACCTTATGCTATCAGTTAAGTCAAAGTACCACAGACTGGGTGGTTTAAACAACAGAATTTTATTTTCTCACATTTTTTGAGTCCAGGATGCTGTGATCAAGGTACCAGCTGAGTTAGTTTCTTTCTCTCTCTTTTTTTTTTTTGTTTTTTTTGAGACAGTGTCGCTCTGTCTCCCAGGCTGGAATGCAGTGGTGCAATCTCAGCTCACTGCAACCTTTGCTTCCTGGGTTCAAGTGATTCTTGTGCCTCAACCTCCTGAGTAGCTGGGATTACAGACGTGCACCACCACTCCCGGCTAATTTTTGTATTTTTAGTGGAGATGGGGTTTCACCATGTTGGTCAGGCTGGTCTCAAACTCCTGACCTCATGATCCACCCATCTCAGCCTCCTAAAGTGCTGGGATCACAGGCATGAGCCACCGCACCTGGCTGAGTTGATTTCTTTTGAGACCTCCCTCCTGGGCTTGCCAATGGCCATCATCTCCCTATGTCTTCACACTGTCTTTATTTTATGAGTGTCTGTGTTCTAATTTCCTTTCTTTTAAGGACACTGGTCATATTGGATTAGGGTCTACCTTAAATGACTTCATTTAAATTTAATCACCACTCTTGTGACCTTATCTCCAATTATAATCACATTTAGATACTGGAGGGTAGGATCTCAACATATGAATAGTTGGGAGACACAGTTTAGCACATAACAGGACTTAATGGCAAGTTACTTTTCTATACTTCACTCTCACTAAAATTACAGCAGACACTATGATAAGTTCTGTATATATAACATCTAGAACAATGACTAAAAATGCTATGCAAAGAGATACACTCAAATACACCACAAGCAAATCAAAATGAAATACTAAAAATTGTTCAGTTAAGCCATAGGAGAGCAGGAAAAAATAAAACAAAGTATTAAAAGCAGAGAAACAAAACAAAATGGTAGAGTTAAACTATAAAGCACTAATAGTTAAATTGCATATAAGAATACTAAACACACCAACTTAAAATGGAGATTAATATAGTGGACTGAAAACCATTACCCAACTCTAAGCTGTCTGTAAGAATTGCATGGCCGGGTGCGGTGGTTCACGCCTGTAATCCCAGCACTTTAGGAGGCCGAGGCGGGCGGATCACAAGGTCAGGAGATAGAGACCATCCTGGCTAACACAGTGAAACCCTGTCTCTACTAAAAATACAAAAAATTAGCCGGGCATGGTGGCGGGCACCTGTGGTCCCAGCTACTCGGGAGGCCGAGGCAGGAGAATGGCATGAACTCGGGAGGCGGAGCTTGCAGTGAGCCAAGATTGGGCCACTGCACTCCAGCCTGGGCGACAGAGCAAGATTCCGTCTCAAAAAAAAAAAAAAAAAAAAAAGAATTGCATTTAAATATCATGATAAAGGCAAGTTAAAATTTAAGGGATGGAAAAGGATATTTAACACAAACATTAAGCAAAGAAAAGCAGGAATGGCTATATTAGTATCAGATAAAGTAGACTTTAGAAAGAAAGATCACTAGAGGCAGAAAGAATCATTATACAGTGGTAAAGGGCCATACATCAAGAAAACATAAAAGTCATAAATGCGTATGCATTTATACACTGTAAACAACAGTCCTACAAAATATGTGAAGCAAAAACTGATCAACTGAAATGAGAAATAACAGACAAACACCACAGTTATAGTGAAGGCTTCAAGACTCATCTTTCACAAAATTGAAGAGAAAATCTAGAAGGATAAAGAACTCAACAATATTGTCAACCAAAAAGATCAAATCAACATCCATAAAACAATTCACTCAACCACAACAAAATATATATGCTTTCTTTATACTTCCACAAAATACGTAACAAGATATGCCATATTTTGAGTCATAAAACAAGCCTCAACAAATTTTTAAGAACTAAAATCAGACACAGCATTTCTTTACCAAAATAGAATAAAAGTAGAACTCAATAAGAGAACGATGACAAGAAAAATCTTCACGTTATTGCAAACTAAATGATACGCTTGTAAATAACCTTTGGATCAAAAAGAAAGTCTTAAGGAAAATTTTAAAAACACAGAATGAAAATGAAAATGCAGCATGCCAAAATTTGTGCAACACAGCTAAGGCTATGAGAGGAAAATTTGTAACAATAAATGCATACATTCATCTCAACTCAATAATCTAAGCTACAGTGTTAAGATCCTGCAAAGAGAAGAACAAAATAAATTCGAAACAAGCAAAAGAAATAAAATAATTAAGATACAAGCAATTTCATTGAACAGCTACAGAATATAGTCTTGTCATCAGCATGTGGAATGTTCTCCAGGATAGACCATATGTTAGGCCAGAAAAAAGTCACAACAAATTTAAAAATTGAAATCATATTAAGTATCTTCTCAGACCACAATAAAATAAAATTAGAAATCAATACTAGAAACTTTGGAAACTGTACAAATACATGGAAATTAAACAACATCTCTTGAGTGACCATTGGGTCAATGAAGAAACTAAGAAGAAAATAAAAAAATTCTCAAAACAAATAAAAGTAGAAATACAACATACCAAAACGTATAAGATACAGCAAATGCTGTACTAAGAGGAAAGTTTAGAGCAATAAATGCCTACATCAGATAAGTAGAGAGATTTTAAATAAATAATCTAATGATGCACCTCAGGGAACTAGAAAAACAAGAATGAGCCAAACCAAAAATCAGTAGAAGAAAAGAAATAAGAAAGATCAGAAGAAAACTAAACAAATAGAGGCTGAAAAAACAATGCAACAGATAACAAGGCCAGGCCCAGTGGCTCATGCCTGTAAGCCCAACAATTTGGGAGGCCGAGGAGGGCAGATCACTTGAGGTCAGGAGTTTGAGACCAGCCTGGCCAACATGGAGAAACCCAATTTCTACTAAAAATACAAAAATTAGCCGGGCATAGTAGCAGTCGCGTCTCATCCCAGCTACTCAGGAGGTTGAGGCACAAGAATCGCTTGAACCCGGGAGGCAGAGGTTGCAGTGAGCCGAGATCATACCACTGCACTCCAGCCAGGGGGACAGAGCAAGACTCCATCTCAAAAAGAAAAAAAATTTTTTTAATTTAAAAAATTTAAAGAAAATTAGCTGGGCATGGTGGTGCACTCCTCTGGTCTCAGCTACTTGGGAGACTGAGGTGGGAGAATCGCTTGAGCCCAAGAGGTTGAGGCTGCAGTGAGCTGAGAGTGTGCCACTGCATTCCAGCCTGGGTGACAGAATGAGATCCTGTCTTTATTTTAAAAAAGAAAATCAACAAAACAAAAAGTTGGTTGTTTGAAAAGATAAACAAAAGCAAAAAACCATTAACTAGACTAAGAAAAAAAGAGAGAAGAGCCAAACAAATAAAATCCAAAACACAAAATTAGACATTAAAACTGATACCATAGAAATATAAAGGATCACTAGAGACTGCGATGAACAATTATTCGCTGGTAAATTTGAAAACCTAGAGTAAATGGGTAAGTTTCAGGACACATACAACCTCCTGAGATTGAACCAGGAAGAAATAGAAAACTTGAACAGAACAATAACACCTAACAAGATTGAGTCAGTAAGGAAAAGTCACCTAAAAACAAGAACAAAAAAATCCCTGAGGACCAGATGGCCTTACTCCTGCATTCCCCCAAACTTATAAAGAACTAACATTATTTCTTCCTAAACTATTCCAGAATAATGAAGAGGAGGGAATTCTCCCTAACTCATTCTATAAGGGCAGCATTACCAAAACCAGATAAGGACAAAACCAAAAACACACAAAACGCCAATATCTGTGAAGAACATACATGTGAAAATCGTCAAAAAATATTAGCAAACAAAATCCAACAGCACAACAAAAAGATTATACACCATGATCAAGGGATTCATCCTTAGGGATATAAGGGTGGTCCAGCACACGCAATTCAACAAATGTGATCCATCACGTCAACAGAGTGAAGAACACAAACTAAATGATCATCTCAATAGATGCAGAGAAAGCATTTAGTACAACTCAACATCTCTTTGTGATGAAAAAAAAAAAACAACACCTCTCAACAAATTAGATATGAAAGGAAACTATATCAACAAAATACAGGTCATCCATGATAAACCCAAAGCTAACATCATGCTAAACACAGGAAAGCTATAAGGTTTTTCTTTAAGAACTGGAAAAACACAAGGATGACCACTTTCACCACCCTTATTCAACATAGTACTGGAAGTCCTAGACAGAGCTATCAGGCAAGAGACAAAAACAAAAGACATCCAAACTGGAAAGAAGGAATTCAAATGATCTGTTTGCAGATGACATGATCTTCTATGTAGACAAACCTAGACTACACCAAAAAAACTCTTAGAACTGATAAATAAATTGAGTAAAGTGGCGAGACACAAAATTAACACATGAAAATTAGTAGTGCTTCTATATATCAATACAACTGAAAAAATAAGAAAGCAATCCAATTTATAATACCGACAAAAAAACTAATAAAATTAATCAAAAATATAAAAAAAATCTCTACAGTGAAAATTACAAAACGCTGATGAAAGAAATTGAAGAGAACACAAAAAACATGGAAAGCCATCCCATGTAATGGATTGGAAGAATTAATATTGTTAAACTGACTAGCTATACTACCCAAAGCATCCTAGAAACTCAGTGGAATCCATATCAAAATACCAATGACTTTCTTAACTGATTGAAAAATAAAAAATCCTAGAATTTATATGGAACCACAAAAGACCCCAAATAACTATGAAGGGAGAATAACTGGATTTCTCTGAATGGTTCTAAGTTGGAAATACAGGCAAAAATCAAGGAAGCTGGCAGCTAATGTTCATGTCTTGGCTGTTTTGAACCCAACTGCTGCAGAGATTATGGTTTGGCTTCTTCCAGTGGTTGCTGATGGCGTGGCCCAGAGTTCTATTTTTATCTATGATCTGGCCATTGTCCATTTGTGTATTCAGTTTCTCATACCTGCTGTCCATCATTTTCTCATATTATGGAAAAACCCTTTCCTTCACTTCTAGGATGCCACAACCCTCCTGGGTGTACTTTTGATTCCTTTTTACCTTCTCCTCCATGGGAAAATCCTTTCTCTGCCTATTAATTTGATTTTGCTGTGAGCCAAATAGCTCATCATGGCTTGGAACCTTCTTCTCTTCAGCTTCATCTCAAATTCTTTGTATTGAATTCTGTTCCATGAGACTGAGCTACACAAAGTTGCAACTGACTTGAAACATCTTTCTCATCCTCTAAGTCGCTACCTCCTCTTTATTTGAAAATCTCAGTTTAGATATCATCTCCTCCAGAAAGCTTTCTGTGAACCTGCAAAATGCCCATGAACTGTCATAGTCCCCACTCTTAGGACACTGCCTTTCAAATATTTATGTCGTTGTATTTGTCATTATCTGTTAACCTATATTTTCTTCCTCAAACTCTAAGCACCTTTGGGAAGAGTCACCAGTATAGTGCTCTGTACAGCAGACAGCCAATAAGTATTTATTGCGATAATAATTTGATCCAGAACAGAATACAATAAAGTAAAGCAAAGTTCCAGAGGTTTGTAGAATCCTTTGTCAGCTGGAGACAGTGGGAAAAGGTACACTTCATAGAAAGCTTTCTTTCTAAGCTTATGGACACTCATCGTCAATGAGATGGAAACTTGACATTTAAATATTTGGAATATAAAGCAAATGACTTTAAACTATTTTTGAAATGTGGAACCCAATGAGAAGGCAGGTATGTGGTGTGCCCTGAGGCCAGGTTGAAAACCAAAGAGAGCTGAGAGGGCCACCAAGGCACCTGCTCTTCTGGCTTATGCTCCCTCTGGTTTTCTAACCTTAAGGACCTGCCAAAATTAACGGCTCACAATAAGCACTCCGTTTACCAAATTTATTTCACAATACATATTACAGCAGACAGACAGACAGATAAATGTATTATATATAGTAATATAGTGGTATCAACCAAGGAAAGCAATACCTGTCTTCCATCTCAAAAGTTCGTTAGAGATTTGAAAATATGTTATGTGAAAAAAACTAAAAACTGTTTCTGAATGATTCTCAAAGAAAAAGACCCAGGGATCAGTGGAGAAATGGCTAATTCTAGGATTGGGGCAGGAAATATACAAGATAAGCATGGAACATCTTGTATCTCTGAAAAGTAGGAAAGTGCTAAAAAAAATTCCTGCAGTTATGGTTGTTATGTCAAAGACAGGAGCCAAACGAAAGAGCTTCCAATGGCCAGTGGGAAAAATTTGAGTTAGAAAATGGATAAGGTAGTATTGGATCATAATACAAAATATAAAATAAATATCTATCAGGCATAGTGATAAAAATTATTACATAAATAAATGAAGAGAAAGAACAAATTTCTCCTGCAGAATAATTTAAATAATGTGTGTAGATACTGCACCCTCAGTGGAGAATCACAAATCCCCACCCCCTCTGCGTGGTCTGTGCATTGTGACTGCTTTCTAAAGAGTAGAGAATGAAGGAGGGAGGAAGAGAGTAACTAACTTTACAGTGAAAAATCCTGATGGACACTACCCAGCCAGGTGGGCAAGAACATCCAGTGATAAACCCTGTTGATATTACGTACCCTTGAGATGACGTAGTGAAAATGATACTTTATCTCTGGGCTCTTCCTGCCCCGAACCCATAATCCCAGTCTAATCATGACACCCAAAAAGACAGATTTTAATAGAGAAGCATCCTACAGAATACTAGACCAGTACTTCTCAAAACTGTCAATGCCATTAAAAGCTAGGAAAGTCTTTGAAACTGTCACAGCCAAGAAGGGTCTAAGGAGACATGAAAACGAAATAGACTATTCTGCATGGTATCCTAAAAAGGAATATTCTGTATAGTACGCTAGGTAAAACAGAAAATCTGAATAAAGTATAGATTTTAGGTAATAGTAATGTAACAAAATTGGTTCATTAATGACAAAAAATAAAAATTCTAACATATTAACAATAGGGGAAACTGTGTGGGGAGTATACGAGAACTCTCTGTACTATCTTCTCAACTTTTCTATAAATCTAAAACTGTTCTGAAAAATAAAGTCTACTAAAAGTAAGTAAATAAATACAGTGGTCAATTCAAAACATGACACACACATGCACACACCCCAGAAGGTCAGCGCTCTGCCCTGCCATGGTGTCTTTCTTTCCTCTCGGTGCTTTACACTGACAATAGACTGTTTAGCATCTCAGTATGTGCCATATTGGTTGCCAGTGGTGTTGGGCCATGGACTCAGCTGGTTCAGGGATGTAATTAATAGGTGTTGCTCTGAAGTTCTAGCTTTTGGCTACTCACAAAATGCTTCATTCCAAAGTGGGAAAGTAGAGATTTTCATATCTGAACTTTTAAGTACAAACTAACATTTTATTTCAGTAGAAAGTTGTGCCAATTTTTTGGTAAAACTTACAGCAGATAATCAGTATTATTTTCTGTATTGATTTTAATCTGAGGAAAATTAGTGTGAAAGTGTTTATTATCCATCAATTGCATACATGAGCACATGCTTTTTTTGAAGTAAAGTCATCAGTCTTCTTCATTATCACAAAGGATGTTTGTCACTTGTAATTTACCTATACCTTTCTGTTTGCTGCACACAAGTTATTAAGCGAATACCATTCTAAATATGTAGTCATTTGTAAATAATGTCATTCAATTCTCATGTTAAAGTAGCTATGCTTGTGTTACAGTGTCGATTATCCAATACAGAAAAAGGAAATATCTGATGATTTTAAAATGTCAAGAGGCAAACCCATCATTTAGGGAAAAAAAAGTAATTATGTTGCTTAGGTACAAGACATTTCCTATTTATTATTTTTCCCTTACTTAAAAATATCTTCATATATAAAATTAGTCATCTTTTATTCAACAATTTAAATATTCTTTCTTAGCAATGTCATTAAGATAATTATATTTAAGTTTATGCCCTTGTTGTCCCAAGCTAATTATCACAATACACAAAACAGAAAATGAAAATAAGTATGTGTGTAATTTTTTAATTCAAGATTTCTTGTGTTTAACCTTACAATTTATTTAAAAAGAGAGGAATGCTTTCAAAAGGTCTCAGAAATACATTATTCTGCTATCCGTTAAGTATACCAGATAATTTAGGAACGTTATTAGAAAATAACTGCCTTCATGTTTTGCTCTCTGACAGGCAGCCAATCATCTATAAATTACAGAAACTCACTCATTAGAACCCCTTCAAGGCAGTTGTTTCACAAACATTTATCAATGTTTAAAAGAACAAAATAAATATTAATAAAATATATGTATAAATACGTTATAATAGAAAAATTAGAAAAGAGATGATTGAGATGAAAATTATAAGTAAGTGATTTTAAAAAATATGTTGTTAACTCAGTCCTCATCCTGTGCTTTTAAATTTCTTATCCAGGAAAATCACTTTTGACAGTGTGTCCTGACAAGGCATTTGCATATTTCAGAGACCAGCCAAGGAGGCAGGCAATACCGGGCCTGTAAAGCAGAGGCAGGCATGGAAATGGGGACACCCCAGGGAAGCGAGGTCAAGGCAGAGATGTTTATCAGGACCCTAATGGAAAACAGCACTTCGGGGCTTTTGAACCAGTACAAGTCACTGAGTCAGTAACAGACAAAGTGAGCCCTCAGATTTCAGTTTAGACCACAGTCATGGACTCAGAAACCCATAGGGCCTGGAAGTCAAGGTAAGACCATATCTATTTCACATGAGAATTGAAAAGACTCAAATACTAGAAAAACAAGGAGAACTAACTCAGGAAATTCCCAGGACCAGAAACGGTAAAGCGATGCAGAGGGAGAGCTGACAGGGAGTGGCTTTGGTTCTGTGCAGGAAGTTGACTCCAGGTTGTCTGTCTGGTGTGTGTCATTCTAGAATATCTGAACAGTCTCGGCTTAAAAAGGTGAAGCAGAAAAGTCCACAACCAACCAGAGCACCGCCAGAAGGGAAGCAGAGCTCGCACATTGCAAAGTAATAACATTCCTAATTCCCTGCATCACCTCACGGGCTGATTACAACAGGGTGAAACTGTGGAGTTCAACCACATTGCCCAGATTAACCCACCCAAGAGAAATTCATATTGCGGATCTTTTCTTCTCAGAGGTCTATCTTCTCTTAGAAGTAAAACTCTTCCTAAAACCAAGCTCCTGGATGAAGAAACGCAACTTGTTCATTGTGCTCTCACTACATGATCTCTTACCTTTTTTGTTTGTATCTATAAACAAAATAAATTGAAGAGTAATTTTTTGACAAGAGTGACTCATACCACAGGACTAAAGCAATTCAAATCATCTAGAAGGCACTGAAAATAACAAATCATAGGATATTCTCTGTGCTGGGACAAAAGTTTTTAGTTATTTTCAGATAACACATTTTAAAATTTCTAAAAAACTTTTGAGATGGAAGACAAGTAGTGCTTGCCCTTCACAAAGATACATACTTTTTTTGTCTGTAATAAGTGTGATGAAGTAAACCTAGTAAATAGAGTGCTTATTGTGAGCCTTCAATTTTGGCAGATCCTACGGTTAGAAAACCCAAGAAGGACAGGTGCCCTAAACCAGAAGGGCAGGTGCCTTGCTGGCCCCGTCAGCAATTCTTGGTCCTCAACATGGGCTCAGGGCACACCACATACCTGCCTTCTTATTTGGTTGCATGTTTCAAAAAATAGTATTAAGTCATTTGCTTTCCATTTCAATGGTTTAAACATCAGATTTTCCATCACATTGATGACAAGCTTCCACACACTTAGAAAAGAAAGCTTTCTGTGAAGTACACTGACTCCCACCCTCCTGGAGCTCACAAAGGATTCTGAAAACTTCTGGAGCTTTGTTCTAATTTCTGACATTCTGTTCCAGACGAAATCATTATTGCAATAAATACTTATTAGCTGTCTGCTGTACAGGGCACCATACCAGTAACCGTTTCCTAGAGGTGTTTGGAGTTTGGGGGAAATATATGTGAACAGACAATGACAAATACAATAAGATAAATATCTTTATAAGCAATGTCCTAAGAATGGGGACTATGAAAGCTTATAGACTTTTTTAGGGTTTGCAGAGAGCTTTGTAGAGGAGGTGATATCTAAGGTTTTAAACAGCTAAAATAGGTTTTTTTAAAAAAGAGGAGATAGTTACTCAGATGGAGGATGGGAAAGATGTTTCAAGTCAGCTGAAACTTTCTGTAGTCTAGTCTGGCTGGGACACAGAATTTAATACAAAGAATTTGAGATGAAGGTACAGAGAAGAAGCTTCTAAGCCATGATGAGCCATTTGGCTAACAGCAAAATTAAATTAATAGGCAGAGAAAGGATTCCCCCATGAAGGAGAAGGTAAAAAAGGATCATAAGTATGCCCAAGAGGGTTGTGGTATCGCAGAAGTGAAGGCATGTGTTTTTCCAGAATGTGAGAAAATGATGGACAGCAGGTATGGGAACCTGAATACGCAAATGGATAATGGCCAGATCATAGATAAAAATAGAACTCTGAGACACACTGGCAGCAACCCATGGAGGAAACCAAACCATAACCTCTCCAGCAGTTCATCTAAAGCAGTCAGGACATGAACAGTAACTACCAGCCTCCCTGATTTTTGCCTATATTTCCAACTTAGAACCAATCAGAGAAATTCAAATATTCTCCCCTTGGCCAATCATATAAGATGACCCACTTCGGCTTAGCCCACCAACAGTTTTCCCAGGGCCACAGTCTCCAATTAGTGCATATGTGAACTCTTCCTTTTTTTTTTTTAACTATAGAGCTGTCTTGGTCTGTTTCTGATGCTATAACAGAATACCACAGACTGGGTAATTTGCAAAGAACAGAAATTTATTTTCTCACAGTTCTAGAAGCTGGGAAGTCCAAGATCAAAATGCCAGCTGGTTTGGTTATCTGGTGAGGGCTGCTCTTTGCTTCCAATGTGGCCCAGACCCCCTTCTTTGTTTTGTCTTGACCCTTTCCTTAGAAAGCAAAGCACAGTAATTAAGGCATGAACTTTATATTCAGCCTGCATTCAAATTCCAGCTCTACCGCTTGCTAGCTATGTGCCTTTAAGAAAGTCACTTGGTATCTCTGTTCCACTGTTCCTTGGTATCTCCTACCTGTAAAATGGGGATAATAATAGCACTAGTGTTTGAAGTTGTTTTGAAGTTTAATTTCTATTTGTAAAAGCACATTGTGCCTGGGACATATTAATTGCTGTGCAAGTCTTTCTTTAAGAAACAAAATCATTCCCATCTTATATCTCTAAGTTTGTATCTTATAAACTCATATCTCCAAACTGGATAAATCTTCCAAGTTTAGACTGGTGCATACAACTACTTAGTTGCCTTCCTTTCTTGAATGGCTCACAGGAACTGTCTGCAGAAAATATCGCAGTTGTCCCTATATCTATGAAATAGGTTACATTGAATAGAAACTTCTACAGTAATGGAGAAGGACTCTAGGATCACGTGTTGGAGGTTTCCCTGAAAGCTGCTTTTCTCCATCTCCATAGGAAGTTGCCTTCAGCTTCCCCAGCCGGTGTTGTTGGAGGGAGTGAGGGAACCTTTAAAAGGGTAGGAAGAACACTGTGGGAAATGCTCTGGGATTTTTAAGTACATACATGCTAATGAGACTAGTGTCCAGTTGTTATGATCACTGATGTAATAGATCGCTGATGTAACACTGATGCAGTTCTGAGTGGCCTCCCAAGTCTTTAAGATTACTTTTCTAAAGTCGGCTGTGTGGTGATGTCATATCCTCAGATGAGTGACAAATTTGAACCAGGATTCTCTATTTCCAGTATGCTCATTAGGCTCCATTATTTTTTCTAATCTATAGAAAGACACAAACACCAGGCTGCCCTTCATGCTGCATTTGCTCGCTCTGTAAATGGCATCAAGAAGACGTCAGGTTGCCCTTGCACAGACCTGCCAGTCACTCCAGAGCCTACGCCTTCATATCCAGTAACTTTCTCAAAATGCTTTTCAACTCGACTTACTCAATATTTCTCCAATTCTTCCATTTCTTGTTTTGTCAAGGCCATTGCCTTGATCCAAGCCACCACCATCTCTCACTGTCGCAGCTCCTGTGTTCCTACTCCTGCTCCAATTTCTCCACTAACAATCAGAATAAATTTCATCTTGTTCCTTCTCTGCTTAATACCCTTAAGAGCTCTCTATTTCTCTTAGCATGAAGTACATTACTACCCTTTGCTCATCCTAAATAATAGTCTTGAAAACCTGGCCCCTGCTTTCAGCACAGGTCTCTTAAATGTTATTGCATTTCTGCCTCAAGAGCTTGGCATAAGTGGTTCTTCATTTCTGAAGTGACCTCCTCGACTTTGTCTAATTAACTCTTTTCAACATTTCAATGTTCCCTCAAATGCCACTTTCAGCAAGAAGACTTGCACCTCATTCTTTTACTCAACATGACTTATTACAACTGCCGTGTAACAATTTATCTGCCATGCATGTTTGATGCCTGTCTCTTCTTCTAGACTATTAGCCCCCTGAGAGTCACATCTAACCTGGACCGGGTATTTTTAAAAGGCTTGTTGTATAAATAAGAGAAGGTTATGGAGAATAAAGAAGGATTTGGACAGAGAGACAATGACACATCATGGAACAGTGCTAAGGGTCTGCTTTAGGTTGGAGCATAATTTAGAACGACATCTGCAGGGTGTGGCAGTTGAGACAAGTGAGGAAGGGTTGAGTGAGTGAGTGTATTAGAACAATAACAGAGCAAGATAGCTAAAAATCTGTCAACAAATATTAAACTGATGGAGCACAGGATTTAAGAAAAATGAATAGCTAAGAAAAATTCTGTTTCTGGTCTCATATGTTTTTGACTTAGTAGTATATGTAGATACATAAATTTGGTGTAGAAACTTTAAACTTTATTTCAAGTTAGACCAGAGCAGATAAAACTGTTGAAGAAAAAGTGATAACATCTCTGTTTTTGAGACTGTGTTTTAAACATCTATTGATCCAATGCAGAAATAAGTACAGCGAAATCAATAAGAAAATAAAAATTGCTCCCAAAGAAAGGAGATAATGATGATTAGATTACCTATTTACCTACAGACTGGTTGATTAATATAAACTCATTATTAAAGTTGTAAATACAAACACTACTAATCTTTTTTCTCTCAAGTAGTATTTTTTAAATAAATAGATATAAATAGTGTAATTGACTTTCAGGTTGTCATTTCCAAAATGATATGCATAAAAACAAATTATTTAAAAGAACACTCTGGTTGATGTTAGATTAAAAGTGTATTAATTGCCTACACCAATGATATTTTATTTAATACTAAGAAAATGCTGAATTGGTTATCAAATTATTTAGGTATTTATTGTTAGGAAACTAATTTTACTGGAACAGCTGATGTTGTACATTCATTTAAGAGAGCCATAGGACAAGTAAACACTCTACCAGATGTTTTGTGTCAAAGCAACCGGGTTTTGTTTTAGCTGAGCCCAGCAACTCTTCCAGGGTGTCCTGGGAGATGACATCTCGTGTAGGGCAATATATGAAATCAGGTGTTGAGCACAGAGGGAGTACAATTTACCGTAAACAGTTTAACAGTCTCAGCAAAAAATGTCTCATGAAGAGAAAAAAATTCAACCAACCTCTCCTTGCAAGAGGGTGTCAATAACTTCAGATGATAAATGCTTGCCTGTCTTTAGACTTCATGCCATTTTTGTGCAGGCTTTGGGGGATTTATAAATGGGATTTTAAACTCACTTTTTGCATCTGGATGTCGGAACCCTTAAGCCCCTCTCCCAGAGTCACACATCTACATTGTGGGGCAGGGAGGAAGGAACATGGCTAATCTATATGACTGTTTAAATTGTCCAATGGCAGTGAGAATATTCAAGGAAATAATTTTGTAGATTTCCTTTTCCGTCCCTTTAATTTGTATGGTCCTCCTTCTCTACTGTTCCTTACTTCAATCTCAGGAAAATGCCTGAAAACTGACATCTATCCAGAACATGAAAGCACCTCAGGCAGTCAAGCTATCAAGCTGTTTACATGGTGACAGTAGCTATCCAAATACCACTAAAAAGCTATCGTAAGTTATCGTGTCATACTGTAATTCTACTTTTTGTGGGGGCATTGAGCAATCTGGCAAGAAAATCACAGAAGATAATAATGTATTTATGTTACTCAGTCTGGCTCAAAATTACAGCTGGCAGTTAGTAATATCTTAGCTTATTTGTGTAACTCTTTCTGGAACTCTCCAAACTCACAACTGTAGCAGTAGTGAAGTAAAAAATGTACCCACAATTAATTTCCTAAACATTTCAGAAGATTGGAAGCTCAGAGTAAAATGAGCAAGAAAATTTTTTTAAATTGCATATTTTGAGTTACTGAAAATAATTTTGTATGTATCAATGTAATCTTTCTCCAAATAACCTCTGTTCATAGTCTAAATGAGAAGGAATTTTAAAGTTTATTCAGAAAGAATGTAGACATGTGCTTAGGTATATGTTTTATTATAACATTATTTTCTCTTTAGGAATATACAGAAAATTATCAGGAAAGAAGGAACAGTCTAACCCTTAAGCTGTTTCTGTAGCACAGAGAAAAGGCAGCAATTCATATGCCTGATCTGTGTATAGGAGGTTCATAAAGGATTGTTATAGGTTAAATTATGGCCCCCAAAAAGATATCTGTAATCCTGCACTTGGGAATATGATCTTATTTGGAAATAGGGTCTTTGCAGATGTAATCAAGTTAAGATGAGGTCATTAGTGTGGACCCTAATTTAATAAGACTAGTGTCCTTATAAGAAGAGAAAAGACAACAAGAGGTATGCACAGAAGTTGACGTGCAGATATATGGGGAGAACACCAGATGACAACCAAGGCAGAGATTGAAATGACGCATCCACAAACCAAGGAACACCCATGACTGCTGCAACATCAGAAGCTAAGAGAAAGGCCCAGAATAGACTCTCCCCTGGAGCCGTCAGGCACTTTAATTCATGGCCCTGAAGACACCTCAATTTTGGGCATCTCACCTCCAAAACTGTGAGAGAATTTCTGTTCTTTTTAGCTACCTGGTTTGTGCAGACTTGTTTTGGCAACTTTAGGAAATGTGAACAGGGTGTGTCTTTAGAAGCAACACCCATAGGAAATTAGAACAGCAGAATTGGGCAAGGAGAAAAGAAATGGAATACAGCCGCCACAGGGGCTCAGCTGATCCCACGAGGAGCTCTGGGGCTGCAAGGGCCCTTCAAAGTTGCCCCAGTGGAGGACAGGCAGCCAGGCCTTGTAACCCTGAGCACTCCCTGGATGGAAGCTACACCAGCATGTTAATCTTCCAGCCCAGAACAATGCCCAGAGACTATATTATACTGAAACATTTTGACACATACATTTTTTCAAGGTAAAGAAATTATTTTCTTTTTCTTAGTTTAAAAATAATTTTGTTGTTATTTGTGATTCTCAGATGTCCTTTAAAAAAAAAACTTTACAACAGATAATTGAGGAATCCATCTCTAGGCCCATATCTTAAGTGTGATCCTTCAGACCCCACCGTGAGCAATAAGGCTGTACTTGGCAGATCTCACAAGGGACACTGCCCTCCACACAGGAGACTCCATGCACAACCAGTGCATTTCTGCTTCCAGAGGGAGTTGCAGTCAAGGATCAGCCCCACCCCAACCCCACCCTCCCCACCGCCACCCCCATCCCAAGACCTCCTTATCAGAACTGGCCTCTGCTGAGACTACCTTATCCAGGAGACTTGAAGATACTTTTCTCCACCAGAACCCAGTACTCAGGAGTTTTTCTCTCCTAGTACTTCTCCCTCCCTTTTGTGTAGCCTCAGGGTCCATAAAATGCCAGGGGCCTTTGTCTGGGGCTCTCTCCATCTGCACGGGCACACCTGACTCACACAGTGGTGCAGTCACACAGGTGAAAATGAAACACAAGAATATCTTGTTTCAGGCCTCTTGCTTATATGATTGCAGTGAGTGAGTAAGGGCTTGACCATTACTTTCAGTTGGGCTCTTTGTTTTGTTGTTTTGTTTTGTTTTGTTTTGTTTTGAACCTGGTCAATTTATTTTAATTGGCACACAGATTTATGGAGTACATAGTGATGCTTCGATGCATACAATGTATAGTGATTCAATCAGGGTAATTAGCATATCATCATCTCAAACATTTTTTCTTTGTGTCCGGAATATTCAACATCCTTCTAGCTGTCTGAAAGTATATATGATGGTTAACTATAGTCATCCTACAGTGCTATAGAACACCAGAACTTATTCCTCTTATCTAGCTGTGCTTTAATTGACCACCTGGCAGCTCAGCTGTCTCTCAAATACCTCTCAGCCCTTGACAGTAACAGAGTTTACCAAATTCTTTTCTTGGATGTTTGAAATGATAATATGATTCTTCTACTTTAATCTGGTAGTATAGTGAATTGCATTAATAGCTATCTGAATGCTGAATTATATTTGCACTTGGGATAAATCTCAGTTGGTCATGTGCATTCTTTTAAAATACAGGAAAATTAGCTTTTCCTGTTGCATTATTTAGACTGTTTACCTCCATATTTATCAGTGAGATTGATCCATGGTATTGTTTTATTTAGCTTAGTTGAATCTTTCTCTCTGTACAGTCTTGTTTTGGTGCCTTTTACATGCAATAGTCATTTCTCACTTGGTACATGTTCTCAGATAAGTGAAAGAACATGGTTATTAGAACCTTTATCATGCAGTTGTGTTTGATGTTCAGGTACATTAATAACGTGGGATATTGGCTTTCATTTTTGATTTTCATTTAAAAATATCTGAGCATCTTTTTACTTTAATGGGGAGGTTAAACCATCATTTTCTTGAGAGCTGAACCTTTTAACCTATATTTTTCAATGTTTGCATTTATTGTTTATGTAAATATTATTGTTTCCTTCCTCTTTCCTTTTTTCCCAGCATGTTTTTTTCTTCATTTTTCTATTTTTGTCAGGATTTCAGTAATTAAATATAAGATTTCTATTTTTTTCCAATTCTCTTTATATAATAAAACTTTCACTTCAGCCTATATTTTTCTACTGATGTTGAAAATTAATCAGTATCCATGATCAACTCATCAAATAGAAACATGCTTTTACTTAGCATCACAAAAGCTGTGTAGAATTATTTGGAGCTTTTTTTTTTTTTTTTTTTTTTTTGAGACGGAGTCTTGCTCTGTCACCAGGCTGGAGTGCAGTGGCACGATCTCGGCTCACTACAATCTCCACCTCCCAGGTTCAAGCAGTTCTCTGCCTCAGCCTCCTGAGTAGCTGGGATTACAGGCACCCACCACCACACCCGGCTAATTATTCTATTTTCAGTAGAGACAGGGTTTCACCATCTTGGCCAGGCTGGCTGGTCTTGAACTCCTGACCTCGTGATCCACCCGCCTTGGCCTCCCGAAGTGCAGGGATTACAAGCATGAGTCACCACAGCCAGCTTATTTGGAGTTTTTATTGGAGAATTTTTTTCTATTATTCTTTGGCCATTTTAAAAATCCTTTCTTAACAACTGCAATAGACTTCATACCACACAGTGTCAACAATTACTTGCTTTGTATAAAGACTTTAAATCTCAATGCACTGTGTTCTTTGCCATGTACCCCTTCCTGTATTCCATGATATTCTTTTTCTTTCACTCCTTTTATGTTTGGTTGCATTCTGTGATTTTTTTTTGTTCCTGCTTTTGTTTTCAGGCAGTGTATAAATGGGAGGTAAAATTTAAGATTCAATACACATTTCAATTTTTTATACAATTTAAGTGACAATTTGCTGGAGTACAGCATTGTGAATTGTCCATAAGCCTGATACAAATTAGAAAATTTCACAGTGCAAAATATATGTGTGTGTGGATATGGGCAATAGAAACCCTCATGCACTGACTGTGGAAAGTAGACCAGTGTAGTCATTCTGGAAAACTGTCTAGCATTATTTAGTCAAGTTAATTGTACAAATAAACCATGACCAAGTAATTCCGTATATATATAAAACAGTGAAAATTCTACATAGGGCCAAAAGGAGATGTGTATGAGTAATTGTCCACAGTATTATCTGTTGTAGTATTCAACTAAAGGCAAATAACACACAATGGAGTATCAGGAAGAAGAGACAGCATGTACAAATAACCAAAAACACAGACTTTAAATATGTCCTGCTTAGTAACAAGCAAGATAGGGGAATGAGATATATAATACAAATGATGCACATGAGAATTCATTAAAATATCTACATAAAATATATATAATTTAAAAATACACAGAAAACATATCAAAACAATGGGAAAGAGGTAAGTAAAAGGACATGGTTATTAGAACTTGTTATAAGGAAATTGTTTCAGGTCCTATTATATTGAAGCAGACTCTAAGACAAGAAACCTTGTGCAAGTGTGATTGATCAAGGATGTGCTTCCAGAAGAAACCATTAAGAGATGGGAAAAAGCAGGATAGGAAAGGGTCAGAAGCCAATTGAGGGTGTGATTCTAGATAAGATCCAGTCATAACTAACCTGAAAGGATGGATACTTCCAGTGCTATGTTTAATAGCAGTGGTGAGGGAACATTGTTACCTAGTTTCTGATCTTAAAGGAAGAGTATTTAGTCTCTCACCATTTAATATGATGTTATCTGTAAATTTTTTTGTAGTATGCCTTATCAGATTAAGGAAGTCCCTTTCTACATCTAGTTTGCTTAGAGTTGTTTTTTTTTTAATCATAAATGGATGTCGACTGTCAAATTCTTTCTCTCCATCTATTGTGATGATCAGCTCTTCAGAGTGTTCATATGGCCTACGACATTGATTTGTTTCCAAATGTTGAACCAGCCTTGCATTCCTTGGATTAATTGCATATGGTTGTGATGCATAATCTGTTTAATATTTGACTTTCAAATATTTTGTTTACGATATTTATGTCTAGGGTTTGTGAGGGTGATTGAAACATAGTTTCCTTTTCTTGGACCGTCTTTATCTGGTTTTGGCATAGGTTAATCCTGGCATCATAGAAGTAGTTGAGAGACATTCTTCTATTTTCTGAAAAGTGTGTATAATTAGTATGATTTATTTCTTGAAACGTTTGGTAGAACTCACAGTGAAATTATCTGAGCCTAGAGTCTTCTTTTCTAGAGGGCTTGTACAAACAAATATAATTTATTTGATTAATGTATGATAATTCACCTTATCCAATCCTTTTTGAATTTTGGCAGTTTGTCTTTCAGAGAATTGGTCCATTTCATCTCAGTTTCAAACATGAGATCTAGAGTTGTTCACAGTATTCCATTAACATTCTTTTTTTTTTTTTTTTTAATTATACTTTAAGTTTTAGGGTACATGTGCACATTGCGCAGGTTAGTTACATATGTATACATGTGCCATGCTGGTGTGCTGCACCCACTAACTCGTCATCTAGCATTAGGTATATCTCCCAATGCTACCCCTCCCCCCTCCCCCCACCCCACCACAGTCCCCAGAGTGTGATATTCCCCTTCCTGTGACCATGTGATCTCATTGTTCAATTCCCACCTATGAGTGAGAATATGCGGTGTTCGGTTTTTTATTCTTGCGATAGTTTACTGAGAATGATGGTTTCCAATTTCATCCATGTCCCTACAAAGGACATGAACCATTAACATTCTTTTAACATCTATTGGATCAGTAGTTATGTTCCTTCTTTTTTTTGTATTTTCAACTTGTGTCTTCTTTTTGTTTTTTCCCTCCCCTGGAAGCCTGGCAAGGGGTTTATCAAATTTATTAATCTTTTCAAAGAAACAGCTTTTGGTTCTGTTGATGTTCTCTATTACTTCTGTTTTTAATTTATTGATTTCTTCTCAAATCCTTATTAACTTCTTACTTTTGCTTGTTTTAATTTGCTCTTTCTCTAGTTTCTTAAGGTGGAAGTTTAGGTGCTTCTCTCTCCTGAGTTTGAACAAGTCATTTGTTTTGTGACCCCAATTTTTTCAGGAGTTCAATAAAAGTCATTAATTTGCATACAGTTTGTCTGTTTTTTCCGTGTAGTATGGGTGGAAATGACTCTCTTTCTAGCTTTATATCTCCTAATGGAAACTGAAAGTCTAGATTTTGTCTTACCATAAAAGATTACCTTTTTGACTGTATTTTATTGAAGTCATTTCATATCTCTGACATGATTTCATGTTAGGGATAGTTTTTTTAATATAAACCATCTTTTCTTTTAAAAATAAAACCTACCTGAAATAGAAAAATGTATTTTAAAAAATTTCTATTATCATATCCTATTTATTCAGAGACTTGAAGAAAAAGATTGTGAAAAATATTTTCACAACAACATTTCCAATAAGAAACATTGAACGTGTTTTAGAGTATGATACTTGTTTTCGTTCTGGTGTATGCATTTGGTTAAACAAATAGATATTTGTTTGCCTGATTATGTGTTTGCTGTAGAACATTATATAATCAAATAAGTTTACTTTGAAAACTTAAAGATCTAACACAATAAAAACATTGAGTTAATTGCCTTTTTTCAAGATTTATTTATTTATTTATTTATTTATTTTTGAGATGGAGTCTTGCTCTGTCACCCAGGCTGGAGTACAATGGCTCAATCTCAGCTCACTTCAACCTCCACCTCCCAGGTTCAAGCAATTCTCCTGCCTCGGCCTTCCAAGTAGTTTGAACTACAGGAGCACACCACCATACCCAGCTAATTTTGTATATTTAGTAGATATGGGGTTTCACCATGTTGGCCAGGCTAGTCTCAAACTCCTGGAGATAATTTTATATCATTGTTTTAATTTATTTCCATACATAAAGTGCTCGGTGTTTACTTTTTATCTGGACCCACAACTATGTATTTTATTACTATTTTATTTCAAATCTGCCTTAAATTTTGCATAAAATTGTATATCTTACATACCTTTAGCTTTTTCTTTTATGTAGCTTTTCTTCCTTATTCCTTTTTTTTTTTTTTTTTTTTTTTTGAGACAGAGTTGCGCTCTTGTTGCCCAGGCTGGAGTGCAGTGGTGCAACCTTGGCTCACCACAACCTCCGCCTCCCAAATTCAAGCAATTCTCCTGCCTCAGCCTCCTGAGTAGCTGGAATTTCAGGCATGCACCACCATGCCTGGCTAATTTTGTATTTTTAGTAGAGATGGGGTTTCTCTGTGTTGGTCAGGCTGGTCTCAAACTCCCAACATCAGGTGATCCACCTGCCTCAGCCTCCCAAAGTGCTGGGATTACAGGCATGAGCCACCACACCTGGCATCTTATTCTCTAATTTGAATATCTTCAGGGTATTTTATGAGTCTTCTCAAAAACTTAATCTGTTTTAAATGAGATTTCAAAACTGTTTTTAGATGTACTTATCAATTTCACACTATAAATGTTTTATTATCAATATATTACTTTTAATTCTTTACTAATTTCTTCATCCTTCAGAGGTCATTTATGAGGATTATAGAAATAAATCCTGCATATTAAAATTATTGAAAATAAAATATTAAAAAATCATAAATGGTTAAGAATTCTTAAAGTAAATGCAGTGTAATGACAATTCATTTATTTGTCCCAATTTTATTTATGTGTTTTTTAATCTTCTGTTTCTGAAAGTTTGCCTAATATTAGTAAGTATTTTTGAGGAGAAGGTGAAGAGAAATAGAAAAGATAAGTTTTTTTTTTTTTGGCAACAAATATTTATTGAACAATAAAATGCAAACAATGACAATAAACATTTTATGCACATGGTTATTTCCCTTTGAAGACCTCGTTATGAACAGGCATATGGAGGGAGAAAAGATCATTGTAACCAATTATTTTGGAATTAGGATGTGTGTTTAAAGAAACGAAGTGTGCGAATAATCCTGAGATGAGCATTTAGGGAAAATGTGATTACAATTTATCCCTATAACTTTACAAACTACATTTATTCCTACTGCATTTTAAAAGTAATGGTGTGCAATTATTTCCATCTGACAAGCATGGATTAATGCAAGCCAAACATAACCTCAAATACAACTTGCTATTTACATAAATAATTTTTAATAATAATTTTCATTTAGAAAATAGGTGAATACGAGACTTCACAAAAAAATCACTTCTTTCTCCATGGATATCTGAATAGTAGAAGAAAATCTGTCTCAAGGTTAATTATGTTTTCAAAATGAAATAATAGTGGAATGTTTTAAAATGTTAAAAAAAAAAAAAAAAGAGGCAAAGGAGAGAAATGGCTTCATGGAGCTCTGAAGCTTACCATCAGAATCTGCAGGAAAACCATTGTGTAGAAAGCCATTCTACCAAAATGGCAACCTACACTATCTCACATATTCCCCGTTTTCACTACCATGCTTTAATTTTCTCCATAAAATATATCACAGCTGTCATAATATATTGGCAGCCTAATGTAGTGATTAAGAACACCCCATAGAGCCTCCTAGATGCACGTACTTTGATTTTTAATGTGAGTGAAAGAGGACACATCTGAGGAGCAGAGAAATGAAGTGATCAGACTGCAATTAGAAAAGGATCATTGGATGCTCTGTGAGAATAGCGGTACTGGGGCAAAGGCAGAAGCAAAGAGACCAAGCAAACAATGTTGCAAGCAAGAGGTGATGGAGATTTGGAGCTGGCAGTGGCACTGGAGGTCTCAACAGTGGATTCCATCTCTAGCATCAGAAGCAAAGACAACAAACAGCCTTACAGAGACTGTTCAACCAGCTCCCACAATCACAGAAGAGCAGATCCCTGTGACAAATCTCTTTCTTAATAAATGGGAGGTGGAGAAGCAGGTGTGGGGGACAGTGAGAAAGAGTAGTGGGGAGGGAGAGGGAATATATCTCCCACTGGTTCTACTCTCTGATTGGATCCTGAGTGATACAAGTAATTAAGTATGAAAAAAAGATTCCAGCAAAATTTAGGAAGTGAAATAAAAATAAGCTAATTGCTGACTCGTTGGGACTCTGGAGGTCTAAAGGAGATGGAAGAATTGGGCATGGCTGGCTGAGATGGATGGATGGATGGTGGTGGCACTTAAGGAGTCATACTGTGAGAGAGGTGGACAGTTTACAGAGAGAGACAGGTCCCTATTTGAACACATTGTCTGATACTATGGGATGTTCAGGTGTCAATATCTATTAGAGTGTTGTATACAGAATAAAAGGGCAAGTTGGAAAATAAATATTCTAAGGGCTAAGAAAAGAGGCAGGAACAAAATGGCATCCAGAAGCCAGAGATACAGGATTTAAAGACAGAATGGTGAGCAGTGTCAGTTTCAGCAAAGGGTTTAAGTAAGGAAGAAACTGAAAACACCAAGAGTTAAGGAAGAGCAGTCCCCAAAATGGGTGCTAAAATGTCTTGTTTGTGATTTTAGGTGTATTACTTTTCTTCTCAACTGGATTGCATGGATCTTAAATAGAAAAAAAAAAAGAGGCTTATACTCTGTATTTCCCTTGGGTATCAGCATAATGCAAAACACATACAACGTGCTCAATATTTTAGACTTGATAACTGCCATGTAACTCTGGGCCCCTTCTTGTACTTTTCCGCATTACTTTTTCTTTTCTTTTTTTTTTTTTGGTAGAGATGGGGTCTCTCTCTGCTGCCCAGGCTCGTCTTGAATCCCTGGGTGCAAGCAATCCTACCACCTCAGCCTCCCAAACTGTTGAAGTTACAGGTGTGAGCCACCACCCCCAGCCTGTGTTGCTTTTGTTTTTGCCTTGCTGTGTCTTATTTCCCACATATACTCCTGACCTTTTGATTTTATCTTTCTACATTTGCAAGTTCTTTTCCAATTTTTAAGCAATGTATTTTACCACTGAATACTCCAACCCTAATAGCCTTTCAAGAGCTGAAGGCAATGTCAAGAATTTTGTTTCTAACAGTAATTTTTTCTTTTGTCCTTTCAAGTAAGCCATTTTATAAGTTTCAGTGATTCCACACAAAATTCAAACTTATTCTTCAGGGAATATTATGAGACATAGTACAGATTTTCTTAAAATATATTGACTAAATTTTTATGTTTTCTTATGAAATTGAAATCAAATACTATACAACAATATTATTAACAATAAAATACTATGTTAAGCATAAATTCTATGTACTAAGAAACTGTTGTAAATATTTATACGTATTATCTCATATACTTCTTGTTACATCTCCAGGAAGATACCATCTCAAAGCATAGATTAGCAAAATAAGGGACGGGTTAAATAAACTTTCTCTAATTCACAACTAGTAACAGTTGAAAAAAAATCACCGAATAAATGCTTCTGACTCCAGAACCCAAAATATATATTGTCATCCATATGAATGTGTATTTCAAAATAAAAAAATAACTGTTTTGGAATGTATGCGAAAATCATGAATCAGTTGACAGAATAACTTGTATGGCACCCATAAAATTTCTATTCATTGGAAAAAAATTTTATTATCATTAGGAACACAGTTGAATTTTCTACAAAGGTGAAACATATATTCCACATTTCTGAGATAAAGTAAATTGGATCACAGTCCTTGATACCCTCATAAAAAATATAATCATTTTAGATGCTAAAATCTGAACAGTAACCAAAATTTTCCCTGGCTACAAAATACATCTTTCAAACTACTTACCAAAACTTTTGAAATTCCCGAGTAATGCACTCATCTTTGTAGATTAGAATATATCACACATAACAAACGGTGTGTAAATGTTGAAGGAATGGAGATGCAGGTATTCAGAGAAAGGGCAGAGTGAATATGTACTTGGAAGGAAAACTAAGGAAAATAACAAAGAAGAAAAGTGGGGGGGCGGAGGGGAAATGAAAATTTTCCCTGGGGAAATTGGAGAGGAAAGACCAACACTTGTTCTCCAGTTTCTGAGAAAACGTGAAATGCAAACACACAGCAGCTGGGATTATTATCCATAGATGCAAACCAAGGATCCAGAAAACTGGGCTGCATGACAAGGACACAGACACTTTTTAACGGGACTGACCTTAATGCTGCACCTTCCTCCTTCCTCGACAACTGTGGACTGCTGCACAAACTTGCAGAAGCAAATACTAAGGTATGCGATTCATTAGCCACACCATGGAGGCCGCAACTAGAAAGAGAATCCCAGAGATAATCACTTGGTTAACAGTATAAGGATGTGATCCTTTGAGTTAGTCTATGGACAACTTATAAAACAGGGCAGGATAACATGGAAGTATTATTGGTTCCTAACACCTTGTTGTTGGCTATTGTTTTAACAAAAATGACCTCCTTCAAAGGAAGCAGTGAGAGTTCTGAAGAAGAAAGTGAAGGTTTCATTTTGGAAGACTAATCAATGTCATGTGGAGTCACACTAACACTGAGCCAGAGATTTTCATCAGCCAACTGTGACCATCAATGTCTCGCGTCTCACTGAAGATAAAAATCATTGGGAAAATTAGTTCCTACAAGTAAGAAGGGTTAAAGTTGGTACAAATTTCTAAATCAAAATTTGGCTAAGAAGAAAAAGAGAAATGTCTAAAATAGGAAACACCTTTGAGCCAGATCTGAGCACAATGGGCTACTCCTTTTGTCAGTAAATAATCAGAGCAAAAGATAAGCCCAAGATGAGGACGGGTGAGAGGACGCAGCTGGGCTGTGTCTCCCTAATGCCTCAGGGAGGCTAGTCAATTTCATTGTAAAATGCAGTCCTCCATGGGAAGAACCTGATGAGGGGAGAACAGAGCTGGGCTTCCTGCGTTTCATATCATCAGCCATGGAAGGAAACATATCAATAAAGCATCTTCTCTAAAACCTTATAAGGAAAGTTTTGCCATGCTATTTTGCCTATTTATTTTTAAAAATTTCTTTTATTTTTTAGTAGAGACAGGGTCTCACTGTGTTTCTAAGGCTGGTTTCAAACCCCTGGGCTCAAGTAATCCTCCTGCCTTGGCTTCCCAAAGTACTAGGATTACAGGCATCAGCCACCTTGCCAGGACTATTTTACATGGTTCCAGGTTTACCTTCTTTCTGGAACAAAAGTCTTAGAGATGTCCCATCCGTCATCAATCTATAATTACCCTGACCTACACAGCACTGTTATGGTCAGTTAATGTCCAGCAAAAGTGTATATCCTCTCTTCTATAATGTAGTGTTGCTCTGAATCGAGTGTAGAGGCTAGATTTTGTCTCTAGGTTATGAGCATGTGACTGAACAAAACTGATGCAAGCCACTTTTTGCTCTGCCTCATAAAATGCCCCACGTGCCTCTGCCCCAGCTGTTTTCTCTCTCTGTTCCCCCAGGGTGACCTTAGAAGCCATTTCTGAAATTGGTAGCATCCTCTACTCCCACCCCCGCCAACACCAAAGCCAGAAAGTCTGTGTGAAGAGGGATACCTTGCTGACCTAGTCAACCCTCCCAGTATTTTAAGTGTACAGTAAATTAACTTCTCTTGTATCTGAGTCATTCATGACCAGGGGGTCAATTTCTTAATGGATTTAGGCCCTGAACTGATAGAAACACATACAGCAACATGACACCTTAATGTCATGACACGGTGTACAACTGCCTCTGTGTCTTGATCGTCAGTGGGAAGATTGCCAATCCCGGCTTTGTTTCCGTTGTGATGGGGCCTCACTTGTTCTGTCACCAGCACAGGTAGTTAGAGATGATATTGCATTGAAGACATTGAGAAAGGCTCAGGGGGGTCATTTTAGAAAGATTAAAATAGCCTACAGGATGGGCAGGTGTTCTGTTCCTCGACTCCCATAAACTAGAGTTATTAAAACCAATGATTATCATTAAGGACAACTCTCCAACCCAGGGGAGTTGGTAAAAATCATCTGGCTTCACTTACAACTATTTGGTTTCCTGCTTTCCAGTGACTTTGCAGAATGACCAGTTAGCCCTGTGGGAATGTAACTGGAGATATAAGCATGACAGAAACGTTCGAGAGATACCTTTCATTTTCTTAAAGTTAAACATCCCTTTTTGGTCCCAGCAATATCATGCCAGCCATTTTGGTCTCAAAGGGAGAGAGGCGGTTTCACTGGCCCCTAAAAAAAGCACTTAGCTGCAGCCACAGCGTGTATAATCACACTGTCTGATAATGCCTTTTTTCTGTCATTTTTCCTTTTTCCTGTTCTTTCCTGCATTCCTTCTCACCCCATTTGGTTTAAAATTTGCTTGTGATGCAGTCCCTCTAACCTCATCTATAAATGAAAAAAAAATTGAAAAACGTCTCAGTGTGACAGAGCATTGCTATAAACTGGGGCTCTTAACATGGGTGTATTTCACTCCTCTGCCAAAATCCCTGCTGCTATGGCTGCCGCTAATCAAAAATTGCCTAACCCAGTCAAAGATGCCCTGCTTCCTATGATCCCCATGTTTGGGTCGTCAAAACACACAATCCCCCTTTTTGAAAATTTTAACATCTCCCCCAAAGAACTTTACCTTAGGCCACCCCGTCACATATCTCAGCCTCTTCAAAGACTGACAACTTACTCAAGAGGGTTTCCTGCTTGATGAAACGTAATGTCTGCCTCAAAGCATGGGACACGTGGACTCTCTTTCCCTTGTTCTGTGCTAATTTCACAGTAGCAGGATCGATTTTAGAATGATAGGATTGTGAAGCTTAAAGGGATCTTATAAATCATATAGTACAACTCTCTCTGGGGTCTAGAGGTTAAGTGACTCACTTGAGGTCACCAGATTAAGTAGTGGCAAATCAGATACATTAACCCAAGGTTCTTCGTCTCCTGCCTCACTCTTTTCCCTGTGCTGTGCTATGAAGATTGATAGTACGAAACCCCACACAGTTTAAAAGAGATTAGGTCGAAGATCAGTTCTCTGCCTGAGCTGCCCTATTCCCAAGATTAATCAGGGTGTTCTTTATGTAGTTTTTGTGTCAGCGATGCCACACAGCTCACTTTATGCAGTTAGATTGTCATGTTTCTCTTGAATTTAGTTTCCAGCTGGAAACCTAGGAAAGTCTCAGCCCCAGACATTCTGGTGTGTCATCTAGCATGCCACCACTTTATAAGCACATGGCTAGTAATGCATCAAGAGAAAATTTACAGGAAGGAGATGTTTTAAAATGTAAATCTATGTGCCTATTAGAATATCTAATATCCAAAATATTGATACCAAATGCTGGTAAGAATGTGGAGCAACAGGAACTCTCATTGCTCGTGAGACCCCAAAATAATACGGCCTCTTTAGAAGACAGTTTGGCAGGTCCTTACAAAGCTACTTAGGTTTACCATATGATCCAGTAATTGTGCTCCTAAGTATTTACCCAAATGAGTTAGCCACACAAAAGCCTTCAGACAGATTTTTAAAACAGCTTTATTCATAATTGTCAAAATTGGAAGCAACCAAGATGAGTCTCAATAGGTGAATAAGCAAATCATGATATGATCTATGCAATGGAATATTATTCAGTGATAAAAGGAAATGAGCTAAGAAGCCATGAAACTATGTGGAAGAACCTGAGGTACACATCACTAAGTAAAAGCAGCCGGTTCAAAAAGGCTATCTACTGTATGATTCCAAGGGTATGGCATTCTAGAAAAGACAAAATTATAGAGACGGTTAAAAATATCAGTGGTTGTCGGAGTTTCGGTGGGGGGGCACGGTTGGTGAGAAGGGAAGACTGGAGCAAAAGGCATTTTTAAGGTGGTGAAAGCATTCCATATAAAATGAATGGTGCATACGTGATATTATACACTTGTCAATACTCACAGAACTGTGCAACACAAAGAGTGAACCTTAATCTAACCTATAGACTTTAGATAATATGTGTTAGTATTAGTTCATCAGTCATAGCAAATATACCATACTAATGGAAGAGGTCAATAAGAGGAGAAAGTACATGCTGGGGAAGGAAAACAAGGAAACTGTACTTTCTGCTTAATTTTTCTATAAACATAAAACTTCTATAAAATAAAGGCCATTTTAACAAATGTAAGCACTGTATAGTCAACAAGAAAAAGATCATTATATTGATAGAGATTTTGCTGACAATATTTCAACTGAAAGTTTCCTCACAGTTTGATCCAAGTTAGTGAGGCCATCTCCAAGCCTTCTCAACCACTTGTCATTCACTGATTAACAAATATTATTTAAGCATAAATCACTGCCCTTGTGGACATTATAGTTTAGAGATAGAAGTTTCACATATTTATGTATTGCTGACATTCTTGCCAGATACCCACAGTTCTAAGATCTTTGTGTGTTTTAACTCATTTAATACTCACAACAAAACTACAAGGAATAGATTATTGGTATAATACTTATACAGACATGAAAACTCAGGCTCAAAAAAGCTAAGTAACTTGCTTATACTTAGAAAACTGCAAAATAGATTTAAATTAAGGCCTTTTGGTTCCAAAGTATTAGTTTGTAACCACTACATCACAGCAGATAAAATCAAGGAAAAACTTATGAATCTAACAAGTCACTTCTATTCTTCCAAGGAAGCCCCAAACTCAGTTGCAAGAACTAAGTAAAAATGAACAGAATAAGATTAGGACCTTCGAGGAACTCACTATCAACTAACGATAAACCCTGTGATAAAAGCCTGGGGAAACAGCAAGAGAGAGGCCCAAAAGAGACCTTGGGAGGTCAGAGAAGACTTCATAGAGAAGATTTCAGCCAAAAGTTCCTTAAAGGCAGGAGGTGGACCAGAGGGGCATGAAAGAATACTCACATTTCGGGAACTGCAGATAGTGTGTTAAACACACTTGAGCATAAGGAAGTGGCTGCAGATTGAGCTAACCTTGGCCTGATCATGGAAACTGTTTGATGCCAGTGGTTCTCCAAGTGTGGTCCCTGGACCAGCAGCATTGACACCATCTGGGAACTTTTCAGATGTGCAAATTCTCAGGCCTCATCTCAAACCTACTGAATCAGAAACCGAGCATGGAGCCAAACAGTCTATTTTCAAAGTTCTCCAGTGATTCCATTGCATGCTAAATCTCGAGAACCACTGGTCTAAGCCATTCTCAAGTGTTTGGACATCATTTGTTGGAGGATGGAAAGCCACAGAAGGGTCTAATGAAATGGAAAAACATAATAGGCGTAGCAAGTAAAATCCTTAATTAAGTAGTCAAAATGGAGTCCTAAGATTGTTTCAAGATGCTTTAAAAATATAAGGTTACAGGATTGATCCATTATTTACATCTCTAACTTCTAAAACAGCTGTCTCTCTTGCTGTTACCAAAATATAGCAAGAGACTTTTGGCCATAACTAACACCTGACGGCATTCCTGCCTCAGCCACAAACATACAGAGGTATACCTTTCATTCACAAGAAATGCTCTGATAGGAACCCAGACAACATATACACCAATGAAACCAGGAAATAACACCTCTGGGAATCAAGAAAAAAGCAGTTGCTTTGTTATTGTGTTAGTCCTTTCTCACTTTGCTAATAAAGACATACCAGAAACTGGGTAATTTATAAAGAAAAAGAGGTTTAATGGACTCACAGTTCCACTTGACTGGGGAGGCCTCACAATCATGGTGGAAGGCAAAGGAGGAGCAAAGCCATGTCTCACTTGGTGGTAGGCAAGAGTGCCTGTGCAGGGGAACACCCTTTTATAAAACCATCAGATCTCATGAGAATTATTCCCTATCACCAGAACAGCATGGGAAAACCCACCCCCATAATTCAGTTACCTCCCACTGGGTCCCTCCCTCAACACATGGGGATTATGGGAGCTACAATTTGAGATGAGATTTGGGTGGGGACACAGCCAAACCAAATCAGTTGCCTTTCATTTCTTTTTCTTTTTTAACTCCCCATTTTAAAACTGGATGTCTAGTCTACATCAATTTTAGAAAGAATCCATCCCCTTTGAAAGTCCCAGGAAACCTAACTGGTCCATGAATGAGATCAGGATTGGGTTTGGGAGTAAAGGGACATTTATGTCACTCACATTTTTTCCTCTAGTCTTTTGAAAGAAGAGCTTTTGTTTTGCTCCAGCTGACTGAAGATTTAGGAACTTGGAGACTTCAACAATTAATTTTCAAAAACAACAAAAGGCAGCTAAGTTACTCTTTATGTAATAAGTAACTACTATGAACCATGTTCAGAGCTTGTTGTTCTGTATATTCTTTAACAAATTAAGAACTCAATCTACCATAATTAAATCAAAATAAATCAGACTATGAGTAAAATCACTTTAAAATGGATTCATGATTGAATAATATGGAGACATGGAAATAATAAAATTATGATTGTACTAAGGATAGAATTGACAATTATAAAATATCACCATCCTGCTGTTGGTAATTGTAAGGCATGTGTAGGGGAATTAGACACTTCCTCTAGGAAAAAGATATGTCGGCTAAATTTTGAGGAAACTATTGTTATCATGATCAAAAATCAGTTCCCATCTGTGCTATTCTTGTTTAGCCAGTGTGTTAGGAACCTACTGGAGACCCTCAGAGTTAGATGGCTATGTAATTAGGTAGGTTGCTTCCCTATATGGGCCACTCCGTTTGTTCAGCCATTTTCAGTTTGCATGCCTAAAGGATTATGAGGAAACTGAAGCATGTACTTACCAAAAAGTGATCCATAGTAAAAATAAGTTCATCACTTTGTTTTATATGATTTATGGGGCCACTAGAACAGAATTTGCTTTCTCACTGATAAGTACCATGAACTTCCCACCTGTGCCTTCAAAGGTGCTTTTGCCTAAAACACAATATGCTCTAAGTCTCAAGAGTCATTTTTCAAAGTCAGTTATTCAAAGTGCAGTAAACTTTAGAACATACATTAATAATATTCAGCCCCCTTGCCTCTGGCCTACCTGCTAAAGAAACATCAATCCCACTTTCTCCTTTCCTATCCAGTGTTTCAAATAACTATATGCCCACTTAACTGGGTTTTTATTTTTACTTTAACAATTAATTTGCCATGTGAATAACAAAATAATTTATCAAAATAAATGATGTGAGTGATCTATAATAATTACTACTTTTTAGTCAACCATGAAATAGATGTGATATCTAATAAGAAAGCAAATAAATGATTTTGCTCTGGAGAAAATACGGATTTTAGAACACTTTCTTGCAACCTGGAATAAAAAATCCATTACTAGGATGTTTCAAAAAAAAAAAAAGCAATGTGTAAAAAGAACTTTAAATCATATTACATTTATTGAGAGACAATTAAACAATTATGTAAACATATCTGCTCTTTAGAAAAAGTTGGTTCATGTGTGGTGGCTCATGCCTGTAATCCCAGCACTTTGGGAGGCTGAGGCAGGTGGATCACCTGAGGTCAGGAGTTCTAGACCAGCCTGGCCAACATGGTGAAACCCCGTCTCTACTAAAAATATAAAAATTAGCCAGGGGTGGTGATGCACACCTGTAATCCCAGCTACTTGGGAGGCTGAGGCAGGAGGATCACTTGAGCCCAGGAGACAGAAGTTGCAATGAGTGAAGATTGAGCCATTTCACTCCAGCCTGGTGACAGAGTGAGACTCTGTTTCAAAAAAAAGTCAAGAAATACAATAAACCTCTCCAAAAAATGTTATTTACCATTTTTTATTACAGAAAATCCAAAACTAATGCCAATATCTCTTATATTACTTTGCTTTTAATAATACAATGAAAGTTTTAAAGTCAGAGGCAAATAAATGGCAATAACATTCTTGAAATACAATTTTGCAGAACAGTATTATTATCACCTTTATTAAATCAGGTATTATTTATGTTGCATGCAGACATAGGATTCTAATGTAGACTAACTTTTGAGACATTATTGCATATATTATTAAGAAAAGTTATAAAAGCACAGAGCAGCATGGTTATGAAAACTATGTTTACCAAATTTAACCTTTCATCAGGAACTCCACAGAATTTTTAATAAAATGACCAAAAATCCATGAGCTCTCACCGCTCTTCTATTTGGTTTGACTTGTTAGAAAGTTCTTCATCATACTGACCTCAAATTAATTAAATTTCAACTGTGTTGTTTCTAGTTCTATCACTCGGAGCTGAATAACATATTTTTAATTTTTTAAGAGTATCATGTCCTCTTATTTTCTTCTTTACCAACTAAGGATCTTTTTTTAAAAAATTGTTCTTAATATACCAAAGTCTTAGGCCATTTCATATCCTTGTCATTCACTTAAAAAGAAAACATATTATTATTTTTTTAATTTAACTTGTATGTCAGGGGTGCATGTGCAGGTTTGTTATACAGGTAAAGTCGTGTCATGGGGGCTTGTTGTATAGATTATTTCATCACCCAGGTATTAAGCTAGTGCTCATTGGGTATTTGTCCTGATCCTCTCCCCTCTCCAACCCTCCACCCTCCAATAGGCCCCAGTGTGTGTTGTTCTCCCTACATGTCCATGTGTTCTCATCATTTAGCTCCCGCTTATCAGTGAGAGCATGCAGAAACCATATTTTTAAAATAATGCCATGAAAAACTGACAGCAACACTTGATTTTTCCCTTTACATATGAGTAACCATGATGTTGTGAACCATGTTCCTAGCTTGGTGTTCTTGGTATTATTTAACACATTAAGGACTCAGCCTACTGGAATTAGCTTATAATTTTGTGAGAAGCTCAAAATCACATTATCTTTCTGCTAGCTCTTTTACATTCTTCCTCAGGTTAGACTCAGAGACAACAATAAAGACTTTTTGTCTATTTTTAAGCCTCATCTCTCATATTCTGTAATTTAAGATGAACTAATAGTAGAAAAAGGCAGCTCATTAAAAAAATTTGTGAAGGTAAATAATGATGGGACAGCAACAAAGAAATAGCGTTTGCAATGAGGTTGAGGTAAATTGGAACAAATATTTGAAAGTCAATTTGTCAATATGTATGTATGGGAAACATAAAAGTGTTTAATATCTCTTGAACTGAAACTTTCATTGTGGGGAATCCGTCCTGAGGTAATACTGAAAGTAAATGCATAAAGATGGAACAGTAAATTTTTAATATTAGATTTTTGTTTAAAATCTACATTTTTTGTTTGCTAGGCCCGATGGCTCACACCTGTAATCCCGGCACTTTGGGAGGCCAAAGCAGGTGCATCATCTGAAGTCAGGAGTTCAATACCAGCCTGGCCAACATGGTGAAACTCCATCTCTACTAAAAATAAAATAATTAGCTGGGCGTGGTGGTGTGTACCTGTAATCACAGCTACTCAGGGGGCTGTGGCAGGACAATCCCTTGAACCTGGGAGGCAGAGGTAGCAGTGAGCCAAGATTGCGCCATTGCACTCCAGCCTGGGGGACAGGAGCAAAACTCAGTCTCAAAAAAAAAAATCTACATTTTTTTTAAATGGGCATCTACTATAATTACAACTGTGTAGCAGATGTTAAATTCTGGATGGGAAAACAATGACAACAAATGGCTATTCTGGTTATTTTAGATTTTTAGTTCATTTTTAAAAATAATATTCAATTCATTCAATATCTTATAATATTTTTATTACATGTATTATTATAAATTGTTGCCTTTGGAAATCATTAGAATTGGGTCAAATCCCAGCTCTTCTATTTACTAGTTGAGCCAAGTAACTAAACTATTTTAAGCTTAGTTTCCTTGTCTCTAAAGTTGAGATAATGACAAATTATTTGACAATGTTACAGTAGCTAAATGTGTTTGTTTCTTTCTCTAAATTCTAAAACACTATATCAGCATTTCCCAAACCTGTATCAGCATGACTAATGAGACTTTTTGTCTTATTTTGGTTTTGTTTTTTCCTAAAGATATTACTATATAAATATGCCATCCAAATAAGACAACTGCTGTGTCTATTTACTTTCCATCCCTCTAAAGTTCCCATTCAAAGAGCAAAAAGAAAATGTAAAGGAAAGCAGAAGAATCATAACAAGGCTAAAAAACACAAAGTGGAAAAACAGCAGACCAGGACAATAAAAAACAAGCTGATGGGAAAATAAACAAACAAACAAAAACAGAACAGGAGAAACACTCAACACTCACCTAAGACAGCAGAGGAACGAATGTTCTTCCGGAAAGAGCTCTGAGCAATCTTCAGGCACAGGATCAACAAACAGGAGTAACAGCTGTGGACCACGGGAACAACAAAGGGTAATTACCAAAGACCTTTATCGAGCGCAGCTGCCCCGGCCACAGTGGCCTCTCCCCATTCCCATATCATGGCTTTAACTTCTTGAATAAAACCTGATGACCTCTTTCCAAAACTGGTTTGTACAGGTAGTAACTTACTGCCAGTTGTTTCTTGAGTTCTTGAAGCTCAAGAACAAAAAACAAAGTTTGAGGAAACACTGTGCTAAAGTACAGTATACTAAATATATTAAGTACACAGACACCAAAGTATCAGATAGAGTAAAATGTAAACAAATCTTCTCCCCAAAGGTTATGCCGAGGTGGGAAGATGGCTTGAGCCTGGAAGGAGGAGGTTGCAGTGAGCCCTGATCCCGCCACTGCACTCCAACCTCAGGGACAGAGTGAGATCCTGTCTCAAAAAAAAAAAAAAAAAACTCCCTTATCTGGGGATCCACAGCCTGACTGACTCTCACTGTGCTCCAAGCCCAGACGCATGAACGCTTTTTAAAAACATCCATTTGATCCTTCTATTGAAAGAAATAGACTGTCAGGAAAACAGATCTATACAGCTGCAAATGAAAGTCATCAAAGCCACCTGAACTCATGAACCTAATATTTCATATCAACAACTTTCAAGGGGTGATAACCAGGTTTCTGAGGAAAAGTAATAGCATGAAAAAAAATTATTCAATCAGTTCCTAATACAACAGTCATAGCTATAGCATTTAAAATTTTTTTTTATTATACTTTCAGTTCTAGGGTACATGTGCACAACGTGCAGGTTTGTTACATATGTATACATGTGCCATGTTGGTGTGCTGCATCCAGTAACTCATCATTCACATTAGGTATATCTCCTAATGCTTTCCCTCCCCCCTCCCCCCACCCCACAACGGGCCCTGGTCTGTGACGTTCCCCTTCCTGTGTCCACGTGTTCTCATTGTTCAATTCCCACCTATGAGTGAGAATATGCGCTGTTTGGTTTCGTGTCCTTGCAATAGTTTGCTGAGAATGATGGTTTCCAGCTTCATCCATGTCCCTACAAAGGACATGAACTCATGATTTTTTATGGCTGCATAGTATTCCATGGTGTAGATGTGCCACATTTGCTTAATCCAGTCTATCATTGATGGACATTTGGGTTGGTTCCAAGTCTTTGCTATTGTGAATAGTGCTGCAATAAACATATGTGTGCATGTGCCTTTATAGCAGCATGATTTATAATCCTTTGGGTAGATACCCAGTAATGGGATGGCTGGGTCAAATGGTATTTCTAGCTCTAGATCCCTGAGGAATCACCGCACTGACTTCCACAATGGTTGAATTAGTTTACAGTCCCACCAACAGTGTAAAAGTGTTCCTATTTCTCCACATCCTCTCCAGCACCTATTGTTTCCTGACTCTTTAATGATTGCCATTCTAACTGGTGTGAGATGGTATCTCATTGTGGTTTTGATTTGCATTTCTCTGATGGCCAGTGATGGTGAGCATTTTTTCATGTGTTTTTTGGCTGCATAAATGTCTTCTTTTGAGAAGTGTCTGTTCATATCCTTCACCCACTTTTTGATGGGGTTGTTTTTTTCTTGTAACTTTGAGTTCTTTGTAGATTCTGGATATTAGCCCTTTGTCAGATGAGTAGATTGCAAAAATTTTCTCCTATTCTGTAGGTTGCCTGTTCACTCTGATGGTAGTTTCTTTTGCTGTGCAGAAGCCCTTTAGTTTAATTAGATCCCATTTTTCAATTTTGGCTTTTGTTGCCATTGCTTTTGGTGTTTTAGACATGAAGTCCTTGCCCATGCCTATGTCCTCAATGGTATTGCCTAGGTTTTCTTCTAGGGTTTTTATGGTTTTAGGTCTAACTTTAAGTCTTTAATCCATCTTGAATTAACTTTTGTATAAGGTGTAAGGAAGGGATCCAGTTTCAGCTTTCTACATATGGCCAGCCAGTTTTCCCAGCACCATTTATTATGGAATCATTTCCCCATTTCTTGTTTTTGTCAGGTTTGTCAAAGATCAGGTGGTTGTAGATGTGTGGTATTATTTCTGAGGGCTCTGTTCTGTTCCATTGGTCTATATCTCTGTTTTGGTACCAGTACCATGCTGTTTTGGTTACTGTAGCCTTGTAGTATAGTTTGAAGTCAGGTAGCGTGATGCCGCCAGCTTTGTTCTTTTGGCTGAGGATTGTCTTGGCAATGCAGGCTCTTTTTTGGTTCCATATGAACTTTAAAGTAGGTTTTTCCAATTCTGTGAAGAAAGTCATTGGTAGCTTGATGGGGATGGCATTGAATCTATAAATTACCTTGGGCAGTATGGCCATTTTCACGATATTGATTCTTCCTATCCATGATCATGGAGTGTTCTTCCATTTGTTTGTATCCTCTTTTATTTCGTTGAGCAGTGGTTTGTAGTTCTCCTTGAAGAGGTCCTTCACATCCCTTGTAAGTTGGATACCTAGGTATTTTATTCTCTTTGAAGCAATTGTGAATGGGAGTTCACTCATGATTTGGCTGTCCGTTATTGGTGTATAAGAAGCTTGTGATTTTTGCATGTTGATTTTGTATCATGAGACTTTGCTGAAGTTGCTTAACAGTTTAAGGAGATTTTGGGCTGAGACAATGGGGTTTTCTAAATATACAATCATGTCACCTGCAAACAGGGACAATTTGACTTCCTCTTTTCCTAATTGAATACCCTTTATTTCTTTCTCCTGCCTGATTGCCCTGGCCAGAACTTCCAACACTATGTTGAATAGGAGTGGTGAGAGAGGGCATCCCTGTCTTGTGCCAGTTTTCAAATGGAATGCTTCCAGTTTTTGCCCATTCAGTATGATATTGGCTGTGGGTTTGTCATAAATAGCTGTTATAATTTTGAGATAAGTCCCATCAATACCTAATTTATTGAGAGTTTTTTTTATGCTTTAAGTTTTAGGGTACATGTGCACAGCGTTCAGGTTTATTACATATGTATACATGTGCCATGTTGGTGTGCTGCACCCATTAACTCGTCATTTACATTAGGTGTATCTCCTAATGCTATCCGTCCCCCACCCCACGACAGGCCCTGGTGTGTGATGTTCCCCTTCCTGTGTCCATGTGTTCTCATTGTTCAATTCCTACCTATGAGTGAGAACATGCAGTGTTTGGTTTTTTGTCCTTGTGATAGTTTGCTGAGAATGATGGTTTCCAGGTTCATCCATGTCCCTACAAAGGTAGCATGAAGGGCTGTTGAATTTTGTCAAAGGCCTTTTCTGCATCTATTGAGATAGTCATGTGTTTTTTGTCTTTGGTTCTGTTTATATGCTGGATTACATTTACTGATTTGCGTATGTTGAACCAGTCTTGCATCCCAGGGATGAAGCCCAGTTGATCATGGTGGATAAGCTTTTTGATGTGCTGCTGGATTCAGTTTGCCAGTATTTTATTGAGGATTTTTGCATCAATGTTCATCAGGGATATTGGTCTAAAATTCTCTTTTTTTGTTGTGTCTCTGTCAGGTTTTGGTATCAGGATGATGCTGGCCTCATAAAATGAGTTAGGGAGGATTCCCTCTTTTTCTATTGACTGGAATAGTTTCAGAAGGAATGGTACCAGCTCCTCCTTGTACCTCTGGTAGAATTTGGCTGTGAATCCATCTGGTCCTGGACTTTTTTTGTTGGTAGGCTATTAATTATTGCCTCAGTTTCAGAGCCTGTTATTGGTCTATTCAGGGATTCAACTTCTTCCTGGTTTAGTCTTGGGAGGGTGTATGTGTCCAGGAATTTATCCATTTCTTCTAGATTTTCTAGTTTATTTGCATAGAGGTGTTTATAGTATTCTCTGATGGTAGTTTGTATTTCTGTAGGATCGATGGTGATATCCCCTTTATCATTTTTTATTGCATCTATTTGATTCTTCTCTCTTTTCTTCTTTATTAGTCTTGCTAGCAGTCTATCAATTTTGTTGATCGTTTCAAAAAACCATCTCCTGGGTTCATTGATTTTTTTGAAGGGTTTTTTGTGTCTCTATCTCCTTCAGTTCTGCTCTGATCTTAGTTACTTCTTGCCTTCTGCTAGCTTTTGAATGTGTTTGCTCTTGCTTCTCTAGTTCTTTGAATTGTGATGTTAGGGTGTCAATTTTAGATCTTTCCTGCTTTCTCTTGTGGGCATTTAGTGCTATACATTTCCCTCTACAAACTGCTCAAATGTGTCCCAGAGATTCTGGTATGTTGTGTCTTTTTTCTCATTGGTTTCAAAGAACATCTTTATTTCTGCCTTCCTTTTGTTATGTACCCAGTAGTCATTCAGGAGCAGGTTGTTCAGTTTCCATGTAGTTGAACGGTTTTGAGTGAGTTTCTTAATCCTGAGTTCTAGTTTGATTGCATGGTGGTCTGAGAGACAGTTTGTTATAATTTCTGTTCTTTTTCATTTGCTGAGGAGTGCTTTACTTCCAACTATGTGGTCAATTTTGGATTAAGTGCAATGTGGTGCTGAGAAGAATGTATATTCTGTTGATTTAGGGTGGAGAGTTCTGTAGATGTCTATTAGGTCCACTTGGTGCAGAGCTGAGTTCAATTCCTGGATATCCTTGTTAACTTTCTGTCTCATTGATCTGTCTGATCTTGACAGTGGGATGTTAAAGTCTCCCATTATTATTGTGTGGGAGTCTAAGTCTCTTTGTAGATCTCTAAGGACTTGCTTTATGAATCTGGGTGCTCCTGTATTGGGTGCATATATATTTAAGATAGTTAGCTCTTCTTGTTGAATTGATCCCTTTACCATTATGTAATGGTCTTCTTTGTCTCTTTTGATCTTTGTTGGTTTAAAGTCTGTTTTATCAGAGACTAGGATTGCAAACCCTGCCTTTTTTTGTTTTCCATTTGCTTGGTAGATCTTCCTCCATCCCTTTGTTTTGAGCCTATGTGTCTCTCTGCACACGAGATAGGTCTCCTGAATACAGCACACTGATGGGTCTTGACTCTTTATCCAATTTGCCAGTTTGTGTCTTTTAATTGGAGCATTTAGCCCATTTACATTTAAGGTTAATATTGTTATGTGTGAATTTGATTCTGTCATTATGATGTTAGCTGGTTATTTTGCTTGTTAGTTGATGCAGTTTCTTCCTAGCATCGATGGTCTTTACAATTTGGCATGTTTTTGCGGTGGCTGGTACCAGTTGTTCCTTTCCATGTTTAGTGCTTCCTTCAGGAGCTCTTTCTCGTAGGGCAGGCTGGGTGTTTACAAAATCTCTCAGCATTTGTTTGTCTGTAAAGGATTTTATTTCTCCTTTGCTTTTGAAGCTTAGTTTGGCTGGATATGAAATTCTGGGTTGAAAATTCTTTTCTTTAAGAATGTGGAATATTGGCCCCCACTCTCTTCTGGCTTGTAGAGTTTCTGCAGAGAGATCTGCTGTTAATCTGATGGGCTTCCCTTTGTGGGTAACCCGACCTTTCTCTCTGGCTGCCCTTAACATTTTTTCCTTCATTTCAACTTTGGTGAATCTGACAATTATGTGTCTTGGAGTTGCTCTTCTCGAGGAGTATCTTTGTGGCATTCTCTGTATTTCCTGAATTTGAATGTTGGCCTGCCTTGCTAGGTTGGGGACATTCTCCTGGACAATATCCTGCAGAGTATTTTCCAACTTGGTTCCACTCTCCCTGTCACTTTCAGGTACACCAATCAGACGTAGATTTGGTCTTTTCACATAGTCCCATATATCTTGGAGGCTTTGTTCATTTCTTTTTACTCTTTTTTCTCTAAACTTCTCTTCTCGCTTCATTTCATTCATTTGATTTTCAATCCCTGATACCCTTTCTTCCACTTGATCGAATCAGCTCTGAAGCTTGTGCATTCATCACATAGTTCTTGTGCCATGGTTTTCAGCTCCATCAGGTCATTTAAGGACTTCTCTACACTGGTTATTCTAGTTAGCCATTCGTCTAATCTTTTTTTCAAGGTTTTTAGTTTCTTTGTGTTGGCTTCGAACTTCCTCCTTTAGCTCAGAGAAGTTTGATCGTCTGAAGCCTTCTTTCAACTTGTCAAAGTCATTCTCCATCCACCTTTGTTCCATTGCTGGCGAGGAACTGTGTTCCTTTGGAGGGGGAGAGGTGCTCTGAGTTTTAGAATTTTCAGCTTGTCTGCTCTGTTTTTTCCCCATCTTTGTGGTTTTATCTATCTTTGGTCTTTGATGATGGTGACGTACAGATGGGGTTTTGGTGTGGATGTTGTTTCTGTTTGTTAGTTTTCCTTCTAACAGTCAGGACCCTCAGCTACAAGTCTGTTGGAGTTTGCTGGAGGTCCACTCCAGACCCTGTTTGCCTGGGTATCAGCAGCAGAGGCTGCAGAACAGCGAATATTGCTGAACAGCAAATGTCGCTGCCTGATCGTTCCTCTGGAAGCTTCGTCTCAGAGGACATTTTAAATTTTTTAGCACAAAGAAACTATGACATGTAGAGTTCATCAGATGTCTTGCTATAAGTCATATACCTCTGCCCTATAAGATTTCCTGATCTAAACATCTAATAACCTTGTCAAGAAAAGACATGCAAGTCACCTGTTGTGACATTGGACCTAGTTATTATCAATGTATGTCTTGCACACATGCAAACATTCCATGCTTTAAATAATACACATAAAAATCCTGCCAAAGATCACTGTTAAGCAAACTAATGTGTGCTTTTCTGAATTGAATATTGCCCCAACGTTAAAAATCAGAATGGTATTTTCTTGCCATGTCTTCCATTTTCCACGTTTCAAAAATGACCCAGCTCATTCAGCAATTTCCAGTTCCCTTTGCCAAAGTTTTTGATGGGAAGAAATTTGAGACAGAAACTTGATGTAAAAAAAAAAAATTCTGTGCATCTGCACAAGAGTTGTACACTTATTATTTCTTTATTACCTACAACAAACTATGGGTCAGGTATTTCACCTCCATTTTCAAGATAAGAAGAAGGATGCTCACAGAAGTAAGGAATGACCTACAGTCACAGAACTAGTGTGACTAGTGCCAGGTTTCAACCCATTTCTGTTCAGGAAAAAGTGGTCCTTTTTCTGTGTCAGCATCTTCTATTCATCCTTGAATAGAGAGTCCATAACCTCTTCTCAATCTGGTGCACATTATTTCAGAAATCTCACCTCAGAGAACTCTCTGCACAAGCAAGCACATTGGCATCTTTAGATACCTCTCATCACATGGAAGTTAAATAATTGCACGTTGAATTGCCTTTCAAGAGAAACTCAACCCTCTCAAGCTATTTCCTTTCCAAAGACTTGTTCTTTGAAAAGGCGATGAAATTTCACTTCAGCTTTTGAAATACGACATCATATAGAAGAGCAAAGCTGACTGGTGATTCTCAATTTTTTCCTTCCTTACCCATAGCGCACCCTTGGGTAATATGGTCACATTTCCTAAAGTTCCTTCACCACTTCTGTTAGATTGCATTCAGGGAGACGGTGTAGTCAGTGGTCTCCCATGTCCTTTCAGTTTTCAAACTTTAGTGTATATAACTATCACTGAAGTACCACCAAGGTGTCTGATTTAAGAAAATCAGAAACTTTGGTGTCATTTATAGAAATTATTGAATCTGTGCAATACCCAAGAATCTGAACTATAAAGTATATGCTGTAAGAATTTGGTCTGGGTATTGCATATTTGTATTTTGAAAAACAATGTTCTACCTTTTAGGAAGCAACATTTTCAGCAAGGTGCATCATGATTCTCCCACATTCTCTACACTTAGCCAAATAAGTGATGTGACTAATGGCTGGAGAGTGGACACTCTGAAAGCTTGCCTTGAGTCTCTTCTGCAGCTGTTATTAATGTTATCTCTTTTCCATCTGACCACGTAGCTCAGTTATTCTTCTATAACGTTTACTAATGGCTTTATTTTTACTCCTCATGTGTTCACTGATATCTGCAATTTCCTGTTCTGTGTAGACATTTTTGACATATAAGATCACTCTGCCTTCTCCTTAACAGTTCTTTGTACAGTATGTACAGTTTCATTGTGGATGAATCTCAGAGATTTAGGATAAACCCTGGGAAATAGTTGTTCAATAAGTTGAATGACTGAATCACCATATTTAACTCCGAATCCCATTCCACAGAATCTTGGATGTTAGTTAAATATCTGCTATCCTGGGTCAAAATGTTAAGGTCTTTTTTCAACTTACATTTTACATGTTGTAATTGTGTAATAAAATATATTTTATATAGGATATCAAAATGAAGTAAGACTACAACCAAAACCAGCAGGAACACTGAAGAGTGACTCTTGTGTTTTTTTTTTTTACTGTAAATATGTTCCAAAACAGATATTAAATCTCTAATTTTCTTCCAGAAACTCTATTTAGCATGTAATAGTAAGTCACTCCAATTCAGTGTCAATAATCAATACAATATATAAAAGAAATGGAATTTTGATATTATAATCCTATCAGCTGTGACTAAAATGATTTGAAGCTGGTATTTTATTATCCTCTTTACAGAAATATAGAACAAATGAAGGAATACTACTGAATAACGTCAAACTGCAGGAGCTATATATGTTGATGAAAATATACCAGAGCCATGTGTTTCTACATAAGGAGTTCATTGAAACTTACTTTACTGCCAGGAAAATGTGCAGTTTGCAGTGATCGCCTTATTCAAAAATCAAAATGATTAAAGTTATAGTAGCAAATGTGCCTGTGCTTGGATTTCTGAATCATGTCTTGTCCCACCTGAGCTACTTAGCTCCATCTCCTTCCATATGAATTCATAGAGATATATATGTACAGGGAGGCTGGGGAAAAGCACATTCCAGTTTATTATTATAGAGCTTTTGTATGATCCTCTGAGCATCACTGAATAACATCTGCAAGGCTAAAGGGCAAGGACTAAGGTGAGCTCAGCATCTTCCTCTGTCCCCTTCTCCTAGGCCAATACTCTAATCTCCAGTCTTGCTTTAATATTGAAAATATCCTCCAAAAGGGCATGCTAGACCTTCTGGTTGGAGTTCTTTTATCCAAAATTTATAGGAAAAAAATAAATGTTACCAATGTTTAGTATATGGATTGAAAATGGAGGACCCTCCTTCAGTTTGCATGCCATGCAGAGAATGCAGAATCGTGAGAATAGTGTGTTCATTCCCCAGCAAGGTGGTTTACAGTGGAACCCTCTCCCATGTGATCACTTTCAGTAAGCTACAATCTATGACAGTTTGCATGAGCCTAACTTCGCAGTTATATACTATAATATTTCCTAGTTTTTAATTAAACCACAAAATGGATAGTCGATCCTTAAAAAATGTCTGTAAAGAAATCAAAGTTGAAAATAATATTAATATGCAAGGATAACTTAACAGCAAAAAATATTAGATGTGATAGTTGCACTGTCCTAGCAAAAGCTCTTTCTTTTTATAAGCCTAAATGTAATAGTGAAATAATGTGCTCTGATAAAAATTGGATCAAAAATATTTATCAAAAATCCATTTATCATTTGCAATATGCTACTGTTTATTTTTAGATATTAGATGATAATCAGTAATTAATTTTAAAATTCAGTACCAAAAACATAAAACCTCTCTTCTCAATTTTTAGCAAATAATAATGTAATACTTTACAAAATTTCACTGAGCCTAGTGGTAAATGCTTAGAAGCCTCTTCAGAGGTTTCTCCCTTAAAAATAAAGAGAAAACCTCACAATTTTGGAAAACACTTGTTCTTTTGTGTGCAGTAAAAATGACTGAAATGATACATAAAAGACAGTATAATGGCAAAATAAAATGCATTCCTTTGTCAGCAAATGCTGCTAGAATACATGGAAAGCATTCCTAAAAATTGAAAAAACAACGTTAGAAGAAATATGCGATGTGGGAAAACTGTTATACAGTCAGATGAAAATACAGATGTGGTTAATGCATCAGGTTTATGGTATTTTGGTATATTATAGATGCCCCTTTAATAATGAAGCACATTGAAAAGCTACATTCTTATGAGCCAACAGAAGAAAGAAATACCAGAGAAGATACAGTCTCAATGCTAAATTATTGCTTATATAGAAAATAATGTTTTGTGGGAAAATTAGGCAAACAATCATTGATAGAAGAGCTGCTCTGGCTGAAATAGAGAATTCCAGACCGAGTCTATGAGCTAACAACACAAGTGAATTTTCTTCACTGCATTATTCATAAGCAGACAAAAGCAGGGAAATGCACAAATGCAAAATGTGTTGCAGGACATCACGGATGTGGTTTATTTTCTCCAAATGGCACATTTGAAGTGTATTAAAATCATTACAATGTTTGTAATGAAATGGCAAATGACCACAAAACTCTTTTATACCACCAGAGGCTCACTAGTTATCTTGGGATATATTAATTTGGTTGTCTAATTCTAATATTCCAAATTTACTGATCTTTTTTTTGTGAAGACAAATGGCTATATGGATATTCTTCCCAGCTGATATTTACTTTATTTTTTAAATTTATTTATTTACTTACTTTTATAGAGATGGGGATCTTGCTATGTTGCCCAGGCTGGTCTCAAACTCCTGGGCTCTGTGTCTGACCCTAGCTGATGTTTAAACACACACACAAATATACATACACACTCTTCCCTTCAACGCAAATGTGATATTTTAACGAGGAAGAAAGTTGACCATTTGTCTAAAGAAACTTATGCCATAGGGTTGACATTTTGAAAAGAGTTGTTTGGAAACCACCTGGTTTCCAATCATGGCTTTGCCACTTATTGGCTGCATTGTATTTTGGCAAGTTCTATAACATCTTTGTGCCCCCGAGTCTTTATTTGTGAGGGAGATAATAAAACCTCTGTCACGGGATTGTAGGCAGGATCTGATCAACTACAGTACAGTAATCACATAAAAACCTTAGCCCAGTGCCTAACACATTGTAAGCATTCATTCAATAAATGTTAGCTACCACCTATATCACCATGACTACCAATATCACTGCTACCACCACCAGCACCTTACCAAGTTTGACAAGCTGTGGCTGCCCTGTGAGTGCCCACTTACCTAGGTGGAACTACATTCTGCAGACTTTTTTTCTTGTGTATTTCTGGTGAGTGTGGGCTACTGGAGAGATTCTGAGAGCTTGTGAGTTTGGCCAGGAGGCAGCAGCCACCGTGTAGCACGTGTGCACTGCTGCTCAACTGCTGACTCATCCCACCTGTCCAAAAACAATAGCTGGGCCATGTGTGTCTCGGCTCCATGACAAAGGGCTCCAGCTTCCACAGGGTACCTGATATGGTTTGGCTCTGTGTCCCCACCCAAATCTCACCTCGAATTGTAATAATCCCCACATGTCATGAGAGGGAGCTGGTGGAAGGTAATTGAATCATGGGGGTGCGTTTTTCCCATGCTGTTCTCATGATAGTGATCTTATGAGACTTATTGGAGCCCCCACACAGAGTCACCACTGGGGACTAGTGCCTAGTGGAGCTGTGAAAAGAGGGCCACCATCTTTCATACCCCAGAATGGCAGACCCACCAAGAGCTTGCACTGTGCACCTGGAAAAGCCGCAGACACTCAATGCCAGCCCATGAGAGCAGCTGGGAGGGACGCTGTACACTGCAAAGCCACAGGGGTGGAGCTGCCCAAGACCATGGAAACCCACTTCTTGCATCAGCACGACCTGGATATGAGACAGAAGGGACTTGCCTTCTCTCAGATGAAACTTTGGACTGTGGACTTTTGAGTTGATTGGTTTTGAAATGTGAGGATATGAGATTTGGGAGGGGCTAGGGGCAGAATGATATGGTTTGGCTCTGTGTCCCCACCCAAATCTCACCTTGAATTGTAATAATCCCCACATGTTGTGGGAGGGACCCAATGGGAGGTAAGTGAATCATGGGAGCAGGTTTTTCCCCTGCTGTTCTTGTGATAGTGAATAAGTCTCACAAGATCTGATGGTTTTATAAAGGGCAGTTCGCCTGCACACACTCTCTTGCCTGCCACCAGGTAAGATGTGGATTTGCTCCTCCTTCGCCTTCCACCATGATTGTGGGACCTTCCCAACCACATGGAACTGTGAGTCCATTAAACCTCTTCCTCTTTATAAATTACTCAGTCTCGGGTTTATCTTTATTACCAGCATGAAGATACACTTATACAGTACTGTTCTCACCAAGGTCAGAAGCAGCAGGAATGGACATGGGTTTTAGTCCATTGTTGGGGCATTTAAGTTTGTGCTCACGGATTCCACCCTCCTCATTCTCATCTCTTCCTGACTTCCTTCCCTGTGGACTCAAGGCTTTAGCATCAGATGTGGAGATAGATTCTGAAGAACTAATTAACCAATTCCTAACACTCTGTGAACCAATTCTATAGATACAGGCGCAGGTGTGTGTGCATGTGGACGTGCACACAGACACACACACACTATTACTAGTTCTGTTAATTTAGTTGAACCTTAATGAATACACCAGTCAAATGACAAACAAACAAACAAACAAAAGGAATAGAATTTTGCTGCAATACTTTGAACTAAAATGGTCACAGCACCCCATTACAGGTTTTCCTGGGATCGACACTTAGAGACCTTGCTAGCTTGTAGGTAAACCCAGATGTGTTACTACACCAATGGAAGGGGTAGAGGTCCATAGTTGGATATTAGGGGTTAGAACTGGATATCAGTGGTTACAGGGTATTATGAGGTGAATAGTGCCCTGCAAACATCAGTGCATTGAAGTCTCAGTGCCTTGTATATCAGAATGTGAACATATTTACAGAGAGGGACTTTCAACAGGTAATTAATGAGATCATCTAGGTGAGCCCTAATCCAATATGCCTGGTGTCCTTCTGAGAAGAGGAGATTCGAACATAGAGGCCACAGGCAGATCTAGGGATTACCATGTGAGGACACCATGAGAACCTGGTCATCTAGAAGCCAAGGAGAGAAGCCTCATAAGACCCCAGTCTGTAAGAAATTGACTTTCTGTTGTTTAAACCACCTGAAATTTTGTTATGGCAATCCTAGAAAACTAGTACAGAAGGTAATCCCAAAAGTCAAACCAAGAAGAAAGACAGTACAATGACAGCACAAACACCTTTAATCAGCACACCAAAAACCCTTTCACCTAACGGTGGCCCCATAACTAATCTTGTTCTTGATTTTACTCATTCTTCAGGAAGAAAGGCAGGGAACTTAACTTTCCCTGCTGCCAAAAAGTCAAAATGAGCTTTTCTTGTTGCCTTATTTTTTAATTCCATAGAGAATATACAGAGAAAATTCAGCCTTATTATTAAATTGGGTTGAATGAAGTTCTGCCCTTTCCTGATCATCGTTCAGCTATTTTTAAGACTTGCGTGGCTCCTGGAACCCAAGAAGTAGCAACCTGACATCTTCATCATCAGTTTTCCAAAGCTTCTCCCCCTGATTAAAGTCATGGGCACCAGGGAAATATGCAGTTGAGACTTTTTTTCTCTTGTTTGGTCTTAATCTCTGATCTCAGATTTTTTTATATTCCTGTTTGACATGGCTCTCTCTCTCTCTCCGCTCTTATCCACATCTCTCTACATTAATTAACTACTCCTCCCTCTTAAATTATTCCCACTTTTCCCTCAGCATGCCTCATAATTAGCACTAATCATATTCCTGTTAGCTCATAGAAACTTGCAGGATGGAATGAGAGAGATAGAAAATACAAAGAAAAACAGAAAGACTTGAGATACACTTACCTGGAGTAGAAGGCTCTGGTCACCATAAGGCAAATGATAAAGGAGAGAATAGACATGTTACTAAGGAAAATGCCTCAAACTATTAGGCCAGATGATGGAAATGAACGCTGGTTCCATACAGAGACAAGAAAATTGTCATGGGGTGAAGATTGAGTAGTTTGTTCACTGCTTTTAACTAGGGCAATTTGAAAAAAAAGCAACAACTTTGTTT